>NC_000004.12:61421381-62671381 GCF_000001405.40 Homo sapiens | reverse complement strand
TTGCCACTCTGATAGAGTAGTATTAGAGTGTGTGTTATAGCAGATGTGTGTGTCTGTGTTTGTAAAGAGGGATGAATCAATATATCTGAGAACAGGAGATAATTGTTCAGAACATTTGGAAGTCCGTGTCCTGCTCTTAAACATGTCTTTGAGTCAAAACGCCAAACACTACGTATTATTTAAAAAGCAATGCCTAGAAGAACTACTCAAAAATCTTCATAAAATCATACATTCTTTAAGAATATTCTGATTATATACGGAGTATACCTACCTCACTTATTTTTGCACATATCAGTTCTCATGTTATGAGATGTCATTGAAAACATACAGAAAATGTGCAGCTGTTTTATAAATGGATACACTTCTTTTAAAATGTTTCTTTTATCCTCAGGTAAAGGAAAGATAGCATCAACCAATCAAAAGAAGAAGCAAGAGCAATTCAAAGAGAGACTTTCTTATTGTTAATTTCCAGAGGGAATTAACCAATTTTCTGTATTATGATAGAATCAGCATATTGAGGATTGGACCTATAGATAATGTCAAAGCAGAAGAGGTACTTTCAGCTTTGTGTGCCTGCTGAATCTTAAATATGAGCAACTGCTGAGCTTCTGTTTGCTCCATGATTTCCGGTCAGGTTTCATCAGATCGGAGCCTGCTGTTTAAGCTATATTTAGGACATGACCCTAGCAGCTGGCTCTACTGAATGAGCCACTTCAAGGTGGTTATTACTATGCATGTAATAACTAAAGAATTTGGAAGAGCTAAGAAAAGCACTTAGCCCTGTGTATTTTATTGAATATTTTGGTAGATTTGAAATCCAACTATGAAAGACACATATGAAAAATAAAAGTATGGTAATTTACACTAAATATAACTTTAATATTACCATCTGGATAAGAAAAATGCCATATGACCATGTCAGAGTAAAAAGAATCTATTTTGTAAATGCCCACAACTTAAAAGAAGTTTGAAAGGTTTTACTAAGTTTTATAAATTTAAAAGCATATTTCTGCAAATAATTGATTTTTTAATATCTGACAAAATAAAACAAAGTCAAAATACATTTACCCTTGTATTTACTGTCTATAAGAATGAAGATTACAGCTTATTCACCATGTAATAATAATAATTCGAATGTAACGACATTCCTGTAAAACATGCCATAATTTAGGATGTTTTATCCCTGTAAGACATACCAAGTCATAGTCACCAATAAATGTTTCTTGAATTTAATGTTGTCTTTTGACATTTGAGAATAGAAAATGAGAGCTTTGGAGAATGTCTAATGAATTTTTAAAGCACTAAAAAATTCACATTATAATCTGAAACATCCTGAATACTCAAGTAAACTCAGTCTTGTATTTTCTGTGAGAAAGACTAAAAATGAAAATACAGCCTAATGATAATTATTATATTTCCAATATTACAGATGAAGATCACGAACCAAAAATAGTGACTACATACTTGCTAGGTCTTGTAATATCTATGTGACTCCAGAAAAAACAAGATGTGAGAAGGACAATATCACTTTTTCACACTAGTAAACAACTTGAATGTGATCAGTACAGTCCTGTGATGTGTGCATGCATGCACGCGCATGTGTGTATATATATATATACACCAAATACTTCTGTACTATATATATTAGTCACCCAATACTTCTGTAGCTAAATACCATTATCAAGTTTATCAAGCAATGTAAAAGTTCATAATAACATATACTGAAAATAATTTCTAAGTATTTCCACGTAAGGTGGTGAATAAGATGGTTTTAGGGTAACATTCAAGGGTTGCTTAAACACTAAAATATTCATAGAAGACCCCGGGAGACACTGTGTCATTAGAAACAAATGTGAAACTAATATGTTGGGCTGACGGAATGTGGAGGATTTAATAAGGAAATTTTATCAGCACTGAAACTGGGATAAGATATCCACCATATTTTACAACATGACAGTTTTAAAAAGTAGTATTTTTTTCACCATTTTAAATATGAAAAACAATAGAATTTAAAATATTTCTCCCTCACTCTTTCACTAAGATGTAAGTGAATATTCTTCTGACCTCTTTCAGTCACCCTACCCTATCTGAATGATACACCAGAACTAAATTATATCTGATCAAGAGTTGTTTGGAGTTGGTCTCTGAGAGTAGGCTCAATTTCTAGATTCATAGGTATCTCCATGACTTTATCCTCAATCTATCTTATTATACCAACAGCGTCACTTGGATGGGGATATTATAATCTCCCTGTAAGGAATTACTATAGAACAAACATTTATCTTCCCAGGAAATCTGGGGATAATATTTAAGTATAAAGCTACTCTCACATTTAGTTTTACTAAGAAAATTCAGAAATAAACATTTTATATAGGAATATAAATATAAATAAGTGCTTTGAGTTAAGAATTCTCTTTTGACCTGTCTCTATTCAATACAGACAATGGATTCATGTTGTTTCCACTCAGTTCTTTCCCATTCATTCTAATTGCTTAATGCAATTGCAGGTCATTACATTGCAATTATTCAGTAAGAAAATACTTTGAAATAAATAAGAGTCTATAAAAACATTTTGGATTATTTCATTTATAGCCAAAAATAACTGCATATACAATTATTATTTTAAAAAACACAACAACACAATAAATAGAAAAACTATGCTTAGGTTTTTTTTCATGTACATTGCTAAAACCGAAATATGGAAAGTTAATATCATTTGTTCTTTCTTTATATCAGGTTAAATGTGAAGAATGTAGTTGTCAGACAGCAATGAATTTGAACTCATTTATTCTACTGTAGCTTTCAGCAATTATATGTTAACATGTCCACATTTATTAATATATTTTTATTTATGTTTATTTTACTAGAATTGCATCAGGACAGATAATGCTTTTGAAAGTCATAATTTTAAACAATTATTATAAAAAGGAAGTATGACATTTATATTTAATAAATTAGTAAGTATGTTTAAATAGTTCATACTCAAGATTCTGAAGATATTTAATATATCTAGCTTCTAACCTTTAAACATATTAGAATGACTGTAATTTACAATTGTACATAGCATGCAACTACATAGCATTTTCAAGCTCATGCTGATAATTAAAAAAGGAATATTCATGTAAATAAAAAGGCATTATAGACTGTTAAAGTGGTCAGTATTGTGATGAAAACAAGTATCAATTTCTGTTTCTTTTTATTTACATATAAATTTTCTGCATGATCCCTGATATTTTGTAATTAAATATAAGATATGTTAAATCACTGCTGTTGAATATTTAATTTTCACATTATTTCAGTATCTGCAAAGAAATAACAGATTTTCAAAAAGTTGTTCACTTATGATAAAGTCAATCATGAGACTGTCCCACTTAGAATCAGTGCCTCATTTTCTTTCTCCTATCCCCCAAATTTATAGGATGGCCCTATTCATTCTTCCTCTTCTAATCAAAGTAAAACTTATACTGAGGATGATGGCTTCCAGCTTTATCCATGTCCCTGAAAAGGACATGATCTCATTCCTTTTTATGGCTGCATAGTATTCTATTGTGTATATGTACCACATTTTCTTCATCCAGTCTATCATTGATGGGCATTTGGGTTGGCTCCATGTCTTTTCTATTGTGAATAGTGCTGCAATAAACATAGGTGTGCATGTATCTTTATAATAGAATGATTTATATTCGTTTGGTTATATAGTCACTTATGGGATTGCTGGGTCAAGTGACATTTCTGGTTCTAGATTCTTGAGGAATCACCACACTGTCTTCCACAATGGTTGAACTAATTTACATTCCCACCAGCAGTGTAAAAGCATTCCTATTTCTCCACATCCTTGCCAACATCTGTTGTTTCTTGACATTTTAATAATTGCCATTCTGACTGACATGAGATGGCATCTCATTATGGTTTTGATTTGCATTTCTCTAATGATGAGTTATGTTGAGCTTCTTTTCGTGTGTTTCTTGGCCATATAAATGTCTTCTTTTGAGAAATGTCTGTTCATGTCCTTTGCCCACCTTTTGCGGGGGTTGTTTGTTTCTTGTAAATTTTGTTAAGTTCCTTGTAAATTCTGGATATTAGACCTTTGTCGGATGGGTAAATTGCAAAAATTTTCTCCCATTCTGTAGGTTGCCTATTCACTCTGATGATAGTTTCTTTTGCTGTGCAGAAGCTCTTTAGTTTAACTAGATCCCATTTGTCAACTTTAGCTTTTGTCGTCATTGCTTTTGGTGATTTCATCATAAAATCTTTGCCCATGCCTGTGTCCTGATGGAATCGCCTAGGTTTTCGTCTAGGGATTTTATGGTTTGGTGTTTTACATTTACGTCTTTAACCCATATTCAGTTAATTTTTGTATATTGTGTAAGGAAGGGGTCCAGTTTCAGTTTTCTGCATATGGCTAGCCAGTTTTCCCAGCACCACTCGTTAAACAGGGGACCCTTTCCCCATTGCTTGTTTTTGTCAGGTTTGTGGAAGATCAGATGGTTGTAGATGTGTGGCCTTATTTCTGAGGTCTCTATTCTGTTCCATTGGTCTATATGTCTGTTTTGGTACCAGTACCATGTTGTATTGATTTCTGTAGCTTTGTATTATAGTTTGAGGTCAGGTAGCATGATGTTTCCAGCTTTGTTCTTTTTTGCTTAGATTGGCTTGGCTATTTGGGCTCTTTTTTGGTTCCATATGAATTTTAAAGTATTTTTGTGTTCCAATTCTGTGCAGAATGTCAATGGTAGTTTGATGGGAATAGCATTGAATCTAGGAACAGAAAACCAAACACTCATAAGTGGGAGTTGAACAATGAGAACACATGGGCACAGGGAGGGGAATAGCACATACCACGGCATGTCGGGGGTTGGGAAGTGAGGGGAGGGAGAGCATCAGGACAAATAGCTAGTGCATGTGGGGCTTAAAACCTAGGTGATGGGTTGACAGGTGCAGCAAACCGCCACTGCGCATGTATACCTATGTAACAAGCTTGCATGTTCTGTGCATGTATCCTAGAACTTACAGTAAAAAAAATAAATAAAAATGAAAACAAAATTCAGTAAGTTATTTCATTTCAAAGCCTTTAACACAATTACGGTGCACAGGAAACTAAATGTTAACTATTGTAGTTTTGATGCCAATTCTGATGGTAAATATAAGAATGCTATCAATCCATTGGTAGGATGGTAGTCATTGGCTTGGTAGCATCCCTTTATTAATATTGAGTTTGAGGTAGTTACTGTCCTGTTTTGTAGAGGTGATATCCTGTCACTTTGTCACCGTCTTAACAATTTGAATAGCAACTATTTCAAGTAATTGAATTTATCTGCTTAAGAAAATTACTAAAACAATTCAAATCATATCTCTAAGAGGCAACAATAAATGGACATAAAAGAGAAAAAAAGAAAAGAAAAACTTTTTCTAGGCTTTATTCCTTGCCCATCTATCATAATAAAATAATGAGCAAGTAAAATAAAACAAAGCACTAAATGAAAAAGAGCTATAGTGCCAAAAAGAGTAATCTGAGATGAAACCCCTCACTTTTTGGAATGGCATATATAAAACTCTATTGAAGTACCTTGGGCTGGTACTTAATATATGTTGAAACTACATTAGGTTAACTTATCTTTAACAAAGTATTTAAAATTCAATCAGTAACCATGGTCAAGTGGGATTTATCCCTAGGATACAGAGATGTTTCAACATACACAAATTAATAAATATGATACACCACAAAAAAGAATGAAGAATAAAAATCGCATGATTATCTCACTGATGCAAAAAAAAGCATCTGACAAATTCAACATCTTTTTATGATAAAATCTTCCACAAATTGGTTATAGAAGGAGTAAACTCTAAAATAATAATGTCCACAGCTTTATTATATGACAGGCCCACAACTAACATCATATTGAATAGTGAAAAACTGAAAACTTTTCCTGAGATCAGGAGCATGAAAAGAATGCCCACTCTTGACACTTCTATTCAACATAGTATTAGAAGTCCTAGCCAGAGTAGTTAGAAAATAAAAAAGGCATCCAAGTTAAAAAGAAAGAAGTAAAATTGTCTCTTTTTGCAGATAATGTAATCTTACGTAGAAAATCTTAAAAACTCCACCAAAAAACTGTCAGAACTAATAAATGAATTTAGTAAAATGTCAGGATACAAAATCAACCTATAAAAATTAGATGCATTTTTATACACTAACAAGAAACCATTTGAAAAAGAATTTAAGAAAACAATTCATCTACAAAAGCATGAAAAAAAATAAATTTAACCATGGAGGTGAAACATTTATATACTGAAAACTATAAAATATGGATGAAAGGGAACTGGGTGCGGTGGCTCACACCTGTAATCCCAGCACTTTGGGAGGCTGAGGTGGGCAGATCACCTGAGGTCAGGGGCTCGAGACCAGCCTGGCCAACATGGTAAAATCCTGTCTCTACTAAAAATACAAAAATTAGCCAGGCGTGGTGGCACGTGCCTATAATCCCAGCTACTTGGGAGCCTGAGGCAAGAGAATCACTTGAAGCCGGGAGGCAGAGGTTGCAGTAAACCGAAATCGTGCACTCCAGCCTGCGTGACAGATTGAGACTCTGTCTCAATAATAATAATAATAATAATAATAATAATAATAATGAATTTGTTGAATACACACATGAACGGAAAGATATCTCATGTTCATAGATTCAAGAAATTAGAATCATTAATATGTCAATACTATCCAAAGAGATCTAAAGATTCAATGCAATCTCTACTAAAATTCCAATGGCCTCTTTTTACAGAAGCATAAAAATAAACCTAAAATTTGTATGGAACTAGAAAAGACCCTAAATAGCCAAAGCACTCTCAAGCATAAAGAATGGAGCTAGCAGCATCATACTATTTGATTTCAAAATATACATCAAAATTACAGTAATAGAAACAGTATGATACTCCCATTAAAAACAGACATGTAGACCAAGGGAACAAAAGAGAGATCCCAGAAATATAGCCACATATTTATGGACAACTGATCTTTGACAAGAATGCCAAAAGCAAACAATGAGGAAAGGGTTGTCTCTTCAATAAATGGTTTTGGGAAAATTGACTATCCATATGCAAAAAAATAAATATTGACCCTATTTACACCATATGTAAGAATCAACTAAAAATGATTAAAGACTTAAATGTAAGACCTGAAAGTATAAAAGTAGTACAAGAAAACACAGGGGCAAAGCTTTCTTACATTGGTGTGGGATATGATTTTTTTGGATATGACACCAAAGCAGAGACAACAATAGCAATAAGAGACAGGTTTAATCCCATCAATTAAAAAGCTCTGCACAGCAAAAGAAATAACTGACAGACTGAAGAGACAACCTATGGAACAGAAGAAAATATTTGCAAGCCACAAATCTGATAAGTTGTTAATGTCCAATACAGGAACACAAGCAATTCAATAGCAAGAAACCACCCAATTTAAAAAGGGCAAAGGTCCTGAATAGATATTTTTCCAAAGAAGACATACAAATAGCTAACAGGTATATGAAAAAATGTTCAACAACACTAATCATCAAAGGAATGCAAGTCAAAACCACAATGAGATATTAACCTAACACCATTAACCATAGCTATTATCAAAAAAGATAAAAGATAACTGTTGGCAAAAATCTGAAAAAAGGGAACACTAATATACTATTGGTGAGAATGTAAATTGGTACAGCCATTATAAAAAAAAGTATGTAATTTCCTCAAAAAATTAAAAATCGAACTATAATGAGTCATCAATTCCACTTCTGAGTATATTCAGAGGAAATGAAATCAATATGTCAAATGATATGTATATTGCAGCATTATTCATAATAGCTAAGATATGAAAACAACCTAAGTATCTTTTGATGGATGAAAGAATAAAGAAAATGTGACAAATAAAAATTTTAAAATTATATATATATATATATATATATATATATATATATATATATATATATAAAGTAATGTTTTCAGCCTCTTTAAAAAAAGGAAATCTTGCCATTTGCAAGAACATGGATGAACCTGGAGGATGTTACATTAAATGAAATAAGCCAGACTCTAAAAAAGAATGATCTCATCTAGAGGTGGAATGTAAAACAGTCAAACTCATACAGGCAGAGAGTAGAAGGGTTGTTGTCAGGGTCTGGAGAGTGAGGAAAATGGGTACACATTGGTCCAAGGTTACAAAGTTTCAGTTAGGATAAATATGTTCCGGAGATCTAATTACAGCATGGTGGCCATAGTTAGTTATAATGCATTGTACACTTGAAATTTGTACATTGAAACTTCAAATTTGAAATTTCAAGCAAATTTCATTTTTAAACATTCTCCCTACACATACACAAAGGTAATTATGTGAGTGATGGATATGCTAATTAGCTTGATGTGGTGATAATTTCACAATGTGTTTGTATGGCAAAACATAACACTGTACACCTTAATTATATGCCATTTTTATTTGTTAGTTTATACCACAAAGCTGGAAAGAAAAGCCAATCAGCAAAATTTGGAGCAGGGCTTTTCTGTACATTTAATACAATTGAAGTTAAAAGGTATGGATATGATTGCTTAGTTCTTTTTAGTTCAGATTTTATGTACACTAGTTCCATAAATGAGTTAGTTATACTGTAACATAGATTTTGTAATACAAATTTTAAAAATTGAACATGTAAGTATAAAGCAGCATTTTAAATTTGAACTTTACTTCTTTAAAAAATCAGTATTCACAAATGAAACATTAGGTAAAAACTAGCTTGGAACTTTCACAGTAGTCAGAGATTCCAAAGAACTATATATTATTTATCTCTTTAGTAAAAATCCTTTTATTTAGTTACTATATCAATTAAATATGATTAATTAAAACAGGGTATTGGAGTAACAAGGAGATGCCTAGTAAGAAATAAAGATAATTCTGAATAATAAAAGAACTGCAGGAATAATTAAAAATATAATAGTAGATATAATACATAATAGTTACAACTCCAATGCCTGAGATAGAGCATCCCAGGTAGACTCTCCTCCCTGCCTGCCCTCTACCTCCACCAAGGGCTGAAATTCAGACCTCCTTGGAGAGGGCATGGCCAAGACTAGCTGAATGGCAGAGAAGTTACTGTAGTGATGTGCCAGTGAAACTTGCTAGAAATCTTCCCTTGGGAACTTGCCTGAAATCTGCCCTCAGGTGAGCCAGAAAAAGCCACATCCAGGGATATGCCACTTTTCAGAATTTGCTGTGAATCAAATCATAAGTGTGCTAGGGAAAGCTATTGACTGCTGAGTGCTGCTGGTTGCCTTAAACTGCAGAGCCAGGTGCTACCAAAGCCCCAAGTTGAGAAGAACACAGCAGGACCAGTAAGAGAGAGCCTCCTGCTCCAGCATCTCTTCAGGGCACCCTACTGGCAAAGCTTAACATCATCTCAGCTGGCAAAGGAGGCTTGCGCGACTGGGAGGTAAATTGATCACCGTCCCAGTCATTTATCTTATCAATACGTATATCTCTTTTTACCCACTCACTTTTTCTACCTAGGTTTGTAAAACCAATTCTCCTAACAGTTTTGTTTTCCTTTCTTAAGAGAATGTAAAAAAGTATCAACTATAAGCTCTTATGCCTTTTTATAAATCTTTGTTCAGTTTCCCCATTATGGGTAATGGAAGAAAGTAGTTTTATCTTTATAATACTTTTCAATCATAAGCAAAGTTTAGTTTAACTATTATTGACAACTGCAAGACAGATGTAGGTCTCAAGGCTTTCTAAATTCTTCATTTTAGTAGTAATCAATAATATATATTTTATAGCACTATAGGGATTGAAAAGTTTTCCTTTTCTTAACTTTTAAAACTAACAGTAAGGTGGTAAAAGCTATAAACTCCATTATACAGGGGACAAATCTGAAGCAGCCAATCCAATCCATTACTGCACTCTTCTCACAGTAAGCTCTTCCCTTCCACCACCACCCTCACCCTGTTAGGAAACTGCTTAAAATGTATGTCACTTTTCTTGTTCTCAGGTAATGAAATCTAAACTCCTTAATTTGGGAAATAAATCTTCACATTCTGAACACAACTGACATTTCTTTTTCATCCTTTATTTTCTTTGAATGTATCACATTCAGCATTCACTCTTACAACAGAAAGTTGTTCCTCAATAAGCCACGTCTTTTTGACCAATATGTGACTTCATACAGCTTATTTAGTCTTGTGGTTAAAAAAGCCAAGGCTAATAAATGGATATATTATTTCCACCTGGTGGGAGTAGAAAAACCAAATTACTTTATTGTTTTGAAATACAGTAAATTAATATGTGTAATATGTTCAGAAGAGTGCTTGGCATATTATAAGTACCCAATAAATGTTAGCTCTTATTATTTGCTTAACTTCTGATTTCTCACCTCCAACATTTGTGAAGTAAGCTTTTAGATAGCTACTACAATTTCCAATTATCCTAACTCTAGAGTGAATAGAAATTTAAAAATAAATACTGGGCGGTAGAGGGAGGAAAATTGCCAAGTTAATTGCATAAGTCCCACTTCTGGTTCTTACAACCAGAAGTGTCTCCTAATCTTTGAGATCTCTGCCTTCTTTCCAGTCCTTCATCTTATATATAAATGTAAAAAGCAATGAATCTTATTAATTTTGATGTTACCTGAATCAATAATTGGGGTCAGATAACATAATATTAAAATTAGCCAAAATTAACCTATAACATATCCCTGTACCTATTGAAATTAAAGGAACTGAGTGTAGGATGGTAGCCTACAGAGGAGAAACCAAAATATCAAAAGAAGGCTGGATGAATGCTGGAGGGCAAAACAAAGGGACATATATCCATAGAAAATTGTTTATTTTAAAGAATTCTTTAGTAAGAGAATACCTGATATACCTTGACAATTTAGGTACCTTGATCACCACTTTCAATTGTATTTATATTTTATTTTATTTTCTAATTGTATTATTTTACAGGAAATACAATAATGGCCCAAAGATTATCTATTTAGTACAAGATCAAATGCTGGAAAATATCAGAGCCAGGAGTAGAACCTAGTTATTTTAATTAGGTTTATTGCTCTCAAAAAGAGTTATTCTCTAGAAAGGTACTTCAGCTAACAAGCCAAGAAATGTAACCAAATTAGTAGCATCAGTAAAGAAAACTAATAATTTTAAAACCGCTGCATACTAACCGCAAAGAAGGAGTATCCAGCAAAGGAGTATCCTCCTGAATGCTGCATCAACCCTTCAAATCTAACCAAAATTCAAAAAGCATCGTAGGAATGCATTTTTCTAACTTTTCTCTAAACTCATTTATTCTATATTGTATCTTGGCTTCATGTTTCTCATTAGCTAAGTTATTATTTTCATGTTGTGCAGATTTAGCATAGTTATTTGTGCTATGCTCTTCAGCACTTCCCAGGAATGCTGATGCCCTTTGCTTCCTGATAGCATGCTTTCTATTTTGACATTGATGATAATATTATATAAACAGTATGAAACCAAACAAGTAATCAAAAATGCAGTAGATGTTACAGATTTGCAAGTTCTCATACGGTTTTCCTACCAATAAAGCATTCTAAAATTCAGTAGACTTTATTAATTCACAAGTTCTCATATAGAATTTCTTCACCAAAAAGGTGTTCTAGAGTAGGTCTTAACACAGAGGCTAAGATGTTTGTCTCAGGATTCAGATTTGAGTTCAAATCCCAGCTGGAATTTAGAAGTGGTGTGACCTATGGCAAGTTAATAAACACCTTGTAACTCATATTACACATCTTTCAAACAGATATAATATTAATATCAAACCTATAGTGTTAATTTTAATGTTAAAAAATAAAAATATATAAAGTACTTACTACATTACCTTGCCCACAGGATTTACACAATTAATGTTGAGATTGTTGGTATGGTAGCTATTAATGGCCTGTAGGGTAAGTCAAGGAGTGCAGTGAGGCTAGTAGTGTCACCACAGTCAGAAAATTAAGTGGCAGAATAAAACACAGGGACACCAGCCCTTATTAGTGAGAATGAAAAGGTCAGCATCAAATGAGCCAGATATCAAGGCCTGTAAGGTCAGAGGGAGCATTTATAATAAGGAATGTCTCAAATATGAATTAATTACAATAGCTAGCAAAATCTCCTTTCAGCAACTCATCTCCCCTAAACCTCAGCCTCTTCTCATATCTAAAATGACATTCACAGTTGACATTCACCGAGGGAAATTCTTTGGAAGGTACTATTAAAATATTCAAAACAACCTTATGAGTTAAGTTTAATTATTATTGTCTTTTCACAGATGAGGAAACAGAGGCCAGAGAGGTGACATAAATTGCCCAAGATCAAACAAAAAAAAAAAAAAAATAGATATTGGAGCAGGGCCATGTAGTTTGGATGCAGAGATCACACTCTTAGCCATTTGCCAATTCTTTCAACTATGCCAGCATGAAAGGTACTTTGTAAGGTTTGTCTAAAGATAAAGTATAATGCTGCACATAAAATAATAATCACTAAGCCTGTCACACAGATAAACTTGTAATAAATTTTAGCTATTGCCACAAATAAAACATTGGAGTAAAAAGTCCACTGGAATTGGATGGCTTTGTTATGCAAAGAGAACTTAAATGTATTTGTTTTACATAAATAAGAAAGTTAAGAGATAAATTCATTATTGAAAGAAAAAAATGTATACTTAGGTGAGTTAATACTTTAAAAAGCAACAATTTCAATGTTTTCACATTTATTATATTATATCATAATTAGTAGTATTATATTTGTTTAGTATTATATCTTATATATAGTTATAAAATTATCTATCACATATAACCTCCATTTTATTTTTATGTCGTTTGTTACAAGAATAAAGAAGTAATATATCCTTTAAATATTATATTGCTCAGACTTTTTGGATCTTTTTTTTTTATCAGACCTACATCATAGTTTATTAGCATGAACTTGTGCACTTATAAAAATTGTTTAGCCTTCTTGAGACTGGTTTCTAAATTCTGTAACATAGAAATCATAACTAGCCACTTTAGAATGGTCCTAGGCAACAAATTTGATGGCAGATTTGAAAAAAAAAAAATCTTACATGGCCGAGTGCTGTGGCTCCCTCCTATAATCCCAGTACTTTGGGAGGCCAAGGCAGCAGGGTTGCCTGAAGCCAGGAGTTCAAGACCAGGCTGGGCAACATAGCAAAACTCCGTCTCTACAACAAATACAAAAATTAGCCAGGCGTGGTGGCGCATGCCCGAGTACTTCCAGCTACTCAGCGGGGAGGCTGAAGTGGGAGGGTCACTTGCACTCAGGAGTTTGGGGCTGCAGTGAGCTATAATTACTGCCACTGTATTCCAGCCTGGACAACAGAGGTAGACTCTTTCTTAAAAACAAAAAACTTACAAACTATAACATTCTTTTTAAAAGTAGAGAAATTTATCTGTTTATATTTCTAGTACGATGGCTCCAAAAGATCCATTTCAGAAGCAGAATTCTAGTCCATATTTGAAGACCACTGGACCCATGAGCAAAAAAGATACCTTCAGTTTTTAAAGTGTATAATTCTAAGTTCCATCTTTAATACACAGAAAATTTACATGAAAAGCCCCGGTTAACAGAATCACCTCTTTCAAACATACTTTTCTTTAAAATGTAGCAAAAATAGAAAAAAAACTACGTTTTTAAAAATGTGTTAGTAAACCTATGCTTGCATAAATTACATTTGGCCCTTCCTACCTGTGAGTTCTGCATTTATGGATTCGCCAAACTGCAGATTAAAATGGTGGCTCACGCCTGTAATCCCAGCACTTTGGGAGGCCGAGGAGGGTGGATCACCTGAGGTCAGGAGTTCAAGACCAACCTCAACATGGTGAAACCCCGTCTCTACTAAAAATACAAAAATTAGCCAGGTGTTGTGGCATGTGCCTGTAGTAGCAGAAACTTGGGAGGCTGAGGCAGGAGAATCACTTAAACCCTGGGGGCGAAGGTTGCAGTGAGCCTCGCACCATTGCACTCCAGCCTGGGCGACAGAGCAAGACTCTGTCTCAAAAAAATATGTATATATATATAAATTGTGTTTGTACTGAACATGTGCAGATTTTTTTCCTTGTCATTATTCACTAAACAATACAGTATAGCAACTATTGATATGGCATATTCTTTTTTTTTTTTTTTTGAGACGAAGCTCTGTCGCCCAGGCTGGAGTGCGGTGGCATCATCTCGGCTCACTGCAACCTCAGCCTCCCAGGTTCAAGTGATTCTCCTGCCTCAGTCTCCCAAGTAGCTGGGATTACAGGCACACGCCACCACGCCCAGCTAATTTTTATATTTTTAGTAGAGACTGGGTTTCACCATGTTGGCCATGATGGTCTCGATTTCCTGACCTTGTGATCTGCCCACCTCGGACTCCCAAAGTGCTGGGATTACAGGTGTGAGCCACCACACCCAGCCTTATATATCATTTTCAATAAAGTAATCGAGAAATAATTTAAATTATACAGGAGGATATGTATAGGTTATATGCAAATGCTATGCCATTTTATATTAGGGACTGTGCATCTGTGAATTTTGGTATCCTGTGGAGTACCTGGAACCAGGGATACCAAGAGACAACTCTACAATTAAAAGTTATTTATTATAACGAGAGTTTTATATAAAAAAACTAAAATTTTACCTAAATGTCTATTATTTTGAAGTGTAAAATGTTTCATTAAAACACATTCCTATAAGAAGCTGTTTAACACATTTTCATTGTTTTAGAGTTTTCATTTGTCAAGTTCTCTGAATGTGAATCACTGTAGTCTTTCTCTGTTATATTTCTACATATTTCCAAGTCTTCACAACAAAATTTAAGATTCAATATGCATATTTATATGTTTGTAGATATATGTATTAAAAGATGTTCTGTGAAGTATTGCTTTGCTACCATACATCATATAACTATATATATATATATCAATTTAATGTTTTATAATGACAACTCTAGCTGTTTTCCATTTTTCTGTGCCTCTGTTCTTCCTGCTCCTTTAAAATACACACCATTGAAAAGAAGTGAAGCTATTAGAATACCCACTTTATATTAGCACTCATAGTACACAGTAAAGTTGAATAAAGAAATTGGCAAAGGATAAGAGTTTGACAGGGTTTTTTCTGTTCTTTGCTATTTTTCCTGGGCACATGCAGATGGCTGTTTAAGAATGGGCACAGTGTTCACCCTGAGGTTTGATGACAATGTAGACTTAGAAGGTAGAATAAAGAGAGTCATCAATGAGCATAGTAATGGCAGGAAATGGTTCCAAAGGGAGCTCTGCGTTGCATACAGAAATATCCTAAAAACCTAAAAGGAACTTGAGCAATCATTAATTACAAAATGTAGGTTTTCAATTTTGGCAAAGTGAGCATAGCTGAAAATAAAAATTAGAGCTGAGTAATTTAGGTATCTAAAACTTTTGGAAGCTAATATTTATAACTAGGATATCATTAATCCATTTATTTTCATTTATAACATCAACTAATATTTACAGCATGTTAATGATGTGCCAGACACTATACCAGGAACTAGCAACAAAACGTTGGGCAAGATATCTTGGTTATGGTCTCACAGAACTTTCATCCAAGCAAAATAAACATACAGTTAAACACACAAATCTATTAATAATTAAGAATAATGTGTTCCATAAATGTGTTCCATTTTCTCTAGGGAGCTGTGTGTGTACTGGAGAGACCATGAGCTTTGGAGTCACAGATAATTGCTTTTAGGATTCTCATTCAAACGCATGCTAGTTTAGGTATCTTTAAAAAGTTATTTAACCCCTAAAAACTGTTTCACTAACGGAACAATAACTATATCTATCTACTTTGTTGTGTTAGCTCAAGTTTTAAATCAGACAGTGAATATAAAGACGTCATATCTGGCTCAATATGAGTAATTGGTATTTTATATCTGTTGTTCTACATTTTCAATAATAAAAGCAGAAATTAATGAGGTCCTGACATTTTACCTAAATTATTCTCAGAGAAATTCTGTGGGCCATTCCAAAGTCATTACTGTAGTTAAGGTGAATACTTTGAATCTGTGTAATGTTATTCCAAGGGTATTAATTATATTCTCTTTATTCTCTTATAAGAAGGAATACTAGAAAACAGAATTGATCTTTAATATTAGGAGAGCCTATGTTTTGCCAGTTTGCTTAGTGGTTAAAATTTGTAATCCCCAAAGCAATGCTTTCAGCATTTGGGGTCATTTGCTCATGTAGGGGAGAAAAAAGAGCATAATTTTTTCATTTATTACAAGGCTCATGGATGACACTCCTATAATAAAAGATGAATTTACAAAATAAAAGCATACAAATGAATTTAACTAAAATTTTACATGTCATGAGGGCCTTTGGAAATGCAGATCCAAAGACAAGGAAAACTGTGTATTTGTATGCTTAGGTATGATAAAGAATGGACAGTCGTGTAGAAGTATGACTGGACCAAAATGGTGTATGACCTAATGGAAATAAAGAGGGTAAGGGAATTTAGCAAGATCTGTTTATTTTAAATTCTTCTTGACCTCTGGGTATAGGGCAAGGCCCCTCTTGAGTACGAGTCTTCTGACCTACTTCCAGGTGAGGTCATTCAGATAATTCTATCATGACCGTGCTTCAGGAAAAAATCAGGAAAATGTCAGATTGACCTTCTAACTTCTGTAGCATTCTCAATTACTAAGGTGCCATATTTTGCAGTAGCATGTTCTGAGGCCCAAACTCTGACATATGTAGAATGGAAAAAAAAATTGAACTGTCCAACTTGCACATTCCTGTCTGATGTCAAATTAGACGACCCTTTGCCTTCTTGTTTTGTTTTCATATAGAGATGACCAGAAGCCAGGGGTTGCAAATGGCAGTGTAATGCAAGGGTCTCCTGATCTGGGGCCGATGAGAGGGTTTGAACCCCAACTCTGGCACCTGTGAGTGTAGCAGACTCAGGCAAGTCACTTAACACATCTCAACTTTGCTTTTTCTTTCATATAATAAAGAAAATGTAATCTACCTGCTGAAGTGTTTTTAATATAATCTCTGAAGATATATGTGTATAGAGATGAGAGATAGATTATTGATAGATAAATGATGATAAATGAGAGATGATTGATGATAGATAGATAGATATAGATAGATAGATGATGGATAAAAAGATACGTAAAAATATCTCCTAGGAACAACACCTTTAGTACTTGCTACCTCAGTGTTTGTGGAGATTTTACAAAATATAACTACCATGAATAATAGAATAGACTGTAATTTTTGTTTTCCATACTTTATCTTAAATTTTGTGTTATTAAGACAACAATAAAATAATAAACTACTTCAGAACATAACTTAAATATTTTGGTTAATTTCATTCTGAAACAGAAAAAGGCATAAATGTTAGTGTTAGATGACAATGAGCTCCACCCAGGAGACAGAGAAGTTTATTTTTTATTATAGAGTGATTAAAAGACTTCCTATCTATGACATGGTAAAGGAATTCAGAACTGCATTTGTTACTTCTGTGGATAAATTTTTAAAATTATGACATGTTGGGAAAATTTAATTTTCCAATTTGTGAAACCAAAAATTATCAGGGTCTGTCACATTCCAATTACTTAAGTAAACAAAACCATAAATGAAATTACAATGTACATAAGACATCCTCAATAGTCTGCCATATTTATTTTGTGGAAATAGAGACAATTCCTATAATCTCTCTGCTTAGACTGATTACAAATAACTGTAATTCTATAAATAGATATACCTATTGTAAATTTTAATCCCATTATTTGAAATTTAAATATTAAAATACATCCTATGCAGTTTCCGTAAGCTAAATACATATGCATTTTGTATCTGAAATACACTTGAACACAATACTCTTCCTTTATCTCCCATGATACAAACACCTCAGAGGGAATATTTTCAACTTAAGCTATAAATTGCTCAAAATTGTGGTCTCAAACAATAAATTCTGAAAAATATGCCATGATAACTTAAAAGTCTTCCTGTGTTAAGCATGAGGCTCTTTTATAAAGCTCCCAATGAGATCTGTCAGGCAATGCAAACTGCAGTTGAAATTATAATCTTCAAACATACCAGAAATATGCTAAGCAAAATCAGATGCTCAGAACTAATGTTCATATACATCACCATGTATTTTAATCCAAGTGCATAGCTAAGAAACTGATAGAAGAAATAAATTTCAGTGCTCAGAGTGGCCTGCCAACCTGACCCAATCTTTCTTCCTCTTTCTCTTCTTTCTCGAACAACTAATTTTCAATGTTTATTAAAATATATGTTGTATATATAAATGTTCATTTTAAAGTAAAAGAAAATGTACCAATGTGAAAATGTATCCTATTATTTTTTAGATGCTTACCTAAAATAAATTGCCATTTTCTATAAAGAATAATTTGTGATAGTGTTGTGACCCTGATTTTATCAACTCACAATATTTTCAGATATTCTGCCGGTAGGTGAGAAGAGCTAAAATAATCACACTGAAAGGGATAGGAATCATAGATACAATACAATTCTTATTCTGTAATAATATGATTCTTATAAAAAAGACATAAAGCTGAAGAGGCAGATATCTGAATAAAATTATATAATTCCCTTAGTGGTCATGTAACCTGAATACAGCTTCTGGGGTTTCTGTTTTCTCATATGGATGCAAATTGTTCAGGGATCACAGATACTTTCTTTTTTGAATCCTACAACACAAATAGAACTCTATGGATATCAATGCAGGAAATAGAACTTGACATTGTTTAAAATAACATGAGCTAGGTCTCTGGCTCTGTGGATTTGCCACAGAATTGAACAAAATGAAAGTGAGAAGAAAGCATCTTGATATTAAATAAGGCTGAGACATTTTAAGGGGAAGTTCAGCATTAGCAATTCTAGCATCATTAATAATAGTAACTAAAAATCAGCTTATTTGATTACTGCTGCCAGGCTTTTTCTACCATGTGACTGTCCTTCCTTGAAATGGATTTGAAGCACAGTTCCAAATTTCATAAATATATTAGCATTTCATTATAGCAGAGTTCATTATTAAATGTACTGAAATACATGTTGGGTCAAATCATGCACCTTAAAACTCAACTTCCAGCAAAAAATGTCCTATAAATAAGATGATAAGCCCATAGTTAACATTCAATTTATAGCCTCAGAAAAGCAGAATTGCAGTATTATTTTATTTTTCAGAATTATAAACCACGAAAATATCAAAGAAGAAAAAAGTACTACATTTCCAGAAAAGCAGAGTATGTAAAGTGTGCTGTGGTAAGCAGAGTAATGCCTTCCTCCCACCCCCCAAGGAAGTTCATGTCCAAATCTCCAGTCTCACAAGTTCACAATATGCAAACATATGTTGCAACCACTATGCAACATGATAGAAGGAATTTCTCAGGTGTGATTAAATCGAATATCTTAAAACAGAAGGACATTCTGAATTATCCAGGCACGCCCAATGTAATCAACAGACTCCTTAAAAGATGGAAGTTAGAACTCTCACAACCAGAAGATAGTCATATGAAAAGAGCTCAGCCCAAATTTGCTAGCTTGGAAATGGTGGAATGAGACCATGTGACAAAAATGCAGATGAACTCTAAAACCTGAAAAAGGAAAGATAGAAGATTCTCCCCTAGGGCATCCAGAAAGAACTACCCTGACAACATCTTGATTTTAGCCTAGTGAGATCTACTTTGGATTTTGACTCTCTAAAACTATAAAAGGTATCTGTGCATGCATGTGTGTTAAAGCAAGTTACTTTTGGGGTACTGGAACTGTCCTGTATCTTGATTTTGTTTGTAATTATATGTTAGCATGTGTTTGTTAAATCCCATAAAACTAGAAACCAAAAGTACTAAATTTTATTATAGGTAAATTTAAAAGTTTTTCTAAACTCTATTTGCTTTAATGCTGAGGCAATGCTTCACATTTCTATGTTAAGTTTTCCTGATTTCTCTTTCTTGTTTCCTATGTATATTATTTTACTTTACCATAAACTTCAGAAAGTAAATTAATGTATTATTTTCTCAGTAAAATACCTTTGAAATATTTGTACTGATTAGATCTACCTCTTACATTAAACCCTTAATACTGTTTTGGAAGAATAAAATGAATTATACTTAACTATTTATTTCCTATGTAAAACTTTGAGCGCATACTCTACTTCATATGTTTGAGCTTTGACAAGCATGAATGGAAAGATGATGCCTGATATGGTTTGGCTGTGCCCCCACCCAAATCTCATCTTGAATTGTAGCTCCCATTTCCCCTGTGAAAGCAGCTATACCCTCCAAAGCCACAGGGTGAAGCTGCCCAAGGCCCTGGGAGCCAACATCTTGCATCAGTGAAACCTGGATGTGAGATACAAAGTCAAAGGAGATCATTTTGGAGGTTTATGGTTTAATGACTGCCCTACAGTATTTCGGACTTGCATGGAGCCTGTAGCCTCTTTGTTGAGGCCATTTTCTCCCATTTGGAAAGGGTATATTTACCCAATGCCTATACCCTCATTGTATCTAGGAAGTAACTAACTTGCTTTTGATTTTGCAGGCTCATAGGAGGAAGGAACTTGCCTTGTCTCAGATGAAACTTTGGACTGTGGACTTTTGAATTAATGGTGAAATGAGTTAGGACTTTGGGGGACTGTTGGAAAGACATGACTGGTTTTGAAATGTGAGAACATGCAATTTGCGAGGGGCCAATGGTTAAATGCTATGGACTGACTGTGTCCCCACGCAAATCTCATATTGAATTGTAGCTCCCATAATCCCCACGTGTCATGGGAGGTACCCAATGGGAGGTAATTGAATCATGGCGGGGGTTGGGGGGGATCCCATGCTGTTCTTATGATGATGAATAAATTTCAGTAGAACTGCTGATTTTGTAAAAGGGCAGTTCCCCTGCACATGCTATCTTACCTGCCACCACATGAGATGCGGCTTTGCTCCTCCTTTGCCTTCTGCCATGATTGTGAGGCCTCCCCAGCTATGTGGAACTGTGAGTCCATTAAACCTCTTTTTCTTTATAAATTACCCGGTCTTATGTATTTCTTCATAACAGTATGAAAATGGACTAATAACAATGTCAAATTCTAAAAAATCTCTAGTAGATATCTCGGATAGTTGCAACTCAGGAATAATGATAAACTATTCAATAATTCAACATTTGTGGAATTTATGCACATTAGAACCCAATCAAGAATAACTATATAGGCAAAGAATCAGAAAAATAAGAGTCAGAAGATAAAGAAAAATAGTCAATTAAAACACCCAGAAGTGACAGAGATGATGAAATTAACAGGCAGGAAATCAACAAAGAAATTTTGGAATTAAATTGGACTTTAGACCAAATTAACCTAACAGACACTTATAGAACATACTACCCAACAGCCACAGAACATATACTCTTCTTATTTATGTGTGAAACATTCTCTAAAATTGCCCATATGCTTGGCAAAAAAGCAAGTCTCTGTAACTTAAAAAAATCAAAATTTTATGAAGCATATTTTTGGACAACAGTGAAATAAAAGTGGGACCAATACCATGAGGAACTCTCAAAATTATACAAATACATGGAAACTAAACAACCTACTCCTGAATATTTGTATCAATGATAAAATTAAGGCATAAATTAAAAATGTTTTGAAATGAACAAAAATAGAGACACAGCATACCAAATTCTCTGGGACACGGCAAAAGCAATACAAAGAGGGAAGTTTATAGTGTTAAATGCCTCCATGAAAAAGAATAATCTTAAATGAACAACCTAATGTTGTACCTCAGGGAACTAGAAAAAAGCAAGAATGAACCAAACCCAAGTTCAGCAGAGGAAATTGCAGAGATTACAGCAGAACTAAATGTTACTGAATCAAAAAAAAATTCTTTTAATCAATGAGTTCTTTGAAAAGATAAACAAAATTGATAGACTGCTATCACGTGAACATGGAGGCAAAAATCCTCAGCTAATACTAGCAAACCAAATCCAACAGCACATCAAATAAACTAAACACAGGATCAAATGAGTTTTATACTCCAGAGAAGCAAGGAAGACTCAACATGCACAAAGCAATAAATGTGATTCACCACATAAACAGAAGTAAAAGCAAAAAAGATGTTATTATCTTAATAGATGCAGAAAAAGCATTCAATACAATTGAGCATTCTTTTTTAATAAAAACCCTCAAAAAACTAGACATCAAAGAAACATACCTTAAAATATAGTAACGAGTATGACAAACCCACAGCCAATGTCATACTGAACAGGGAAAAGTTGAAAACATTCTCCTAAGAACGGGGAAAAGACAAGGATCCCCATGTTTACCACTCCAATTCAACATAGTACTGGTAGTCCCAGTTAGAGCAATTAGACAACAGAAAGAAATAAAAGGCATTCAAATTTGAAAAAACAAAGTCAAATTATCTCTGGTCACTGATGACATAATCTTATACCTAGAAAACCCCTACAGATTTCTCCAAAAGACTCTCAGATTTGATACATGAATTTAGTAAAGTTCCAGGGTACAAAAACATTGTACCAATATCAATAACATTTCTATACAATAATTATAATCAAGCTGAGAACCAAATCAAGAAGGCAATTACACTTATAATAGTTACAAAAAAGATCTGGGAATACATTTAAACAAGGAGGTCAAAGATTTTTACAAGGAGAAATACAAAACACTGAGATAAATCATAGATGACAAAAATAAATAGAAAAACATCCCAAGCTCATGGTTTGGAAGAATCAATATTATTAAAATGGCCATACTACTCAAAGTAGTCAGATTCAACATTATTTCTATCAAATCACCAATGTCATTTTTTGAGAATTGGTAAAAGAAAAAGAATTCTACAATTTATATGGACCCAAAAAAGAACCTGAATAGTCAAAACAACCCTAAACAAAATAACAAAGCCAAAGGCATCACATTATCCAACTACAAACTATACTCCCAGGCTATAGTAACCAAAATAGCATGGTACTAGTATGAAAATATACACATAGATAAATGGAACAAAATTGAGAACCCAGAAAGAAAGTCACATGCCTGCAACCAACTAATTTTGACAAATTCGATAAAAATACACACTGGGTAAATGACACCCTATTCAATAAATTGTGCTAGGAAAATTGGATATCCATATACAAAAATGAAACTGGATGCATATCTCTTACCATATAGAAAAATTAATTCAAGATCAAGTAAACACTTAAATGTAAGACCTGTAGCTATAAAAATCCTAGAAGAAAACCTAGGGAAAACTCTTCTTGACATTGGCCTAGGCAAAAAATTTACTAAATCCTTAAAAGCAAATGCAACGACAAAAAAAAAAATAGACAAATGAGACCTAACTAAACTAAAAGCTTTTTCACAACAAAAGAAATAATTACCAAAGTAAACAGACTACATGTGTAGTCTGGAGAAAATATTTGAAAACTATGCTTTCAACCAAGAGCTAACATCCAGAATCTAGGAGGATCTCAAAATGACTCAACAAGAAAAAAAGAACAAATAACCTTATTAGAAAGTAGGCAAAGTACATGAACAGACATTTTTCAGAAGAAGACATAGAGGCAGCCAAAAAACAGAAAAAAAGCTCAATATCACTAATCATCAGAGATATGCAAATTAAACCACAATGAGATACTATCTTTCACCAGTCAGAATGGTTATTATTAAAAAGTCAAAGAAATAAAAACAGATGTTTGCAAGGATGTAGAGAAAAGGGAATACTTATAAACTGTTTGTGGGAATGTAAATGAGTACAACCTCCATGGAAAAGAGTATGAAAATTTCTCAAATAACTAAAAATATAATCATCATTCAACCCAGCAATCCCACCACTGGGCATCTACCTAAAGGAAAATAAATCATTGTATTGGCCAAGTGTGATGGCTGACACCTGTAATCTCAGCACTTTGGGAGGCCAAGGCAGGCAGGCAGGCAGACTCCTCACCTGAGATCAGGAGTTTGAGACCAGCCTGGCCAACATGGTGAAACCCCGTCTCTGTTAAAAATACAAAAATTAGCTGGGTGTCGTGGTGCATGCTTGTAATCCCAGCTATTCAGGAGGCTGGGGCAGGAGAATGGCTTGAACCCAGGAGGCAGAGGAAGCTGCAGTGAGCCAAGATTGCACCACTGCACTCCAGCCTGGGTGACAGAGTGACAATCCATCTCAAAAAAAAAAGGAAATAATTATATCCAAAAGACACCTGTACTTATATGTTTAGTGTAGTACTATTCACAATAGCTGAGTCATGGAATCAACCTAAGTGTCCATCAACTGATGATTGGATTAAAAAAATGTGAGAGATATATATATGTATATATACACACATACCATGGAGTACTACTCAGCCATAGAAAATAATGAAATCATGTCTTTTGCAACAGCATAGATGGAATTAAAGGCCATTATCCTAAGTTAAAAAACTCAGAAACAAAGAGTCAAATATTGCTTGTTTTCACATATAAATGGGAGCTAAACAATGCATACCCATAGTCATACAGAATGAAATAATAGACACTGGACATTCCATAATGTGGCAGAGTGAGAGGGGGTAAAGTTTGACAAATTACTTATTGGGTACAATGTTCACTAGTTGGGCAGTCAAAGGCAACCACAGTAATAATAGACGAATGAGACAGCATCAAACTTAAAAGCTTCTACACAGCAAAGAAAACAATCAACAGAACGAAGAGACAAATTACAAATTGTAGAAAATATTTGCAAGCCATATATCTAAATATGTCTAAATATGTCTAAATATAGAAGGAACTCAATAGCAAGAAAACAAGCCAATTGAAAAATGGGCAAATAACCTAAATAGACATTTCTTCAAAGAGGACATACAGATGGCCAACTGGAGTATGAAAAATGCTCACATCATTAATCATTAGATAAACACAAGTCAAAAGCAGAATGAGATATTACCTAACACTGTTAAGAATGGCTATTACAAAAAAGATAAGAGGTACATTTTGGCAAGGACGTAGAGAAAAGGGAACGCTGCAGCACTGCTGATGTAAAGTAAATTGGTATAGCCACTATGAAAACAATATGAAGATTTCCCCAAAAATTAAAAACAGAACTATCAGATGATCAGTCAATCCTACTGCTATGCATATATACAAAGGAAATAAAATTAGTACCTCAAGGAGATACGTTTATTGCAGCATTTTATATATATATATATATATATATATATGCACACAAACACATACACACCCACCGCCCCGACACACAAAGGCAATAGAATATTATTCAGCCTTATAAAAAGAGAATCCTGAAAAGAGAGAAAAAGAAAAAGAAAAAATAAGTAAATAAATAATAGGGAACTGAAAAAAAAGGAAATCCTGCCACATGGTGAATGTGGAGGACATTATGGTAAGTTAAAAGAACCAGACACAGAAAGACAAATGCCTCATGATCTCCTTTATATGTGGAATCTAAAAAAGTCACTCAGAGAAGTAGAAAGTAGAATGGTGGCTGCTGGGGCCTGAGGGGAAGGGAAAATGAGGAAATGTTGATCAAAGAGTACAAAGTTTCAGTTAGACAGGATGAATATATTCTGGAGATCTACTGTGCGGCATGGTGATTATATTTGATAATGTATACTTGAAAATTGCTAAGAGGAAAGATCTTAAATGTTCTTACCACAAAAATAGTGATAAATGTGTGAAGAGATGAATACATTAATTAGCTTTATTTACTCATTTGATAATGTGTATACATCAAATAATTACATTGTAAATTAAAAATGTATAAAATTTTTGTTTGTTGAAAAAATCATCAATTGTATGCCCATAATTTAAGAAGAGAAGTCTAAAATCAACAATCTAAGTTACTACCTTAGAAATTTAGAAAAAGCAAATTAAATCAAATGCAAGAAGAAAAAAGAAATATTAAGAATGAAAGTAGAAATCAATGAAATCAAAAATAGAGAATTAATAGAGAAAATCAATGAAATGAAAATATGTTTCTCTAAATTATCAGTTAAATCAATAAGCCTCTAGTCAGGCTAATTAAAGACAAAAGAGAGAAGACAGAAATTACTAATGTCAGTAATGAAAAAGGAAACGTTGCTACAGATTCTATGACCATTAAAAAGGTAACTAAGGAGTACTATGAACAACTCTATTCTAATAAATTTGACAACCTAGGTGAAATAAACCAATTGCTTAAGGCACAATTTGTCAAAACTTACACCAGAAGAAATAGACTACATTTGTAGACATAATTATATTAAAAATTTAACGAATAATTAATATATTTCCAAATTAGAGAGCAACAAGGCTTAAATGGGTTCAGTTGTAATTCTACCGAACCATTAAGGAAGAGATTACATCAATTGTTAGTAATTTTTTTTAGAAAATCAAACAGATAGCACATTTACTAACTCATTTTACAGGGCCAGCATTACTTTAATATGAAAGACAGGCAATTGCATTAAATAAACCGCAGGTCAATTTAGATCATGAATATAGATGCAAAAATTTCAATAAAATATTACCAAATACAATCCAACAATATACAAGACAAATTATACACAGCAACTAAGTGGAATTCATCCCTGATATGCAAGGTTGGTTCGACATTCAAAAAAATCAATATAATTTATTATAAGAACAGGCTAGAAAAAAAATCACACAATTATATATATGCAGAAAAAGCATTTGACAAAATCCATCACCCATTTATAACATGTAACAGTAGGGTCTATAAAAGGTAATTAAGGTTAAATGAGAAGCCACAAGGTGGGGCCCTAATCCAATAAGACCAGTGACCTCTTAAGAAAGTGAAGAGATGAGATACGTCTCTCCTGTCCCTTTCTGCCTCTGTCTCTCTCTCTTCCTCTCTCTCTCTCTCTCTCTGTGTACATACAAAGGCCATGTGAGAGCACAGCAAGAAGGCATCCATCTACAAGCTAAGACGAGAGCCTTCACCAGGAACCAAATCAGCCAGCACCTTGTTCTTGAACTTCAAGTCCCCAGAACTATGAGAAAATAAATTTCTATTGTTTAAGCCACCCAGCCTATGGTATTTTGCTATGGGAAGCTGAGCAGGCTAAGGCAGTATTTATTTCCTAAGTCTTAATTTGCTGACTTATAGACATGTATGTCTCACTCAATTTCACGCTAGAAGATCAAGCAAGATCATAATTCTTAACAGTCTATGGAAAAGAGAATCATATTTTTTAACTCAAACTGAAATTCACAGTATGCTACAAGTTATTATCATAGCTACATTCAGTTTTCTGTTACCTTGAATGGGTTTTCTTCCTATTCTCTGGGTATAAGTTTCTTGTCCTTACTAAGCTAACATTAAATCACCAAAAGGTAAGTTAGATTGATTGCCTTAAAATAAGGCTTATATATTAGCTCTTCATGTCTAGAATGATATGCTCATTTGTATTCTTCATATATAAAATAAATTTTAGAAGAATAGCAATGGTTTAAACATACAAAATAATTTCTATTCTTACATAAATTATTAATGATAAAAATAGAGTTCTTTATTTGGTATTGCTCAAGGACCCCAAATATTGATCAAGCAAAGTGCCTGAGGGAAATGTATGTATCAATAATATGAATACAGGGGCTTAATACAAAGTGGGAATGTATTCGAAATACACATCATCAATTTTCTAAACCATGTATTTTTTAATATATGTGATATATCCAGTTCTAGGTCTGCATTAATACCCAACAAATCATCTCACTTCATATGTCAATTATTTTATATTTATTGATACATATTATTTTACATATTTATTGGGTACATATGAGTATTTATTGCACTCACAGAATGTATAATGATCAAGTCAGAGCATTTGGAACATCCATCACCTTGAGCATTTAGCATGTTTATGTATTGGGAATATTACAAATCGTCTCTTTTAGCTGCTGTGAAATATTCAACACATTGTTGCTAACTATAGTCACCCTAGTTTTTCTTTTTATGAAATTGGTGATCTTCATTTTTGCTAATGTAGTAAAATTCATAAAGTTTCTGTGTGAATCATTTAATCAATAAAGATATTACAGAGGACAGACTTATACATATATATGAGAATGAAATAAAATGTTTGTATTTATATATGTGATTATATATGACACACATATATGTGACTTTTAACTAAAATCATCAGCATAAAATTACTTTTAAGGTGCAGTTCTCTAAGTCATTTTCTTTCCATTCATAATATTCTATTGTGAGCATTTCAAGTGATGATACATACAAAATAACTCTAAGAAATTAACTTTCCAGAGTAAAACTTCTTTAGTCCTAATGATCATGCTTTCTATAGAAAACGAAAATGATATGTTAAGAAGAAAAGAAAATTGAGCAAGACGCTAGACAATTTAGCCTCTTAAGAGCTAATTACATATATAGATATATATACACACATATTTAAATTTTATATATACAATTCATATATATAAATCTATAATATGTATATTACATAATATTATATATTAGTATACTTATATGTATATTAATATATAACTTAAATATATGTATACCTACATTTAACATGTATACACACACAGAGCACACATTTTGTTCTTTTCTAATATTTAACATATTCAGGATCACTGTAAATATTATGTAGGATACTGCACAGATTTTATCTATCTAGATCTCTTCTTCCAAATTTATGTAGCATTTTCACATAAGTCTTTATTAACAAAAATCATATCTTTCATTAAAAAAATTGTTCATAATTAAAAATTAGTGAAATTATGTGGATAGATATTCCATATTAGCAACATGGCTTCTAAAATTTAGATTTAACTATAAAATATACATATTCTATGATACTAAAAATATTCTATGATTATTATTTTCATTATTCCAATATTTATTTCATAAAAAATATTAGTAGTTAAGTAATCATTATAATTATTTTATTTAAAAATAAGGACTGAACTGATTTAGCCAGGACAGGACTGTCTGATAGAAATACAGTGTGAGCCATATATTTAACTTTATATTTTCTAGACACATTTAAAAAAGCAAAATGAAAAAGGTAAAAACTTTTAATAAGATTGTTATTTAATCCACTGCATCAAAAGTATTCTCAAATATATACTCAATAAGAATGTTATTAATGAGATGTTTCACATTCTTTTTTCACACTAAGTTTTTAAAATCCAGTGTGTATTTTACAGTTTGAACACATCTCAGGCCATATACAAATTGTATTGGAATTATTTCAACTGTATTTATATTTTACTTTTTCATTTCATTTTGTTTTTTTCAGTTTAACCTTTCTATATACCTTCTTGTTATTGGTTACCCTACTAGGCAATGTGGAGCTAGAGGCTACCGAACTTAAGGCAGAATTTGTGTTATTTCTCAAATCTACTTCGTAGTTTGATACTAACGCATCTCTTGTTTAAAATGTGGTTGAGGTGCATGAGTTATTTTTTTAGGCCTGAGAAACCATTTCTAAGTCTGAAGGTGAAATATTTGCAGAAATAGTGTTGCTTAGCATCAGCAAATGAAATCTAACAACAATAGAAGTAAACTGGAAACATATTCTGAATCTCAGTGTGATAAAAGCTGTGAATCTGGAGGAAGATATCAGGAGGATCAAAAGCAAAGGTGCATCTTGAGGAATATGTCTGATACAGTATCAAGAAGGAAGGGAGCTTAGTTGAACAAGATATTAAGATATTATAATATGAGATAGAAGGTTGAAATAAATCTGAACTATTGTGAGAAAAAAATAATTTCTGATACACGAACCAGGAAAATGGGAAAGGGAAAAGATAAGAATTTGTTAACTTCTCAGCACAAATCCCCAAACTAACAAAAACAACATAAATAAATGGAAGATAATTAAAAGAAATATGGTTGTAACTTTAATATATTTTTATTAACTTGAAAGTTTACTGCTATAATAGTTAATACTTAGTTAACATTGTAACAATTGTAATGCAATAATATTGTGTTAATATCATAAAGAGACTAATTAGCTTAGATATATTTTAATTGAACATTGAAATGTCTCATGAATCTCTCATGATGTCCTATGCACTGGATATCAAGATAGCAAATTTTTAAAGAAAAATATTTTATTTCTAATAAAACCAACAGAAGTCAAATGTTTAAATTTTTAATATGCAGTTTAAGACCTATCAAACAGTAAATCTCTTTTCCCTTTTTCATTGTTGTAAAATATACATAACATAAAATTTACCATCTTAACCATTTTTAAGTGTCCAGTTCAGTGGTATTAAACGCATTTACAATATTGTGCAGCCATCACCACCATCCATCTCCATAACTCTTTTTATGTTGTGAAAATAAATCTCTTGCATTTTAAACAATACCTCCCCGTTTTCACCTGCTCCCAGCCCCTTGTAACCATCACTCTACTTTCTGTCTCCAGGATTTTGATTACTCTACATGTATCATATAAGTGGAATAAAATAATATTTTTCTTTCTGTGACTGGCTTATTTCACTTAGTATAATGTCTTCAAGATTCATCAGTATTGTGACATCTAGCAGAACTTTCTTTATAAGGCTGAATAACATTCCATTGTAAGTATATACCACAGTTTGTATATACTGTTAGTGAACATTTGGGTTGGATCCACATTTTAGCTATTGTGAATAATGCTGCTATGAGCATGGGTACACAAATACTGCTTCAAGATCTTGTTTTCAGCTGGAGTACCTGGGAGTCAGTGATTGGGGAACGATTTCAGGGGGAAAAAAAGGGAGAGGCTGAAGCATGTTGAAAAATTATTTATTGTCTGTTGTTCCTCTGTATGAACTGGTTGCTGGTTTATGCAACGCCCAGTAATTAAAATGGCTAGAATGCTTTTCATATTTAACTAAACATGAAGGTGACTCAGAGGCCTAGAACTGCAGCCAACTTGAGGGGGATTCACTGATCCTACCCTAGCTCCCCCTTGGCTTGGCAGAGGTGAATCATATCTGGCTCAGGGAGAGGGGGTGCAACAGGGAGGTGGGAGGAATTCAAAAGTGTCAGGAGTTGTTCCCACTCCTCCCTCAGGTGCATCCAGGTGCATGCCTCTAGAATGAAGGTAGGCATAAGCCACACACCTTCTGGAAGTCTGCAATAATTAGTGGTCATGCCTAGGAATGATAAACAATGTTAAAGATATCCTCTATTAAATATCTGCCATGTGCCAGCTGCTAATTGTGTAGAATATATTTTTTAGTCCTTTCAGATTTAATCTACTTATGCATTTGTATTTATATATTATTATGTATTTGGATCTAAAGTGAGTCTTGTGTAAACAATATATAATTAGATAATTTCTTTGTATCTATTCTGCCACTCTCCTTTGATTAGAGAGTTTATTTACACTCAAAGTAATTACTGATAAGCAGTGATTTACTTTTGTCTTTTTGTTATTTGTTTTCCATGACTTATAGCTTGTTTGTCACATTTCTGTATTATTGCTTTCTTTTGTGTGTTTTTTTGTAAAGAAATATTTAAATTCGTTTCAAATTTCCTTCTGTATATTCTATAGCTATTTTCATTGTGGTTACCACAGAGATTACAATTAGCATTTTATAATTACGACAACCTAATTTGAATTTATACCAGTTGAATTTCAATACCATACAAAAGTTCTTCTCATTACAGCTTCATCCCTATCCCTTTGGGTTGTTTATATCATTAATGACATCTTTATGCATTGTGCACCCAAGAATATAAGCCAGTAATTCTTTTTAATGTATTCGTTTCTTAACGTTACAATAACACTAGCTTTTAGAATAATTTTTTCTAACATATCGGTGCCATAAATTATGTAGAAAGCAAAAAATTGGAACTATAATCTGTTCTTATAACAGCTTTTATAATTGTATAATTGCCCATGTATTTACATTTATTGAGATCTTTATTTCATTTGTATGATTTTAAGTTACTGCCTAGTGTCCTTTCATTTCAATCTGCTGAACTTTCTTAAGCATTTTTTTTTCAGCACAGATCTAGTGGTAATAGACTCCCTAGGCTTTTATCTGGAAATGTCTTAATTTCTCCCACACTTTTGAAGAATACTTTGCCAGATATAGAATCTTGTTTTACAGCCTTTTGTTTGTTTGTTTGTTTTAACATTTGAATATATTGGTCCACTCTCTTCAAAGTTTCTGATAAAAAAAAATCTGCTTATTATGTTATTCAAGATCCCTGTGTCAAGTTGCTTCTCTCTTGCTGCTTTGAAGATACTGTTTTTTTGTATCTTTCTTACAAATGTTTGGTTATAATATTTCTCTGTGTGGGTTTCTGTTAATTCATCTTACCTACAGTTTATTGAGATTTTAGATGTTTATATTAATGTCTTTCATCAAATTTTGGAAGTTTTCTACCATTATTTCTTCAAAGATGCTCTGTGCTCGTTTTCTCATTCTTCTCCTTCTGGAACTCCACAATGCATATTTTGTTCTACTTGATGGGATCCCACAGGTCTCTTAGGCTCTGCTGACTTTGCTTCAATATTTTTCTTCCTGTTCCTCAGACTTGATAATTTGCATTGTCATATCTTTTAGTTTGCCGATCCTTTATTCGGTCTGCTCAAATCAGCCTGTGAATCCTTCTTGTATATTTTTATATCGGTTATTTTTCTTTACATCTCCAGGATTTCTTTCTGGTTTCTTTTTAGATTTTCTCTCTCCTGAAATATTGATATTTCCATTTTGTTCATACAATGTTGTCCTGATTATTTTTCACATTTTTCTTTTGTAATCTGAGTTTCTGTAGGACAGTTGTTTTAAAGTCTTTGTCTAGTATCTCTATAATCACACCATTTGTGGGACAGTTTCTCTTTATTTTTTTTCCTTTGAATAGGTCATACTTTCCCTTTTTCTTTGTATGCCTTATGACTTTTTATTGGAAATTTGACATTTGAATTTAAAGATGTGATAATTCTGGAAATGAAATTCTCTCTGTTTCCTAGAGCTTGCTGTGGTTTTTGTCATTTTTATATTATTATTATTATTTTATTTATTTATTTATTTTGCTATAAACTGTCTGTACCAAGAATGAACCTGAGATGTAAACTTCAGAAAAGACTTCCCAGGTCTTTTCTGAGCCTGCATCTTCCCCTAGGATTGTTGAGGAGTGGGGGATGGGTAACAGCTACTTTGCTAAAAGTTGAAATTGACTAAAATTTACAGCAACTTACCTTACAAGCCTTTCTCTGGAAGTTACAAGTCTTCAACAGTCTCTAGAGTTATGAAATAGTTATATTAGTCAGATTCTTCCAGTGCAATTGTTGACTAGATGGGGAAACAAATTTCCTGGAGCTTTCTATTCCACCATATTCCCATCAACATAATATGTCTTTTAAAATTTCTTATTAATTAATCAACTATTTTCTTTATATTTCAAATTATTCAATTTCCTGAAAATACAAAAAAGTTAAAGATACATTTTGTATAGAGACAATTAACACAGGGACTCATTAGAAGTAGACATACACTTGATTGAGCCAATTGTTTAGGAAAGAATGTTTCATTTCCTTTCAAAGATATTAAGGTAAAGAAAATGAAAGAAAAGATACAATTAAAATGCAAAGCTTAGGTTACTCTTTATTGAAGCAAGTAACAGACTGTGTAGACACTAGAATAAGAATATTTTAGCCCATAGAGTAAGTAGATTTATCATTAGCCATCCATAGGAAAACACACTCTCCAACCTAATGAAACCATACTTGCAAAGGACAAAGCCTGTGATTTGGAATATTTTCAAAAGAAACAAAACAGATGCAGGGAAATTAGCTCTATATCTTTATAGCTCCAAGGATGCTCTTTAGAAGTTTACTGAATGCATCATTGATCTGTCAATATCTGTTAATATTATTGTACATCAAACTATATGGGAAACCATGCAAATACATCAAACTACAGAATATAATTTTTCTTCTTTTGTGTTTTATAGACATTTGAATCTTTGTCATATTCTCTCATTTTTTCTTTATTTGATTACACTTTTTTAAAGTTTTTTATTTCATCCTGTCAGAGCTATTATGTAATAATTTTAAAACATGATTGTAAAAATATCTCATTGCTTAGATTTGCTTTTGTTCCCAAATTCAGTTTTTGTTTTTAAGAGACAAAGGGATCAGTTTGAAAGTCTCTCAGCTATGTCCTTGTGACATTATCTTTTGTCATTAACACAGAAAAAGCAGAATGTATTCTTGTAAATTTTTTCTATGTGACTATGGACAAGCAATTTTTTTTTCCTAAGATAGTTCATTATAAGTGTCTCAGTGTTTGTTTCCCTCTTTTTTTGTGATAGATGTTGTGTGTATGCAAAGTGTGAAATAATGGTTATCAGTTTCTGTTACATTTCTTGGAGGTTTCTCTTCTTCAGAAACTATTTATTGTAGGTTTATTAGTCAGATCCCTCAGATGTATTATAAATAATTATGCTACATGGTGGCATACCTAATAAAATAATACACATTGCTATGCATTACAGCACCTTTGTCCTTGTTTGTTTGTTTGTTTATTTTAATGTGCCATGCTCATAGAAGTTTGTAAAACACAGCAAAGGTAACAATGTTTTCTCATACAAAAACCTTTTTAAATCACATGGATACCAATAAACTCAGTAATATTCCATGTTAGTGAACTTCTACTGCTTAACAACAATGTACTGATGAAAGGCCCATCTCATAACTTTCTTTATGTATCTTAGCTCTGCTGCTTTACAATGGTTAGCATTCGTAGATCTCACTTTGGTCTGTTGTATTACAGATCACTGGAATCACCGATTGAGTGAGAGTAGAGAGAGAGGTCTTTTCTCTTGCTCAGGAAAAAAAAAACATGAAAAAAAAATAATAAAATGTATGCTAAACTAAACCCAAAGTGAATAGATTCATCATTGTAAGCAAATAAGTAATTTTTCCTTATTGTATTTAGTATCAATTTGTATTTAGTATTTTTTGCTAGAAAAACAAAATTTGATGTGACAGCTAACAAAATATCTCGTTTTGCAAAATCTCTGGATTTTTTTTCTTTTCTAATTTTATTTTAGGTTCAAGGGGTACATGTGCAAGTTTGTTGCACAGGTAAATTGCATGTAGCTAAGGTTTGAGTGTATTAATAATCTTGTCATTCAGGTAGTAAGCATACTACCTGATGATAGGTAGTTTTTCTCTCCTCTCCCCCTTCCCAATCTTCCCCTTCAAATAGTCCTCAGTGTCTATTGTTCCCACCTTTATATCTCTGTGTACTCAATGTTTACCTCCTACTTATAAGTGAGAACATGCAGCATTTGATTTTCTGTTCCTGCATTAATTTGCTTAGGATAATGGCCTCCAGGCCTATCCATGTTTTTGCAAAGGACACTATTTTGTTCTTTCTTGTGGCTGTTGGTATTCCATGGTGTATGTATAGCATATTTCCTTTATCCAGTCCACCACTGATAAGCATCTAGGTTGAGTTACTGTCTTTGCTATTGTGAATAATGCTAATATAAACATAAGAGTATATGTGTCTTTTTGGTAGAATAATTTATTTTCCATTGGTTATATACCCAGTAATGGGATTGCTAGGTCAAGTGGCAGTTCCATTTTAAGTCCTTTGAGAAATTTCCAAATTACTTTCCACAGTGGCTGGACTAATTTACATTTCCACCAGTAGTGCATAAGCAATCCCTTTCCCTTTTCTCTGCAACCTCATCAGCATCTGTTATTTTTTATCTTTTCAATAATAATTATTCTGATTGCTATGAGATGCTATCTCATTGTGGTTTTGATTTTCATTTTTCTAATGGTAAGTGACTATGGGTACTTTTCCATATTTTTTTGCTGCGTGTATATCTTCTTTTAAGAAGTGTCTGGTTATGTCCTTTGCCCATTTTTTGATGGGGTTGTTTGGGGTTTGCATATTGATTTGTTTAAGCTCCTTATAAATTCTGGATATTAGAAGTTGTCAGATGTACCGTTTACAAATATTTTCTCCCATTCTATGGAGTGTCTGTTTACTCGATAGTTTTTTTTTTTTCTGTGCATGAGCTCTTTAGTTTATGTCCCATTTGTCAATTTTTCGTTTTCTTTCAATTGCTTTTGAGAACTTAGTCTTAAATTATTTGCAAGGCTCATATCCAGAATGGTAGTTCTTAGGTTTTCTCCTAGGATTTTTATAGATTTTGGTCTTACATTTGAGTCTTTAATTTATCTTGAGTTAATGTTTGGATATGCTAAAAGTAAGGGGTCCAGTTTCAATCTTCCACAAATGGCTATTTATCCAAGCATCATTTATCGAATAGGGAGTCCTTTTCCTATTGCTTACTATTGTCTTTTTTTTTTTTTTTTTTGAGATGTAGTCTGGCTGTATCGCCCAGGCTGGAGTGCAGTGGCGCGATCTCGGCTCACTGCAAGCTCCGCCTCCCGGGTTCACGCCATTCTCCCGCCTCAGCCTCCGGAGTAGCTGGGGTTACAGGTCCCCGCCACCACGCCCGGCTAATTTTTTGTATTTTTAGTAGAGACGGGGTTTCACCGTGTTAGCCAGGATGGTCTCAGCTTCCTGACCTCGTGATCCACCCGCCTCGGCCTCCCAAAGTGCTGGGATTACAGGTGTGAGCCACTGCGCCCGGCCTATTGTCATTTTTTTTAAAGATCAGATGGCTGTAGGTACGTGCCTTGATTTATGGGTTCTCTATCCTGTTTGTTTGGTCTACATGTCTATTTTTGTACCATTGCTATGCTGTTTTGGTTACAGTAGCTAGTTTAATGTAGTATAGTTTAATGTCAGGTAATGTGATGCCTCTTTGTTCTTTTTGCTTAGGATTGCTTTGGCTATTAGCACTGTTTTTGTTTTCATACAAATTTTAAAAAAGTTTTTTCGAATTCTGTGAAAAATGGCATTGGCAGTTTTATAGGAATAGCATCGAATCTGTAAATTGTTTTGGGCAGTATGATCGTTTTAACAATATTGATTCTTTCTATCCATAATTATGAATTTTTTATTTGTTTGTGTTTTCTTTGATTTCTTTGAGCAGTGATTTGTAGTTCTCATTGTAGAGATCTTTCTTCTCCCTGGTTAGCTGTATTGTTAGATATTTTATTCCTTTATGGCTTTTGTAAATGGGATTACATTTTTGATTTGGCTTTCAGTTTGGACAATACTGGTGTGTAGAAATGGTACTAATTTTTCTACATTGACCTTGTATCCTGAAACTTTACTGCAATTGTTTATCAGTTCATGGAGGCTTTTGGCAGAGTCTTTAGGGTTTTGTAGGTATAGAATTGTAGTATATGCAAGGAAAGATAATTTAATTTCCTCTTTTCCTGTATGAATGCATTTTATTTCTCTCTCCTGCCTGATTGCTCTGGCTAGGACTTCCATTACTATGTTTAAAAGGAATGCTGGGATTAGGCATCCTTCTCTTGTTCTAGTTCTCAAGGGGAATGCTTCCAGTTTTTGCTTGTTCGTATGATGTTGGCTGTGGGTTTGTCATAAATGACTCTTATTATTTTGAGACATGATGCTTTGATGCCCAATTTGTTGAGGGTTTTTAACATGAAGGGATGTTGAATTATATTGAAAGGCTTTTCTGGGCCTATTGAGATGAACATATTGGTTTTGTTTTAAATTATATTTATGTGGTAAATCACATTTATTGATTTGCATAGGATGAATCAACCTTGCATCCCAGGAAGAAAAGCCTTTTTGATTATGGTGAATTAAATTTTGATGTGCTTCTGGATTTGGTTTGCTAGATTTTTATTAAGGATGTAGGCATCTATTTCATCAGGGACATTGCTCTGAAGATTTTTTTTTTCTTTTTTTAATCCATTGCATCTCTGCCAGGTTTTGGTGTCCAAATGATGCTGGCTTTGTAGAGTGAGTTAGGGAGAAAGTCTTCCTTCTCATTTTTTTTGGCAATAATTTTAGTAGGATTGGTACTAACTCTTTTTTCTATGTCCAATAGAATTCAGCTCTGAATCTGTCGGATCCAGGGCTATTGTTGTTGGTGTTGTTGGTAGGGTTTTTATTACTGATTCAAGAACTCATTCAATACTGTTATTAAAACAAATAAAACAATTTTGGGGTTTGTTGATCTTTTGTATAGATTTTCACATCTCACTTTCATTCATTCCTGCTGTGATGTGGTTAATTTTTTCTCCTGCTAGCCTTGGGGTTGGTTTGCTCCTTTTTTTCAGTTCCTCTAGGTGTGATGTTAGGCTGTTAATGTGAGATTTTTCTAACTTCTTGCTATAGACATTTAGTAGTATAAACTTTACACTTAACACTGCTTTAGCTGTGTCTCAAGATTGTGGTTTGTTGTGTTTTCTGTTTTATTTCTGCTTTAATTTTGTTTTTTATCAAGAAGTCATTTAGAAGGTTGTTTAATTTCTATGTAATTGTGTAGAACTGAGAAATCTTGGTATCAATTTATATTTTTATTGCACTGTGGTCCATGTGTGTGGTTAGTATAATTTTGATTTTTTGGAATTTGTTGAACTTGCTTTATGGCTAAGCATGTGGTTAATATTAGAGCATATGCTGTGTGCAGATGAGAAGAATGCATATTGTGCTGTTGTTGGGAGATGTATTCTACAGATGTCTGTTAGCTTCAATTGTTCAAGCGTGGAGTTTAATTCCAGAATATATTTGTTAGTTTTCTGCCTCAATGATCTGTTTAACAGTGGCAGTGTGGTGTTGATGTCTCCCACTATTATGGAGACTCTTGTGTGGTAATCTCCCACTCTTCTGTGGTTATCTAATTTTCTTTGGAGGTCTCCAAGAATCTGTTTTATGAATCTGGGTGCTCCAATGTTTGCTTTGTATATATTTATGATAGTTAAATCTTCTCATTGAATTGAACCCTTTAACATTTTAAAATGCCTTTGTCCTTTTTTATCATTGTTGGTTTAAGTCTGTTTTATCTGATGTAAGAATAGCAAAGAAGTTCTGTTTTGCTTTCTGTTTGCATAATATATCTTTCTCCATCTCTTTATTTTGAACCTATGGGTGTTGTTACATGTGAGATGGGTCACTTGATGACAGTGGACAGTTAGGTTTTGCTTCTTTATCCACCATGACACTTTATGCCTTTTAAGTGGAGTGTTTGGTCCATTATTATTCAAAGCTAATACTGATATGTGAAGATTTGATCCTGTCATCATGTTTTTAGTTGTTTCTTGCGCAGGTTGGTCCCACAGACCCTGACCAAACGATGGATGAATAAAGTTCACTGACACACAGATATTCTGCTTTGCCAGTTCAGCTGAGCATGTGGGCCACTTATAGACTGCCAGGAGAGTGCCGTAAACAGTTGTGACCATGGCCCATCCAGCTAGTGAGACTCACATTTATTTAGTAAAGATTAATTGACAAAGGCTTGAGTCAACACCACTAGAGGGTAATTGACATTGTGGACTTCACGAGTAGAAAGCAATTAAACACCCACAGTAGATAAAAGGTTAGCCTTAGGACTCCATGAGTAAACAAGCTAGTTAGATAAACTTCCCACATTCCTTTATTTCTACTCTAATTTATTTAACTAAAGGGACAAGGCCACCTTCAGCCAAGTTTATTACTGGAGCTTAGGCAAACCCCCCAGGCCTTCCAAGAGAGTTTGTGGCTATTATAACTAAAATTTTTCCACCAGCCTGACTGAACCCCCACAGTTTCTTATGTAGGCTTGATTGGGTAGTTGCTTTATAGTGTCAGTGGGCTATGTGCCTAAGTATGCTTTTGTGGTGGCAAGTATTGTTCTTTCCATGTGAGGATTCCCTTGGGACTGCTTGTAAGGCAGGTCTAGCAGTAACAAGTTCCCTTAGAATTTGTCTGTCTGAAAAGGATTTTATTTTTTCTTCCCTCATGAAACTTATTTTGGCAGGATATTATATTCTTTGTTGGATTTTTTTTAAGAATACATAAAATAGGACCCTAGTCCCTTTTTGATGGGAAGGTTTCTGCCAAAAGGTCTCCTCTTGCCTAAGGGAGTTCCCTTTGTCAGTGACCTGCCTCTTCTCTCTGTTGCATTGATCTTGAGAGTCTGATGACTGTATTTCTTGGGGATGGTCATCTTGTACAGTATCTCACAGGGGTTCTCTGAATTTCATTAACTTTTCCTATAGACTTCTCTAGCAAGATTAAGAAAGTTTTCAGGGATCATATCTTCAAATATGTTTCCAAGTTCCTGTCTCACTCTCCTTCTCTTTCAGGAATGCCAATGAGTGCAGGTTTGGTCTCTTTACACAATACCATATTTCTTGGAGGTTTTGTTCACTTTTTAAAATTTGTTTTCCTTTATTTTTGTCTGCCTGCGTTGATTTGAGGAGCAATCTTCAAGCTCCAAGAGATTTTTCAATAAATATATTATTTTATTTTCTCTTGCTCTAATAATAGTAAATTTATTTTATAACAGTATTTCATATACATATTTATTGCACAAAATAGTACATAACAAGCACTAAACTAGGTGCTGTGGATACATTATTTCTAATCTTTACTATAGACTTGTAAGGTTTCACCCCCACTTCAGATTAAAAAAAAAATTAAGCTAAAAGAGGTTGAGTGACTGGCTGGAAGGTTATGAATTGCCCAAAATGGCTTTTGGGAAGATCACTAAAGACACTTGGGTTTAGTGTAATTAATCATCGAACAATGTGATAAAAGCACATAAAACAGTTAAAGAGTTATTTCCCCTAAAATAGAAATTGAACATAAAAATTTTCTTAAAATTTAAATTTTCTTAAAATATGTTTTATGAAATAGGAATATCTATAATTATGCCAAAATAAATTAATAATGAACATTTATTTTTACAGTTCCCATTTAATAAAGAGAATAATTTCAAGGACTTAAGATTGTTTCAATTATTTTAGCTATAATTTTAAATATAAAGTAGAAATTTTCTTAGTGCTATATTGAAATCAGTTTCCTATTCCTGATTTGTATCCTCAACTTTTTATTTCAAACAGCCATTACCAGTAGATGCATAATTTTCTTATTAAAGGATATTTTTAAAAATCTACAAGTAAACATAAGAACTAGAAGTATTAACCAATAATTCTACACATGAGAACTCACAAATGCAATTAACACGTCAGCATGATGCTTCAAAAATCAACTTTGCAGTGCTTTGTGAACTTGTTTCTGACTTGAGGTCCAACCATTCTCAACTTTCTATAACGTAATTTGATTATGAGCCACAGTTAGAGTAACTTGGACATATGAACATTGTGGATACTAACTGGAGAGGAACAAATATGGTTGTTGAATTAGAACATAAGTCATTACTACTTTTCTATATAAGACAATTTATTTTTCCTAAATATGAGTACAAAATTACTCAAATAATAACAAGATATTTGATGACAGACTGAAGAAATACATGGAGATGAACATACTTTGATTATCTTATGATTTCTATTATTCATCCTCTCTTTAATATATGCCTGTTTCTTCTACCCTTTGTATACAGCTTGGCTTGACATTGTCACTAGGTCTTAACCTCCTGATCAATGGATTGCTTATCTTGTGGTGAGTCATCTAGACATACCCTAGACCAAGTAGCCACCGTAGTGTGTATGGGAGTAGGGATGGGGGATTGTTAATGTCCAAGCTGGAGTGAGTAATCGTGCTGCCCAAAATTTTAAATGACTGTTTTATTTTACTTTCTAATTTCTACATTTTATTCCCTCATCTCAGTAAAAGTTATTTTGTTTTTCAGAACAATGTCATGTTTCATTTATCACATTAAGCAGGTATTTTGAACTTGTATATTAGAAACAGAGGACAACAAACCAAGAAAAAAAGGCAAGAATCTTAAACTATTGAGAGAGATAAAGATGTTTTTATTTTACTCTCAGAAAATCTCCCTCACACTGGAAATTAATCTAATTATTCAGTTAGGTTCAAAATAAAAAAAAATTACAATAACTTTTGTTATTTTTCCTTGATGACAGTTAAGATATTTGATAAAACAAAACATGAAATATTTGACATCCACAGAGTGTGTGGATGTAGTATGTAAACTACGAATTAATACTACTTTCTTTCTCTTAATAAAAGAAACCTTAAAAATCCAAAAGATTTTAAATTAATTAACATAAGTCATTCATTTTAGTTTTAAGAGAACTTGGCCTAAATAATCATACCCATTCAATGTAAAGACTATATGTCAAGGGAAAAAAAAAACTTGGTTAGTCTACACAAATAATGTTCACCCATTTTTCAACAAACACTTATAAGGCTTGCTTTTTTAGTTATGAATGGTAGGTGATGATAGTCAAATACCTGGTAAAATATGGATTTCATTCCAGTCTGTGAAATTCCAGGTTTCTCCTTGTTTGATGACTAGACTTGACTGTTTCTCCCATCTTAGCCTCATATACCATAATCAAAAGTGAGAAAGTCCAAGGGTAAAAAGGGTAGAATTTTTCTTCCTGTTTCCTTCACAAGTCTATCTCAGGTTGTATTTATTTTTAGCTAAAAATCCTAGACATAAAATTCTAACCCCTTAATAAGAAGCATTTTATCTGCAGTTCTGAAAATTATTAAAAACACTGTAATGAAAAAAGAACAAGAGACCACCTTGGAGAATATTGTGAGAAGAAAGGGAAATAATAGTAATAAACATCTGGCCATGAAAGCTGAATGTCTAAAGAAAATCACATGTTTATTAATCAGATTTTTCATTATAAAGAACATATTTTATTATTAATTTAGGGAGGAATTAATATTGTTTACAATTATGTTTATCTTAAGTAGGTAATTATGTAGCCAGAATATTTGATAAAATTTATATAAGTGGTTCTTAGTTTCTTATCTTCATTTCCTCACTGACAAAATGAAATTGACATAACAGCCACATATACTATCAGAGTCAAAAGTAAAATGGGAACAAAAGAGATTTTTATACAAAACATCTCTTCCACATTTAAATATTATTATAACTTTTCTTTTATTCCCTTTATTTATTCTTAAAATTGTTTTAGTCAAGAAAAACTGACAATGAAGGTTTACTTTAGTAAGTTTATACATTCAGGAATATCATAAGTAGCACACTTAGAGACAAATGAGCTTCATTTAATATTAATACTATAATTAGTATATCATGCTTGTATGAACTGATACTAATAATGGTTAAGAGAATAGCTTGGGTTCACTTTGGATCCTCTGCTAGAAGTCTGAACTCTGGTAAGATGCCACCTTTTGTTTTTAAATGCCTATTAATAAATCTCAATGTCTTCACATGCTTTGCTCATTTTGTTAATCCCAGAATTGACTGCATAGGGAGGTAATATGCACTCCTTCTAATCCAAGTATTCTATTAATATATTTGGGTATTCTTTTTTTTTAATCTTTTGTCTGCTTTATTAGCAATTTTTATTGGCTTTGAAGAAGGAAGGGTTTCTTAAGCCCTTTTAGAGGAAAAGTCATTTTCAGGTTGAAGTGAAAGTTGAAATCGAATTATGCATTTTTGAAGCATAGATGACTGAGTCATGCAAGATGACACTAACAGTTGCAAGAAGGAGAAAGTCATAATATTCATGCTGAGGCATCTTAGAGTCAAAGGGTCAAAAGAGAAGTAAAACCAAAAATGAAGCCAAATTATGTATATATTTATCTCCAAAAAAAGTGACTTAACGTATTGAATGTGAGTATTCATATAATTGTCTTCTAAAATTCAGACTAATAGGCAAGAACTTCATGAAGATTCAACTGTAATGATTCTAAGAATCGATTTTGAAAACAGGAAAATATAAAAATATGGCAATTATTAAATAATTTAAAAATATCCTTATTTTTAAAATGTTACATACCTCTATATTGTGTATATCTTATTTGGAACCAACACACAAGTGACTTATAAAGTTATGTCATTGTATTTTAGAAATTATCAATAATTCTCAAACTTCCTTGCTCTTTTTATTTGTGTACAAATAAACCAAGTTTCTTAGAAATAGATACTTCCTCTTATTCTATTCTCTCACACATAATGTTGGTGAAGGTTATGAAGTAACTGGATGAAGTAACTGGATGACTTTGAACACAAGGCTCAATGCCTCACCCCGTTTCTCGTAATTAAGTGCTTTTTCAATGTGTTCACTCAAGTAATTACATACTTTCGTCATTGTTATTATGCAATGATGAAAATATTTACTGGCCCATCTCTCCCATTAAGTGTGGAACAATAAGAAAACATAGGCTGCACATTTTAATTCTGTATGACCAATGCTCAATACAGTGCCTTTGACAAAATCTCCACTTAGTGCTACTGAGTAGATAAAATGTTACAACGTAACCTGACAGAATACTCTTGATAGTAGGAAAAGTATCTCAATCATATTGTAAGACTGATCTTATTCAGTTACATTAAGTGTTACAGACAACAGAACTAAGCAATTTATTCCAAGTCCTGCATGTAGTGATAACGTTAAAGGGCCATGCAGAAGAAAAATTTTCCATGAATTTCTGTCTCGGTCTTTGGACATAAGTGAAGATTACAATTAAGACTGAATATCTAGTTTAATTTTTTTCACCTTATTAAAAAGACTTTCCAAACCTGTTTAGTTTTTTACTGAGCCTGCCTATTTTTCTTACATTAATAAAAACCCAAGTTTTCCTTGTTTTGTTTTGTTGTTTTTCTCTATAGTTGTTGCTGTTATTTTATTTGTTGCTGCTGAGTCCATACTTGGAAGTTTCTTTGGTAAAGATACCATCTTCTCAGCAGGAAAATGGGGATACATAATTAAACTATTAGGAAACCATCTGGTATTTTTTATCGTATGCTTTAGAGAAGTTTCAGCTTCTCCACAATACAAGTTGATTTGTTATTTTCTATGATGGTGTTTATTTAAGGACAGTAACATAATAAGCTGCAGTGTGAAATAGCACATTAACAATTAGCACTGGGTTGGTTTTTCACACAGCCAATGATGCGATTTTAAGAGTTCCCCAAAGCATTTTAAAGCCTGAGAAAAAATTTGTGTCATTACAAAGCCACAGCTTAAAGCTTATGAGCATTTTTCCCTACTAAGAAAAGCTTTAAAGAACATACAGAGGAAAGGGTAGCACAAAAATAGGTGGATCTGTAATTACTAGGAGTATTCTAATGCTTCAGCCTATAAAATAAGATCATTAACCTATGAATATTTAACGATAAAATATGTTTTCTTTAATAGGTAGCCACTAATTGTCAGTTTTTCTAAGTTCATCATGCCCGAGAATTTTTGACTCTGAAAACTTTATGAGGCATGCAAATTTAACTATTTTGTCAATTTGTACTTATTTTTACTTTTCAAGCAAAATCTGGTTTAAAACAGTATTTCTGTTTCAAATAAATGGTTTTTGCCTTACTAAAAGATTGGGTCCAAATTCAACTATTCTAGTAGAATATTTTTACTAGTATTGCCATATCTTCTCATTTGGACTATTGTAATACCCACCGGGTCTCCTTCCTTAAATTCACTCTAAATATTCTAAATGAAGCATTTTTTATAAAATACAACTCTGATCATCTTAAAATATATTGTAGTATAGATTTTAAGATTGGGAGTTCAGACCTTGATGTTTCCTCATATTACCAAAGTGTTTAAAACATCTATGACTAAATTTCCCCCTTTGTGAATTGCAAATAATAATAATATAGACTACCCCATAGGACTGTTAAGGGGATTAAGAGTTAATTCATATAAGACACTTATATCAGGGGCTGGCAATTTTTAAGGATCCCCCAAAAATGTTAGTTATCAGTGTTAATACCCTGTTTTTAAAATATGCAATTGTTTCCCACTGTATACAGAAGTAAATCAGGAATCCCTGGGTGGAAGTGGCACAAATTGGCCTTAACCTACTTTTAAAATATATCTCAACGTATAGACTATACCCTTTCTACTACAATACCAGACCATATTGAGATATATTTTAGTATATTGAGATATAATTCCATATGCCTATATTGAGATATATTTTGAATAACATAAAATCAATTCTTTTAAAGTACACAATTTTGCTGTTTGTAGTATAGTCACAAATTTGTGTAACAATCACCACCATCTAAAAAGGTTCTTTTAGAACATGTTTTATCATTCTGTAAAGAATCTTCACATCTGTTAGCACTCACTCGATTCCAAATTCTCTACTTCCCCAGCCCCAGCTGCCACACACACATACACACACACACACACACACACATGCATACACAGCCCGTGGCACTCACTAATATACCTTCCAGATTTGCCTGTTCTGGACATTTCATGTAAATGACATCATGTAAGATGTTGCCTTCTTTGCCTGACATCTTTCCCTTGGCATAGTGTTTTTAAGGTTCATTCATGTTGTAGCATGTTTGGGTAGTACATGATTTTTTATGGTCAACTAATATTTTATACATTCACCTAGTGAACATTTGCATTGTTTCCATGTTTAACTACTATGAATAATATTGCTATAAATTCTCATGCACGAGTTTTTGCATAGGTATTTGTATGCACATATTTTTTTGAGTATATGCCTAGGACCAGAATTTCTGGGTCATGTGGTAATTCCATGTTTGAGACTTTGAAAAAATTCCCACTGTTTTCAAAAGTAGCTACATCATTTTACAATCCTGCTAGCAAGGTATGAAGCTTCAAGTTCCTCCACACCCTCACCAGCGCTTGTTATTATCTGTCTTTTTTGTTTTAACCATCCCAGTGGGTACAAAGTGGTATTTTATTATATTTTTTAACTCACTCTGTACTGTAAAACCTCTGGCCATTAACTCCTACTCTTCTCTGTTGTAAAGTTCCCGTCCCCTTTCTCCTACCTGATTTGTGGCAAAACTCCCATTCTTCCTTGAAGGTTTACAGTTGGCCCCTGAAAAACATGGGTTTGAATTACATTGGTCCAATTTTATGTGAATTTTCTTCCACCTCTGCCACCCCTGAGATGACAAGAGCAACCCTTGCTCTTCGATCTCCTCCTCATCCAACTTGACATGGAGATAAAGATGAAAACCTTTATAATAATCCACTTCCACTTAATGAATAGCAAATACATTTTCCCTTCTTTTTGTTTTTTGAATAACATTTTCTTTTCTCTAGCTTACTGTATTGTAAATATATAGCATATAATGCATATAACATACAACATGTGTTAATTGACAGTCGAAGTTATAGGTAAGCCTTCCCGTGAACAGTAAGCTATTAGTAGTTAAGTTTTTAAGGAGTCAAGAGTTGGATGCAGATTTTTGACTGTGTTGGGGGTTTGGTGCCCCTAATCCCTGCATTGTTCAAGGGTCTACTGTAGTTAATAATTTTACTATTCTTTTTTTTTTTTTTTTTTTTGAGACGGAGTCTTGCTCTGTCGCCCAGGCTGGAGTGCATTGGCACAATCTCGGCTCACTGCAAGCTCTGCCTCCCGGGTTCATGCCATTCTCCTTCCTCCGTAGTAGCTGGACAATAGGTGCCAACCACCAGGCCTGGCTAATTTTTTTTTTGTATTTTTAGTAGAGACGGGGTTTCACCACATTAGCCAGGATGGTCTCGATCTCCTGACCTCGTGATCCACCTGCCTCGGCCTCCCAAAGTGCTGGGATTACAGGCGTGAGCCACCACGCCCGGCCAATAATTTTAATATTCTAAGACACAATCTATCACTAAGAAAAGAAATCTCCATCTTCTACCTACTCCTATAGAACATTAATTTTTATCACTGCACATGAAATGTGCTTTATGACAAAAGCAAGTATTTTATCTATTCTTTAACAGACTCTGAAATTCTTAATAAAAATGATGATTGTATAACGTAGTGTTTTCAACATAGAAGATACTCACTCTTTGCCAAATTTACATTTGACCAGGCATTCATTTTGATAGATAAACTAACAACCCGGCCACGCATGGTGGCCCATGCCTGTAATCCTAGCCCTTTGGGAGGCCAAGGCTGGTGGATCACTTGAGGTCAGGAGTTTGAGACCAGTCCGGCTAACATGGTGAAACCCCATCTCTACTATTAGTAGATACAAAGATTAGCCTGGTGTGGTGGCACCTTCCTGTAGTCTCAACTACTCAGAGGGCTGAGGCAGGAGAATCGCTTGAACCCAGTAGGCAGAGACTACAGTGAGCCAAGATTTTATCACTATACTCCAGCCTGGGCAACAGAGCAAGAGTCCCTCTAAAAAAAAAAAAAAAAAAAAAGAAGAAGAAGAAGAAGAAAGAATAGAAAAGAAAAAGAAAATAACATCCTTTTCTCCAAGGCACCCCACATGTTTTTCAATAAAATACTAAGAGTTTTACAATAAACCTGCTTCTTAGATTGCCTAAAGATAAGATGAATTCACATTTCATGATGTTTATTAATAATGTGTTTATCGGTCAAATTCCCTCATTTTATTCCAATTTCCTTGAGGAAGGATATTGTCCAAATGTCTAGAAAAATTCCAGAGCTTTAGAAAGGGTGGAAACTTTTGTTTACCTATAAAATTACAATGAAATAATGATTATTATAGTTAACAATTTCTTTGTAGGCAAAGGACAATAATGCAAAAGCTAAAATATTATTGATTTCCCTGGCTGTAATACTCTCCCAAATTCTGCTATGAGCCAAAATAATGTGTCTTTTAGAATCATATTAGGCTACTTGTGAATACTCTGGAACCATTAATGGAGCTAGCATCCAGACATACTCATATAAAATACAGAGATGCGGGCTTTGATTCAAGTTTCTTGAGTAGAAAGATAAAATAATCAATGATTCATTTTTTGACATTGGTTATGGCTTTTACTTTGCACTATATATTATTGGGCTTGCAGATATATAACCATTAGAGCCCTGGTATTCATATAGGACATCCTTGTTGTTCTGCATCAAATATTCTTTAAGAAATGTACTTCAGAAAATTTTCTAATTGTTATTTTCTTCCCTTTCAACAATAATGGCTATTATTATATATTAATTCATTTTATACTCTGGACCAGATATTGTATCAACTCCATTATATAAATTGCCTGATTTAATATTCATAAAACCTTAAAGAGGTAGCACAATTTCTCTCATTTTATACATGTGCAACTGGGGCACAGATTAGAGAAGTTACTTGCCCAAGATTTCACAATTAGTTAGTGGGGTGGAGCAAGAGTTTGAACACACACTCTGTGGTTCTCTTGAAAGCCCTATGTCTCCCTTGAATTAATTCCCAATGTCATGGATACAGCAAAGTGCCCAGAATAGAAAATGAAAGCAGTGACTTTTAGCATTTGGGATAGTTCAGGACTTCATCATTAAAGCAAAATTATTTCATTTTCTTCTACCCAGCTGTCCACTCATCTCCATAAACTCAGATCTCTCATTTTATTTTGAATATATGATAATTAAATTAAGTTTTAGCTCTTTACAGCATTAACTGTAGCAATTGGTTACTCATGGATTATCTAAAAATCATAGCTAAGAATTACCTGAAATTTTACGAAACTAATTATGATACATGGCACACAATAAATACAGAAACTTTGAAGAATATAAAGGACATCTACATCTGTATCAGACAGAGAAACAGAACTATCTACTAGGTGCTATAGTTCAATAAAGCAGATCACACTTTCACTAAATATAATGAGTACCACATTATTGTCATTTATCTTCAGTCCTCATTGTGATAAGCTCCCTTGACTTGTTATGACTCCATAAACTGCTAAATATATAACCGTTCTTGTAAACATCTATTACTAGAAAAGCTAGCAAGCTTGGCAGGGTTTAAAAAAAGGTGTTGGCATTTATGTATAAAAGTTTTCTTCAAAGAATGCTGCTTTAAAGTGTATTATGGAGAGGAGGGTTGAATTCTTACTTTTATTCCCAGTATTTGTTTCTTGCTTCTTTGGAACAGTAATGGTGTCATCACCAACAAGAACCACAGAATCAATGGGGATGTGAGGAATGAGCAATATTTTTTTTTCTACACACTACTCCCTGTATCCATATTTTTTAGCAGAATCTTGAAAGAAATCACTGGCATTTAATATCTCATAAATTTGGTTTGAACCTACAGATGCCTACTATAAAAATGATAGCATAGTTTTTAGACTTTTTAAGGAAAACATGTACTGTAAATTGTCTAGAGTCTTAGCAAATGGATAAGTTTGGGTAAACCACACTACTTTGAAAAATAGAGCAATATAAACTTTGGCAATAGAGTCAGTTAGCAATTTGTCTCTACATGTTTTCACAGTAATCATTCACCTACTGCGACTATATTTATTACTTCATCCCCTTCCATACTCCAACTACCACTTCCGTTTCCTTACCAAAAGAGTTTCTCCTGGTTTATTTAGATTGATTTTCTTGATTTAGGTTATTATCTAATATTAATGCCGCTTCTCTGAATATCAAACGAAAGAAATGCCTGACAAATATCAAAAAGTGGAGCAAACACTAACAGTTCAGAGTTCCAGATATTTTTGGAATGTAGAATTGATGCATCAACTCATGCATTCATTCACTCAACCAATCAATATTTATTGAGAGTCTACTATATGTCAGACATGTATTAGATACTGAAATTTCTCTCAGAAAAAGATATAATTCTGTGTAATTTACAAAATGTTGAAAATTGTGTGTTTCCACCCCCAGAGCCCACTTTGTTAGTTTGTTAGCTAGTTAGCTCCCTTTGTTGTCCAACAATCGTTCTCAGTTTTTAGTGCAAGTCTTTCCTAAGACTCATGTTTTTATGATCTAGTGCAAGCAGGATATACAATCATAGAGAAGAACGATGTAGCAATAAATTTAACTTCTTAATTGTCTTAGCTATCAAATCACCAAGTTATTTTTTAAGTCATGATTACAGATAATTTTAGCACATTGCAATTATTTTTTAAACTAATTACTTAAAAATAACACAAAAACTGTATCGCATAAGACCTAGTTATTTTCAACTCTTGAAGATCATATTGGCTGCATTTGTGGCATCATGACAGATGGTATTTTCCTTTAAGGAGTTTTCTTTTGATATAAAAATGTGTGCTAAATGTGGATAACCTGCTTATTCTCCTTGAAATAACAGTTTTATAAGCTTTCTGTCGAAAGTTTAATTAGCTGTTCCGCACTTTGTCCCTTTTTCAAAATTGCAGTTATTTCCATTTTTATTTGGGTTAAGAAAAAGGTTGAGATGTATGTTTAAAACATTAGCTAGACACCAAAGAGTAGAACTGCCTTCTATGTTCTGCCAAGGAGAGTAAATTACTTGGAAGTATGTCAACACTGGAAAACTGTCAATAACTTTTTTGGCTGCTGTTGTTCAAAACATTTTATTAGTATTTGATCGGTGTTTTAAAACAGACCAAAATATACTCAGAATTCATAGACTTGGGAAATTCTATGGTAAGCCAAAATCGTTTCATTTCTCATTGTGTTGTTTCTATTCAAAACTATGAATCCATATTTGAGCCCTGGCATTTGATATGAGGCATGTTCTATCTGAATCCCATTCAGAGACCTTTAATAATTAAAGTACCAGTGAAGCATCAATAATACTGAAAAAAAAAAAAAACATGCAGCAAAGATTTAGGAGGCCTCGATCCAACCATCACAGTATTCAGATTCCCTAGGTATCAGTTCTGAAAAGTAAAGAGAATAACAATTCCTGAAGTATATATTTCAAGGGGTAGTTGTTGACATAAAATAAAATCAAAGGCTAAATAAACTTTTACAAATTAGAAACATTCCATAAACATGGGTTCTTTTGTGTTATAGACACCTGGTACCAATAAAAATGTATCAAAGATTATACAATTGTATTAAAACCCATAAAAATGTATTAAGTGCTAGGAACAGGATAGAAATGTATACATATAGTGCACATTCAACTGTATAAAAATATGCTTAAAAATTACAGAAGGAAAAAGTAAAATGTTAACTATAATTCTCTCTGGGTATGGTTACTATGGATAAATATTTTCTTTATAAATTTTATTCATTTTTTTCAAATTTTCAGTTTAGAACATATGTTAGCTTTATAAGAGAAATATAAACGTAAAACCTGAGAATTATCTTTTTTCAGTTATATTTCACTTATTTGAATAACAGTGAATATCGAATTTAAACTTTATCTTACATTACTGGTAACTAACTGAAAAATCAAGATTGAATCATTCATACTAAAGCTTTCACGGTTCTTGCCCTGGATCTCTCTTTTAAGTATCTTATCTGCATCTTCCATCCACTAAGAAATGAAGAGGGTAATATTTTATATCTTGCATTGTTTTTAAAAAATAGCTTTTAAGATTGTTTCTTTTCCTTCCCTTTCCTATAATACACAAACATTTCCATTATATCTTCTATTTGATTTTCCATGTGATTAGCCTTTCTTGATCTGAATTTTTCTCACAGAGGGCGTCATGTTTCTTTAGCTTTTTCTGTACCATTTTTTCTGAGTGCTAGCCAGGAAGACTAGTGATGTCTTACATGCTCCTGCAATCCAGAGATCAGACAGACTCACAGTGTTTTACTCCTTGCAGCTCATGGACAATGATAAATTGGAAAGGAAAATATACATTGAAAACACAGTTTTGAATATGAGGCCCTCTTGAAAAGTAGGCATAACAAGTGTGAAGTTGTTTTAAATAGTTCTGTGATACTAGTAAGGTGAAAATTGAATCAGTCTTCCTTCCCATATTAGTTCCACCTTATAATGTCAAACACTAAATATGTTGTTGAAATTAAACTTGATACTACATAATTTAGGTCTCCTCTTTTTAACCTTATGTGAGGAGTTCAAGAATTCAGAAGCAAAAATTGGGAAAGGGAATTTTTGATGGTAATAAAGATAATTTTTACCCTAATATATATCAGAAAAAATATTTTGAAACAATTTAATAAATCAAAATGTAGATCATGTATGCCTTTTATTAGTACTCTTTCTCCCTCCCATGTAAGTTCCACAAAGCAGTAGATTAATTATTTCAGTGGTACCTGTGTCATTCACACTAAGGTAAGTTGAATTCAAAAGATAAGTCCTTCGATAATCTCATTCAAAGGTTATAAAGTACAGTAAGAAATGAATAAATAAAGCACTTTGAAAACCATCTAAAGTATAATATATAATTATCTACCATTAGTGTAACATGTAAGAGTTTTACTTCCATTTTTTAAACAGCTGACTTCAAGCCAATTTCTCATTTTGTTTCACTTTTCTTTTCTTCCTCTGGCTTGCATTCAGAACTCCCATTGACTTCTGGAAGGATATTTACATCTGGCTCAGCCTTAATAGTAGAAAACAAGATATTGAGTAGGCCTTTACTGATACTGAGTACTAAGAGAACAATCCTGCACCTACATATTGGCTACTGAACAATTTATTTCTTATCATGAACGTTAAACAGTTCAAACAACACTATGTGTAACATTTTTATAAGGTGAATTCATAGAATATAAATAAGTTCACTTACTTTTTCATGGAACTTTTTCATTTTCTAAGATATTTCATAGGTATTACTTTGTGTAATCTTTACATTAGTCTGTGAAATTCATAGGATAGATCCAAGCTTCTCCACTGTACAGAGGAGGAAAACATGGCACAGAATTATTCATTGTTTGATAATAACTCCTAGCTGTAGCCATTTTTCCATCAGCAATCTCTGTATTTCAGATTCCTGGAAGGTTGTGGCATTATTGAAGGGAGTTTTACAGATTAGTATAGTGTACCATTGCCTGTAGAATAGAAGTATTTCTTACACATATATGAAGTATAATTTTAAACGATGTTTACGTGCTGTGGAGGCCAAAGCAACTCAATCTTGGATGTTAATACACTATGTTGACTTCTGATGAACACCAGTCTGGAAAGGCCTCTAAGATTTCCAGTCTATCTGTTGTTTCTAATGTAAGAGCAAGTTACTTACGGTAAATCCTGCCTTTATATCAAACGACCTTGATATTATATTACTTTTGTTGTCCTTCATATCCTTTCTGCATCACACTTCCCTGTGGTATAAAAGTCCTTGGTCTGGGGGGTAATGGTATAGGGATCCACCATCTCTTCTTGCCATTGTGTGAGACACAAACATGGCTTCTCCTTATAAGTTTCTACTAAATGTTTCTTTCTAAGAAACTGGATTTGTCAGCCTCTTTCTTCATCCTGTCAGCTTCCTTGGACTTTTGGGGATGGGTTTAGACTTGTTCACCTTAGGACAGGGGGCCATATAGAAATACTATATATGCCAGCAATATAGTATTTCTATAGCCATAACATTTTGTCATTTTATAATGTCTCATTTCATGGATATGAAAGAACAATTGCTCTTACATATTAAGTCATAAAAGTTACTTTCTGATATTAAAGAGGAGTCTTAGGTGTAAAGAATTTGAAAAGCTTTGAACCAGCTCATTCTGATAGTAAAGTTACACTATGGGTTAGGACATTATCAAGCCAAAAAAAATTTGCCTCTAAGAAACTGTATTAGCTCATTTTCATGCTGCAGATAAAGATGTGCCTGAGACTGGGAAGAAAAAGAGGTTTAATTTAGACTTACAGTTCCACGTGGCTGGGGAGGCCTCAGAATCATGGTGGGAGGCAAAAGTCACTTCTTACCTCATGGCTGCAAGAGAAAATGAGAAAGAAGCAAGACCAGAAAGTCCTGATGAACCCATCAGATCTCCTGAGACTTACTATCACGAGAATAACATGGGAAAGACCAGCCCCCATGATTCAATTACCTCCCCCTGGGACCCTCCCAGAACAGGTGGGAATTCTGGGAGATACAGTCCATGTCGAGATTTGAGTGGGGACACAGCCAAACCATATCATTCTTAAGGTTAAGAGTATGGGGCTCTTTATCCCTGGAGTATGTCTCAAATGAAAGTGATATGTTGTGTAGTGTATCTCTTATTGAAAAAATGGAAATCAATAAAAACGTATTTTAAGGTAGAGTTTCTCTTGACTTCTCTTGACTGCCTCAATAGTTAGAATATATCTGGATATATATATATATGATTCTGATATGGTCTGACTGTGTCCTCATTCAAATCTCAACTTGAATTGTGTCTCCCAGAATTCCCACATGTTGTGGGAGGGACCCAGAGGGAGGTAATTGAATCATGGGGGCTGGTCTTTTCCATGCTATTCTTGTGATAGTGAATAAGTCTCACAAGATCTGATGGGTTTATCAGGGGTTTCCGCTTTTGTTTCTTCTCATTTTCTCTTGTTGCTGTGATGTAAGGAGTGCCTTTCACCTCCCACCATGATTCTGAGGCCTCCCCAGCCATGTGGAACTGTAAGTCAAGTTAAAACTCTTTTTCTACCCAGTCTCCACTATGTATCAGTATCATGAAAATAAACTAATACAGTAAATTGGTACCAATAGAATGGGGTATTGCTGAAAAGATACCCGAAAATATGGAAGCAACTTTGGAACTGGGTAACAGGAAGAGACTGGAACAGTTTGGAGGGGTCAGACGAAGACAGAAAAATGTGGGAACATTTGGAACCTCCTAGAGACTTGTTGAATGGCTTTGCCCAAAATGCCAATAGCTATATGGACAATAAAATCCAAGCTGAGGTAGTCTTAAATGGAGATGAAGCATTTGTTGGGAACTGGAGCAAGGGTGACTCTCGTTATGTTTTAGCAAAGAGACTGGCAACATTTTGCACCTGCCCTACAGAACTGTGAAACTTTGAACTTGAGAGATATGACTTAGGGTATCTGGTGGAAGAAAATTCTCAGTAGCAAGGCATTCAAAAGGTGACTTGGGTGCTGTTAAAACCATTCCATTTTAAAAGAGACACAGAGCATAAAAGTCCTGAAAATTTGCAGCCTGAGGATGCAGTAGAAAAGAAAAACTCTTTTTTTGTTGTTGGTTTTTTTCTTTTGGTTTTTCAGATGGAGTCTTGTTCTGTTGCCTAGACTGGAGTGCAGTGGTGCAATCTCGGCTCACTGCAACCTCCACCTCCTGGGTTCAAGTGCTTCTTCTGCCTCGGCCTCCCGAGTAGCTGGGAATACAGGTGCGCGCCACCATGTCCAGCTAATTTTTGTATTTTTAGTAGAGACGGGGTTTCACCATGTTGGCCAGGATGGTCTCGATCTCTTGACTTCATGATCTATCTGCCTCCGCCTCCCAAAGTGCTGGGATTACAGGCATGAGCCACTGCGCCCAACTGAAAAACCCATTTTTTTGAGGATAGATTCAAGCTGGCTGCAGAAATTTTCATAAGTAGCAAGAAGCCTAATGTTAATCCCCAAGACCATGGGGAAAATGTCTCCAGACCATGGCAGAGAACTCCACATTAGCCCCTCCCATCACAGGCCTGGAGGCCCAAGCGGAAAAAGTGGTTTCATGGGCAAGGCCCAGGGTTTCCATGCTGTGTGCAGCCTAGGGACTTGGTGCCCTGTGTCCCAGCCGCTCTAGCTCTGGCTGAAAGGGGCCAACATAGAGCTCGGGCCATGGTTTCCAAGGGTGGAAGCCCCAAGCCTTGGCAGCTTCCACGTGGTGTTGAGCCTGTGGGTGCACAGAAGTCAAGAATTGAGGTTTGGGAACCTCCATCTAGATTTCAGAAGATGTATAGAAACACCTGGATGCTCAGGCAAATGTTTGCTTTAGGGGCCGGGCCTTCATGGGGAACCTCTGCTAGGGCAGTTAGGAAGGGAAATGTGGGGTCACAGCCCCCACCCAGAGTCCCTACTGGGGCACTGCCTAGTGGAGCTGTGAGAAGAGGGTCACCAACCTCCAGACCGCAGAATAGTAGATCCACCAACAGCTTGCACCATGCACCTGGAAAAGCAGCAGACACTCAACACCAGCCCATGAAAGCACCCAGGAGGGAGGCTGTACCCTCCAAAGCCACAGGGGCAGAGCCGCTCAAACCATGGGATCCCACCTCTGGCATCAGCGTGACCTGGATGTGAGACACATAGTCAAAGGAGATCATTTTGGAGCTTTAAAATTTGTCTGCCCAGCTGGATTTCGGACTTGCATGGGCCCTGTAACCTCTTTGTTTTGTCCAACTTCTCCCATTTGGAACAGCTCTATTTATCCAATACCTGTACTCCCATTGTATCTACCAAGTAACTAGCTTGCTTTTGATTTTGCAGGCTCCCAGGAGGAAGGGGCTTGCTTTGTCTCAGATGAAATTTTGGACTGTAGACATTTGGGTTAATGGTGAAATGAGTTAAGGCTTTGGGGGACTGTTGGGAAGGCATGATTGGTTTTGAAATGTGAGGACACAGATTTGGAGGGGCCGGGGTGGAATGATATGGTTTGGCTGTGTCCCCATTCAAATCTTAACATGAACTGTATCTCCCAGAATTCCCACCTGTTCTGGGAGGGTCCCAGGCGGAGGTAATTGAGTCACCGGGGCTGGTCTTTCCCATGTTATTCTCGTGATAGTAAGTCTCAGGAGATCTGATGGGTTCGTCAGGGATTTCTGCTCTTGCTTCTTTCTCATTTTCTCTTGCAGCCGTGATGTAAGAAGTCACTTTTGCCTCCTGCCATGATTCTGAGGCCTCCCCAGCCACGTGGAACTGTAAGTCTAAATTAAACCTCTTTTTCTTCCCAGTCTCAGGCACGTCTTTACCCACAGCATGAAAACGAGCTAATACAGTTGCTTAGAGGCAAATTTTTTTGCCTCTTAACAAATTTAACCTTAGGAAATTAACCCAAACGGAAGTAACAGGCCTTACATTGCAGGGTAATATTGTAGAGATTGATCAATAAAGTTTTGAAAGGTGCCATTCTAGGAGACATTGTTCACTGTTTCAAAGTCAGACAATGAAAAGGAGACTTTCTCATTATAATAGCAGCATCTTCAATAGCTATGTCACTATGATAATAACACAAATAAGAAGCCATTGCTATATTTGAGGAAAGGAATCGTACATGAAATAATACACATTTCAATTCTCTAATTTATTAATAAAACATTGGGTCCCATAAAGCTACTCTAATTTTCACATCTATTGCTAATAGTAAACACTATTGTCTTAGAATTATGGGGTGGAAAGATGACATATTAAATGGTGGCAGAGGACAGAATATGAATAAAAAAAATTTTTTAAGAGTAAATAACAAATGTGGTATGAAAAGAAGGTTGCAATCAGAGTGCACAAATCACAAAAGAGAGACACTTATGAATGAAAGACAACAATAAAAAGGAAAGAAGATATCGATTATATTATTTACAGCTATATTGTCTTATATATACAGTTATATAATATATAGATATATATAACACATAGTCACATATAATATATACTTACATATAATATATTGTTATATATTCCATAGTTATATTTCTAGTTAATAGATGTGTATACATGTGTTTATATATAATATATAGTTATATATACATGTATATACATGTATACATATACATATATCTATATAGGTAATATATAATCTATACAAACACAGATATATACACATATTAATAGCTATATAATATGCAATATATACATATATGTTATATATACATATGTTATTTATACATGTTATATATACATATATGTTATTTATACATATATGTTATATATACATATGTTATTTATACACATATGTTATATATACATATATGTTATTTATACATGTATGCTATATACATATATGTTATTTATACATGTATGTATATAATGCATACATATATGTATGTTGCATATACATATATGTATGTATGTTGCATATACATATATGTATGTATATTGCATATACATATATGTATGTATATTGCATATACATATATGTATGTATATTGCATATACATATATGTATGTATATTGCATATACATATATGTATGTATATTGCATATACATATATGTATGTATATTGCATATACATATATGTATGTATATTGCATATACATATATGTATGTATATTGCATATACATATATATAATTTAAAGACATAGTGGAGACTAGGTAGAAAAAGAGGTATATGTATATGTGTATGTATATCAAAGGATATATTATATCCTTCAGAGGGAAATAACACCACTATGCTTTCAATTTCGATACAAGTGTGTCCTCTGGTCCTAGTAGCTTCTCAGCATTATCATGGTTCTGACTGTATCAATCCCGGGAAAAAGACAATGTAATACTTCAGTTCATATTCCATGCTGCTGACAAATATTTCTCAACAAGTATTGTTACAATATTACCAATTATTTTTCTCTTTTTCTTCAAGACTTGATAGAAATAATACAATAAGCTATCAATGTTTTGATAAGAATCTTTATCAGATGCATGAGATTTAGATAAACTATGTTTTCACATTTAAAGTATGCCAAAAAAGCCCATCTTCTTCTGTTTGGATGACATTTAATGTCTTTTTTCCTAAGGTAAAAACTTAATTTCATAGAAATGTAGTAGATCTTTTAACTCTGAAAGCTGCTGCCTAACTTTCAATCAGTGCTAAAAAGATAAAGGTGACTTTTACAGTGCTATATTAAAAACAGTATAATTATCATTACAACACATCTATAACAAGATATATTTAGGCACTACAGCTGTATAATGAGGTCATATGACTAATAATAATCATCACTATAGTTAATATATAATTTCAAACTACACTCATACATCAGATCACACTGTGGCATTTTTATTAAAAAGGAAGTACCAAAATAATTTAGAAATTATAAGGTGGATTTGAAGAAATAAAAGGGCATGAATTACTTTATTATATAAATAAATACAAAGAAATATATTGAATTTTGTGTGTATGTACATAGATATATGTATATATGTCGTTATACACACACACACACACACACAAACACACACCCACATACCCCTTACTGCTTCTATTCCTCTACAGAAGCCTGCTGAATATACTGGGTAAAAGGTATACAAGAATTCCCTGTAGTATCTTTTAAGTTTTCTTTAAATCTAAAATTTTTCTGAAAAAAAAAATTAAAAAATAAACTTAAAAATGGGGTAATCATATACTCCTGAGTTTCACTTGACTTAACAATTCTGATCATTCCCAATTGACAGGGATTGGAAAAACAAGAACACTTATTTGTTGTAAGTGAATCTTTAAAATGACATTAATCACTTTAGAGTAATATAGCCATTATGAGTATATTTGGCTTCAAGTAACAAGATTCTACTAAAGAGGAATTTATAATTTATGGGTTTATTTAAGACCTATATGGTAAACAGTAAAATATGTCACATGGATCTCCAGCTACAGAGAACGTAATTTCCTCAACTGCTGTATTTGCCAAGTTTGTTCTATAGATATGCTGCCCAGGAAAATAAATGAAAGACAGATTATTCCTGGATTATATGAGATGAGACTCCTCTGATGAATTAATTTGCTCAAAAATTTTACATCAGCCCTTCACAAAACACTTTTAGAACTGCATTGGACTCTACAACTCCCTTTCACCCTACTTTTTAATTTTTTTTCTCCATCCTAAAATACTAGACCTGCATTGCGATCTGCTATCTCTCCCTGCTCTCTCCCCATTTTCCCTCACAGATGCTTACTCTAAAATTTATCTTTTATGTTTTGGCAAATCCCACCCTGGGGCATCCTTCTCATTGGACTCAATAATGCAGCCTTATCGCAATAATCATTCAGTGGCAACAGGCATATCTAGCATCCAGACTGTGGTTTCTAAATGCCATATTTCATTAAAAGAACCAAAAGCTCAATGGAAAAAAAAAAATGGCTGATTTCAGGTAAGCAGCATTGAAAATACAAAAAAAAAAAAAAAAAAAAAATACAAAACAAAATGAAGCATCTTGCCAGGAAGCAAGAATATATATCAAACACTAAAGAGAACATTTCAAAAAGAAGGAGTTATGAACTTGGAGAGGCTTTCATTTACCAATCTACGATCTGAGACAAGTTGATTACAAAAAAAAATGGCAATAATAGATTGTAATACATTGACTAATAAAATAGTAGCTTATGAGCCCATAGTGATAATCAAACACACAAACAAACATAAAACTGAGGTTAAAAGTTCTGTTTTTACTAAAGAATGTCAATTAGTAAATGAAGCAAAATTGATCGCATTAGAAAATGACTATTTTTAGCCATAAATAGAATAAAAGAATAATACAGGCTAGTCTTCTTAACGGATGCTAAAAATATTTGGTGAAAAATAATTGAGCAGGAAATCAACTTCTTGATTAACAGCACAAAGAGCTCTACAGGCCACACCCCAGTAAAACCAGTAGAAATTCATTTTTAAAAACCCAATGATTTAAAGCCTATGGGAATGGTCATAAAGGCACACAGCAAACAAACATCTACTCAAGAAAATACACAAAAATATGTAGTAATAAAAGTGAGAGTGTGTGGTATTTGAAGGAGGACTGTTCCCTTCTTTCCCCATCCCATGTCACTGACATGGAAACTCCATTCTAGACTGGTACAAGCAAGAACACAGGGTTTCCTCTTCCTCAAGATTCCAGTGAGAGGATTATCTCCCAGAAGGAGCATGACCTCAACATTTCTCATTCTTCTCCCAACTACCTACTGATGAAGCTAAGTTCTCGGCAAATGCAGTTGAATGGTGAGGATTCCCTTCTCTGCCCAACCCCCACTCATAAATTAGGGGCTCTATTTTGGGTACAAAGCTGTTGAGAATATGAGAATCCCCATTTTCTTTGCCCAGACTCACAAAGCAGTGTTTCCATCCCAATGGAAATAAATCAAGAAGACCCCAGACTACTATCTCCCACTCTATACTGAGCGATCAGCTTCTAAAGCATGAATACCACTGAGAGAAATGCACCATTGTCCCCACCCCCGGGTCCAGAGCTCTGGCTCAGAGATTTTGCCTGAAAGAAAAATCGAACTGTAAAACATGTAGCTCCTAATATTTTCCCAAAGGAATTGATATTATTTGCACCAGAAGTTTAAGCTTTGTGCTGTTAAAAATATTATAGGCTGTCAAAGTGGGGAATTGTAAGGAAATTCATGGATTCTATGAAGATAGAGAATAAACTGTATGCTAAATAATTTTGGGGAGAGTCAAGGAAGGAGACAACTGGGAGGAGCACGTCTGGGGTCAGAACAAATAATAAACTTTGACCTTAGGAACTATTCTCTCAAGAAGCCTAAATTTGATTAAATAAATGTGTCAAGCAATTTATGCCCCAGGATATGACTGAAAGCAGAAAAGTATCCAGCAATTACTAGAGGCTAACAGGGAAATATATAAAGAGAACGTGGCCAAAACCCCCTATTATTCCACGGTGACTGGGTATACTCAAAGATGTGCCTGACTAAGGGGTAACATAAGAGGGTTAACACTTCAGAGAGTGGGGGGAAAATAAATAGACTTTTATTTAATGAATAAACATGAAAATAACAATAACAGGTTCTGGAGATTGAGAGCAATACTCATAGTTCTATAATATACAAAAAAAAAGTGTGAAAGGTAAAGACACAGGAATGAATGTCCCAAGCTCTAGAATTTCTTTTTTAAAAAAGTAACAAAAATGTCTGTAGTGGGGACTAGATATTGGATTTATCACAAACTTCCAATTAGTCATTATAAATATGTTCAAAGAAGTAAAGAGAATCATGAATAAAGAGGCAAAAGAATGATGACAGTGTCATATCAAACAGATAATAAAGAGAAAACAATTAAAAAGAGAATCAAATGAAAATTCTATACTTGAAAAGTATAATAAATGAAATAAAAATTTCACTTGAGGGGCTCAACAGTAGATTTGAACTGGTAGAAGAAGAAATTGGCCAAGTTGAAGATAGATTAATTGAGATTATGCAATCTGAGAACAAAGAGAAAAAAGAATAAAGAAAAATAAACAGAGACTCACTCAGAGAAATGTGAAATATCATTAAGTGCAAAATATATATGTAATAGAATACAAGAAGGAAAAGAGACAGCAAAAGTAACAAAAAATATATTAAAGAAATAGTGACTGAAAATTTGCTAAATTTATTGAAACAAACTAACCTAGACATCTGGGAATCTCAACAAATTCCAAGTATGATAAATAAAAAGAAAACACAAACAGAAACATAATAGTAAAAATACTAAAAGTCAAAGGTAAGGAGAAAATCTCGAAAATAGCTATTAAAAAAAATTCATCATTTGCAATGCAATTTCAGTAAGATTAACATCTTATTTCTTTTTTTTCTTTTTTTTTAGTGCATTTTTTTAAATTATACTTTAAGTTTTAGGGTACATGTGCAAATTGTGCAGGTTAGTTACATATGTATACATGTGCCATGCTGGTGCGCTGCACCCACTAACTCGTCATCTAGCATTAGGTATATCTCCCAATGCTATCCCTCCCCCCTCCCCCCACCCCACAACAGTCCGCAGAGTGTGATGTTCCCTTTTCTGTGTCCATGTGATCTCATTGTTCAATTCCCACCTATGAGTGAGAATATGCGGTGTTTGGTTTTTTGTTCTTGCGATAGTTTACTGAGAATGATGATTTCCAATTTCATCCATGTCCCTACAAAGGACATGAACTCATCATTTTTTATGGCTACATAGTATTCCATGGTGTATATGTGCCACATTTTCTTAATCCAGTCTATCATTGTTGGACATTTGGGTTGGTTCCAAGTCTTTGCTATTGTGAATAGTGCCACAATAAACATACGTGTGCATGTGCCTTTATAGCAGCATGATTTATAGTCCTTTGGGTATATACCCAGTAATGGGATGGCTGGGTCAAATGGTATTTCCAGTTCTAGATCCCTGAGGAATCGCCACACTGACTTCCACAATGGTTGAACTAGTTTACAGTCCCACCAACAGTGTAAAAGTGTTCCTATTTCTCCACATCCTCTCCAGCACCTGTTGTTTCCTGACTTTTTAATGATTGCCATTCTAACTGGTGTGAGATGGTATCTCATTGTGGTTTTGATTTGCATTTCTCTGATGGCCAGTGATGATGAGCATTTTTTCATGTGTTTTTTGGCTGCATAAATGTCTTCTTTTGAGAAGTGTCTGTTCATGTCCTTTGCCCACTTTTTGATGGGGTTGTTTGTTTTTTTCTTGTAAATTTGTTTGAGTTCATTGAAGATTCTGGATATTAGCCCTTTGTCAGATGAGTAGGTTGGGAAAATTTTCTCCCATTTTGTAGGTTGCCTGTTCACTCTGATGGTAGTTTCTTTTGCTGTACAGAAGCTCTTTAGTTTAATTAGATCCCATTTGTCAATTTTGGCTTTTGTTGCCATTGCTTTTGGTGTTTTAGACATGAATTCCTTGCCCATGCCTATGTCCTGAATGGTAATGCCTAGGTTTTCTTCTAGGGTTTTTATGGTTTTAGGTCTAACGTTTAAGTCTTTAATCCATCTTGAATTGATTTTTGTATAAGGTGTAAGGAAGGGATCCAGTTTCAGCTTTCTACATATGGCTAGCCAGTTTTCCCAGCACCATTTATTAAATAGGGAATCCTTTCCCCATTGCTTGTTTTTCTAAGGTTTGTCAAAGATCAGATAGTTGTATAGTTGTAGATATGCGGCATTATTTCTGAGGGCTCTGTTCTGTTCCATTGATCTATATCTCTGTTTTGGTACCAGTACCATGCTGTTTTGGTTACTGTAGCCTTGTAGTATAGTTTGAAGTCAGGTAGTGTGATGCCTCCAGCTTTGTTCTTTTGGCTTAGGATTGACTTGGAGATGCGGGCTCTTTTTTGGTTCCATATGAACTTTAGTTTTTTCCAATTCTGTGAAGAAAGTCATTGGTAGCTTGATGGGGATGGCATTGAATCTGTAAATTACCTTGGGCAGTATGGCCATTTTCACGATATTGATTCTTCCTACCCATGAGCATGGAATGTTCTTCCATTTGTTTGTATCCTCTTTTATTTCCTTGAGCAGTGGTTTGTAGTTCTCCTTGAAGAGGTCCTTCACATCCCTTGTAAGTTGGATTCCTAGGTATTTTATTCTCTTTGAAGCAATTGTGAATGGGAGTTCACTCATGATTTGGCTGTTTGTCTGTTGTTGGTGTATAAGAATGCTTGTGATTTTTGTACATTGATTTTGAATCCTGAGACTTTGCTGAAGTTGCTTATCAGCTTAAGAAGATTTTGGGCTGAGACAATGGGCTTTTCTAGATATACAATCATGTCATCTGCAAACAGGGACAATTTGACTTCCTATTTTCCTAATTGAATACCCTTTATTTCCTTCTCCTGCCTAATTGCCCTGGCCAGAACTTCCAACACTATGTTGAATAGGAGCGGTGAGAGAGGGCATCCCTGTCTTGTGCCAGTTTTCAAAGGGAATGCTTCCAGTTTTTGCCCATTCAGTATGATATTGGCTGTGGGTTTGTCATAGATAGCTCTTAGTATTTTGAGATACGTCCCATCAATACCTAATTTATTGAGAGTTTTTAGCATGAAGGGTTGTTGAATTTTGTCAAAGGCCTTTTCTGCATCTATTGAGATAATCATGTGGTTTTTGTCTTTGGCTCTGTTTATATGCTGGATTACATTTATTGATTTGCGTATATTGAACCAGCCTTGCATCCCAGGGACGAAGCCCACTTGATCATGGTGGATAAGCTTTTTGATGTGCTGCTGGATTCGGTTTGCCAGTATTTTATTGAGGATTTTTGCATCAATGTTCATCAAGGATATTGGTCTAAAATTCTCTTTTTTGGTTGTGTCTCTGCCCAGCTTTGGTATCAGAATGATGCTGGCCTCATAAAATGAGTTAGGGAGGATTCCCTCTTTTTCTATTGATTGGAATAGTTTCAGAAGGAATGGTACCAGTTCCTCCTTGTACCTCTGGTAGAATTCGGCTGTGGATCCATCTGGTCCTGGACTCTTTTTGGTTGGTAAGCTATTGATTATTGCCACAATTTCAGCTCCTGTTATTGGTCTATTCAGAGATTCAACTTCTTCCTGGTTTAGTCTTGGGAGAGTGTATGTGTCCAGGAATTTATCCATTTCTTCTAGATTTTCTAGTTTATTTGCATAGAGGTGTTTGTAGTATTCTCTGATGGTAGTTTGTATCTCTGTGGGTTCGGTGGTGATATCCCCTTCATCATTTTTTATTGCGTCTATTTTATTCTTCTCTCTTTTTTTCTTTATTAGTCTTGCTAGCTGTCTATCAATTTTGTTGATCCTTTCAAAAAACCAGCTCCTGGATTCATTAATTTTTTGAAGGGTTTTTTGTGTCTCTATTTCCTTCAGTTCTGCTCTGATTTTAGTTATTTCTTGCCTTCTGCTAGCTTTTGAATGTGTTTGCTCTTGCTTCTCTAGTTCTTTTAATTGTGATGTTAGGGTGTCAATTTTGGATCTTTCCTGCTTTCTCTTGTGGGCATTTAGTGCTATAAATTTCCCTCTACACACTGCTTTCAATGCATCCCAGAGATTCTGGTATGTTGTGTCTTTGTTCTCGTTGGTTTCAAAGAACATCTTTATTTCTGCTTCATTTCATTATGTACCCAGTAGTCATTCAGGAGCAGGTTGTTCAGTTTCCATGTAGTTGAGCGGTTTTGAGTGAGATTCTTAATCCTGAGTTCTAGTTTGATTGCACTGTGGTCTGAGAGATAGTTTGTTATAATTTCTGTTCTTTTACATTTGCTGAGGAGAGCTTTACTTCCAACTATGTGGTCAATTTTGGAATAGGTGTGGTGTGGTGCTGAAAAAAATGTATATTCTGTTGATTTGGGGTGGAGAGTTCTGTAGATGTCTATTAGGTCCGCTTGGTGCAGAGCTGAGTTCAATTCCTGGGTATCCTTGTTGACTTTCTGTCTCGTTGATCTGTCTAATGTTGACAGTGGGGTGTTAAAGTCTCCCATTATTAATGTGTGGGAGTCTAAGTCTCTTTGTAGGTCGCTCAGGACTTGCTTTATGAATCTGGGTGCTCCTGTATTGGGTGCATATATATTTAGGATAGTTAGCTCTTCCTGCTGAATTGATCTCTTTACCATTATGTAATGGCCTTCTTTGTCTCTTTTGATCTTTGTTGGTTTAAAGTGTGTTTTATCAGAGACTAGGATTGCAACCCCTGCCTTTTTTTGTTTTCCATTGGCTTGGTAGATCTTCCTCCATCCTTTTATTTTGAGCCTATGTGTGTCTCTGCACGTGAGATGGGTTTCCTGAATACAGCACGCTGATGGGTCTTGACTCTTTATCCAATTTGCCAGTCTGTGTCTTTTAATTGGAGCATTTAGTCCATTTACATTTAAAGTTAATATTGTTATGTGTGAATTTGATCCTGTCATTATGATGTTAGCTGGTTATTTTGCTCGTTAGTTGATGCAGTTTCTTCCTAGTCTCGATGGTCTTTACATTTTGGCATGATTTTGCAGCGGCTGGTACCGGTTGTTTCTTTCCATGTTTAGTGCTTCCTTCAGGAGCTCTTGTAAGGCAGGCCTGGTGGTGACAAAGTCTCTCAGCATTTGCTTGTCCGTAAAGTATTTTATTTCTCCTTCACTTATGAAGCTTAGTTTGGCTGGATATGAAATTCTGGGTTGAATATTCTTTTCTTTAAGAATGTTGAATATTGGCCCCCACTGTCTTCTGGCTTATAGGGTTTCTGCTGAGAGATCTGCTGTTAGTCTGATGGGCTTCCCTTTGAGGGTAACCCGACCTTTCTCTCTGGCTACCCTTAACATTTTTTCCTTCATTTCAACTTTGGTGAATCTGACAATTATGTGTCTTGGAGTTGCTCGTCTCGAGGAGTATCTTTGTGGCATTCTCTGTATTTCCTGAATCTGAACGTTGGCCTGCCTTGCTAGATTGGGGAAGTTCTCCTGGATAATATCCTGCAGAGTGTTTTCCAACTTGGTTCCATTCTCCCCATCACTTTCAGGTACACCAATCAGACGTAGATTTGGTCTTTTCACATAGTCCCATATTTCTTGGAGGCTTTGCTCATTTCTTTTTATTCTTTTTTCTCTAAACTTCCCTTCTCGCTTCATTTCATTCATTTCTTCTTCCATTGCTGATACCCTTTCTTCCAGTTGATCGCATCAGCTCCTGAGACTTCTGCATTCTTCACGTAGTTCTCGAGCCTTGGTTTTCAGCTCCATCAGCTCCTTTAAGCACTTCTCTGTATTGGTTTTTCTAGTTATACATTCTTCTAAATTTTTTTCAAAGTTTTCAACTTCTTTGCCTTTGGTTTGAATGTCCTCTCATAGCTCAGAGTAATTTGATCGTCTGAAGCCTTCTTCTCTCAGCTCCTCAAAGTCATTCTCCATCCAGCTTTGTTCCATTGCTGGTGAGGAACTGCATTCCTTTGGAGGAGGAGAGGCGCTCTGCTTTTTAGAGTTTCCAGTTTTTCTGTTCTGTTTTTTCCCCATCTTTGTGGTTTTATCTACTTTTGGTCTTTGATGATGGTGGTGTACAGATGGGTTTTTGGTGTGGATGTCCTTTCTGTTTGCTAGTTTTCCTTCTAACAGAGAGGACCCTCAGCTGCAGGTCTGTTGGAGTACCCTGCTGTATGAGTTGTCAGTGTGCCCCTGCTGGGGGGTGCCTCCCAGTTAGGCTGCTCGGGGGTCAGGGGTCAGGGACCCACTTGAGGAGGCAGTCTGCCCATTCTCAGATCTCTAGCTGGGTGCTGGGAGAACCACTGCTCTCTTCAAAGCTGTCAGACAGGGACATTTAAGTCTGCAGAGGTTACTGCTGTCTTTTTGTTTGTCTGTGCCCTGCCCCCAGAGGTGGAGCCTACAGAGGCAGGCAGGCCTCCTTGAGCTGTGGTGGGCTCCACCCAGTTCGAGCTTCCAGGCTGCTTTGTTTACCTAATCAAGCCTGGGCAATGGCGGGCGCCCCTCCCCCAGCCTCACTGCTGCCTTGCAGTTTGATCTCAGACTGCTGTGCTAGCAATCAGCAAGACTCCATGGGCGTAGGACCCTCCGAGCCAGGTGTGGGATATAATCTCGTGGTGCGCCGTTTTTTAAGCCCGTCGGAAAAGCGCAGTATTCGGGTGGGAGTGACCTGATTTTCCAGGTGCCGTCCGTCACCCCTTTCTTTGACTCAGAAAGGGAACTCCCTGACCCCTTGTGCTTCCCAAGTGAGGCAATGCCTCGCCCTGCTTCGGCTCGTGCACGGTGCGCGCACCCACTGACCTGCGCCCACTGTCTGGCACTCCCTAGTGAGATGAAACCGGTACCTCAGATGGAAATGCAGAAATCACCCGTCTTCTGCGTCGCTCACGCTGGGAGCTATAGACCGGAGCTGTTTCTATTCGGCCATCTTGGCCCCTCCCCACAACATCTTATTTCTTAACAGAAACAATGAAGGCCAGAAAGCCTTGGAGTGACACATTCAAAGGGAAGAAAAAAAGAAAGAGAGAGAGAAAAAAAGAGAGAGAGAAAAGAGAGAAGAAGAAAGAAAGAAAGAAAGAAAAGAAAAGAAAAAGACAAAGAAAGGAAGGAAGAAAGAAAGAAGGAAAGAAAGAGAGAGAAAGGAAGGAAGGATGGAAGGAAGGAAGGAAAAGAAAGTCTCATATCCAACAAATTTGATTTTGAAAAGTGAAGGAAAAAGATACATGAGACTGCTTGTATTATTGTTTCAACTTCTCAGTTGAGGCTGCAGTGAGTCATGATTTCACCACTGCACTCCAGCCTGAACAACAGAGTGAGACCTTGTCTGAAGAAACAAAGATTCACTTAATGCAAAAGAAAACAGTAAAGAGAATTAGAAGAACAAAAAAAGACATTAAACACACAAAAACAAAAGTAAAATGTAAGACATAAATCGAACTATATCAATTATAGCATTAAATATAGATGCTTAGACAATCCAAACAGAAGGCAGAGATTATCAGACTGGATTAAAACAAATAATTTAACCACGTTTTCTACAAAAGACACACTTTAAATTCAAAAATCCAAATAAGCTGAAAAGATGTGGAAAAGGCATGCCATTCAAACAGCAGCCACAAGAAAATATTGCCTATACTAATAGCAGACAAATGCACTTTAAAATTTAAAATTCTATTAGAGGTATATGTTAGACATATTATAATGATAAAAGGTGCATTAGCCAGGAAGATAAAAACAATCATATACATGCCTAGTAAGAGAGAAACAAAATATATGAAGCAAAACTTATACGTATTAAGATGATGGTTAATGCCTCACATTTGATAATGAACACAACAACTAGGCAAAAGAAAGACGACTAGCAAGAAAACGGAAGGCTAAAACAGCAATATAAGCCAACTAGCCCTAATAGATATCTATAACATGCTGCACCCAGTCACTACAAAATATAAAAAGATATATTTTCTCAAGTGCACATGGAGCATCCTTCCATATCAACCACATGCTAGGCTATGAAACAAACTTTATTAAATTTAAAAGGATGAAAATAATATGAAGTGTAGTCTTTAAAAACATTGAAGTAAAATTAGAAATCAATAACAGATAAGAAATATTTGGGAAACTCACAAATGTGTTTTTCATTAAATAACACTGCTAAATAACCAATGGGTGAAAAAGAATGCAAAAGGGAAATCAGAAAACACTTTGAAGATGAATGAAAATGAGGATACAACCTGCAAAACCTTAACATTCAAAAATCAATTCGTGACCAGGTGCGGTGGCTTAACGCCTGTAATCCCAGCACTTTGGGAGGCCGAGGCAGGCAGATCACAAGGTCAGGAGATCAAGACCATCCTGGCTAACACAGTGAAACCCTGTTTCTACTAAAAATACAAAATAAATAAATAAATAAATAAATAAATAAATAAATAAATAAATTAGCCAGGCGTGGTGGCAGGCAACTGTAGTCCCAGCTACTTGGGAGACTGAGGCAGGAGAATGGCGTGAATCCAGAAGGCGGAGTTTGCAGTGAGCCGAGATCGCGCCACTGCACTCCAGCCTGGGTGACAGTGCGAGACTCCATCTCAAAAAAAAAAAAAAAAAAAAATCAATTATTGTAACACATTATGTAAATAGAGCAGAAACAAAAATTACACGTTCATCTCAATGGAGGTGGAAAAGAAATTGAAATACATCTATTATTCTTTTGTGATAAAAACACTCAACAAACTAGAAATTGAAAGGAAATTTCTTAACCTGATAAAGTACATTTATTAAAAAAAAAGCCACAGTTAAGGCCATACTTAATTGTGAAAGAGTGGCTGATTGCAACTAGGCAAGAAAAAATTTTTAAAGGCATCCAGATCGGTATAAAAAAATACAACTCTATTGGCAGATGGCACTGTCTTGTATATAGATATATCCTAAGGAATTCACAAAACAATTATTAGAATAAATGAGATAAGCAAGGTTACAGGATATGAGAATCAATTATATTTCTTTACAGTTGCGAGGAATATCCCAAAAGTGGAATTAAGAAAACAATTCCATTTACAACAACATCAAAACCAATAAAATACTTAAAAATATTTGTTAAAATACAAAACTTATGCTCTGAAAATTACAAAACACCATTGTGAAAGGCCAAAGACGCCTAATGAACATGACATCCTCATTCACAAATTAAATGACTTAATAGTCTTAAGATGGCAATACTCACAAAATTGATCTAAAATTCCTATAATAATTTCAAATGACTCATTTGTAGAAATTAATAAGTTGACTCTAAATTCATATGGAATTGTAAGAAACCCAGAATAGCCAAAGCCATTTTGAAAAAGAAGTAATTAGTTGGATTCAGGCTTACCAATTTGAAAACACTACAAAACAACAGTGTTCAAGATGGTATAGTACTGGCATAAGGACAGATTTAAAAATCAGTAGAATAAGATTGACAGTCCAGATGCAGCTGCTATGGAAAACATACACTGGCAGTTTCTCAAAAAAGATAAACAAAGAATTAATTTATGACCCAGCAAATCTAATCCTATGTATATACCCAAGAGAAATGAAAACATATGTCCCCACAGAAACTTGTATGTCAATGTTTATAGCACCATTACTCATAAAAATAAAAAGTTAGAAACAACCCAAGTGTCCATCAACTGACAAGTGGATGAACAAAATGTGGCATATCCATATAATGAAATGGTGTTCAGCAATAAAAATAAATGAATTACTGTAATATGCTGCAACATAGGTGGATCTTGAAAATATCCTGCAAATGAAGGAAGCCATTCACAAAAGACCATAGGTTATATAATTTCATTCATATGAAATGTCCGGAATAGACAAATCTCTAGGGACAGTAGATTAGTGGTTGCTTCAAGTGGGAAAGGGAAGAGGGGTTGATAGCTAAAGGGTATGGGATTTCTTTTTGAGGTGATGAAGATATTGTCTAATTGACTACATATCTGTGAATATACTAAAAATCATTTAATTGTACACTAAAGGATAAATTGTATAATATGTTAATTATATCTCAATAAATTTTTAAACTATTAAAAAAGAAGATATCTACATGGTAATAAAATAAAACATTGCAGATAATTTATTACAAAGTAAAAAATTGTTTCTGATATTTTACCCAATTGAACAAATACAGCATTTCTTTCAGTGAGGCAAACACTTGTTTCTGATGTAATACAATGGGAAATACAAAGAGTGTATTTGTAAACAAATAGTGTACAAAATAGAAATCCAAATAGTGTACAAAAAGCTCATATAGTATTCTTGCCAAATATATTTAATATGAATCTAACAAAAATAAGTAGTGAGATAAATGCAGCTTTGTGACATTTTTAAAGATAACTTGACTATCTTCTAAATGATCAATGTCATAAAAAATATTTTTTAAAAGTATTAGGACTGTTCTAGATTTAGAGACTAAAGAAACATGATCTCTGATAAAATACTAGGAAAAAGACATTTGGAGACAAATTAGGGAAATGTAAACATGGTCAATGTATTAGATAATGCTACTCACCATCAATAAATTGCTTGGGTATAGCAACAGTGTTGTGGTTTTATAAAAAAAAGTCCATATTCTTCAAATGTAAATGCTGACATGCTAGGTGTAATGTGTCATGATACCTGAAGTTTACTTTTAAATAATTTATAATAAGGACAATTATATGCATGTATGTGTGTACATGCAAAAGCAAATTTTCAGAGTAAGCATGTATGAGCTAGATAGCAAACAAATTTTGCAAAATTGAAAAAATACGCATATCAGTTTTAGCTATAATATATTCAATTTATACATGTTTACATTTATAATACTTTTAGCTTTGCTATAGATTTAAATTTTTTAATTAATAACTTCTGGGGGAAAGATTTATTCTTTCTTATACTGTAAGAAGTCCATCAGGTAGCTACTAATGAGATTAGTTCAACTGTTCAATGGTACCTCCAAGAGCTAGTCCTTTCCCCTCTTCCTATTATATCACATGTAGCATATTGGCATTTTGTTCTTATGTTTGGTATCTAATAACACAAAGATGGCTCTGCAGAGTCAGGACTCACCAGTAACTTCTATTCTTCTCATTACCAATCCAAAAAATATATTGAAGAAGCTCCTATGGACTTCCTCTCACATCTTACTGGTTATAGCCATTTTGCATTATCTTGCTTAGCCATAATGCTAGAAAAAATAAACTTTTTTTCTTAGCCTCTATTATGAAAGCAAGTGAAAAAATACCACATTGACTATGGGTGTTTTCTTAACATATTGTGTCTGAGCTGAGGGTACTTGAATCTTTTTGTAAGAAGCAGTAAGCATGCTGCCTTATGCTTTGGAAAGAGACAATATCTCTGTCTTCCAAGAAATTTTTGATATAAAAATAAACTTAAAAGATAGTCTAGCACAAAGGCAGTCAGTGCCTGTGCTCACAAGATGTGCAGAAGATTGAGAGACCCATAGAGGTTTGGTTCCCAACAGTTCAAATTTGCATACATTATGTAATGGTTATACAAGTAGTCATAATAGTATAATATCATTCTCGGAATATTTATGAAAGTCTAAAATATTTTGAATTAAATTAATGTTTAAAGCATACCATTTTTTAAAGCAATACAGTTTCTGTATTTTCCTAATAGGTCAGTAGTGCCAAAACCTTGAGGAACTCCTCTATACAGTGCTAGAATTCCTATGGTGAATTAAACCTGAAGTCCATATAAATACACAGCCTTGAGCCACTGGTGCTTACCCGTTAGCTGGATCAGTTAAGGTGTTCTTGGTTGCAATAAAAAATATCTTGTAAAACTTGAGCACAATTTTTGGAAGAATTTTGGTATCTCCCACACTTGACAGGAGATTTTGAAGCAAACTCTGAGAAACCAATGCCATATATATATAATCCTTTTATTGCCGCTAATATTTGCTAAAATAGAGGCATATCCATTGCTTCTATTTATATAAAAGATGCAAAAATGTACATGAAGAATGCTTTATATATTGTTTGTGATCAGAACCCGCCAAGAATATATGCATATATGTGCATAACACAAACATATATTTTTGTATGTATGAGCATAATATATAAATTAACAGAAATGTTGTAGTTTTAAATTGTCACTTGACATTCATTCAAATTATATATTTGTTTCTATATATACTTATATATTTTTTCTATATAAGTATTTATATATATATTTTCTCTATATATATGTATACATTTATAACTTTAAGACCTCTATATTTAAAGGATGTATATGTAAATTTTACATATATTAAGGGCTACATATGTAAATTTTAAAATAATATGAAATCAACCTAAATGCCCATCAGTGGGGAATTGGATGAAGAAAATGTGGTATATATGTATATACCATACAATATTACACAGCCTTAAAAACTAAGAAGATCATATCCTTTGTAGCAACATGGATGGAACTGAGGCCATTATCCTTAGCAAATTAATGCGGATACGAAAAACCTAATACAAAATGTTCTCATTTATAAGTGGGAGCTAAATATTTAGAACACATGGACACAAAAAAGGAAACAATAGAGACTGGGGCGTACTTAAGGGTGGAGGGTGGGAGGAAGGTGAAAACTGAAAAACTACCTGTAGGGTACCATGCTTATTATCTGCATGATGAAATAGTCTGTTCACCAAACCCCTGCAACACACAATTTTCCCATGTAACAAACCTGCACATGTACTCCCTGAACCTGAAATAAAAGTTGGAAAGAAAAAAAGTCTGATTTTGAAATTAGAAAAATTAGCACAACATCTCACTATTTTTGTATGAATACATTCATCACTCCTTTATTTAATAAACTTAGAGTAGGGCTCTGTTAAGGATGTGGTCATAAAGATACATAAGACATATTTTCTAGTCAATACTCTTTTATCTAATTATAATAGAGTGAGATAAATGCTTAATAATAAAAGACAGTTAAAAATAAGGTGCTACTGAATAAATATGTGTGACTATTCCTATATAATAAATTTTGAGGACTCTTACATAAGTATTAAGTGATAAAACTTTAAAGTTTACAAGGTGCAGAGAGTGGATTGTAGGGTCCAGTCCCACAGGGTCGGTGCGTCTCTCCCCGTGTGCGGAGACGAGAGAGTGTAGAAATAAAGACACAAGACAAAGAGATAAAAGAAAAGACAGCTGGGCCTGGGGGACCACTACCACCAAGTCGCGGAGACCGGTAGTGGTCCCAAATGCCAGGCTGCACTGATATTTATTGGATGCAAGACAAAGGGGCAGGACAAGGAGAGTGAGCCACCTCCAATCATAGGTAAGGCCACGTGGGTCACGTGTCCACTGGACAGGGGGCCCTTCCCTGCCTGGCAGCGGAGGCAGAGAGAGAGAGGAGACAGAGAGAGAGACAACTTACACCATTATTTCTGCTTATTAGAGACTTTTAGTACTTTCACTAATTTGCTACTACTATCTAGAATCAGAGCCAGGTGTACAGGATGGAACATGAAAGCCGACTAGGAGCGTGACCACTGAAGCACAGCATCACAGGGAGACGGTTAGGCCTCCAGATAGCTGCGGGCGAGCCTGACTAATGTCAGGCCCTCCACAAGAGGTGGAGGAGCAGAGTCTTCTCTAAACTCCCCCGGGGGAAAGGGAGATGCCCTTTCCCAGTCTGCTAAGTAGCAGGTGTTTTCCCTTGACACTTACGCTACCGCTAGACCACGGTCCGCCTGGCAACAGGTGTCTTCCCAGATGCTGGCGTTACCGCTAGACCAAGGAGCCCTCTGGTGGCCCTATCTGGGCATAACAGAAGGCTCGCACTCTTGTCCTCTGGTCACTCCTCACTATGTCCCCTCAGCTCCTATCTCTGTATGGCCTGGTTTTTCCTAGGTTATGATTATAGAGCGAAGATTATTATAATATTGAAATAAAGAGTAATTGCTACCAACTAACGATTAATTATATTCATATATAATCATATCTAAGATCTATATCTGGTATAACTATTCTTATTTTATATTTTATTATACTGGAACAGCTCGTGTCCTCAGTCTCTTGTCTCGGCACCTGGGTGGCTTGCCGCCCACAGTGGATGTTATTTTTGAAATGGGGAAAATGTGCTCAATTAACAGTAAATATAAATTGTCCACTGATGCAGAATGCATTTTCATCATCTCTATCCTAAGCCCTAAAACTACAGTCAATCTGTCACCAAATTGCATTGTTTTTACAACCTAAAGCTACGATGTATTATTTTCCAAAAGTGGGTATTTCAAAAGAATATTAATATCACTGTAAAACTGTTATTTAGTATCAGTTGCACTCATAAATCCTTGTATATAGGGTTTTAATGAATCATTTATAAAGAAAGATTGAAAACACTAAGAAAAACTTTTTCTATAGTAAGGCAGGATAGGAAATTTGTAACAACTCTCCTGCTGAGAACAACTAAAAACATGAACAAAAGGAAACCTATGTTTCTGAAAGTTTTAGGAAGCTTAAAATTGAAGTGAAAAATTACAGGGTCACAATCCAGAAGAATAAAATGCAGAGAGGAAAACCCAGCGTTTCTCATCATTCCAATATTACTAGTTCACTGCTCTATAATTACTTCAGCTCTGCTCTCGTGAATGGATTAATGCCATTGTCACTCAAGTGGGTTGGTTTTTGCAGGAGTTTCACCCCTTTTTCCTGTCTGTTTCATGCACTCACTTTTACCCTTCCACCGTGGAATGACCCTCACCAGATGCCAGCACTATGCTCTTTGGACTTCTAAGTCTCCAGAACCATGAGCCAAATAAACATTTTTTCTTTATAAGTTACTCCATCTGTGGTATTCATTTATTGCAGCACAAAATGAACTAAGACATCCCCGGAGTAGGGTGAGCTTTTATATCCTTAGTAGAAACCCTCTCTTAAGTAGCTGTCATATACTATTTTATTAGCAGAGAAGGTTGGTTGAAGTTTAAGCCCATTTGGATTATGCTATAACTACAAATACTTACCTATATCCCTCTCATGCCACCAATGTTCTCTACCTGAAAATTAAAATTTGAAAAATTTAAAAGTTCCCCCACCTCCTTCCTTTGTTTAACTCATACTCATATCATATTTAGCACAAAGATATTCAGTAAACAGACTCATTGGATGCCCTATTTTATTTTATGCTTTCCTCTGAGCCACCAGGGCTATAGTTCTCTATATTAATTTATGAATTATTTAAAATACACCACAAAGAACATTTTTATGATGTTTATTATGTCAAAATCTATTAACTTTGTGACATTTTACTTTTTTTCTCTTCTATTTTTCATTCATTTTGTTTGTATCTAAGTTGCACCCTAATTAAGGTTCTTAGTAATTTCTTATGAAATGTTCATTATTAACTCAAATACTTAGGCATCAAAAATTAAATACAGAGTCTAGGCTTACAAATTTGTTTTTTTCTTCTTTCCAAAACAGACATCGACACAAATTGAGAGAGAGAGAGAGAGAGAGATGCACACACACACACACACACACACACACACACACACACACACACAGAGAGAGAGAGAGAGAGAGAGGGAGAGGAAGAGAGATTAGATAGAGAAATAAAGAACAAGACACTATATTTTTGTATGATTTTTGGCCTAGTTACTTTAGTAGCTCCAAGGCTAAGGAGCTGAAAAAAAGATACACTGCACAGAATTCAAGATGATAAAAAGTTCTGCAAATCTGTTCCATTCGGAAGAGGATTACCCATGATTTATATTCTTTTCGATTGCATAGTAATGAAGTGGTAATGACTATTCATTCTTACTTTAGAATTGCCTTTGTTTTTGTGAGTAGAACTTAAGAAAACATCACACCTATTTTCTTTGGGATATGGGCTATTCTATTCTCCCTTTCTCTCTCTCTCCCTTTCATTGCTCTCTTATCCTCTCCCTAGCTTTCTACTGGATATTTTTAAATGAAAATCAACATCTTTCTATTTTTAAAGTTCCATGTATAAAAACCCACACTCCCAAGCAAAATATTCATCTTCATCTAAAGTAGATATCATTACGATGAGAGTAGAAAATAGCAGTCCTCCGCATTAAATATCTCAATTGAATAAATAAATGAAAAGTGAGTGAATAAAACATGAATTCTAATCCTCATCCTGCAATGATCCTAGCTAGCTATGTGATCCTGGAAAAGTATCCTAGAATTTTCACAACTTAGTTTATCTTCCAAAAATAGAGATGATATCATTTTCCATTTCCTTTCCTTAAGATGTTTATAAAAATAAAATGAAATAGTGCAATGGAAATCTTTTGTCATTCATAGGTCATTTCCCCCAAATTTAGAAGATATTTGCATTGAATTTAAGGGAAAAAAGGTCTCTACAGAACCAAACTCTATTTGAGTTATTTCTTACTGACAACTGGTTTTGAGAAAAAAATATATATGCCATTTCTAAGCACCATGTATTTGACTCTCTTCTTTCCCTCAAAGTTTAACACTTCAATTATCAGTTCTAACAGACTATGTTGAGGGTAGGTATAGCAAGAAATGAAAAAAAATTAATGCAATTTAAGTTATTCTCATTCAGTATTATATTAATTTAAATATGAACGTTATGAAATACCACTGGCTTTTGATTGGAGATCTAAACGAGCCTTCCAATGTGAAAGTAAAGTGGCAGCATAACATTATGTTATCCTTATGAATCCATTTTTCTAGAATATTATTTCTAAAATAGACCTACTTGGAAAATAATCCTCTAAATCATATTATCTGAGGAAGAAATTTAGTAAGTAGTACTATCATTGAACTTCCTTTACAAATTAGCTTCAGAAAATAGTATGAATGTTTACAATAAAACTAGAACTAAAAACTAAAGGTTAGATTCCTAATAGATCTTCATGAAAATCAGTAGGAATACTATAAATGTAAAAGTTATTTATGGCACCCATTATCCGGATAAATTCAAACAAGACAGTGTAGAAAACATAAAAATTATCCAAAAAAAAAAAACCCCAATGATCTACATGAAAAAATGCCAACTATCCACAGTCCCTTTGGCAACTTGGTTAACTATTATGAGGTGGAAGAGGAAGATAGGGCTTGGAAAGTTTTCATCCATGCATCTTGTAGCACTCTAATAATTATTGTCATCAAACGTCACTAAAACCCATTTAGCGGCTACATCACAAACATCAACTATATTCATCACTTTTGCTACTTTGCCAAGAATTTCAGTCACTTCAGTTACCAATATCCAGCAGCATTCAGGGTCAAGAAGACCCTTTTGATATATGGCATCCTTATAATTTCAAAGAGCCTTTTCCCAAGCCAGCATCATTGCTGTCTATCTTGCACTCACTCCAAGTTCTTTGTAGTCCAGAATTGTTGGTTTATATTATCTGAGCAGCAACAGAGAGATACTATTGCCAAGCTGATGCAATATATTTACCTCCTCATCAGGCTATGTCAAGGGAAGTGGTTATTAAAGGGTATATTAGTTTCCTAGGGTGGCTGTAACAAAGTACCACAAACTGAGTGGCTTAAAACAGCAGAAATTTATTGTCTTATAGTTCTGGAAACTAAAAGTCCAAAATCAAAGTGTTATCAGTGCCATGGCTCTCTCTCCCTAGAGGAGAGAATCCTTTCTTGCCTCTTGTTAGCATCTGGTGGTTTTCAATAATCCTTGGGGCTCTTAGGCTTGCCCCTGCTCCATTTTAATCTCTCCCTCTGTCCTCACATGGCATTTTCCATTACTTACAGAGACACTAGACATATTGGATTAGACCCCACTCTAGTGATGCCATCTTATTACAGCTGCAAATGTCCTATTTCTAAATAAAGTCATAGTCACAGGTACTTGGGATTAGGACTTGAACACATCTTGTTGGGGGGCACAATTCATCCCATAGCAAGGAGCTAAGAACGTTTTCCTCAGCCCTTGGTGCCACGTTTTGTTTTTCTTTTTTCTTTTTCTTCTTCTTTTTTTTTTTTGTTTTGTTTTTGGACCTTGAAAACCTCAGTTCTCGTAAGACAGCCAAATAAGTATACTCCGCAATTCTCTTTATTTATTTTGGGATAGAAGGGAGAAGTACAGATTCTTTATCTCCATGCACTAAGAGTACATATCCACAGCCTTTGCTATGTAATTTTGCAGTATTATCCCTCTGTTGGTGACATATACTTTTCTGCACCAATGAGCTAAGGTTTGGCCATGTGATTTGCTTGGGACAATTAAGTTTAGTGGGTGCACTATAAGTATTAGACCAAACTGTACTTGCTTCATTTGGCTTGGCTCTTGGACTTCTTCCATAACCCATGAGGATAGCATGTCCTGGGTAACAATGGCAAAAAAAATAAATAAATAGAAATATGTCTTCATTCAGTCTTCAACCTGTAAACAAGCCCAGTGAATCTATAGATTGGAGCTGAATTAATCCTGCTGACCCAAAAAAATCTGAGCAAGAGAAATAAGTCCTTGTTTTTGCAAGCCATTGAATATTGAGATGGTTCATTCCATAGCACTATTATGGCAATAGGTGACCAACATGCTGTGCTGACTCAAGATCTATGCCCACTGCATCATTTCCTCTTCCCTGCAATTGCCCTGATTATTTTTGCATATTTTTTAATATTGAAACTTATGTAAGGTTTAATTTATTAAGAAAACTAGTCAATATTAAAGAAATGTATCTGTTTTCTGTGTCATTTATTTCAGAAACCACACTTCTTAACTCATTTGATATTATTATGCCTGGATTTTTATAAATTCTATTGAAATTAACTTCCCACATGATGCCAAATACAAGATTCTAAAGCCATGGACATGTGAGAAATAATTTTACAGATCTCTTATAAGTAAGTTGACCATATACAATCATGCACTCAGGGAAACCTTGAAGAAAGGGAATTTTGAAAGGGGATTTCTTGAAAAGGGATTCCTTGAAAGGGTTTCTTGAAGGATTTCTTGAAGGATTTCTTGAAGGGGATTTCTTAATTATGCCAGGATCAGGCATAAATCACAAGTCCTGAAAACAATGGCTATGTGATCATTGTTCTTTCAGTAAAATAACATTAAAGCACATAAGTAAGTTTTGTTTTTTGGTCATTGTTCAATTTAGCTACTTAATGCCTCCCTTTATCCATGGGGGTACATTCCAACACTTCCAGTGGAAGCAGGAAACTACAGATAGTACTGAATCTTATAGATACTACAGTTTTTCCTAATATTTACTGTGAAAGGAAAATTAGTCTCAGGACCCCAAAATCACTATGCCAAAGAGAAGTCAAACTGGGAACTGCAGCAGCACACCTGCCTTCCATTTTATTCCTAAATAAGATAGCTACAAATCTCTCACAATTTGCCCACAAGGAAATTTCTTGTGAACAAAGGATAGACAGAACTCAAAGTCATCCCTCTGCTCATGTGAGACAAATACATATCTGATCGCTTCTTCTGCCCTATTGTCTCACTGAGCCAGACTAAGGCATAAGTGACTATTCCTCTACCCTCCTCTCACATGTAAATTGTGCATTCAGTGAAAGTCTGATCAGACACTGAAAAAAATGCAACATTTTGTCTCTACTTACCTATGACCTGGAAGCCCCCTGTCCAGCTTCAAATTGTCCTGCCTTTCCAGATTGAACCAATATACATCTTACACATATTGATTAACGTCTCATGTCTCCCTAAAATGTATTAAACCAAGCTGTGCCCTGACCCCCTTGGGCACACGTCATCAGGAATTCTTGAGACTATGTCATAGGTGCATTCTTAACCTTAGCAAAATAATCTTTCTACATTGATTGAGATCTGTCTCAGATACTTTTGGGTTCACATTACATACCAATGATAAAGTTTAATTTATAATAAGCACAGTAAGAGATTAACAACAACAACTAATAATAGTTTAAGTATAAAAATATGCCAGCATCACTACTGTTACACTTTGAGGCTATTATTAAATAAAATAATGGGTTTTTGAACATAAGCACTCTAATACTGCCACAGTTGATCTGATAGCGAGAGAAGTACTAAGTGCCTATCAGGCAGGGAGCATAGAAGATGTGAACACACTGTAAAAGGAAATGAGTCATGACATGGTTGTTTGGTTCTGTATCGCCATCCAAATCTCATCTCAAATTGTAATCCCTACATATCAGGCAAGGGAACTGGTTGGAGGTGATTGGATCATGGAGGCAAAAATTTTCATAAGCAGTGAGGAGCAGAATGTTAATTGCCAAGACAATGGGAAAAATGTCTCCAGTGAATTTCAGAGATCTTCATGGCAGCCCCTCCTATCACAGGCCCAGAGGCCTAGGAGGGAAAAATGGTTTTGTGGGCCTGACCCAGGTCCCCACTGCTCTGTGCAGCCTCTGGGTGCCCTGCATCCCAGTCGCTTCAGTTCCAGCTGTGGCTTAAAGGTGCCAAGATACAACTCAGGCCATGGCTGAGGGTGTAAGCATCAAGACTTGGTGACTTCCACATGGTGTTGGGCCTGCAGGTGCATAGAAGGCAAGAGTTGAGGTTTGGGAGATTCTGCCTAGATTTCAGAAGATGTATAAAAATGCCTGGATATCCAGGCAGAACTCTGCTGCAAGGGCAGAGCTCTTGTGAAAATGTCTACTAGGGTAGTGCAAAGGGAAAATGTAGGATTGGAGCCCCAGATTCCCCACTGGGGCATTCCTAGTGGAGCCATGAGAAGAGGGCCACCATCCTCCAGGCCCCAGAGTGGTAGTTCCACCAACAGCTTGCACTGTGCATTTGGAAAAGCCACAGGTACTCAACGCTAGCCTGTGAAAGCAGCTACAGGTACTGTATCCTGAAAAGCCACAGGGGTGGAGCTGTGCAAGGCCTTGGGAGCCCACACCGTGCATCAGTAACCCTGGATGTGAGACCTGGAGTCAAAGGAAATTATTTTGGAGTTTTAAGATTTGATGACTGTTCTGCCAGACTTCAGATTTGCATGGGGCTTGTGGCCCCTTTCTTTTGGCCAATTTCTCCCATTTGGAATAGGAGTATTTTCATGTACCCCCATTGTATTTTGGAAGTAACTAACTTGATTTTGATTTTACAGGCTCATAGCAGAAAGGACTTCCCTTGCCTCAGATGAGACTTTGAACTTAGACTTTTGAGTTAATACTGGAATGAGTTAAGACTTTGAGGGACTGTTGGGAACGCATGGTTTATTTTGAACTGGGAGAAAGACATGAGATCTGGGAGGAGCTGGGGAAGAATGATATTGTTTGGCCCTGTGTCCCCACCCAAATCTTATCTTGAATTGTTATTTCACCATATCAGGGGAGGGACATGGTTAGAGGTGATTGGATCATGGGGGCCTTTTTCCCCATGATGTTCTCATGATAGTGAATTCTCATGGGATCTAATGGTTTTAAAGTGTGGCACTTCCCCACAGCTCGCTCTCTCTCCTGGAATAAACTCTCATATATATAAATATATATATATGATATAGATATAGATATATAGGATATATATATATATAATTATTAGTTCTGTCCTTCTAAAAGAACCCTGACTAATACAACAGCTAAAATGCTTAAATTACAGCAAAAACATTTCCATTTAATTGCACAGAAAATTCAAAATGTTTGTACTCAAGGATTAAGATTTATTAAAATCAATATATTTACTGCTTCATCAAAGACATCCTCAGTTGAAATTTTCATTTTTTTTTCCATTGCCAGGGCATGATTTTGAAGAAAGCAATGACTACTTACACAGTTTTGAGTCACTGCTTTGATTTTTGTTAAGTTTCCAGCAGTTTTACCGACCTGTGCTTTTCCATCCTCAATGTATTGTGAACACATTGAAAAAACAAATGATGTCTTAGCATTATTATTAAAGTAGTTTTATCTTTTCTTAATAGTTCTATTATTAAAATAGCTTTATCTTTATTTTTTTTTCTATGTCCAAAAAAAAAATGCTAAAGAATCCCTAGGAATCCCAAACTACACAGTGAAAATTTGTGGACTAGAGCATGAAAACAAAAAATCAACATCTCAAATCATCTTTTAATTCTGAAAATCCATGTTGAAGGCTTTGAGAATAACTAGGGTTATGTGTTTCAGATTTGCTATCCTCTAGTCACCAAAGAAACCAATTCTATCTAGTCCAGGACATTGAAAATATCAACAGGATACACACACACACACACACACACACACACACACACACACACATATATATAGGATAGTTTATAAAGTATTATCTTGCACTATCACAAGGTCCCACAAAAGGCTGTCTGCAAGTGGAGGAGCAAAGAAAGCCAGTCTGAGCAAGGAAAGCCAGCCTTCCCAAAACTGAAAAACTTGGAGTCCGATGATCAAGGGCAGGAAGCATCCAGCATGGGAGAAAGATGTAGGCTGGCAGGCTAGGCCTGTCTTGACTCTTCACGTTTTTCTGCCTGCTTTATATTTGCTGGCAGCCGATTAGATTGTGCCCACCCGATTAAAGGTGGGTCTGCCTTCCCCAGTCCACTGACTCAAATGTTAATCTCCTTTGGCAACACACTCACAGACATACCCAGGATCAATACTGCATCCTTCAATCCAATCAAGTTGACACTCAGTATTAACCATCACAGCTATAAAGGAAACTATAAGGGTTGTCTCTCACAGAAATCTTGTATAAAAATTTGAGTACTTGTGTGATTGTTTAAGCCACAGCAAGAAATTTTTTTCATAAAAGACTGTTATTACTTGATAGAATGATGGACAAACTATGGTTATTCAGACTTGAGCTTCTAGTAGACATTTTCTCAGAAATGAACAGGGTGAGCTTGGCATGTGAAGGAAGTCAAGTGACAGGGTAGTTGCCATGATTTCAAGCAAAAAATTGAATCTAGGAGAGTGTGTATTTATTACTGTGAGCTTAACAGTTTCTCAATAGATATAAAATATTCTGATGAGATCAGAGGTGATATAACGAAAGTGACATTTTGATATTTGATATATATTATGAAATGTACCAACATTTGTAAAACTTTCTTTACTCAGTGAACAAGTATTTTCCAAATGACTAATGCATGATATAAGAAAATACTGCACTGGTAAATGATAAAATCAGAGTACAAAAAATAAATAGAAGACTTTCAGGTAACAGTGTACAGGAAGTACATTGATATTATTTAATACTCCATATAGTAATTGACACAAAAATTACTACTTTTGCATTTTGATGTAGAATCAAAGAAGAATATTCTAAAATATCTGAAAAGGTTATTGAAATAATTTTCCCATTTCCAAATACATATCTGTGTAGGGCCAGATTTTCTTCATGTTTTTCAACCAAAATAACGTTACAGCAGGTTGAATCCAAAAACAAATAAGAAAAGCTATGTGTCTTATTAGTTCATTTGAGTTGCTATAATAAAATACCGTAAACTGAGTGTCTTATAAACAAACAAACAAAAAAAAAAAAACATTGATTTTTCACGGTTCTGGAGTCTGGGAAGTCCAAGATCAAAGCACTGGCAGATTTGTTGTCTGTTGAAAGCTTGTTCCTCATAGACAGCACCTTCTAGCTATGCCCTCATGTTGCAGAAGGGGCAAGGGATCTATCTAGGGCTTCTTTTATACAAGCATCAATTTCCTTCATAACAGCTGTGGTTAAGGTGATTAGGTGATGACTTTATCACCCTCCCAAATGTCCCCTCTCATACTACTATTACATTGGGCATTAGTTTTCAATAAATGAATTTTGTGGAAAGCAGAAACATTCAGATCATAGCACCATAGGCTATTATGCCAGATATGAAAGAGATTTGCGATAATATCTTTTTTTTTTTTTTTGGAGACAGGGTCTTACTGTGTCACCCAGGCTGCAGTGCAGTGGTACAATCACTGCTCATTGCAGCCTTGACCTCCCAGGCTCAAGTGATCCTCCCCACTCAGCTTCCCAAACAGCTGGACTACAGACACATATGTCCATGCCCAGCACATTTTGTATTTTTTGTAGAGATGAGACTTAACCATGTTATCCAGCTGGTTTGGAACTCCTGGGATCAAAGCATCCACCTACCTCAGCCTCTCAAAGCGCTGAGATTATAGGCATGAGCCACCACACCCAGACTGCAAAAATATCTTAACATTATTTTTCACTAATTATGTTTCACTTACTTCAAAAATAGTAATTTTGGGCAAGGCGCGGTGGTACACGCCTGTAATCCCAGCAGTTTGGAGGCTGAGGTGGGTGGATCATGAGGTCAGGAGATCAAGACCATCCTGGCTAACATGGTGAAACCCTGTCTCTACTAAAAACTACAAAAAGTTAGCCGGGCGTGGTGGCAGGTGCCTGTAGTCCCAGCTACTCAGGAGGCTGAGGCAGGAGAATGGCGTGAACCCAGGAGGCAGAGCTTGCAGTGAGCCGAGATTGTGCCACTGCACTACAGCCTGAGCAACAGAGGGAGACTCCTTCTCAAAAAAAAAATAGTAATTTTATTTAAAATATGTATTTATGTTATCATAATCAACATTATTAATTTTAAACAAATATATAGTTAAAATTTTGTTTTAATTTCCAACACGAAAGATATTAATGGACATAACTCATTTGAATAAAAGCTTTTGGGGTACTCAGTAATGTGTTAAGACTATAAAAGAGTACTAAAAGTAAAAGTTTTTAACATAATTGCTCTAGTCAAAAGCTTACTGCCTCTTCTGGATTCCTTTTTTTTTCTTCTTCTTCTTTTTAGTTGATGAAGATACAAAGATAAAAATCATCATTTATTTCCTAAAAACACTGCTGTGCATAATCCCAATTTTATCCAGTTCCTATTTAATTCTTATTTTAAGATGAACATTTATGAAACCCACACCATAAAGCTATCTTTTGAGACCCTGATTGGCAGTAGAAAAATCAATTTGTTGAGGTTTATGTAAAGTACAGGACAAAGTAAAGGGGTAGTGATATGATTATGATTTTTCTGTTCTGTCTTTTCTTTGAAGTATTATGTTAAATTAGAAGAGTTACACTGTGAATTTCTTCTCTGGATGAGATTATCCACCCATTTCCATCTCCTTATCTATTGTGAGCTGCTTTCAAATTACTAAAGTAATGGGTTGCATAGCTAATGTATTTGCTCTGAAAAAAAGGGAATTGTTTTTGACATACATGAAGAGAAATAGTTCTGAGGTTTCCTTAAAATTAAACTCATTTTTTTTGTCTTCCCTATTTACTGATAATGACTTTTACCTATTTGAGTTTTGCTTTTTTGTTTTGGTCTCGTTTTTATTTTGGAGTTTGGGGACTCAGTGATTTTTAAATTAATTTTTTTATTTATTTTTAATTGGCAAAAAATCATTGTATATATTTATGTGAACAGTGAGTTTTAAAATAACTCTCAGTTTCTTTGTGTTCTGATTTAAAGTTTACAGATTTTATTGAGGAATTTACTGTGCCCTAATGACTTACTGCAAAGTCAGTTTTTGTAAGAAATTAAATAACTTTACTTCCCTAATTTTAGGCATATCCTATTCGCTGTACCCTTCACATTATGACTTACTGTATTCTAAATATAAAAGACAAAAATGCCTGTAAAAACATTAGAAAAACTAACAAAGACATTAATTAGTTTAAAAATATGATAGTCATATATGAAATCCAAGAACAAACTCTTTCATAGATCAACAAGCATATTCTTTGAGCATCTGAAAGTTTAAAAGTGGCTGGGAAGCACTCCTTACATTGGAACCTTTAGCTCTGATGGTCAAGGCAAGAGATCTTTGAGGAATAAAAGGACTGGGTAAGCCTCGTGAAAGTAATAATAGTAATGGATTTTTTTTCTCACCTTATGCCTCAAGCCTCTAAATTATATTGCAAATTAATATCTATAAAGATATTCAATGTAATGATCTTTCCTAATTTTTACTCAGTATCTACCAGACTTCCTTGAACATAGTAGACCTGAAATAAGTTTGTCGAATAATAATTTGGTTTTAGTTTCATGTTAATATCACTTACTACGCAAAAATAATTCTTCCAACAACCAGACTCCTTACTTTTTTTTTTCAAGAAAGCATTGCCAGTCCAACTCTACTAACTCTAACCCCAAAAACATCCCCAATATTTTTTTCTTTTCCAATTGCAGTTATTTGAGTAAAAAATTAAATGCTTGTGTGAACTGGAAATATAACAACAACAAATTTTGGCTGCTCTACCCAGACATGGGAGAAGTTAAGTAATAAAATGCTAACAGTGTACCAGAAGGACGAGGGCTCCTTTCTTCCTTTCTAGTATAGAATTACAGCATGTGGTAGGGTACAACTCAGAAGAAAATGTGTGCCAGAAGTTTACAGAATAAAATATCCAAAGCTCCAGATGTAAAATAAAAGCTGCCTAGAGGAAGAGAGTGGGGGATATATTTCCTCTGAACTCTTTGAAAGTCTGTCCTTTAAATCCTTTGTGGGATGTTTGGCTGTCAAAATGGCAAACGAGACACAATGTAAGGGGAAAAAATGATGAGAGAGTTGTATTTTATACCTGCAACTAGGGGTGCTGTAGAAGCTTTGGTGAAGAGTGAACTTCACAACAGTATAGGGTAAATATTGCTTGCTGTGAGGTTCTCACATTTCCAAGCTCAGCTGGAGGTGACTATGGGTATAACAGCGCAGTGTTATAGACACGATGTGCAAGATTAGAACAACTCATTCAATATTCCCATTCACTTAACTGTGAAAGTGCAGTTCTATGTCTTGCAATTTCCTTTTACAAAATAAAGATAATATGATATAGTTGATCTTGCCAGTGTGGTTGGGAATTTATATCAATTAAATCAGATCACAATGAAAAAAGATCTACTTTAGATGACCTGCACAGATAATTTGAGATTGGACGAATACCCAGCAGAGGGGGATCTGGAAGGAGTTCTTCTTGGACCCTAGGAATAAAGATCAAGAAATACTGAAGTGCAAAATCGAGAATATTCTGAAGATCAAAATAACTTACTCTATCTAAAACTCAAGGCCTAATTTATTTAGATGAAAAATAAATTTTAAAATATAAAATTATTTTGAAAAAACTACTTAATTTTAATTACTCCCATTGATGACAATAGAGAGCACTACTTCATGCTAACAAGTCTAGTCCACTTTAAAATGTCACAATTCTAATCTTGAAATTCTCTTTTCTCAAAGGTTTCTGTAGCTTCTAAGACTTTCTTTTTGTTTATCAGTGAGTACTAGTGGGAACAGATTTTATTTCCCTCATCTGGCTTTATTTTGTTTAATCTATGTAATCAGAGACAACATTTATTTCAAATTTTATGAGTTCTCAGTCAAAGTTTATTTTGTGTTGCTACTAACAGCCTTATAAATAATTATAGTTGAAATTCATTTTATTTTTTTACAAACAAATACTTAAAAGAGAAATTACCTAATGGTGTATTTTCCTGAGGAAAGTACATGTAGTAGTAGACTAAATTCTGCTTAACTAAAAATTTGATTAGTAGGTTAAATTTTATTTAAGTAAAATTTTATTTGTCTTGAATTGCCTAGTATATTTAATATACTCTAAAATATCTCTTAATGTATATCAGATAGCACCTCATTTTAAAAATATCTTTCTTATATAACACACAGTAGTTTACAGATCCAATCTTTATACTTTAGTATGTACTAGTAAATACTAGTGACAATATAGATATTACTAATCATTTCCACAAAAAGGAACGAAAGACTAGAAATGGAGGTATAACTTTTATTGGACTGGCTTTTGTGTGGATAAGCATTACCTCTGAATAAAGTATAAAAGGCATCATAGACTTACCAAAATCAGACAGTAACTAAGGGGAATTTGACTCTTGAAAGAAAGAAACTGCATTGAATTAGATCTATGTTTATACATATTTTCCCCTGAGGGCATTCCCAAATCTGAATGGTATAGGGAAGCTAAAATTAAAGAAAAATGGTCACAGATTTATTAAGTTGAGGTAGCACAAGACAAAGTTTGGGGCTGCCAGACTTTTGATAAAACTGAAAAAAGGAAAACACACAGTTGGCAACCCTAAAACCTGTATATAAAAGTTCAAGAAACTGTACATGCATGTTGGAGACTTCAAGGACTGCAACAAAAAGCAATATGTTGCCACTCAGCACTAGAGAGACAGAAATTGGTACACATTAGCTATTTGGTAAACATGTTGGATTTTCCACTGATATCCAAGAATGGCCATTCCTGTTGCGCAAGTCTAAGAAATTTACTGTGGGATTAAGGGCAAAATAAATACAGACCTGCTTTAAGAAACCATCAAACCAAAACTTCAGGAATTAAGGTAGTCATCCAGTTATTTAACTACTATTTTGAGCACAAATTTTTCACAGGAAGGTGACAGAAACCAGTGCCTAAAATAAATCGTCCAGATAGCATAAAAAAGAATAAACTTGTGGAGAAAGAATGAATAAACATAAGAAGAAACTATTGGAAAATTTAACCTGTAGCAAAGAAAGGAAGTAGCACAAAGAAATAAACCCTTAGATAACATAGATGTTAGACTGAAAGCATGAACTTTAAAGCAGCTATTATAAAATGTTCAAGGAATTACAAGAAAATCTGGTCATAATAATCAAACAGATAAATAATTTCTACAGATAAATGGAAATTATAAAAAGAAAGTGGAAATTCTAGGATAGGAAGTATAATATTTAAATTTAAAAATTCACAATCTTAAGAGAATATTAAAGTTGAAAGAGAAGGAAAAAGAGAGAGACAGAAGAAATATAAAGAAGTTAAAAAAACATCTGCAATATAGAAAACAGAGAGAAATAAAATTGAGAAAACAATCAAATGAAGATATGTGTAATATATATTCAGAAGAAGACAATAGAAATGTAAAATAATAATCATAATATTTGAAGAGATAATAGAATATATAACTTACATATCTAAGAAGCTCAGATAACTCCAGTCTTTATAATACAAATAAACCCATATCTGGCAACATCATAGCCAAACTGCAGAAAGCCAAACATGATAAAAATTGTGAAATGTGCTAAAGAAAAAAAGACACTTTACAAAATGGAGAATATTCATAATAATGCTGGCTAAATTATCATTAAAAACAGAAAGGAAATAAGTCAGTGATATGATATATATAATATACTGAAAGAAAACATATATATATACACACACACACATTTTATTAACATATATATAATATACATATATATTAAATACTTTCCAAAACAAAGATTAAGATATGTTTAGGTAAACATGACCAGAGAGACTCTAACCTTATAAGGCCTAAAGTATCAAAAAAAAAATCTAAATGAAGTTCTTGAAGCTGAAATAAAATGGCACAAAGTATAATCTCAGATTTACAAGAAAGAAGAAATAGAAAATGTATGAATAAATATAAAAAATATACAAATACCATCCTTATCCTCTTTATTATTAAAACAAGTAACAGTTTAACATTACAACATTGTAATGTGGAGTTATATATAAACCCATACTTATTATATTATATTATATTATAATAGATGTAAATAACAGTATCACTAATATTGGATCTACTGCATGAGTCTTGCATTTTTACATTCCTGTTACAATATGAGCTCTGAGTAGACTGATAAATTATGAATATGTATTGTGATACCTAGACCACCACTAAAAATACAAAAACTAGAATTAAAAGAAAATAGATTAAAATGGACTCAAAATAATAGTTACCAGATAAAAGGCAGCAAACGAAGAAGAGAAAAGCAGAATCATGACAAATATAAAAAAACAGACTAGTAGAACTAAATGCAGCTACAAAAATAATTATAATAAATTTCAACATATCTAACAAAAGGCAGAGATTATCACACTGAATTGAACAAGGAAGAAACTGTTTCTATAAGATATTTGCTTTAAATAGGACAGAGTTGGTTAAATATAAGATAGAAAAATATATTCTATGCAAATATTAATAAAAAGAAACCCAGAACGCATACATTTCTATAAGGAAAACTTAAATTGAAAATGAGAAATATTACAAGGGGTGAGAGGGACATTAATGTGAATAAAAGAGCAATTCGCCAAAGGGGCATAATCATCCTAAATAAGCATCAACTAATAACAGAATCTTGAGTTACATGAAAGATGCAGACAAATTCACAATTACAGTGGGATAGTTTAAGACCTTATTTTGACAATTGATAAACAATATGATGCAAAGTCAATAAATGTATATAATACTTAAATAATAATACCAAGTGGCATGACTTTTATAGAACAATGCTGAACTACAAATATCTTATTAAATTTAAATGATTAAATTGTAAGAAGTATCTTATATGACCACAGTGAATTAAATTTGAAATCAATAACAAGGTGTTTTAGAATTTCCCAAACATTTAAACTTAAATAATATACTTCTAAATAATCCATGGGTGAAATCAATCACAAGGGAAGATGGAAAATACTTTAAAATTAATTCTATCTAAAATGCAACATATCAAAATGTGTGGATTTGATCTAGGAGACTACTAAAATAAATATTTATATGCTGAGGTTACAACACAAGAAGTGTTTTAGAAAACTAAATTTCTAACTCGAAACTCTATTGAAATAAGAGCAACTGAACACAAAATAAGAAGAAAGTAAAAGATAATGAAGATTTTCAAAATCAAACACAGAAATTGGACATATAAAGGAATATATTAACAAAGCCATATTTCGGTCATTTGAACCCCTAAAAATATATTTTTTTAAAAAAAGAGAGAAAACACATCTGTAGTAAATGGAACGAAGAGAGGGCTAATGAGAATACATTTCATCTTCATTATTTGTGGATGTATATTTGTGAATTCACTTCTGTGTTAAAATTTATTTGTAACCCCAAACCTATACTTACAGCCCCCCATGATAATTCAGACATGGACAGAGCAGTGAAAATTGGAGTCAACCAACCTGCACATTCCAGCTGAGGTTAAACAAGACAATATTCTGTCTTCTTATTTTAGCTCTCATACTGCAAACAAGTGTTCTTTTGGTGGGTCAATTTGGTGCCATATATTTTTGCTTTTTTGTACTTTTTGTTAGCAATTTCACTTTTTAAATGGCTTTCACGCTTAGTTCTGGTTGTCTAGCATTCTTAAGAACAAAGATGTGATGTGCCTTATAGAGAAAATATTTATGTTAGATAAGCTTCATTCAGGTATGAGTTATAATGATATAGGTGATGAGTTCAACATTAATGAACCAACTATATATTAAATAATCTGTCTTTTGACAAAAACACTTAAAAATATATTTATGTATTCATTAGTTGATGAAAATGTGACTAGAGGCTTGTAAGAACCTAACCCTGCATGTACCCTAGAAACAATGGCTCAGTATTTGCTAACACAGGGTTTATGGCTAATGTATACAACATAACAACCCTGAATAACAATTAAATTGTGAAAACATTTATAGTAATAAATTTTACAACAAAACAAGTACAATAATAAATTAAAAATTGGTATTGCCTTACATCTATTTACCAAATTTAATTTATTTTATAAAAGAAAACATCCCCCAAAGAGAATCACAGGCCCAGATTATCTTTTAGGGAAATTCTATTCAGCATTTAAAAAGAAAATAAAGGAAGTACTAAACAATTTCTTCCACAAGTAGAGAAGCAGGAAACCCTTTAAGACTTATTTGTTTTACAAGTTCAGTATACTCACCACGCTCGGCTAATTTTTTGTATTTTTAGTAGAGAAGGGGGTTTCACTGTGTTAGCCAGGATGGTCTCAATCTCCTGACCTCGTGATCCATGCGCCTTGGCCTCCCAAAGTGCTGGGATTACAGGCGTGAGCCACTGCGTCTGGCCAGAAATACAATTTTTTAACGAAGAATTGAAATAATCGATCCATCACTATATAAATGATAATTTATCATGACTAAGTGGAATTTATCTCAAGATAGTGAAGATATTATAGAAGGCTGGTTTAGCATTGAGACAGAAGGCTGGTTTAGCATTAGGACAGAAGGCTGGTTTAGCATTCAAAAAATCAATAAATATAACCATCACATGAACAGAATCAAGGAGAAAGATTACATTATTTTCTATTTTTAGCATAAAAATTATTTTGCAAAATTTAAGACATAAAAATTCTCAGCAATGCAGGCATAAAAGGGAATTTCCTCAATTTGATAAAGGGCACTGACACAAAAAAATAAGGGTAACATTATGTTCAGTGGTGAACGAGGGAACACGTTCCTTCTGATATTCAGAACAAGATAATAATGGCTGTCTACTCCTAGCTGTTCTACTCAGAATTGTTCTAGAGTTTCTAATTCCTGAAATAAATGAAGAAAAAAATAAAAGTTCTACATATTGAGAAGAATAAAATTGTCTCTACTCACAGACAACATATCTGATTACACAGAAAATCCTAAGGAATCTATAAAAGTAATGACAAAGATAAATAAGTTTATGAAGTTTGCAAAGACCAATATACAAAAACAATTGTCCATCGCAAATGGAAATTTTAAAATAATATTTAAAAACATACTTAGAACTAACTTAGTTAAAAGCTTACAAAAACTCTACATTGGAACTGAAAATTATGGAACACTGCTGATAGAAATTAAAGACAAATAAAATATCTACCACTTAATAAATTGGAAATCTTAATACTGCTACAATATCATTTCTCCTCAAACTGGTCTATAGATTCAATGCAATCCTGAGAGTTTTTGTAGAAAATAACACTATAAAAAGTACATTCTCAAAAGTATACTAACATGCAAAGGACCTGTAGTAGTTAAAATAATCTTTAAAAGCAGGGACAAAGTTTGAGTACCCACATTACCTAATTTCAAAATTTAGTAAAAAGACACATTTTTAAAGACAGCATGTCACATGCAATTACAGACAGACAAATCAGTTGAATATAATAGAGTCCACATATAGATCAACACATTAATTATTTTCAACAAGATACTAAGATAATTCAATTATGGAAAGTATAGTGTTTACAAAAAGTCATTGTGGAACAATAAGATAAACATGTAAAAGAATTAACTCGAGTCCAGTCTCCATCCCATGAGCAAAAATTAATTTGAGATAGATCATAGTCCTACATGTAAAACTGTAAAGACTCCAGGAGTAAATGTAGAATTTTTTTGTGATCTTAGTATGAGCAAAGATTTCTCAAGACCAAAATTACAATTTAAAATTATTGCTACGCTTGCTCATAAAAAAATACAAGAAAGAAAAAAGAGGAAGAGAGAAAGAGGAAAGAGGAAAGAATGAAAGGAAGGAGAAAAAGAGAGAGAAAGAAGGAATAAAGAAGGAAAGAAGGAAGGAGGAAGGAAGGAAGAAGGAAGGAAAAGAAGGAGGAATGAAAGGAAGAAAATATCATTAAGAATATGAAAAGGCAAGTCACAAACTAGAAATAACCAGTTATAATCCATGCCTCTGAAAAATAACTTTTATCCAGAATATATAAATAATTCCTATGAATCAATAATAAAAAGTAAAATTTAACAAATAACATCCAGATATTTCAATAGACACTTCACAAAAAATGATATACAAATTATCAATAAGTGTAGGAAACATTCTCAGCATCATTGGACATCAGGAAAAATAAAATTAAAACCATAATATAATAATATTTAACAACCATGAAAATGACTAAAATTTTAAAGATCGACAATAACAAATGTTGGGCAAGGATATAGAAAATATATTAGCAATATCTTATAAAAGACAACATACATGTAGACTTTTCCTGATCAATTCCATTACTAGGTATTTACCCAAGAAAATGGAAAACGCTGGCCACTGAATGAATCATAGCAACTGTGTTTATTATATCTCAAAAAAGAAAACTCAATTTCTCAAAAACAGGAGAATATATCAAAAATAAAAATATAATTATGAGTATGCTAATCAAAAATCAAAGGGGATGAGCTACTCATATGTGCATTTATATATAATACATAAATATAAATGCACACACATATTTGGCTTCTCTTGATATATGTAAACATACACACATATGTGCATGTGTGTGTGTCAAAAGAATTCAAACGTAAAAGAGTACATACTGTTTCATTCCACTTATTGTGTTACTGTGAAATGCCAAAATAGACCAATATAAACTGTAGGGACAGAAATTAAAACAATATTTTCATATAATGGTGAGTATTGACTGGAAAAGTGCATGAGAAAAATTTCTGGAGTCATGAAAATATTCTATATTTCATTTAGGAGTTGGTTATAGTTTTTATGAATTTATTGAAGCTTCTTGATTTGTATACTTAAGATTTATCCATTTCACTGCATGTAAATTTTGCCACAATGAAAAACAAAATCAAAGGTACCAAAGTGTATCAGAAACAGTTACACACATGACAAGATTTCACTTATTACCTGCATGTATATTTTGAGCTAGATATCATTACACTTTAATATGAAGATACATATTTTAAGAGAGGTAAAAAGATTCTTTCAAGGACACAGGATTAGTTAGTGACAGAATCAATATTCAAACTTAGTTTGGTATTTTTCTACTATACCATACACAAATTACAATATCCTATGGAATATAATACTATATCTTATAAAATCATATGCCATTAATTTTTTGTTTTGCTTTTTCTATTTTTGTCTCCTTCATTAGCCATCAGTGAGTAATGCAGTTGTACGCTCAAAGGTTTAGGTCTTCAGCGTGGCCATTTTCAAAAGATATTTGTTAGAAGTGGAAAAGCAAAGATAGCAGGAATAAGCTTTTCAGTGATCATTAATATGTGGAGCATTTCAAGAATTACAAGTCCTACCAAACACTGCACTTAATTGAGCAGAAATGAGGCATAGGAACAAGATAAGCCATACACAGAAAACACACTTCCACATTACTATTTTACCAACATGTTAATAAAAATTTCCTTTTGTGAGGTCTCAGGGTATTTTTTCTTCCTTCTTTCCTCTATTTCTTCTTCTTAACTAACAAAGATTTTTTTTTCCAAAATACCATATATTTTTAAACGTGATTCATAATGATAATGTAAATTCAGTGACTTGCAGGTTCAAAACTGAAATCTTTGCCTTGTTTGAGACTCACTTCTGAGAGACACGGAAAGATTCACCTCAGTAACTGAGCCTTATTTCCAAATACTCTCTCTCTCATGGGAACATTTTTATAGCCTTAAATAGCAGAGAATTGCTAGTCATGGACTTAACACAATTTTTAATAGAATAGAATATACAATAGTTTAATTGTACAGACTAAACTCATTGAATCATAAAGCTCTTGAGAATCTTATGTATGTCAGGGTCAATCAGCATTGTAAACATTGGGATTATCATTGTCTATCATAGACTAGTTAATTATTTGAGCTTTCATTTTGTTGAAATTCTATATTTTAAAGGTTTATTATGTTTAGGAGAGACTTATATTTTAATTCAATTGATAATATTCTTTTTTTAATTTTTAATGATCAAATTGATAATATTCTTGCTTTGCATTTATCAGCACTTTATATATGGCTCATATTGTAATACTCTGTTTTCAAAATTTATTGCATTATTTAACACCCATCCTTGATTTAGTATTTGTTCATTCAGTTACTTATTCATTCACTTTATTCACTCTCAGATGAGGACATTATTTTTATTTCACTGCAAAAACAAAGCAATCAATCAGAGATCTTCCCATCTTCCCTCTTATGCCAAACACCAGAGCAGCCAATGAACCTGTATTAATGTTTATATATTCCACCTGCACTCTAGATGCAGTAGGCAATCACTCCAAAGTGTGATTTGGATCCTAAGAGCAAACTCAATGGCAATGCTCCTACAATTTTGAGCTTTCTACATCATTACAGTCTTTGCTTCCACATATGAATCATGGCTTAAGGATAAATCATGCATTAACATCTCCCATCTTAAACCATAAACTCTTCTCTGATCTTACACCCTTCTGCAGATAATAAGATTTTTTCCCCATCTTCCCTCACAATAAATCTTCAAAAGAATTGTCAATACTTGTTTCTACTTCCTGTCCTTCTGTTCTCTCTTGAACTCTCTCCAATCATCACTTGCCACCACCACTCCCCTAATAACATTGTCAAGGTCACTGATAATCACCACTGTATTAAATTCCACGGTTAATCCTCGGTGTTTATTTTACCAGATCTATTACCATCATTTTGTTAGTTTATCACCCTCTATTTCTTGAAATACATTCTGCTAAGATGCCAGTTTTTCTTGGTTCTCCTCCTTTGCTTCTCCATGTTGTTCTGAGCTACATCTGTAATGCACAAAACAGTTACTGTAATAATGTATACATTCAATAAATATTTTTGGAATAAATGAATACTTGTGTTTTAAAAACCACTGTTGCTCTTCAACTATAGGCAATCAGAGCAGATTCAAATCTGAGCATTAAAAAATTAATGCCAATAATTTGTCCCTTCTAACAACAGTATAACATGAAGATAAAATGTTAGTGTAAATATAAAAAACGCAGCCTAATGATAGTTGTCATGCATTTTTGTATCATGTTTTTTTTTTTTTTTTGAGACGGAGTCTCGCTCTGTGGCCCAGGCGGGAGTGCAGTGGCGCAATCTCGGCTCACTGCAAGCTCCACCTCCCGGGTTCACGCCATTCTCCTGCCTCAGCCTCCCGAGTAGCTGGGACTACAGGCGCCCGCCATCACGCCCGGCTAATTTTTTTTGTATTTTTAGTAGAGACGGGGTTTCACCGTGTTGCCAGGATGGTCTCGATCTCCTGACCTCGTGATCCGCCCGCCTTAGCCTCCCAAAGTGCTGGGATTACAAGCGTGAGCCACCACGCCCGGCCTTTTGTATCATGTTAAAACACAGACTTTTTTTATAGTTTAATTTTAGTGGAGATTGCTGGCAAGATGGCCAAATAGGAACAGCTCCGGGCTGCAGCTCCTAGCGAGATCAACACAGAAGGCGGGTGATTTCGGCATTTCCAACTGAGGTGCCTGGTTCATCTCACTGGGACTGGTTGGACAGTGGGTGCAGCCCACAGAGGGTAAGCTGAAGCAGGGTGGGCCATCACCTCACCTGGGGAGCACAAGGGGTTGGGGAATTCTCTCCCCTACGCAAGGGAAGCCGTGAGGGACTGAGCCTAAGGAACCCTGCACTCCAGCCCAGATACTGCACTTTTCCCATGGTCTTCGCAACCCGCAGACCAGGAGATTCCTTCTGGTGCCTATGCCACCAGGGCCCTGGGTTTCAAGCAAAAAAGTGGGCAGCCGTTTGGGCAGACACCGAACTAGCTGCAGGAGGTTTTTTTTCCCATACCCCAGTGGTGCCTGGAATGCCAGTGAGACAGAACTGTTCACTCCCCTGGAAAGGGGGCTGAAGCCAGGGAGCCAAGTGGTCTGTCTCGTCAGGTGCCACCCCAACAGAGCTCAGCAAACTAAAATCCACTGGCTTGAAATTCTAGCTGCCAGCACAGCAGCATTCTGATACCAACCTGGGATGCTCGAGCTTGTTGGGGGGAGGGGAGTGCACCATCACTTAGGCTTGAGTAGGCAGTTTTACTCTCACAGTTGAAGTTTGAACTGGGCGGAGCCCACCACAGCTCAACAAGGCCACTGTGGCCAGATTGCCTCTCTACATTGCTCCTGTCTGGGAAGGGCATCTCTGAAAAAAAGGCAGCAGCCCCAGTCAGGGACTTATGAATAAAATCCCCATGTCCCTGGGACAGAGCACCTGGGGGAAGGAGCAGCTGTGGGCACAGCTTTAGCAGACTTAAACGTCCCTGCTTGATGGCTCTGAAGAGAGCAGTGGCCCTCCCAGCAGAGCATTCAAGCTCTGCTAAGGGTCAGACTGCCTCCTCAAGTGGGTCCCTGACCCCCATGTATCCTTACTGGGAGACACCTCCCAGTAGGGGCCAACAGACAGATCATACAGGAGAGCTCTAGCTGGCATCTGGCATGTGTCCCTCTGGGACGAAGCTTCCAGAGGAAAGAACAGGCAGCAAAATTTGCTGTTCTGCAGCCTCCACTGGTGATACCCAGGCAAACAGGGTCTGGAATGGATCTCCAGCAAACTCTAGCAGACCTGCAGGAGAGGGGCCTGATTGTTTGAAGGAAAATTAACAAACAGAAAGGAATAGCATGTACACTTGGAGACCCTGTCTGAAGGTCACCAACATCAAAGACCAAAGGTAAATAAATGCATGAGGATGGGGAGAAACAAGTACAAAAATGCTGAAAATTCCAAAAACCAGATTGCCCCTTCTCCTCCAAAGGATCACAACTCCTCGCCAGCAAGGGAACAAAACTGGACAGAGAAAAAGTTTGACAAACTGACAGAAGTAGACTTCAGAAGGTGGGTAATAACAAACTCCTCCAAGCTAAAGGAGCATGTTCTGACATAATGCAAGGAAGCTAAGGACCTTGAAAAAAGGTTAGAGGAATTACTAACAAGAATAACCAGTTTAGAGAAGAAAATAAATGACCTGATGGAGATGAAAAACACAGCATGAGAACTTCGTAAAGCATACACAAGTATCAATAGCCAAATCAATCAAGCAGAAGAAAGGATATCAGAGATAGAAGATCAACTTAATGTAATAAAGCAAGAAGACAAGATTAGAGAAAAAAGAATAAAAAGGAATGAACAAAGTCTGCAAGAAACATGGGACTATGTGAAAAGACCAAATCTATGTTTGATTGGTGTACGTGAAAGTGACAGGGAGCATGGAAGCAAGTTGGAAAACACTCTTCAGGATATTATCCAGGAGAAATTCCCCAACCTAGCAAGACAGGTCAACATTCAAATTCAGGAAATACAGAGAACACCACAAAGATACTCCTCGAGAAGAGAAACCGCAAGACACAAAATTGTCAGATTCACCAAGGTTGAAATGAAGGAAAAAATGTTAAGGGCAGCCAGAGAGAAAGGTTGGGTTACCCACAAAGGGAAGCCCATCAGACTAACAGTGATCTCTCTGCAGAAACCCTACAAGCCAGAAGAGAGTGGGGACCTATATTCAACATTTCTTAAAGAAAAGAATTTTCAACCCAGAACTTCATATCCTGCCAAACTAAGTTTCATAAGCAAAGGAGAAATAAAGTTCTTTACAGACAAGCAAATACAGAGAGGTTTTGTCACCACCAGGCTTGCCTTAAAAGAGCTCCTGAAGGAAGCACTAAACATGGAAAGGAACAAGTGGTACTAGACACTGCAAAAACATACCGAATTGTAAAGGCCATCGACACTATGAAGAAACTGCATCAACTAAGAGGTAAAATAACCAGCTAGCATCATAATGACAGGATCAAAGTCACACATAACAATATTAACCTTAAATGTAAATGGGCTAAATGCCCCAATTGAAAGACACAGACTGGCAAATTGGATAAAGAGTCAAGAACCGTCGGTGTGGTGTATTCAGGAGACCCATCTCACATGCAAAGACACACATAGGCTCAAAGTAAAGGGATGAAGAAATATTTACCAAGCAAATGGAAAGCAAAAAAAAAGCAGGAGTTGCAATCCTAATCTCTGATAAAACAGACTTAAAGCCAACAAACATCAAAAGAGACAAAAAAGGGCATTATATAATGGTAAAGGGATCAATGCAACAAGAAGAGCTAACTATCCTAAATATATATGCACCCAATACAGGAGCACCCAGATTCATTAAGCAAGTTCTCAGAAACCTACAAAGAGACTTAGACTCCCAAACAATAATAGTGGGAGACTTTAACACCCCACTGTCAACATTAGACAGATCAACCAGACAGAAAATTAACAAGGGTATTCAGGATTTGAACTCAGCTCTGCACCAAGCGGCCCTAATAGACATCTACAGAACTCTCCACCCCAAATCAACAGAATATACATACTTCTCAGCACCTCATCACACTTATTCTAAATTTAACGACATAATTGGAAGTAAAACACTCTTCAGCAAATGCAAAAGAATGGAAATCTTAACAAACAGTCTCTCGGGCCACTGTTCAGTCAAATTAGAACTCAGGATTAAGAAACTCACTCAAAACGGCACAGCTACATGGAAACTGAACAACCTGCTCCTGAATGACTACTGGGTAAATAACGAAATGAGGGCAGAAATAAAGATGTTATTTGAAACCAATGATAAAAAAGACACAACCTATCAGAATCTCTGGGACACATTTAAAGCAGTGTGTAGAGATAAATTTATAGCACTAAATGCCCACAAGAGAAAGCAGGAAAGATCTAAAATTGACACCCTAACATCAAAATTAAAAAAACTAGAGAAGCAAGAGCAAATGAATTCAAAAGCTAGCAGAAGACAAGAAATAACTAAGATCAGAGCAGAACTGAAGAGACAGAGACACAAAAAACTCTTGAAAAAATCAAAGAATACAGGAGCTGTTTTTCTGAAAAGACCAACCAAATATATAGACCACTAGCCAAACTAATAAAGAAGAAAAGAGAGAAGAATCAAATAGATGCAAGAAAAAATGAAGAAGGGCATATCACCACTGATCCCACTGAAATACAAACTACCATCAGAGAATACTATAAACACCTCTATGCAAATAAACTATAAAATCTAGAAGAAATGAATTAATTCCTGGACACATACACCCGCCCAAGTCTAAACCAGGAAGAGGTCAAATCACTGAATAGACCAATAACAAGTCCTGAAATTGAGGCAGTAATTAATAGCCTACCAGCCAAAAAAAGTCCAGGACCAGACAGATTCACAGCCGAATTCCACCAGAGGTACATAGAGGAGCTGGTACCATTCCTTCTGAAATTATTCCAAACAATAGAAAAAGAGGGACTCCTCCCTAACTCATTTTATGAGGCCAGCATCATCCTGATACCAAAACCTGGCAGAGACACAACAAAAAAAGAAAATTTCAGGCCAATATCCCTGATGAACATTGATGCAAAAATCCTCAATAAAATACTGGCAAACTGAATCCAGCAGCATATCAAAAAACTTACCCACCACGAACAAGTTGGCTTCATCCCTGGGATGTAAGGCTGGTTAAATATATACAAATAAATAAACATAATCCATCACATGAACAGAACCAATGACAAAAACTACATAATTATTTGAATAGATGTAGAAAAGGCCTTCGTCAAAACTCAACACCACTTCATGCTAAAAACTGTCAATAAACTAGGTATCGATGAAACGTACCTCAAAATAATAACAGCTATTTATGACAAACCCACAGCCAATATCATACTGAATGGGCAAAAACTGGAAGCATTCCCTTTGAAAACTGGCATAAGACAAGGATGCCCTCTCTCACCACTCCTATGCCACATAGTATTGGAAGTTCTGGCCAAGGCAATCAGGCAAGAGAAATAAATAAATGGTATTCAACTAGGGAAAGAGGAAGTCAAATTGTCTCTGCAGATGACATGACTGTATATGTAGAAAACCTCACCGTCTTAGCCCAAAATCTCCTTAAGCTGATAAGCAACTTTAGCAAAGTCTCAGGATACAAAATCAATGTGCAAAAATCACAAGCATTCCTATACACCAGTAACAGACAAACAGAGAGCCAAATCATGAGTGAACTCCCATTCACAATTTCTACTAAGGGAATAAGATACCTAGGAATACAACTTACAAGGGATGTGAAGGACCTCTTCAAAGAGAGCTACAAACCACTGCTCAAGGAAATATGAGAGGACACAAACAAATGGAAAAACACTCCATGCTCATGGATAGAAAGAATCAATATCATGAAAATGGCCATACTGCCCAAAGTAATTGATAGTTTCAATACTATCCCCATCAAGCTATCGACTTTCTCCACAGAATTGTACAAAACTACTTTAAACTTCATATGAAACCAAAAAGAGCCCCAAAAGGAGCCCGCATAGCCAAGACAATCCTAAGCAAAAAGAACAAAGCTGGAAGCATCACGCTACCTGACTTCAAGCTATACTACAAGGCTACAGTAACCAAAACAACATGGTACTAGAACCAAAACAGATATATAAACCAATGGAACAGAACAAGAAGCCTCAGAAATAACATCACACATCTACAACCATCTGATCTTTGACAACCCTGAGAAAAACAAGCAATGAGGAAAGGATTCCCTATTTAATAAATAGTGTTGGGAAAACTGGCTAACCATATGCAGAAAACTGAAACTGGACCCCTTCCTTACACCTTATACAAAAATTAACTCAAGATGGATTAAAGACTTAAATGTAAGACCTAAAACCATAAAAATCCTAGAAGAAAACCCAGGCAATACCATTCTGGACATAGGCATGGGCAAAGACTTCATGTCTAAAACACCAAAAGCAATGGCAACAAAAGCCAAAATTGACAAATGGGATCTAATTAAAGTAAAAAGCTTCTGCACAGCAAAAGAAACTCTCATCAGAGTGACCAGGTAACCTACAGAATGAGAGAAAATTTTTGCAATCTACTCATCTGACAAACAGCTAATATCCAGAATCTACAAAGAACTTAAACAAATTTACCAGAAAAGAACAAACAATCCCCATCAAAAAGTGGGCAAAGGATATGAACAGACACTTCTCAAAAGAAGACATTTATGAGGCCAACAAACATGAAAAAAGCTCATCATCACTGGTCATGAGAGAAATGCCAGTCACGACCACAATGAGATACCATCTCACACCAGTTAGAATGGTGACCATTAAAAAGTCAGGAAACAACAGATGCTGGAGAGGATATGGAGAAACAGGAATGCTTTTCCACTGCTGATGGGAGTGTAAATTAGTTCAACCATTGTGGAAGACAGTGTGGTGATTCCTCAAGGATCTAGAACTAGAAATACCATTTGACCCAGCAATCCCATTACTGGATATAATATATACTTAATATATATTATATACCTAATATATACTTAATATATATTATATACCTAATATATATGTAATATATAATATATAATATGTAATATATAATATATACCTAAAGTATATACCTAAAGGATTATAAATCATTCTACTATAAAGACACATGCACACGTATTTTTACTGCGGCACTATTCACAATAGCAAAGACTTGGAACCAACCCAAATATCCGTCAATGATAGGCTGGATAAAGAAAATGTGGCCTGGAATACTATGCTACATTTATACACCATGGAATATACACCATGGAATACCATGCAGCCATAAAAAAGGATGAGTTCATATCCTTTGCAGGGACGTGGTTGAAGCTGGAAACCATCATTCTCAGTAAACTCACACAAGAACAGAAAACCAAATACCACATGTTCTCACTCATAAGTGGGAGTTGAAAAATGAGAACACAGACACAGGGAGGGAAATATCACACACCAGGGCCTGTCTGGGGGTGGAGGACTAGGAGAGGCATAGCATTAGGATAAATACCTAATGTAGGTGACAGGTTGATGGGTGCAGCAAACCACCATGGCACACGTATACCTATGTAACAGAATTGCACATTCTGCACAAGTACCCCAGAACTTAAAGTATAACAATTAAAAAAAATTAGTATTGACTTTTCAATCAGGGTATAATTTAGACTGCTTGTACATAGTGTTAATATTAACATATTCATCTATATTGTGGTTCATAAATTTCACAAATATTCTTCTCCCTCCACATGTAAGGATTTATGTACAAATCACATTTTTGTCTAAAAAGACTTCTCCAATTAAATAATGAGGACAAATAGCTACATAGAAAATTCCCATGGAAGGACCACTAAAAAAACCTTTAGATTTCTATTTGTAAAACAGCAAATAAAAATAAAACTGCTCATTGTCCAAGAATTATTAGTTTATTTAATATAATCCCTGGAGACACAGCAGAGTCTCTATCAAATAATAAATAGAGTAGAAAAAAACAAAATAGTATATAATTTGGAATGCATATTTATATTTTTTCATTGGTTAAATAATAGCTTTATTATAACAGAGGAGATTATTCTAACAAAAGTATTTTAGGGGCATTGCCATCTAAGAAGACATAATATTGAAAAGGAGAGATAATTATTTTATTTTTTAAAGACAGACATACTTGAAGTATGCTCAAGTAACATAATTATATCATTTAAGGCTGACACTGTTTTACCTAGCAAACTTAGTCTCTTTTAAAAAATCATCATATAATGATAATCAGACAGATATGATTTAATAAATATTTGAGAATAAAAGCACTGAACAATTTTAATGGATCTGTAATTGTAATTCCCAAGTATCTTTCCTCTCTCAACTAATTGGGTAATGACACTGCTAGAATTAATTCAAGGTCATCAGCGTGCACAAAGTACAGATGGTTTCACCATTTTACGGGTGTACAGGGGATTCAACATTACTGTTGCCTGCTGCTTTTCAAACTAATTTTTATTCTTAAAAATCCAGATTTTTACCGCAGCTGAATAGTTAAGCCATATGTTGCATTGTGAATACTTGAAAATATCTGGTGCATGTAATTGTTACACTGAAACTACCATGCATTGGTAGTTTTCAATTTTGTTGTAAGAAAAGGATAGTTATACTACTGCTGTGTGTGTGTGTGCGCGCGCCTGTGTGTGTCTGTGTGCGTGTGTGTGTCTGTACTTTTCCTCTAAGTACCAAGCTTTAGTTTCAATTATGGTCCCAGTGAGAATTTCAACCTGAAATACATTGTATTGCTGATCTGCCTCCTGGTGTACAATCTACTGGAGTATGCTTCCATATTGCCTAATGCTATTTGAGATACTTTGCTAATCCATCTCAAAGCTAAAACACCTGGCTTTAAAATACCTTTCCACTTTTCCCTTGTGGTAGTCATGACAAGTAGGAATGAGGTATTTCTGTGTTTTTGTCAGAATTCTGATATGGCATTGTCATGTTTGCCAATCTAGAGCTTTGAGGAGCCTTTTTATGTAGTGTGACAGGTGAAATGTCCTTATTAAAAATAGTAATAGTAATGACAATTTTTATCTGTTAATATTTAGCACTCACCAAAATGTTTGCAAATGAAATATCTTCTTTACACAAAATCAATTTCAAAAACCGGAAGCCAGATTTTATCATCATTTTGCACATGAAAAAACTCAAACTCAGAAATCTTCATTGACTTACTTAAGATCACATGGCCAATAAGTGACCAAATGAGGTTAAGACTTGCTGTTGCTTTGGTTTCTCTGGAGCCTATCTTGCCCCAGCAGGTAGGTCCAGTGTCCTGTCTTTTTATGTTTCCCTTACTGCATTTGTAGTATAGTAACAAGTCATACATGGCTGAATGGAAAGATAAATCTGCATTAGAGTTTTCCAGAGAAACAGAACCATTAGGAGATCCACTACATATGAAAAACTGTGTTTCAAGGAATTGGCTCACACTGTTATGAAGACTGACGAGTCCCAAGATCTTCAAGGTGGGTCGGCAAGCTGGAGACCTAGGCAAGCCAATGGTTTAGTTTGTGTCCAAACGTAGGCGAGCTTGAAACCTATGAAAAGCCAGTGTTTCAGTTCAAGTTTGAAGGCAGTCAGTCAGGAGAAATTCCCTCTTACTTGAGAAAGGGCAGCCTTTTTGCTCTATTCAGGCCTTCAACTGACTGCATGAGGCTCATCTACATTAGGAAGGACATCTGCTTTACTCATCCAATCTATTTAAATGTTAACCCCATCCGAATGCACCCTCATAGGAACGCCAAGAATAATGTTTCACAAAATATCTGGGCACTCTGTGGCCCAATGAAGTTGAGACATAAAATGAACCATCACAAAAACAAACTAGATTTGTGCTATCATTATATTCTTTCCTATCCACTTCCTTAATACCTACATACTTTGTTAAAATAAAGTTCCATAAATCATTTTGTCAGTAGAATAAATCCCTACATCAACAGAAATTATCTATGAGTTAAAAAGTCACCAATATAGTGAAGCAAAAAACATAAAAGTTTACAGCAGACACTGTACAGTATCTGAAAAGTGCCAGACAAATAACTGATCCTCTGCACTCTATGAAGGATTCACCATAGGACTTGAATGTGGAGATAAAGTGCGACCTGAGCTGAACTCTGAAAAATGGGTGGTGATCAGTTAAAATGGATTAAGAAGTCTATTGCAAGCCTAAAAATTATCTGAATTAACCGAAAAGACACAAATTTGGTAAGCAAATTTGACAAACTTGTTGAGGACAATCAAATAATCAAATAAAAGAGATGATTAGTAGGATTTTAGATATTATCAAAGTCCTGAAATAGGCAGGATTTGATCCAGATAATAATGAAATCAACTGATGATTTGGAGCTAAAGGTGATGTAATGAAAGTAGTCGGGTTTCTGAAGAGGTAATGAGTGAAATGGATTAAAAATAAAAGCATAGAAGGAAAAAGTATGTCAAATGAGAATCAGATTTCCTGGCACAAAGTTTTGAATGCATGTAACAGGGTAGTCGCAGAAGTATAAAAAGGAAAGCAAACAAAGGTATTACTAAAAAACACTAAGAATAAATGATTGTTTGAAAATGTAAAAAAGGAAAGTTGGAAGATTCAACAATACATCAAGCTTTTAAGACCAGATAGCTTAAAAAATGACGGAAGGAAAACAAAGAGCTTGGAATGAGTCAAGGAAGTAGTGACATGTACGTGTGTTAAACACTCAAATGGTAGTTGAACAAATTGAGAGCAAGAGCTAGAGACTTTAGCATCATCATTTAGTGAAAATGGATTAATTCTTCTAAGAGGTAGTTTATAGAAACCGAGAACCAGCGACTGAGTTTTTGGCCTCACTCTCAATTAAGAGTGTCTGTGAAAAAATGAAAACCAGATAAGACAGAAAAAAAAAGATTATAAGAAAAAGAGGATAAAACTGGAAAATTAACCTGGTGATCTAGAGGGGAGAATGTGTCTAAAAAAGAGATGTTTTAGAGAAAAACAAAGTACATAAAAGACAGAGTAGTCTGGAGTTCCAAAAAGAAAGTAATTAGTGGAACTGTTTATAGCCTGTCTACTAATCAATTGCAGAGGAAAACATTGCCACTGAATTCTAATTGCTAACTTTCACTACTTAATCTCTCTGTGGAGATTAGAATTAGTTATGGAGTGTTTATGTAGATGACAGTCATCTTGTTTGCCACAAACTCATTTGCACGGAAAAGCACACATCAGTTAGACTCCTGTCAAAATAATTAGCTAAGCATGAGATAAGACCTTTTAGGTTTTAGAACTTTCTAAGCATTAAATCTTTTTTTTTTATATGAGGGCACTCAACATGTTTTACAGAAATAATAAGCATGTGTATAAGTCTACATTTTGCATCATGTTACCTTTTTCTTGTTGTTTTTTCTTATCTATTTAATAAAGTACCTAATTTAGTAAAATATAAAATTAGCAACTGGTAGTCACTGAGATAATGGGAAATAGAATTTCTTCTCACTTTTCTCATTTCTCTCATTCTATGTTAGGCATTATGAAATTAAAATAAAATCCATTTCAATTAAAAGTGATCTGTTCTTTTAGTATAGAGCTTGATAAACAGCATTGCTGAATTCAGGCCAGTCATAATTTAATCACCATGCATCAAAGACCTAACACAGATTCACAAGAATATATCCTTTTCATTCCTAGATGAAGTAAAGACCCAAAGCTGAAGTGTAGATGTTTGAAAGCTGCTTGTTACTAACAGCATTCTCTATCTTGCTCTTCCCTATGAGTGAGAAAAAGGGAACCAGAAATCAGTGCTTATATTTCTGGGAGATATTATGTGATATGTTGATTTCTGCAATAAGGTTATTCTACAAATAGTTAATCTGATTCTTTCAGTGAATTTACTGCCCTCAATCAAAGTTTGGAAAATATGAAGTTGACATTAGTTCCTTGCATTATTTGCCTTTTGGATTAATGCATTTCGTGGAACCATAGTCATTTTAGTAAATGAAATTCCCTACTTTCCATGTCTTCAGGCTATTTTAAAAGTCAAACTTTTCTAGAGCCTACTATTCTAAACACTATGGATGTAAAGATGAATGAGAAGCAGTTCCTGTCCTCAAATGTGCTCCACAGTGGCTAAAGAATTTGTAGCTAGTGCTCTACTATTTAAAAGAAAAAATGATTTGAATGTTACTTCACACATAAGTGCTTGCCTTTCTGACTTACTCTGTGTAAGTGAAACAGTCCTGAGCACACAGACATTATACTCCAATGCAAGGTGTCTCAACTTTGATATTATCAACATTTTGGACCAGAGAATCCTTTGTTGTGGGAGCCTGTTCTGTGCATTGCAGGATATTTAGCAGTGCCCCTGGTGTCTACTGACTAGATGCCAGTCATACACCCTGAGGCCTGACAATAAAAAATGTGTCCAGACATTGCCAAATTGCTCCTTTTTGAGAACCACCACTCTAACTGTAGAAGAGAACACCAGCATGAAAAAGGCAACTAGAGGAATGAGAGCCTTCACAGGAGACTCAAAAAGAAATAGAAAGACCAACAGGAGAAAGTCTGAGAAACCAAGAGAGGGAAGAATTTTAAGAAGGGATCTGGTTAGTGATACCACATGCTATTCCCAGTAATAAAGTTTAGGTCTGAGAATGGAGTTCAAGTCAAGCATTTCAGAAGTGATTTTTAGATACTGACCTTTATCAAACAGCATCCTTCTCCAGCCTACTAATTCTTATGTGGCTGTGCCTAACTGTGTCACCTGGACTTATCTACTGCCAGAGATTCAAATTTAGTCACTCTGTAGTGTGTCAGCATATATAAAATTACCTGCATGATCCTGGCATACATTTCTGTTTAACACCTACTTCTCTAATCTCATTTTCAATTTCCTTTGTATTCCCTGTAATTTTCTCCCTGTCTTTAGCAGTGCAGGATAGTATAAGAAATATTGAACTGGATTGTTCTGGTCAGAGTTCTAGTTCCTAATTTGACACTAAATTAATGTGTTCACCAGACAAAATCTCTTAAACTCTTAACCTCAATTTAATCACCCATAAAATTGGATTGGACAGTCCTTCCAACACTAATTTTCTATAGGCTGATAAAAAAACACACACACACACACACAATAAACAGATCCCCAGTGTAAATATTAGCTGAACCAGTCTAATAGATAAAAATATATGTAAATAAAGAATTAACAGATTATAAAACACATTATACTCTAAAATGTGATGTAACTATCACATAATAAATATTTAATAATATTTCACATTATTATATATTCTGGACACTGTTGAAAAAACACGTAAAATAGTGTACTATATGTCCAAATATAAACATTAATTCACAAATCAGTGTTTGATTATATAATTCTATATTCTGAGGAATGGAGTCTTGCATATTTTCATATTTTATAGATTGTCCCTCCACATGAGATAACTCTACATATTTATTTATTTATTTATTTAATTTTATTATTATTATACTTTAAGTTTTAGGGTACATGTGCACAACGTGCAGGTTTGTTACATATGTATGCATGTGCCATGTTGGTGTGCTGCACCCATTAACTCGTCATTTAGCATTAGGTATATCTCCTAATGCTTACCTAATGCTAAATGACGAGTTAATGGGTGCAGCACACCAACTCTACGCATTTAATGTGTAATTTTGCTTTTCATATACATTGTGGCTATTTTATCACTATGGAAGCTGTCACCTCTGAGGTGACCACCAGAAATATTCCAGAAGCAAGAAGCTTCGCTGCCCACGTTGCCACCACAACTGCTTCTCGAAAACATGAGGCTGAAGAATAGGCAACCGCAGCTGCAGTTTATTGATTCATCAGTCTGATTAATGTCTGCTATAGCCATAGCTTCTTAGCAACATGAAGGTGGAAGAATGGATGTAGAAATGCTGGTACTAGATACCTGCATACTTTCAAACTTTGTTTCAAAGAACCAAGAATCTCAGGAAGAAGGATTCTGCCTTATTGTCACCCTCCAGAACTCACAACAGTGCATCTTGTTAGTGGAACCTAATTTGTGCCCAGACAAGAGGCATCTATCGGCTTTTAAACATCTCCCAAAGGAAGAAGAAAAGAATGAGAATTGAGATAATTTAAAGAATTCACCACAATATAATTCTGAATTTTCCTCTTCAAATGGGGTGAAAAGAACAACAGTAATCTCTTTGAGTTAGTAAACTTTATCCTTGTCCATGATACTCTATCAGCAAAAACCTTAGGCTATTTTTTAAAACAACTCTATTGAGGTAAAATTGGTATACAAAGAACTGCATATATTTAATGTGTACAATTTGATGAGTTTGGACTTATGCAAACACCCATGAAACTTGGGCTGTTTTAAGGTTTAGTAGATGTCAATGTGATTTATTTGACTTGAAGGATGGCAGAATATGCCCCCCCCCCCAAAAAAAATATGCCACTTTGGCATCAAGATTATTTTGAGTTAAAGGCACTTAAAAAAAAAACAGCTGCAAAAGGCACCCTGATCTTCCTTTTTCTTCCTAAAACAGGAGATGAAACTCCTAGGGGAAAGGTGCCCTTCCTGTACCAAGAGGGAAGAAATATTCCTATCATCAAAGATGAGGAATCAAGGCTGGGGGAAATCTGTACAAACAAACCTTGTTAAACTGACCCTAATCTACATAGCTGTTTCTCAATAATTAACTGCCCTAACCCAAGACCCTTTGTCTTGTCATGTTTTCAAAATTGTGTACTCTTTATCCAACTTAGGATACCAGCATTCAGCTCCTACTTCTTCTTTGGGTCTTTATTTTTCTAGGGGTGGTCCCCATGTACGTGTGAAAATCTGTATGTTTCTCTCCAATTGATCTGTCTTATGCCGATTTTGCTAAGAGGATAGAGATAGTTTTGCTTCCTCTACACACTTCTCAATAACTAATCATAAAAAACGGTTTATGTAGTTTAGGTTTTTTTTCTTTTTCGTTCCAAGATGGCAGATTACAGGCAGTGCTAGCATATCTCTCCTACTTGGAAGAACAAATAGTGTGTAGCAATTCACACTGGGAACTTTTTCTTAAAGAAGTGATACAGGAACTGAACAGAAAAACTGAAGGAATCCATAGACCCTTTGAAGGCAGCAGCAGGCTGCAGCCTACACTGTGAGTAAGGCAAGGGGCTGTGAGTCCTCAGAATGTGAGAAGAGGAGAGATTGCCTCCAGAATACACACACCCACTAGGGACCCTGAAAGCCTAGGCCAATGGGGGGAGGCCTTAATCCTATCCAGCACAGGAACTGACTTAGGGAGGGCCAAGGAATATAAAAGTAGGGGCACTGGCGGGAAGACCCTTATGTGCACTCACAACCTCCAGCATGGACTGAGGGAAGCAATTTCTTATTGCTCCTCACAAGGAATCCTGCAGAGGTCAAATAGTTCAGGCAGTGGTTTCAGGTTGAAAGAAGCCCCCAACTGGGTTTCATGATATAATTTCAGGGGAGACAAACTTTCTTCACCAGGGATGGTGGGAGGGTGAATGAAAAGGAGGCTGCAGCCACATCCATAGGCTTTGCCAGTCAATGGGGAGGGGTGTGGCCTGAAAGCCACAGTTGCTATCTCTGAGAGAAAAGCTTATGACCCAGGGCAATTGTAAGTTCTGAGTGCAGGCTGCCTGGAACTTAGCTCACTGCTGCCAGTGGAACACTGAGGGAGTGGATCTGCCTCACCAAGTGTGTGGGAGCTGTGTGGGTCTTACCACTGCCTGCTACTCCCCACTACCTGTGCAACCTCTCTTGTGCAGCAGAGGAAGAAACACTCTTCTCTGGAACATCCATCCAGTGGCCTGAGAACCACCCCTGGCACTCACAGAGGCTGCTGCTTGCCCTGCATGCAGAGAGTCAGAGGCACTAACCCACCTGACACAGCCCCCACCTGGCTTTGCCCCATCACCTGCCCTAGAAGTTTAACCTATTTATGCAGGAGGTTGCAAATATTTTTTGTGAAAAATCAGACCTTGGCGATGACCTTGAGCAGTAGGATATAAATAATTCCCACAAGCTTAGTGTTCCAATAATGGAAATCTAGGCATAAATGGGTTAACACAAAGGACAGAAACTATGAGGAGATATATGGCCCCACCCATTGTCTAAGGAACCAGAGTACCTCCACCCAGGGCAAGGTAAAGCAAGTAAAAATCCCACTGCTACTACCATAGATAGTGTTCTTTTGCAAGCACCCACGTCCGGCTGGAGGGCAATCAACACAATCCATTATAGCATCTCCTGGTAGAATAACACTGCACCTACAAAGGGAAAACCTCAGCTATCACCACTGCCTGCATCACTCTGGGTAACCAGGATGTCCTGAGTCTATCCAAGTGACCGGTTCATTAGTACTATAACTGGCATTCCCGAACACACTAAGACTATCTATAACAAAGGAATTTCACAGAGTCTATGTCATCCCCCAGTCACCCCCATTAGAGCTTTTTCTATGGAGGGGGGTCTCCATGTACTTGTAAAAATTTGTATGTTTAGCCATTTAGTGCTACTACTCATTGCTGGGAGATTTGAACACAGGTCACATCACTAGATTCCCTGCAGACATTTCCCAGTGCCAGCCTGGAGTATGGCAAATTCACTGAGTGGCTAGACCCAGAAGAGCAACAACACTCACAGTATTCTGGCTCCTAGGAGAAAGAAGAGTGCACAACATCAAGGGAACACCCCATGGGACAAAATAATCCAGACAAAGGGCCTTGAACACCAGATGTTTCCACTGGTGGGAAGTTTCTTTCAGCAGAGGCACAGTTGCAGTGCTGGGCTCTAGGACAGTCTGCAGCTCTAACCCAAAAGTCTGATAGATCATGGAGACAAAGTCAACAAAAAACAATGGACTTAAATGACATGCTAGAGAAAAATGGACATAACTGATATTTACAGAATATTCTACCCAAGAACTACAGAATATACATTCTTCTTCAGCACATGGAACATTCTCCAAGGTAGAACATATTATATGCCACAAAACATGTCTTAATAAATTTTATAAAATCAAAATCATATCAAATATCTTCTCAGACCACAGCAGAATAAAACAAGAAATCAACTCCAAAGGAACCCTCCAAACTATACAAATACATACAAATTAATTATCTGCTCCTGAATGATTTCTGGCTTAACAATAAAATCAAAATGGAAATTTTAAAATTATTTGAATTGAATAATAATAATGATATGAGTTATCAAAACCTCTGGGACATACCAAAAGCAGTGCTAAGAGGAAAATTTATATTGCTAAATGCCTACATCAAACAGTCTGAAAGAGGAAAAATTGACAACCCAATGTCACACCTCAGGAACTAGAGAAACAAAAACAAACTAAACCCAAAGCTAGCAGAAGAAACTAAATAATAAAGATAAGAATATAACTAAATGAAATTCAACAAAAAAATACAAAAGATAAAGTTGGTTGTTTGAAAAGATAAAACAAAATTAATGGACCACTAGCTAGATTATCCAAGAAAAGACAGAAGATCCAAATAAGCTCTGTTAGAAATAAAACTGGAGACAGTACCACAAACACCACAGAAATATAAACAATCATTTGAGGCGACTGTGAACATCTTTATACATACAAACTAGGAAACCTAGAGGAAATGGATAAATTCCTAGAAACATACAATCCTCCTAGATTAAATTGAGAAGAAATAGAAACCCTGCTCAATAATGAGCAGCAAGATTGAATCACTAATTAAAAATTGCCAACAAAAACAACAAAATCCCAGGACCAGATGGATTCACAGCTGAATTCTACCAGACATTCAAAGAAGAATTGGTACCAATCCTATTGAAACTACTCCAAAAGACTGAGAAAGAGGGAATCCTCCCTAAGTCATTCTATAAAGCCAATATCACCCTGATTCCAAAACCAAGAAAGGACACAACAACAAAGAAAAGAAAACCACAAACCAATATCCCTGATGAACACAGATACAAAAATCCTCAACAAAATACCAGATAACCAATTTAAACAACACATCCAAAAGATAATATGTCATGATCAAGTGAGTTTCATCCCAGGGATTCAGGGATGGTTAAACATATGCAAGTCAATAAATCTGATACATCACATAAACAGAATCAAAAACAAAAACCACATGGTCACCTCTCAGAACTGACCCCTCAGCAACTACAATAATTAGAGTCTGAATAAACAAGGAGTAAATAAAGAGAAAGAAAGGGTCAGCCGGTGAGACAGTAGGTGTATCAAGGAAGTATGAAATCATGTAAACAAATTAGAAAAGTTAGCAGTTAAATAAAAAGTGAATATCTAACTCCATCAAGAATGATTAAGAGATTGAGTAAGATGAGGACTGAAAGACGTCCGTGGGCTTGGACAAAATGAAGTAGCTAAATCAGTAAAATAGACACGTAAATTTAAGCAGAACAAAAAAGCTACTGCCAAGTTAAGAAGCTACATTAAAGAAAGTTCACTTTCTTCACTCCTATTTAATGTAGTTCTGGATGTTCTAGCCACAGTAATTAGGCGAGAGAAAGAAATAAAGGGCATCCAAAATGGAAAAGAGGAAGTCAAACTATCGTTGTTTACAGATGACATATGATTTATACCTAGAAAATGCTAGATTCCTCCAAAAGACTCCTAGATTTGACAGATGAAATCAGTAGCGTCTCAGGTTATAAAATAAATGTATACAAATTAGTAGCAGTGTTATACATTACCAACAACCAAACTGAGAATCAAATCAAGAACTCAATCCCTTTTATAAACTGCACAAAAAATAAAATACCTAGGAATATATACTTAACCAAGGAGGTGAAAGATCTCTACAAAGAGAACTACAAAACACTGCTGAGAAACACTGATGACACAAAGAAATGGAAACCCATCCCATGCTCATGTACTGAAAGAATCAATATCGTGAAAATGGCCATACTGCCCAAAGCAATCTACAGATTAGATGCAATTCCCATCAAAATACCAACATCATTTTTTACAGACTTAGAAAAAACAATCCTAAAATTCATACAGAACCAAAAATGAACCAGAATAGCCAAAGCATTCCTAAGCAAAAAGAACAAATCTGAAGGCACCACATTACTAGAATTTATACTACATGGCTACAGTTACCAAAACAGCATGGTACTAGCATGAAAGTATGCACATAGACCAATAAAACAGAATAGAGAACCCATAAATAAGGCCAAATATGTACAGCCAACTGATCTTTGACAAAACATACAAAAATATAAATTGGGGAATGGGCAACTTATTAACAAATGGTTCTGGGAAAACTGGCAAGCCACCTTATACAAAAATCAACTCAAGGTAGATCAAAGACTTAAATCTAAGACCTGAACCCATAAAAATCCTAGAAGATCATGTTGGAAAATAAATAAATAGGACCTAATTAAACTAAAATCTTTTGCACAGCAAAAGAAATAATAATCAGAGTAAACAGACAACCCACAGAATAGGTTAAAATAATTGCAAGCTATGCATATGACAAAGGACTTGTATCCAGAATCTACAGGAAGCTGAAACAAATCAGCAAGAAAAAATATAATCCAATCAAAAATAGGCAAAAGACTTAAATAGATGTTTCTTGAAAGAAGATTTACAAATGGCCAACAAACATATGAAAAAATGCTTAACATCACTAATCAGGGAAATGGAAATTAAAATCACAAGGAGATACTACCCTACTCCTGCAAGAATGGTCATTATTAAAAAGTCAAAAAACAGTAGATGTTAGCATGCGTGTGGGGAAAAGGGAACACTTGTACACTGCTGCTGGTAGTGGAAATTAGTACAACCTCTATGGAAAACAGTATGTAAATTCCTTAAAGAACTAAAAGTACATCTACCATTTGATCCAGCAATTCCACTGCTGGGTAGCTACCAAAAGGAAAAGAAGCCATTATATGAAAAAGACACTGGCACATGTATGTTTATAGCAACAAAATTCGTAAGTACAAAGACGTGGTACCAACCTAAGCGCCCATCAGTCAATGAGTGGATAAATAAAATGTGGTATATATACACCATGGACTAGTATTAAGCCATGAAAGGAACAAAATAATGTCTTTTGCAGCAACTTGGATGGAGCTGGAGGCCGTTATTCTAAGTGAAGTACCACAGGAGTGGAAAACCAAAAACCGTATGTTCTCACTTATCAGTGGAAGCTAAGCTATGAGTATGCCGACGCATACAGAGAGATATAATGGACTTTAGAGACTCAGAAAGGAGAGGGTGGGAGACTGGCTAGGGATATAATACTACATATTATACTACATATTAGGTACAATGTACACTACGCAGGTGACAGGTGCACTAAAATCTCAGAATTCACCGCAATATAATTCATCCATGTAACCAAAAAACCACTTGTATTCCAAAAGCTATAGAAATAAAACTTTTAAAAAATAATTGATGTAAACAGAAGCAGAATAAATTTATTAGTTAAATGTTCAAACTCTGGGGTAAAAATGCTGAATGGAAATATTATCTCTATCATTTTACTAAGTATGTGACTGTGGGCAAATTACTTAAACTTCCTGCTTCTTTGTTATTTTCCTATTCATAAAGTGAGAGTAACAGCATTACCTGCCTCATGTTATTGTGAAGATAAAATGAGAAAATCTGTGGACAGCATTTAACCCGAAGATTGGCATTTGGTATAAACATTGCTAATGATACTATTAATTAAGTCAAACATTGTATTTTCAGCCATATCCAGACCACCATGAAGAACTTTTGAAATTACTGTAGTATCCACCCATCTATATACATCCAATTTGTCAATAAGTAATATTTCAAATGCTATATATTCATATATGCATGTGCATATGTTTTATTCTCAGGATAATCTGTTGTATATTGGTGGCCATATTTTATAGCTTAAAATTAACTATATTTTGTTATGCAGTGGTATCTTTGGCAAGAAAAGTCCATCATCCAAAAAGATAACATAAAAGTAATTTTTTTATTGATGTTACAGATCTATATCTCTATTGCTATTTACAACTTCTTTCCATAGTGTTCCCAGACCAAACTGAGGGTTGGGCTGCTATTTCTCACAGCCCAATAATGAGATGCAGATGAACGGGGGAAGAGGAGAGTTTGTATTTCTGCAACCAGTTACAGGGAGAAGGCCTGGAAATTGTTGCCAGACCAACTCAAAATTCTAATGTTTTCCAGAGCTTATATACTTTTTCAGCTACATGTTTATGTGTAAGTGTGCATTCATCTAAAGACATAAATGATTAACTTCTTTTAATCTATAACTAAGATCTGAGTCCTGAAGACCTTCCCCTAGAGCCTCAGTAAATTTACTTGAGAATCTAAATGGGTCCAGGTGCTGGGGTGATTACCCTTATATTGTCTCCCGCTAAATCATGCAGGTTTGGGGAGTTCCTTCAGATCCCCAATAAATTTGTTTGTGGAGGCCTGGGGAGTTTCCTCAGACCCCCAGTAAAACTTGTTTAATCCTCAATGGGTCCTGTTAAGAATTCCTTCATTATTTTGTCATGCAGCCTACGAAAGGCCCAGGCAAAACGCTTGGTGGGCTTTTGTTACATTCCAGCCTTTGTATAAGGGCACTGGCTCTATCAGCTTTTAATGTCTAAATTAACCACTCAGTCAGTGCTGAAACAATTGTTATGGAGGCTCATGTTCGTTCGTGAGACCTGTCCTGCCACAACAGTACTTGATTTGAATTTTTAGAATATAATTTAACCTGATTAATGAATTTCAGACTGCATGAAGACAGCATTATTCCCCAGATTACTAGCTCTCTAATATGATTATCAAGTAATGGGAACTTCCTAGGATGGTGCTTAGTATGGAGAAGGTCCTAAATAAATATTAGTTTCCTTTTGTTTCCACAGTTGCATAAAGGCTTGGACCATGTTTGTCTCTATCTTGGAATTAATAAGAATACTCAGTGAAAATGTGCTATGGTAAAAACAAGCAATATGATATAATTTAAAAAAAAAAAAGCATGAGTTAGGTTCTCCAGGTAGATTACAAAACACTCACAAATCTCTCCCTTCCTGTATATATGTTCCTTTGTGCTGTCGTTTGGCCTCTCCTCCTGTTAAAAAGAGCATTTATCTTTCCTTTAAATCTGGTCTTGGCTATATGACTTGCTTTACCCTCTGGGACATTAATAAATGTGGTGTAGAGTCACAAAAACTGTTTGCAGACTAAGTTGTTACTATTTCTTGCTGTTAGAAACCCTCCACCAGGTGAACAAGTTGGAGATGACTTCTCAAATGATGAAAAACCATTCAGAGAGAGCTCCCAAACCTTCCCAGCTACCCTCTCCCATCTCAGATATGTGAGTGAGGTTGCCTAGATTATTCAGTCTCTTTCCAAACAAACTGGCTCAGACCAGAAGAACTTGCCTGCGTAATCCACAGAACCATAAGAAAAAAACAAAGATGTATTGTTTTAAGCCACTTACTTTGGAGGCCACTTGTTGAACAGAAAAATGAAACAAAACAAAACAAATAAACCTAACTGAAAGGGTTCATATTATCATTCTACCATTTAACATAGCTGTGTAAAGTTGGGTACGTTATTCAGCGTATTAAAAATTCAATTGGCCAGGCGCGGTGGCTCACGCCTGTAATCCCAGCAATTTGGGAGGCTGAGACGGGTAGATCGCAAGGTCAGGAGTTTGAGGCCAGCCTGGCCAATATGGTGAAACCTTGTCTCTACTAAAAATACAAAAATTAGCAGGGCGTGGTGGCGGGTGCTTGTAATCCCAGGTACTCAGGAGGCTGAGGTGGGAGAATTGCTTGAAACCGCTGAGATCATGCCACTGCACTCCAGCCTGGGCAAAAAAGAGAAACTCTTTGTCTCAAAAAAAAAAAAAAATTAGTTATCTTACTTGGAAAATTGAAACAATAACCTGCTCGTATATGGTTGTGATGAGAATTAAAAGAGATAACTTGTTTGAAATCCTTAACACAAGAGCTGGTACATGCCAGGGATTCAGTAGCTTTCACTGGCTTTGCTTTCCTCCCCGCTGACAGTTTCTTTCATAAACTGTATTTAAAGCCCCATTGTATGTTAGTGTAAGAGGTGCCAAGCACAAAGTACCAAGCCTAAAGAAGAACCAGGATCTATAATACAGTCCATTCTCTATTCCCTAAACTGTGCACTCTGTCTTGAGGATTTATCTGCCCAGAGAAAGGGATGCCTTTACCTAATTCTTACAGAGAGGTTAGAAGGCCTAATTGTACCTGGGTCTTATACTTAACAAATTTCTGTTGAATTAAATTTAATTGTGTGAAATTATTCCATAGCAAAAAGGTTGAGTTTTAGAAAATAAAATAGCAAAATTTATCTCTACTGATTTCAAAGTCTAAAAGAGTCACCCAAACACGTCTTCACCTTTGATCTCAAATGAATTTTACATCTATTCCATTTCAGTACTTAGAAATATGGCTACAGAAATGTTTCAGCTTCAGGAAAGTTAAAATGTAATAAATACACTGTACTTTGATAGTGTCTCTTATCATCTACCATTCTAACTTCTTTTATTGTACTACATTTGGACTTCACCTCTTGATTCCTTCATTTTCTCCAGTCTATCAACAGCCTCTTGTAACATTCACTTTTTTATGAGCTGTATTGTAAATGACCTAAACTGCTTGCTCATAAATACCTTCAATTTCCTTAATTCCCTTGCGCTTTTTTCTTTCACCTCATTTGCATATCAAAAAAGCCCTGATGCTGTATGAAGATCATGCCTCCTTTTTTCTTCTTATGCCTTTCTCTAGCTGTACTAAAGGGAAAAAAAAGCACAAGAATATACAAGTCTTACTTGGAACTTAAACATTGCTTGAAAATCCTTGCCCATTTTTCTCTGCCTTTCCTCTAACAGTTTCAAATCTTCATCACATTTCTCAATTGCCTAACGCAACCCCATTCATCTATTTATTAACTCATTCATTCAAAAATGTGCATGGAGTTTCTACCATGCAATGTATATTTTGATGAGACCTGGAGATAAAACTGTGACCAAAATATGAATGATCTCTGCTATTATGCGGTTTATATTCTAGTGACGGAAAGGGAAAATAAACCAATAAATAAAATATTATAGTTTTTGGTGTTATAGGAAAAATAAAAAGGATCCTCTGAGAAAACCACAAATTTGAACAGAACAAGAAGGATGGTTAGTATTCTTAAGTGTTGGAGAAGGACACCTTAAAGAAAAAAATTTTTGAAGTGAGAGACTGTCTGAAGAAGAGCTGTGAAAAAATGCCCAGGCAGATAGCACACCATCAGCAAATGCAAAAAGCTAAGCAAAAGAAAGAAAGAAAGAAAATTAGAATACAGTGTAGCAAATTAAAGCAGTGAAAGGTCTTATTGCAGCTTATTAGATAGCTCACTGACTTTTTGGAAGGGCAGAGGAAACAGGCTTGGAGGCCACACAAACAATTTACATCCAAAATACACTGCAGGATTGTGCCAGTGAAGAACTTCTGTCACTGCTTCTAGGATCAGAAACTTTACCTGGCATCAGTGACCATGGGCACTGGGTGCCTGATCTCACATCACTGCCCCTGAAAGTCTCCACTGCCATTCTCAACTAAACATAGATTTCATGTGGCACCTGATTTCTCACGTTTATTACTTCTTAATTGAAGTTCATTGTAGATGAGCCTCATTAGCTTAGCAGATACTAGTTTATGAGTCTGAGCCTTTGCTGTAAAGTAGCATAAAAAGTGAATCCTTGATTGATTTCTACATTGGACTGGAAGAATTCAATTAGTGAGAAATTCCCCAAATATAAGAAGTGTGTTTGGCAGCTAGACATCATGATATGTTTACACTGAGAAACATACTGAAAGTCTTTCCGGGGGCCTGGAAGCTGGTGGGGGATGAATAACTCCTCCTTTCTCAGGCCCAGTCCAAGGGACAAGGCCAATTGTGCCAGCAGCGTGCGTCAGCAAGATAGCAGAAGCAGGAAGAGAGCTGGCCAGAAGACACGTATCCCCTGAAGACCAAGAGAGAGGTCGTCCAGGTACCACATAGCAGTTACATCAGACTGAGACACTTCCTGTTTACAGGAGACTATAAAACCCCTCCCCCGTCCTCATTTGGGGCTGATGCCATTTTAGGCCTCAGGCCGTCTGCACCCAGGCGCTCATTAAAACAGCATGTTGCTCCACACGGCCTTGTGTTGTTTGCTGGCGCCCTCTCGGGGTTCGAACCAATACAAAAGCCTTGCACATACATCCCCCAAATTTCAGAAACTTACAACGAAAGTTTATTTCTTGCTCATGTTGCATATATATACTATGGATTCTCTGAGTCTCTGCTTTTTGCTGTTCTTTGAGTTTTCTCCTTCATACTGAAAGAACAACCTGTATATAAATCACACCTTTCTTGTGATAGAAGCACAATAAGGAGGCTAAGCTGTTTCATGCGACCACATTTAATGCTTCAGTTTGCTAAATATCATGGCCATCCATATTCTTTGGGCCAAAATTAAGTCTCATCGCAAGTTAAGAAAAAAAATGAAATAAAAAAATACTTTTCCCATGGGGCAGGTGGTTGAAAGGATAAGAATGGGTGAATATTAATAAATGATTATCTATTAACACACTGTGCCCCTTAGTCACAAATGTTTATTTACTACTGCACAGAAAGCACACCTTCAAAAAGATATTATGGCATCAGACTCTAAGTCCATCATTTTGTGATAATCTCTGTTTTACGTCTAAATGCTGATACTCTTGCTTATACATCCGTCATAAAGTGGTGGAATATTCACCAAAAAAGCATTGCTGTTTTAAAAAAGAATCATGGGAGACACAGAGCAATCAATCAGTGGTACATAAAAATCTGAAATTCAATCAGATAATGTAGGGGAGAAAAAATAATAGTGTTCTTCCTTAACTATTGCAAGGTTAACAGCTGACATCCCTGTAACAAAAAATAGACTAAAAAAAAGAAAAGCATAAAACATTTACTTAACGAAAGTTTTATCTGACCTGGGACAGTTCAGAAATGAAGACCCAAAGACCCAAGGAAAACTGCATATATATATGCTTAAATTCAGTGAAGAACAGACAGTTGTGTCGAAGTATGATTAGACAAAAAGGCATATGATCCAACAGGAAAACTTAGCAAGGCCTAAGTCAGAGTCTTGGCATCTCTATAATTTAATTCCTTTCTTCCAGGTATAGTGCTGGACACCTGTTTGATGAGGGTCTTATTTTCAGAATCTTGCTAAAAGCTACATGGTGACGTAACACACAATGCAACACACTTACCTTTTCTGAACTGCCCTCAGGCTTGGAAAGCATGTGGTTCATGTTCCAAATACTTTGTCATGACATAATAAAGGTTTTAGTAGGACAATAGTTGCAGGTGCCAATTTCTATATTAGTTAGCTCTTGAGAGTTTATGTTGTGTAACTAACAAGCCCAAAAGCTCAGTGGCTGACAGCAGCACAGGTTTATTTCTCATTCCGTTTTTGTGGATTCTGTGGGATGGTTGTGCCTCTGCTCTAGTCTGTGGGGCATATTTGTGTCTTCTACAATTGTCCTTTTAATTCTAGACTGGGGAATATGGATACCTTCAATGTAGGATGTGACTTTCCTCACAGAAGCGGGGAAAAACAAGAGAAGCTAAGCCAAATTATGCTATTGTATTTGTAGCTCTTGCTCAGACATAGCATGTGGCAAACCTGCTCACATTAAGCTAGAAAAAGTGTCACTTCGCCAATGGGATAAAAAAATTATATTTCGTTAGAAGGCTGAGAGTAAAAAAAAAAGAAAGGGAAAATAAATATTGGTGTACAATAATACAACTTACCACAGAGAGTATGTAGGAACAAATCTCAGAGCCAAGCCCTCAGGAAGTACAATAATTAGAGTCTGAATAAACAAAAAGTAAACAAAGAAAAAGAAAGGGTCAGCCATTGAAATAGTAGTTGTATCAGGAAAGTATGAAATAATGAAAACAAATTAGAAAAATTAGCAGTTAAATAAAAAGTGAACATCTAACTCCATCAAGAACCATCAAGCAATCGAGTAAGGTGAGGGCTGAAAGATGTCCATGGTTTTGGGCAAAATGAAGTAGCTAAATCAGTAAAGTAGGTATGTAAATTTAAGCACAGCAAAAAAGCTACTACCAGGTTAAGAAGCTACATTAAAGAATGAATAGATTTTGTAACTGCAAAATCTATTCATTCTTTAATGTAGCTTCTTAACCTGGCAGTAGCTAATTTATCAGTACAACTGATAAATTACACTCTTTTCTTCCCTACCAAATTCAGAATCAAATGATGAATAAGCACAGGAGTAAGATATACTGAGATCAAAATAACAAATCTATGCCTAGTAAAACTAAACTGCAGCTTTCCCCTTTTATTACATGGCTAGGATACATCCGCAGGGTAAATTGGTTCTACAGAATTTCATTTCTCCAGCCAGGTGCAAGAAAAGAAATGGTTGCCTCAGCCACTTCATCCCATAGAATGAGTATAGAAAGAAATTGGCTTCTAGGAGTCATTAAAGACAGGCCCTTGGCCTCACTCCAAGTATATTTTATACACAGAGAGTATGAACAGTAAAAAAGAATGCATCCATGCTCTGCTTAGATGTGACAGAGATGATTAATTGTCTCCCAATGTCACAATTCCTTTCATAACATTAGAAGTGTGCCTCCTCCCCATGGAATTTCATCAGGGAAAATGGATGCCTAGCTAGAGGCCAAGGCTGTCTTGCTTCTTGTACCATCCAGATGTAATGATAAATAAAGTGAAATAAACAAATTCCAGGTCACGTCCTTAAAAAGAAAATATACTACCATCTATTTTGTCTTTCTTCCTGTCTGGATCTGAAGACATGACAGAAAATCGTACATTAGACACAGTCACTACTTTCTAAGGATAGCAGAGTGACTCCACCAGCCTGGATCTCTGGATTACCTTTTGGTTGAGTCAACAAGACATTCTAAAACCTTCATATTCCTCTAGAATTTTACATGAAAAATAAATTCTTTTTTGTTTGACCGACTGTATTTGGGGGGCTAACAGGTATAGTAATTTATGCTGCATCATAATTAATATATGATTTGGAACCTACTAATATAATGCTGCCATAATAAAAATTGCAAATTAAGCATCAGCTTCCCAGGTGGGCTGTGAGCATCAGGACATAAAATTTTAGTTTTAAAAATCTGGTAATCATCTGGTAACCTTCATTATGTCATGACAAAGTGTTTGGAAAGTGATCCACATGCTTTCCAAGCCTGAAAGCAGTTCTGAAAAGGTAAATGTGTTGCATTGTGTGTGACTTCACCTTGTGGCTTTTAGAAAGATTCTGAAAGATGCAAATGAAGATAGGAAAAAGTAGCCAGATTGCAAGCAGAGTTGGAATGGAACATATTGTTGTCAAAAGAAAAAGGTTTTTATTGCCTTAGTCTATTTATGCTGCTATAACAAAATACCATAAGGTAGGTAGCCTATAAACAATAGAAAATTATTTATCATAGTTCTGGGGCCCGGGAAGTCCAGGATTAAGATGCAAACAGATTTGGTGTCTGGTGAGGGTCCACTTTCAGGTTTGTAGATTGCCTTTTTTCTGTGTTCTCACACGGTAGAAGAGATGAAGGGTCCCTCTCTGGCCCTCTTTTATAGGGCCGCTAATCTCATTTGTGGGATATATCCCCATGACCTAATCATTTCCCAAAGGAAGAGATTATTGCCCAACTCCTAACCACTCCACACCTCCTAACACCATAACCATGGAGATGAGAATTTAAACCACAGCACACACAAACCACAAGCCACCTACATTTAGACTGTAGCACTTGCCTGTGTTTTGCAATTTAAATTGACTGAGATTAGTGATGTATTGGAAACACCAGTGTTGCCGTTTTTTCTGCATGCTGCTACCAAAAGGGACAAAACTGTATCCCAATAACTTTTCTCAATGTTTCTTCCTAAGATTTCTCAGTCAGATATAGGAGGAAGCCTAGTAATGGAGATCATATTATGGTTTCCTTCCTAGCCAAGACTGTTTTTTCTCTTATATAGCCTCATGTCACCTCAGCTAATTTAAGGGAAGAGTAGACCTAATAATGTAATAAATAAAAAGCCTGAATGATTAAAAAACCATTATAACATAATGGACATGCAGGAACCTTTCAGAAAGCAGGCCAAAGTCAAGGATGACAATGGATAAATCAGACATGAACTAGTGTCTAACTAAGGAGTTTTTCCACTGACAATTCAAGAAGGCTTTATAATTCCTGCCCAGCAGGAGTTTGCCATTGCCGTGCATTAGTGACTGCTATGCATTCTTCAATTCCAAATGGCCAAAATTGGCCTTTGGTTTTCAATACTCTATTTCTGTTTCCCATTTTTCTGTGTATTAGGGGTGTGTGTGTGTTTTGTGAAAATTGTGGAGAAAGAGAAATGATTTATTAATTTATACATCACCAGACCTTGAGGAGTAACATCCAAACTCAACAGAGAGCATTGCATATTACCCAGTGACTCTAGACTTTGTGTAGAACGCAGTGACTACATGGAAGGTTGTATTACATTTTTGGATACAAGAGTGGGGAAAATGTTATATATTGATACTTGAGTAGCCAGAGAGGAAGAGATTGTAAATCATCTCTTAGTATCCACTCATCCAGTTGTTAACAACCAACCCTCTCCCCTCAATTTTGAGTCACAATAGCCCAAATGTAAAGTACATTTCTGAGCATCTCTTGTGACTAAGTGGCCACAAGGGCTTGTTGCCCTCCATTTCCTTTCTCTCTGCTGGCTAGAAGATGGTGACAACTAGAATAGCTACCCAAAAACAAGAAAAGTAAGCTAGAAATTGAAGGTAACAGATGCTCTCTCAGCCAACAGGCCTAATACTCGTGAAACTACTACCAACCTCTGGGCCAAAAAGTAAGAGAGAAATAAATTTCTGTTAAAGGTTCAAAGCAAAATTGAATAGAATGTACAGAGATTTCCCATACACCCTCTGCCCCCATACACATATAGCCTCCTCCAATATCAACATCCCCCACCAGGGTATTAAATTTTGTTGTAACTGATAAACATATATTGACATATTATTACCTGAAGTCTGCAGTTTACATTAGGGTTCATTCTTGGTGATGTGCATTCTGTGGTTTTGAACAAATGCGTAAAGACAAGTATGCCCCATTGTAGTGTCATCTCAGGGTAGTTTCGCTTCCCTAAAATTCCTCTGTGATTTACCTATTCATCTCTTCCTCCTCCCTATATTCTGGCACCCAATTATCTTTTTAGCTAATTTTTATCTTCATAGCTCTGCCATTTTCAGAATCCTATAGATGGAATTATACTCTATGTAGCCTTTTCAAACTGGCTTCTTTCACTTAATATGCATTGTTTCCTCCATGTCTTTTCACGTCTTGATTACTCATATCTTTTCAGTACTGAATAACATTCCACTATCTGCATGTACTACAGTTGTTTTGTACATTAACCTACTGAAGGACATATTGCTTGCTTCCAAGTTTGAGCAATTACAATTACAGTGCTATACGCATCTGTGTATAAGTTTTTGTGGGGACGTAAGTTTTCAAATCCTTTGGGTAAATACCAAGAAATGTGATTGTTGGGTTAAATGGTTAAGAGTATGTTTAGATTTGTAAGAAACTGCCAAACTGACTTCTAAATTGACTACCATTTTGCATTCCCACCAGCAATGGATGAGAACTCCTGTTGCTCTTCATCTTCACTAGCATTTGGTGTTTGGTTAATGTTCTGAATTTTAGCCATTCTGATAGGTGTGTAGTGACATCTCATTTTAATTTGCATTTCCTTAATGACATATGATATGGAGCATCTTTACAAATGTTTATTTGCAACCTGTATACCTTATTTGGTGAGGTTTCTGATAAGGTATTTGGCCCATTTTTTTTAATGTTGTTCATTTTCCTATTGTGAGTTGTAAGAGTTCTTTGTTTATTTTGGAAAATAGTCCTTTATAAGACGTGTCTTTTGCAAATGTTTCCCCTAGTCTGTCATTTGGCTGATTATATTTCTGGTAGCGCCTTTAATAGAGCAAAAATTTGTTACTTTTAATAAAGTCTAACTTATAAGTTCTTTTTAACATGAATCTTGTCTTTGGTATTGTATTTAAAAATGCACTGCCAAACCCTAGGTATCTAAATTCTCTCCTTTATTATCTTCCAGGAGTTTTATATTTTGCCTTTTACAACTAGGTCTATAATTCATTTTAAGTTACTTTTTGTGAAGAGTGTAAAGTCTGCGTTTAGATTCATTTTTTTGTACGTAAGTGTCCAGTTGTTTCAGCATCATTTGTTGTGAAAACCACCTTTGTTTCATTGCATTGCCTTTGCTCCTTTGTCAAAGATTAGTTGCCTATACTTACATGGGCCTATTTTGGAGCTCTTTACTCTGCTCCACTAAATGATTTATCTGTGTTTTTTTGTTGTTGTTGTTGCCAGTTCCACACTGTCATGATTGCTGTAGCTTTGTATTAAGTCTTATGTCAGGTAGTGTCAGTCTTTGTTCTTCTTCAATATTGTGTTGGCTATTCTGGGTCATTTGCCTCTCTATATAAACTTTAGAATCAGTTTGTTAATATCAACAAAATAATTTGCTGAGATCTTTATTGGGATAACATTGAATCTATCCATTAAGTGGGAAGAACTGACATCTTCATAATATTGAGACTTCTCATTCATGAACATAAAATATCTATTTAGTTCTTTAATGCCTTTCAACAGTTTTATAGTTTTCCTCATATAGATCTTAATATCTTTCTTCAGAGTTTTGCAGTTTTCCTCATTTAGATTGTTCACATATTTTGTTAGATTTATACCTGCCAAATGTTTGAGGTGCTAATGTAAACAATAATGTGTGTTTAATTTCAAATTACACTTATAAATTGCTAATGTATAGGAAGGTGTTTGACTATTGTATGTTAACCTTATATCTTGCCACCTTGCTTTAATGCTTATTAGTTTCAGGAGATTTTTTTTTACCAGTTCTTTCAGATTTTACACATAGAATATAATATCATTATGATCAAAGATACTTTTATTTTTTTCTTCCCAATCTAAAACCATTTATTTTATTTTCTTCTCTTGCTGAATTATATAGTAATTCCTCCACAATGCTGAAAAGGAGTGGTAAGAGAGAACATCCTTATCTTGCTCCTGATCTTAGGGGAAAAGCTTGTAGTTTCTTGTCATTAATTATGATCTTAGCTGTAGGTTGTTTATACATTATTTAGTTGAGGACTTCCCATCTATTCCTAGTTTACTGAGAGTTTTTATCATGAATGGGTGTTGGATTTTGTCAAATGCTTTTCCTGTACCTGTTAATATGAGCATGTGATTTTTCTTCTTTACTTTGTTGATGTGATGAAATATATTAATTGACTTTTGAATATTGAACCAACCTTGCATACATGGGATAAATCTCACTTAGCCATGATATATTTTTATTTTTATATATTGTTGGATTTTATTTGCTAATATATTGTTGAGAATATTTGCATGAGAGAAATTGATTTGTAGTTTTATTATAATGTCTTCATCGGGTGTTGGTATTACTGTAATGCTAACCGCATACAATGAATTAGAAAGTATTTCCTCTGCTTTTGACTTTCTATAAGAAACTGTTGATAATTGATATAAATTCATCTTTAAATATTTAGTAGAATTACTGGTACATTTAGGCCCAGTGCTTTCCATTTTAGAAAGTTCTTAATTACTAACTAAATTTATTTAATAGAATTAGGCCTCTTCATATTGTCTATTTCTTCTTGTGTGAGTTTTATTGTGTCTTTCAAAGAGTCGGTTTATTTTGTGAAGGTTATTAAATTTGTTGGCATACATTTATTCATAGTATTCCTTGGTTGTTCTTTTAATAGTCATGAGATCTCTTGTGATATCATTCTTTCATTATTGACATTAGTAATTGTGTCTTGTCTTTCTTAGCCTGGCTACAGGTTTATTAGTTTTATTAATTTTTTGAAAGAAACAGCTTTTGATATTTTTTTATTTTCTCTATTGATTTCCTGCTTTTAATGTTATTTATTCCTACTCTAATTTTTATTTATTTTGTTCTGCTTACTTTTTATGTAATTCACTCTTCTCTGTCTCGTTTCCTAAGTGGAAGCTTGAATTATGGATTATACATTTTTTTTTTTTTACTTTTCAAGTATTTGGATTCTATGGTATACATTTTTCTCTAAGCACTGTTTTTCCTGCATCCTTGTGTTTTTAGTTTCATCCAGTCTAAAATGCCTTTTAATTACTCTTTAATATTTTGAGATTTTCCAGCTACATAGATAGTATTGATTTCTAGTTTAATTTCGCTGTGGTCTGAGACCAGACATATGATTTTTATTATTTTAAATTTATTAAGGTGTATTTTATAGTCCAGGAGGTGGTCTATCTTAGTGAATAGTTCATGTGAATTTGAGAAGAATGTGTAATCTTTTATTGTTGCTATTATTTGGAACAAACTGTTATCTGTCAGATCAATTAAGAGTAAGTAAATTAAAAAGTAAAAGTTTTCTATTTTTTTATTTTTTATTTTTTCAGATGGAGTTTTGGCTCCATCGCCCAGGCTAGAGTATAGAGGTGGGATCTCAGCTCACTGCCACTTCCACCTCTCAGATTCCAGCAATTCTCCTCCTCAGCCTCCCGAGTAGCTGGGATTATAGGCACCCACCACCATGCCCAGCTAATTTTGTATTTTTAGTAAAGATGGGGTTTCACAATGTTGGCCAGGCTGGTTTTGAACTCCTGACCTCAAGTGATCCACCAGCCTTGGCCCCACAAAGTGCTGGGATTACAGGCATGAGTCACTGAGCCCAACTAAAAGTTTTATTTTACCTTCACTTATTTATTCTCTGATGCTCTTCCTTTCTTTATGTAGATCAGCTACAGCGTGAAAGTTTGTGTCTCCTCCAAGCTCCTCTGTTGAAATTCTAACTCCCAAAGTAAGAGCACTGGAGGTGGGGACATTTGGAAAATGACCAGGTCGTGAGGACAGAACCTTCATAAACAGGATTAGTTCCCTTATAAAACAGGCCTAAAGAAGTTCATTTGCCCCTTTCACTATGTGAGGACACAGCAAGAGGGTGCCAGCTATAAGGATTGGACACTCACTAGACACCAAAACTTCTGTTGACTTGATCTTGATCTTTTCACACTCCAGAACTGTGAGAGAGAGATGTTTGCTGTTTGTAAGCCACCCAATTTGTGGTATTTTTTGTTATAGCAGCTCAAGTAGACTAAGACAAGATGAAACTGTCTGACCTACATAATTTTCCTTCTCTCTGAAGAAAATGAACTCTCTTTTGATATTTCATACAAGGCAAGTCTAGTGGCAACAAATCCCTCAACTTCTGTTTGTGTGAGGAAGTCTATTTCTGCTTTACTTTTGAAGAATCATTTTTCAGGATAGAAAATCCTAGTTAGGTGGCTTTTTTCTCTCAACACTTCAAATATTTCACTCCACTCTCTTCTTGTGTGCATAATCTCTAGGAAGATACTGGATGTAATTCTTACCTTTTCTCCTCTACAGTAAAGTGTTTTACTCACCCTCTGGTTTCTTTCAAGATTTTTTTCTTTATCTTTGATAGTCTGAGGGTCAAATATGATATACCTATGTGTAGTTTTTTGGGCATTTATCCAGCTTACTGTTTTATGAACTTCTTGGATCTGTGGTTTGGTGTCTGAAATTAATTTGAAAAGATTCTGTCATTATTTCTTTAAATATTGATTTTATTTATTCCTTTCTTCTCTTTCTGGTATTCTTATTACACATATACTTGTTGCAGTTGTCCAACAATTCTTAGATATTTTATTCTATTTTTTCTTTTTTCATTTGCTTTTAAGTTGGATTTCCATTGTCTTATTCTCAAGTTCAGAGATTGTTTCCTCAGCAATGCCTAGTCTACCAATGAGCCCATCAAATGCATTTATTATTTCTGTTGCAGTGTTTTTTATCTCTAGGATTTCTTTTAGATTCTTTCTTAGAATGTCCATCTCTCTGCTTATATTGCCCATCTGTTCCTTTACACTGTCTATCCATCACAGCTCTTAACATATTACTTATTGGTGTTTTAAATTCCCCGTCTGATTATTCCAATATTCTTGCCACATCCAAAGCTGGTGCTGATGTTTGTTTTGTCTCTTCAAACTGTGTTTTTTCACCTTTTGCTATGTCTCTGTTTTTTAATAAGCCTGTGCCCCTGGATTGTTAATGTTACACATTCTTTTTGTCATTTTCCTCCTCTTAGGTGGACAGGGTGGCTAGAATGGATTGGCATTGTGTATTTCCCTTCCTCCATGTAGAAGTCTAGAGTGGGTGGAATTGGGTATTTCCCTTCCCCCACGTCAATTAGGCTATAGTTAAATAGTTTTTCCCTAGGCCATCCCTTGTTAAGTAGAATAGAATTTTTTGTTGTGTTTCAAAATAGCTACCTTTCCCCTTCCCCTGCCAGGAGCAAGAGGGCATTTTTCTTCAATACTTACTCTGAGAAACTTGTGAAGCTTCCAGAGGTAAAACTCAGTAGTGTGAGGAACCCCCTAATCCCCAAAACTGGGTCCACCTGGAGCTTCTAAGGCTCCAGCAATTTATCAATTACAGTTTAGATTTCCTACCTTGGCACTGGTTCCTGGAGAAGTTTCTACTTATGAGTTTCTATTCCACTAAGTTGTAGATCTCTGTACTCATCTATCTGTCTCTCCAATTTGGGGGCAGGGTTTTGCCTTGTGATCTCGCTTCTCTTACAGATCTAAGATGTGTTGATTTTTCAGTTTGTTCAGCTTTTTTACTTGTCATTAGGATGAAGTGGTGACTTCCTACCTCTTTACATACTGGAACCAGAAAAGTGATTTGTTGTTGCTGTTTTTAATTAATACAATGGATGATGACTTATTTAAAAAGAAAAAAGGAAGAAAGAAAATGGTCGATTCAGAGATCCTGGGTGTCAGAAATTAAATTTGGATTTCACTGGCAAAGATATTAGGAAGCTGTTGCCAGTAGGTAGGATCTGGAAAGCATCACTGATGTGGCTGGTAAAACTTAAGAAGAGACATAACTCAACTAATGCCAGTTTGAATTTCAATCAGATTGAAGACGCAACCAGTTATTATGTCGGGGGCAAGAATCAACTGTCCATAATCAGAAAGCATTGTTTTCCTTGGCTGGGTAAGTGAAGCACTGTTTAATTAGTAAGTGTAGTTGTAATACCGGTATGAAAGTAAGAGATAATTAAATAAACTGCATGGAATTGATAATTTATGTCAAAATCATGTGTAGACATAATGATAAGCTTGAAGTCATTGAAACACATTGTCGGTATCACATTTGTTTTTTTAATATATATTTTTGATATTTTTGAGAGAATCAAGCATATAAAATCTGTAATTTAATAAATCAAGTGAAAACGTAAATACAAGAAACATTCAGTTTCTTTTTAAAAAAATACAGTATGGAAGTGAAAAGGTAGAAAGAGAAAGACATATGTTACAGCAGATAAGTGGAAAACAGAAGATATATATCTTACAAAGACAAGAAAGAATAGGATTAATTGCACATATGGAAGAATTAGGCTTAGAGGAAGTGAGATGCTTTCACCATTTTAATAAAAATGGAGAAAGAGAATATGAGTGCAGCTGCAGGTGGATGTATAAATTTAGCAATGGGAAAATGAATGAGTCCCATTTGATGTCTTCAATTTTCTTAGTGAAGTGTATGGTGACATTATTATTTTGGAAAGAAGAGGAGAGTAAGTGGTATAAGTCAGTTAAAAAGGGCTGGACATGGTGCCTCATGCTTGTAATCCCAGCACTTTGGAGGATTGCTTGAGGTCAGGAGTTTGAGACCAGCCTGGCCAACACAGTGAGAACCCATATCTTAAAAAAAAAAATTAATAAATTAATGAGCTGAGCCTGGTGGCACACATCTGCAGCCCCAGCTACTCAGGAGGCTGAGGCAGGAGGACCACTTGAGCCCAGGAGTTCCAGGCTGCAATGAGTTATGATCATGCTACTGCACTCCAGGCTAGGTGACAAAGTGAGACCCTATCTCTAAAAAACAATAAATAAATAAAAGAAAATACAAAAGAGAAATTATAATTTTAGAAGATGAGCAAGAAAATTTTATAGGTGAAAATAGTTGGGTTTCTGCTAAGTGTTAAGTTACAAATTGAATTTATATTCATGAATTTAAAATGAAATCATGCAATCTTGCCCGATGTTATTGTCCCCTAGCATTCAGGAGCATTAATACATCATAAATAGAGAAGATAAGTATGCTGAACTAATGTTGCTTCCTACCAGGCACATGTAAAAGAAGCATAAAGGGCCCAGGGAGTTGAGAGTATTTGGCAGTAAGTGATTACAAATATAATGCTATGGGGTAAGAAAGGAAGTGAAGTAAACAGGGGACTGATGACTGGTGAGAAAACAACAGAGTCAGTGGGTTAGAGATCTTGTTGAGGTTGAAAAAAATTGTACTATTGTATGAAATAGTAGACACCAATCTCTTTATTAGCATCCAATATGCATTTCACAATTCTCACTTTCTGATAATAATTTACTTCTGTTTAATTCATATTTCTCTGGAAGAAAAACCATTAATACAGTCAGAAGAAAAAGTTCACAAACTTCTCAATTATCACTACCACATCTACCGGCGGACCTGGCTCAGTACATATATTTTATTAATTCACTCCTGTTACAAGAGATAAACTGTTCAAAATCCTATCCAAGGCCAAACCCTTCACTTTTACACAGGACGCCACGCCCGCTTTGGCTGCTTTTCTTCTCTCTCTTGCATTGTTAATTCCCTCTTCTAATCTGGAACATAACCACCAGCCAAAAACATGCACTATTGTTTTTATATCAAAAAAGAGGTTTTTTTTTTTTAAATTTGATCTTACATCCCCGTTTTCCACGTAGGAACACATTTCTCTGCCTTCTTTAAACAATAAAACACTTTGAAAGTAGCATCTATACCCATCATCCCCAATCTGTCTCCTTTCCTGTCTTGAACCCAATCCAATCACATTTTTATCCTCGCAACTCCACATTAACTGTTATCTTCAATGTCGCTATAGACCTTCAGATTGCCAGAACTAATATTTGCCTGGGTTTCTCAGTCACCTGGATATGGTTTAGAAATTGGCCTCTCCATATCTGATGCTGAAATGTAAGAGGTAGGGCCTGGTGGGAGGTGTTTGGCTCATGGACATGGATCTCTCATGAATGGCTTGATGCCTTCCCCACAGTAATGAGTGAATTCTCACTCTTTGAATTCACACCAAATCAGGTTGTTTAAAAGAGTGTCACACCTCTCCCTCTCTCTCTTGCTATCCACTCACGATATGACACACCTGCTCCCCTTTCACCATCCGCCATGGGTAAAACCTTTCTGAAGCTTCACCAGAAGACGATGCTAGTGCCATGCTTGTAGAGCCTGCAGAACCATCAGCCAAATAAACTTCTTTTAAGTTACCCAGTCTCAGGTATTCCTTTAAGGCAATGCAGAATGGACTAACACACACTCTGACCTGAAATTCTTTCTTTTCTTAGCTTCCAGGATACATGCCTATTTTGGCTATTCTTGCTTCCTTGTAGTTAACTTTTGCCCAGGCTCCTTTGCTGGCTTCTCTTAATCTTGTGAGCTTTGGAAATTAGACCACCATGAAGCACCATCCACAAACTCCACCTCTCCTTTATCTACACTTACTTTCCTGGTTATCTTTTAATCCATGACCTTAAAAGACACCCACATGCTGAATAAACCTACATCTGTATCTCCAAACTGGATATCCCTTAAACTCAGGCTCACCCTTCCTATATGATATCTCCATTCAGATGTCTACTAGAGCAGCAGTCCCTAAACTTTTTTGCACCAGGGACCAGTTTCATGGAAGACAATTTTTCCATGAACTGGGTTGGGGCAGTTGGTGGAAGGGTATGGTTTTGGGATGAAACTGTTCCACCTCAGATCATCAGGCATTAGATTCTTACAAGGAGTGTGCAGCCTAGATCCTTCACATGCACCATTCACAATAGGGTTCACACTCCTACGAGAATCTAATGCCACTGCTGATCTGACAGGAAGCAGAGCTCAGGAAGTAACGTTTACTCGCCTCTCACCTCCTGCTGTGCAGCCCAGTTCCTAACAGGCCATGGGGACCAGTAGTGGTTGGGGACCCCTGTACTAGAGACTTTAAGCTTACTGTGTGCCAAACTAAATTCCTAAGTTTCAACCACAAACCCTGTTGTGAAGGATTTTTAGTAACTAAGATAAAAAATTTGGGAGATAACCTTGATGCCTCTATTTCTCCACATCAACATATCTTTTCTCTTACCTTTAAAATATGTATCTAATCCTATCACTTACATCTCTTGGACTTCTATAACTGTAGTCCAACCTAGCTTAATCTTTCCTAAATTATTGCAATAGACTTCTGTTTTCACTGCTGATATCCTTAATCTGTTTAGTCTTCTCTCTGCACCACATAAAGTGATTATTTTAAAATATATGTTGTGCAATTCCTATACACCCTTCAGTGATTTTCTGTCATAATCAAAGTAAAGTTCAAAGTCCTTGCTGTGCATTACAAGGCACTGTAAGATTGAGCTTCCTGCCATCCCACTAACCTCACAGCTATCCAACAGTGTAGAAGTTTTCTTTTGTTTCATTTAAAGCCTTTAATATTTTGCCCAGGGTTCTCACTCTTAATACTGGGTACAGTAGGGATTTTGAGGCTTGACTCCTCTAAGTCACATAAAAGAAGCATTTTTTTCACTCCTAGCAAAAGATCAAATATACCTCACTGGGAAAAATAACATTATCAAGCATGGTCTACAACAAGCATGATCTAGAACCACAAGCATGATCCTATTGATCCATAAACATTTAACCTGGAACATAAGCGTCAGCCCAAGATCCTGGTTGTTGTTATTATTATTGCTATATCAAATATATTTTTCGGCCGGGCACATTGACTCACACCTATAATACCAGCACTTTGAGAGGCCAAGGCAGGCAGATCACTTGAGCCCAGGAGTTTGGGATCAGCCTAGGCAACATTGTGAAACCCATCTCTAAACAAAAATGCAAAAATTAGGTAGGCATGATGGCTGGTGTTATTAGTCCCAGCTACTCAGGAGGCTGAGGTGGGAAAAACGATTGAGCCTGGGAGGTCAAGGTTACAGTGAGCCATGATTGTGCCACTGCACTCCAGCCTGGGAAACAGAATAAGACCCTGTCTCTAAAAACATTTTAAAAATTTATTTATATATATATATACATATATATATATACACACACACACACACCGACAGACACATATACATACGTATTTATATATCATATATAAATATATATAAATTTATATATTTTATATATACATATATAAAAATTTTACGTATATTTTTGTATATTTTACAAAATATTTTATATATTTATATAAAATATATCTATAAATATACATATCTGCTATTATTGCTTATATCAAAACAGATTTTTTTTAACCTCGACCTCTCATCCTCTTTCAGCTACCAATATACTTACCGGTTTTACCTTATGTACTCTCATTTTTTTTTTTCAAAATACCTTTATCTCCTTACCTCCACTTTTGGAAGAAGATAACATGCCTTTTTGGATGCCCTATTTCTACTCAAGGATAATTCCTCCACCTTCCTTCTTATCTCTTTAAACTACATTTGCCTATCAATTAGCCCTTTTTTATATTTGTGTTGGGTCTCTCTCATTCTGCTTGCTTTTTTGAACTCTTAAACATCAGCAAAATTAGTCCATTGTGAAAAACAAAAACGAAGCACAATTCTTTTGACTCTATTTCCCCTACAGCTTTACTTTGCTTTTTCTTTTCACTACCAAGGTCCTTGAACAAATATTGGGTCTTCTTTTCCTTATATTACATTCACTTATCTATCCATTGTTAGTTGTCTTTGCTAACACACTCAACCTAAATTGCTTTAGAAAAAGGTTACCTATGATACCCTTATTGCTTAATGCAACAAAAAATCTTTCTTTCCTCCCTTCCTTCCTTCCTTCCTTCCTTCCATCCTTCCTTCCATCCTTCCTTCCATCCTTCCTTCGTTTCTTTTTTGGCAAGACCTATCACTAGTGCCTGGTAATACAGTGTCATATCATTTGATTTTATGTTGCATCCAATGCAAACCCACAAACTCTGTGAAGTTGTTTCCAGAATTGACAGGTATTCTGTCTAGCCAAAGGGTCGGCATAATGTTTGGCAAGAATCAATGGCTCTAAAGTTGAAGAACCTAGTCAATTTTAGATCATTCATCAACACACTTTGGAGCAATTACATCCTAATGGCCACAGACCAAAGTGATTTGTTGTAGTTAGAAAATACATGCCAACACACAGTGGTGCTTCTGAGACCTCCAGGGGGCACTGAGAGGGTTCTTGGAGGGTAAAAAGTTGGTTGTCATGGAAACAAGATAGGTCCTCAGGAACAGAGAGAGCTTTTGAAGAAGGCTTCTGTTTTTCCTATGTCTGTGTTAAAGGGAGAGAAACCCATATTCCAGATAGCTCTGGAGGATTTTCATAGAAACAAAGTCCCAGGCAGAAACCAAAGTTTTTTTAAAAAAGAAAAAGCACAGATAAACTTCCTCTATAGAACTTAAATTCCACCAAATGAATTTACAAACAAAACAATATTAAAAATTATAAATTTTCTCCAAACTGTACCTGGTACCACCTGCTCCATCAGACAGGCATTGTAGGAGAGAGAGGCAGCATTAAGTGTTCTTTGAGCAGCCACCTGGAGTGTGGGCACACTTTGCCTTCTTGCTCCAGCCTGTCTGTCCCATCTTCTCACCAGCTGTTTGCCATCAGAAATCAGTTGCTGAAGCCAAACTCAGCTATTCAGCACACATTCCTAGTTCTTTGTTGTTCCTAGAAGGCTGCCCCCGTCCTGCAGTGCTCTCTCCACCTCCTCTCTGTTTGGGAATGTTTTCTCCATTCTTTGAGGATCCAAACAAGTCTTTTAATTTCCTAGAAGACTTCTCCAACTACAACTGCTTTTGCTAACATCTTTAAACCCTTAAAACTATGGTAGCCTCTAAGTACTATCTTGCACTTAGTGTTTTTTTGTTTTGTTTTGTTTTGTTTTAACCTATACTACTATACTACCTCATTAGAGTTAATTTCCTTAAAGGACCAAACTGGCTCACAATCTCCACTTAAGTCCATACCACAGACAGTCCATGCTTATGAAAGACAGAAGAATAAAACAGTAATTGTGAATTAATAATAATAAATATGATATAGTACAATCATTCTTTTTGGTGGAAATTTCTGTTTTTATTAGTAATTGTCAAACATGTGTCATGAGTGTTTAAGATTTACTTCTGACTCCTGTGGTCTATTCAAGATTCATATATGCTGTATCTTCACCTTCATGTGAACATTTTTTTACCTGTGGCCTCATTTTATTTTTTTATAATAATCTGAATGTGGTTAACCAAAAACAAAATTTCATAGGTGGAATAGTTGGAGTGGTATAGGTCCTGAAGAATTCAAAACTTTTAAATTACATGTGGAGAGTATTTGGCAACAGATAACTTTCTCTAATTCTATTTCTTTAAGGTGATTCCTTTGAGTAAAATATAATACTTCTTTTTTTATTATTATTATACTTTAAGTTCTAGGGTACATGTGCGCAATGTGCAGGTTTATTACATATGTATACCTGTGCCATGTTGGTGTGCTGCACCCATTAACTCGTCATTTACATTAGGCGTATCTCCTAATGCTACCCCTCCCCACTTCCCCCACCCCATGACAGGCCCCGGTGTGTGATGTTCCCCACTCTGTGTCCAAGTGTTCTCATTGTTCAATTCCCACCTATGAATAAGAACATGTGGTGTTTGGTTTTCTGTCCTTCCAATAGTTCGCTGATAATGATGTTTTCCAGCTTCATCCATGTCCCTACAAAGGACATGAACATTTTCTTAATCCAGTCTATCATTGATGGACCTTTGGGTTGGTTCCAAGTCTTTGCTATTGTGAATAGTGCCACAATAAACATATGTGTGCATGTGTCTTTATAGCAGCATGATTTATAATCCTTTGGGTATATCCGCAGTAATGGGATGGCTGGGTCAAATGGTATTTCTTTTTCTAGATCCTTGAGGAATCTCCACACTGTCTTCCACAATGGTTGAACTAGTTTACTTAAAGCAATATATAATAGTATTGCTTTGATACATATATATTATAGAGGTGTTCGTATTGAGAATATCACATTTTGTTGGCATGCTATATTTTCTGACCACAGTGGTTCTATTATAGAAACCAAAAATAAAATTTTAAGCCCCCCAACTAACTGAATGGACCCCTCCTCTCAGCCAAGGGCATTCTAAAGTAAACTTGAAACGCTAGTTCAGGCCATGATGGGAATGGGTGGTCAAACATGCCTCATTATACCTTTCTCCCTTTGGAATTCAAGCACAACTGATCAGTATTAACATTAAAACAGAGAACTTAAGACTGAGAAAACAGACTCTTTTTAGCAATAAGACACCAGTGTGACAAGATAGCAGGCTCTGAAATAAAGTATTTTACAACAGAAATATATTTCTTTGACATGTTTTGAAATGTCCCTGCAAAGCTGTGTTTTGTGGAAAAAAATGTACATTCTATAGAGAATTTCTTTCCTTTTCCAGGTCTTTTTCCTGATCCAAGAGAGAATTAACTAAGGGTCTGGCACCTTTTTAAGTCTGATAAGAAACATTTATAAACTATTCTGTTTGAAAGCTGCTACCTGGAGGCTTCATCTGCATAATAAGAACCTTGGTCTCCACAACCCCTTATCTTAATCCAAACACTCCCTTCTATTGATTCGAGGTCTTTAGATAAACTCTATCAACAAATTGCCAATCAGAAAATCTTTGAATCCACATAGGCCCTGGAACCCCCTTCCTCCACGTTGAGTTGTCCCACCTCTCCTGACCAAACTAATGTACATCTTACATGTATTGCTTGATGTCTTCTATCTCCCTAAAATGTATAAAACCAAGCTGCAGCCTGAGCACTTTGGGCACATGTTCTCACGATCTCCTGGGGCTGTTTCATGGGCATGGCCACTCACATTTGGGTCAGAATAAATGCCTTCAAATATTTTACAGAGTTTGAATCTTTTCTTCTGCAGTTACAATTTAACTGTGGACCATTAGCACCTCAGCTAGCATGCATGGAGCACATATCAGTAGTTTACTTCCTGCTTACTCATAAATGTGGCCACTAGGATGATATGAAATTTCCAGGGATCTTCCAAATCTCTGAAGCGTTTTTCAACCACACTGAACATGTCCCTTCCTGTCTTATTATGTTCAGCTAATGTTTGGAACTACCCCACTGGTATTCATTAAAAGAAAGACTTTAGACAAAATAAATTTAATGAAGTTTATTTGAGCAAAGAGCAATTTATGAACCAGGGATCACTCAGAACCAGAAGAGGTTCAGAGAGCTCTGCTGCAGCAGCAGAGTTAGCAAATTTGTACAGGCTAAACAAGAAAGGAAGGCAAAGAAAATAAATGTTATTGGTTAGAGTGGAAAGTTTATAGAGGTAGGTTAGCAGTTTCTGATTAGAGAAGTCTCTAGTTTCATTTTACTGTTTATGTTAGATGTTCATTTGCTTATGCAGAAACTTAAAGCACTGGCATTGACTAAAGGTGTCCCAATTTAAGTTTTTCTTTACATATTCAAGTTCAATTTTTTTCTGCCAAAATAATGTTTTAATAATAATTCTGATAGAAACTTGCTGGATAATTCTCATAGTTCAAAGAGAAAAAGGGATATTCCAAGTGTTTCTGTCTGGCTAAGAAAAGTTTCAAGGATCTTGAGGTGGAAGCTTACATGAAATAGGCAGGGAGAATGACTATGTATAATCAATACAGGGTGATTTTCATTTTTATGAAAACTATACTTATAGCTATGTGCAACAAAGCTATTTGGGTAGAGAAGATTCAAACTGAAAAAAAGCTAGCTTTGTACTTTTGTGTATTACTGAACTTTATTATTGCTGATATGAGGTTTCTAGAAACAGCAAAAAGTAGCCAACTTTCACAGCAAATTCAGGTGATTCCAAAAATAGCTGCAATATTATAAGTACCCAACAATGGGCAGCATCTATTTTCCCCAAAATATCAGGATAGAAAATCCAAAATGTTATTCTGTTATTTAAAAGCCTTTGGCATTAACCAGAGATAAGGGAGGGGAAGCCATTTCTATTGATCTATGGATAAAAACAAAATAGTGTAGTATTGAGTTAGCAATATTGGTGAGATGATAACTTCTTACATCGGAGAAGAGAAAAATATCGAGTACCGTGGGTAGATAAAAAGTAGGTTAGATTAGCAAATTTAGAAAAGAGTGTTAGCATCAGTGTGACCTTTGTATAGGAACAAGGAGAATAGTAAAGGAAACGGAATTCTATCACATTTTACTTTCTTTAGAATGCATAAGTGAGGGAAAAAGAACACAGCTCTTGTATAAAAAAGAAATAGGGTTTTCAAACTAAACAGCACAATCACAGTTTGTTGGTGAATCAGTAACAAATTTCTCCCCCATCTTATAGGAATTATATTATAATGAGAAATATTACATGTAAATAAGGTAATTATGACTCAAGTGAAAACTGTGCCTAGCTAGTTTCACCTTAAAAGAAAGGCTATCTGGGAATAAAAGGCCTTTGAGATTTCTTTATGTCATGGCACATACAGAAAATGCATGTGTGGTATACATAGAAAATATTTTTGTCATGGTGCTATGGTTTCAATGTGTCCCCCCTCCAAAATTCAGGTGTTAAAAACTTAATTATCATTGCAGCAGTATTGGGGGGAGGGGCCTTTCAGGAAGTGGTCATGTCATGAGTGCTGCATCCTCATGAATAAATTAATGCCATTGCCTGTGATCCCAACACTTTGGGAGGCCAAGGTGGGTGGATCTATTGAGCTCAGGAGTTTGAGACCAGCCCAGGCAACATGGCAAAATTCTGTCTCTACAGAAAATACAAAAATTAGCCAGGTATGGTGGTGAGAGACAGGACTAGTTGGATTTCCTAGGCCGACTAAGAATCCCTAAGCCTAGCTGGGAAGGTGACCACATCAACCTTTAAACACGGGGCTTGCAAATTAGCTCACACCCAACCAATCAGAGAGCTCACTAAAATGCTAATTAGGCAAAAACAGGAGGTAAAGAAATAGCCAGTCATCTATTGCCTGAGAGCACAGCAGGAGGGACAGTGATTGGGATATAAACCCAGGCATTCGAGCCAGCAATGGCTACCCTCTTTGAGTCCCCTCTCGTTGTATGGGAGCTCTGTTTTCGTTCTATTAAATCTTGCAGCTGCACTCTCTTCTGGTCCATGTTTGTTACGGCTTGAGCTGAGTTTTCGCTCGCCGTCCACCACTGCTGTTTGCTGCTGTGGCAGACCTGCCACTGACTTCCATCCCTCTGGATCTGGCAGGGTGTCCACTGTGCTCCTGATCCAGTGAGGCGCCCATTGCCACTCCCAATCAGGCTAAAGGCTTGCCATTGGTCCTGCACGGCTAAGTGCCTGGGTTCGTCCTAATCAGGCTGAACACCAGTCACTGGATTCCATGGTTCTCTTCCGTGACTCACGGCTTCTAATAGAGCTATAACAGTCACCGCATGTCTCAAGATTCCATTCCTTGGAATCCATGAGGACAAGAACCCCAGGTCAGAGAACACGAGACTTGCCGCAATTTTGGAAGCGGCCCGCCACCATCTTGGGAGCTCTGGGAGCAAAGACCCTATGGTAACAGTGGGATAGTCTTAGCTAGTTGGGAGGCTGAGGTGGGAGGATGGCTTGAGCCCAGGAGGCAGAGGGTGCAGTAAGCCAAGATCATGCCACTGCACTCCAGACTGGGCAATAGAGCCCTGTCTCAAAATAATAATAATAATAATGACATTATAAAAAAGCTTACAGGAATGCATTCAGTCTCTTCTGCTTTTCTGCCATGTGAGGACAGAACAGTCATCCCCTTTTTGTCCTCCTACTTTCTGCCATGTGAAAGTGTAGCTAGAGGTCTTCATCAGATACCAATACCTAGATCTTGGACCTCCCAGCCTCCAGAGCTGTGTTAAAAAATTCCTAATTTTTATAAATTCCCCAATCTCAGGCATTCAGTTATAGCAGCACAAATAGGGTAAGAAACATGGCACACTGGCATAAATGGACAGGCTGGGCAATTGGCCCAGGCTCACTGGATCCCCAGGCCTTGCACAACCTTTTTGTGGCTTAAGGGGATCAATATCTCCTTAGGTACTGTATTAGTTCATTTTCATGCTGCTGATAAAGACATACTCGAGACTGGGAAGAAAAAGAGGTTTAATTGGGCTTATAGTTCCACATGGCTGAGGAGGCTTCAGAATCATGGTGGGAGGCAAAAGGCACTTCTTACATGGCGGCAGCAAGAGAAAATGAGAAGATGAAAAAGTGGAAACCCCTGATAAAACCATCAGACCTCATGAGACATATTCACTACCATGAGGACAGTATGGGGAAACTGCCCCCATCATTTAAATTATCTCCCACCAAGTCCCTCCCACAACACATGGAAATTATGGGAGTACAACTCAAGATGAGATTTGGGTGGGGACACAGAGCCAAACTATATCATTCCACCCCTGGTCCCTCCAAATCTTATGTCTTCACATTTCAAAACCAATCATGCCTTCCCAACAGTCTCCAAAAGTCTTAACTCATTTCAGCATTAACCCAAAAGGGCATAGTCCAAAGTCTCATCTGAGACAAGGCAAGTCCCTTCCACCTATGAGACTGTAAGATCAAAAGCAAGCTAGTCACTTCCTAGATACAGTAGAGGTACAGGTATTGGGTAAATATAGCAACTCTGAATGGGAGAAACTGGCCAAAACAAAGGGGTTACAGGGCCCATGCAAGTCTGAACTCCAGCAAGGCAGTCAAATTTTAAAGCTCCTAAATGATCTCGTTTGAGTCTAGATCTCACATCTAGGTCACGTTGATGCAAGAGGTGGGTTCTCTTGGTCTTGGGTAGCTCCCCCTGCTGTGGCTTTTCAGGATATAGCCTCCCTCCTGGCTGTTTTCATGGGCTGACATTGAGTGTTTGTGGCTTTTCCAGGCACATGGTGAAAGCTGTCAGTGGATCTACCATTCTAGGATCTGGAGTGTGATGGTTCTCTTCTCACGGCTCCACTAGCCGGTGCCCCAGTAGGGACTCTGGAGGCTCCCACTCCACATTTCCTTTCTGCACTGCCCCAGCAGAGGTTCTCCATGAGAGCCCCGCCCCTGCAGCAAACTTCTACCTGGACATTCAGGCATTTCTATACATCTTCTGAAACCTAGGCAGAAGTCCTGAAACCTCAGTTCTTGACTTTTGTGCACCCACAGGCTCAACACCATGTGGAAGCTGCCAAGTCTTGGGGCTTCTACCCTCTGAAGCCACAGCCCAAGCTCTAGGTTGGCCCCTTTCAGCCACAACTGGAGCAGCAAGGCATCAAGTCCTTAGGCTGCACACAGCTCAGGGACCCTGAGCCCAGCCCCCAAAACCACTTTTTCCTCCTAGACCTCCGGTCCTGTCATGGGAAATGCTTCCGTGAAGACCTCTGACATGCTCTGGAGACATTTTTCCCTTTGACTTCGAGGCTAACATTTGGCTCCTCATTACCTATGCAAATTTCTGCAGCCAGCTGTAATTTTGCCTCAGTAAATGGGATTTTATTTTCTATCACATTGTCAGGCTTCAAATTTTCTGAACTTTTATGCTCTGTTTCCATTTTAAAATGGAGTGCTTTTAACAGCACCCAAGTCACCTTTTAATGGTTTGCTGCTTAGAAATTTCTCCTGCCAGATACCTTAAAACATCTCTCTCAAGTTCAAAGTTTCACAAATCTCTAGGGCAGGGGCAAAATGCTGCCAGTCTCTTTGCTAAAATATAACAAGAACCATCTTTGCTCCAGTTCCCAACAAGCTCCTCATCTCCGTCTGAGACCACCTCAGCCTGGACATTATTGTTCTAATCACTATCATCATTTTTGTCAAAGCCCTTCAACAAGTCTCTAGGAGGTTCCAAACTTTCCCACATTTTCCTGTCTTCTTCCGAGCCCTCCACTCTGTTCCAACCTCTGCCGGTTACCTAGTTCCAAAGTCACTTCCATATTTTTGGTGATCTTTTCAGCAGCACCCCACTCTACTGGCACCAATTTACTGTATTAGTCTGTTTTCATGCTACTGATAAAGATATACTTGAGACTGGGAATGAAAAGAGGTTTGCTTGGACTTACAGTTCCACATGGTTGGGGAGACCTTAGAATCATGGTGGGAGGTGAAAGACACTTCTTACATGGTGGTGGCAAGAGAAAATGAGAAGATGACAAAGGGGAGACCCCTGATACAACCATCAGATCTCATGAGACTTAATCACTACAATGAGAACAGTATGGGGGAAACCACCTCCACTATTAAAATTATCTCCCACCAGGTCCCCCCAACAACACATGGGAATTATGGGAATACAATTCAAGATGAGATTTGGGTGGGGACACAGAACCAAACCATATCAGGTACCCAGAATGCCTTCACTGAAAATCAGTACACTCCAGCTCGTCTTCAGACAATGATTAAAACCAGTAAGGAAAGAACCTGTGTTTTTAGTAAAGGGGTCAAATTGGGCCTGTGTGCTCTTAAGTTTCTGGATAACACCTGTGGAATCTCTTACTGTTTTAGTTGCAAACAGCTTGAATAAATCAAATAATTGCACATTAATATTTCCTGACTAGTTCAAACTTGGCATTACCTTTGGAATGGGATTTTGGATTGAAGAACAGAAGTCATCTTTCTGTATTTTGGCTTGTTCTTGTAGACATTATAGCAACTTGTTTCTTGGATTGATTTCCCTACCCTATGCTGTCAGCCAAAAGATTAGAGGTGGCCTAGAGCTCCAGAGGAAAAATGTAGCAAAGATTCAAAATACAATAGCTAAATTCAAGTATTTACTTTCATAACTTCTAATATTTTTGTCCATATCATACTATCCATCCTTCTGAAAATGAGAAACTTATTAAAGCTTTGAGTTGAATTTTGAGTAAAAAGTTAATTATTACATTTGTAAATTACCTTTGCAATATAATAAAGCATAGGTAAAATATGCCTTAATTCAAGAATAAAAGATGTTAACACAGATCATAAAATGGTAATCTGTTGCCAAAGCTAACAATATACTACAGGAACCACAAACTCCTCTTTTGTTTCCTAAATGTCTTGAGATACTTTGCCCCAGCCTTAGCTCTCTGTCTGACAGTATCTCAGAATGCTTGCCACAGGATAGCTTTCTGTTTTCTTCTAAGCCTATACCAAAAGATCAGCCAATTGATAAGTAACAAAATCATTTCACCAGAAGTCTTAAATTATAATCAAATGAGGCAAAGGAGGTCCAATTTGTGACCAGCAACCAGTTTAGTCATTGTTTGTTAGAGCCAAAATACACTGGTACTTACTAGATGGAGACGTTACTAGGGTCCCTTGTTCTTAGAACTCCCAAGATGGTGGCAGGCCGCTTCCAAGATGGTGGCAAGCCTCTTGTTCTCTGAGCTGGGGTTGTTGGCCTCACGGATTCCAAGGAATGGAATCTTGGACCACGCGGTGGGTGTTACAGCTCTATTAGAAGCCATGGGTCATGGAAGAGAACTGTGGAACCCACAACTAGTGTTCTGCTTGATTATGACAAACCTGGGCACTTAGCCGTGCAGGAACAATGGCAAGCCTTTAGCCCGATTGGGAGTGGCAATGTGCGCCTCACTGGATCAGGAGTGCAGCAGACACCCTGCTGGATCCGGAGGGGTAGAAGTCAGCTGCGGGTCTGCGACGGCAGCAAACAGCAGTGGTGGACAGCAAGCGAAAGCTCAGCTCGAGCCCTAACAAACACGGACCAGAAAAGTGTGCAGTTCCAAGATTTAATAGAGTGAAAACACAGCTCCCATGCAATGGGAGGGGACCCAAAGGGGATTGCCATTGCCAGCTGGAATGCCTGGGTTTATATCCCGACCATTGTCCCTCCCTCTGTGCTCTCAGGTGATAGATGATTGGCTATTTCTTTACCTCCTGTTTTTGCCTAATTCGCATTTTAGTGATCTCTCTTTACTACCTGATTGGTCGGGTGTGAGCTAAGTTGCAAGCGCCATGTTTAAAGGTGGATGCGGTCACCTTCCCAGCTAGGCTTAGGGATTCTTATTCAGCCTAGGAAATCCAGCTAGTCCTGTCTCTCAGAGATGTGACAGCTTTTCCCTTTGATATTAAAAACCTAATCTGTAACTCAGACTCAGGATCTAGGACATTGGTAGGTTCACAGTATGAACCTATACAGTTTGAACATGGCAAGGATTGACATGCATGAATTGGGCTTTAGGCAGTTCATTTCCATCTTTGCATTGCTATCCAATAATATTTTTTGTGCTGTAATTGTTTTTCTCATTTTTATCCATTTTTACATTTTTCACCTTTTTAAATTTATCTTTTCCCTCTTTTTATTTACGACAGGGATCAGATTCAGTATATGCTGTCCCAAAACACTGGCATCTGAGAAAACAGCAGAAGCATTTTACTCTCACCTCTCCCACTTTTCCCCTGAAGTAGGTCAAAAGATCCTCATTGCGAAGTCCCCTCCTTATACCCAGAGAAAGGAAACATCCTTACCTTTGAAGGAACAGGGACACAGGAAAGAATCCTAGTAAGTCTTATTTTATTTATTGTCATTAGAGCATACCTTTTTATCCAATCATACTTCTCCACGACTATTCACTTTTTCATCAAACTTAGCATAAAAAACACACAGGTTTACCTGTTTATTTTGGTCTTCATTTCCTTGTGAAGGCTCCTATGTCACTTAAAACTAATATTAAACAAATGTTTATGTTTCTCTCTTGTTAAATTGCTTTATGTTATAAGGGCCACAGCGATGAATCTAGTGATGGGTAAAGAAAAGAAATCTTTTCTCCTCTACATAAGCAAATAAGCTAGTACTCACATATATGAAAGAAATCCCTTTTGTACTCTATAATTTATTTTCCTTGAGGAGTGGAAGCTATTATGAAATTACTGAGGCTTAGAAAGAACTGAATGAAAAATTAAGCATTTTCTGCATAAGCAATATGAGAAAGATATTTTCTTTATGATTTTGCCACTAATTCTTAAACACAAATCCAGCCTGATAATGTTTTCTTCCTCGTTAATATTAATTTACTTTGGGGAGCTACACTAGAAACACGGAGAAAATAAGTACACTCAGCCAACCTATATGTGCTTGCTTCAACTGTAAGTTAACAAACCAAAACCAAAAAATGAGTATCTGCATTGCCTGATGTACCAACATAGACTTAAAATGGCACATAAGACAACTGAAAGATGTACTATATATTAACAGAATCTCTCCAACAAGAAAAACAAAATACTCATTTTGTTTTGTGCTTAAAAGTCAGTCACAAGATGTCTATCTAGTGCTGTCTGAAAAATCTTTACTACAAAGGCAATGCAACTTCTCATAAACTCTCAGTGGTGCTGATAGAACCAGACATGCTGATGGATTATAACAACAGAACAAATCACGAAGTGAGCAGAACAATGGCTCTCTGTTGTTGAAAAAGAAAGGGAAGAAAAGCAAAGTAAGAGACAGGAAGGGAAAGGATGACAGGTAGTCTTGAATACAATGAATTGGTTACAAAAAGATACTTAAAACGTAATACATTGGATTGTCCAAATTGTGATCAATATTTTTATACTGTTAAAACTGATAATAACTTGTTTCTCTTGTTACACATTGTAGATATCATTAATAATCAGAATTATATTGTTTTAATATATCAGAATCGTATTAAGTTTATGGTGTTTTTCAAAATAAAGTATGTACAAATATATGCAGGGGGACTGTTGCAAGAAAAAAAAGTCAATACAAAAGATTAAAATTTTTTTGGTCTGATGTAAAAAGTAGTCCTAACTTATGTAATCACTGACTGGCTCAGTATGATTTGCTTCACAAAAGTGATAATTTAAAAAAATTTTAAATATTTTATATATAATGTTTTTCAGTTATCTATCTGCATGAGAACTACTCAATATTAGCTCTTCTGCCACCCCTCTTACACTGCAAACTTTAATAAAAGCAGTGTTCTAATGTCCTAATACTAGATCTTTTGATATTTTTTAAATAGTTTTATGCTTGGGCAAAATTCGTTGAAAACAAACAACATAAAATTTACTCTAAAATTTTTCTTGTCTTTTACAACAAGTACCACTGAGTGTCTGACATTTGAAAATTTTTCTGCTGCCCCTAAAATGTTGCTTAAATATGTCTCCTAAATGAGCAACATATTCTTTGCAGGTTTTTAAGAGAGCTCTCTATTCAGAAAGCACAAATATTAAAGTGTGAATTGAGAAAAGTAATGAAATCCAGTTACTTTGAGTCTAAGTACTCATATATGTTCAAATTCACCAAAGTTTTGCAGTTTCAAAACACAAGAATAAAATTATTTGTCGTGGGGAAATCTGTATTTGTTTTGGCTCTGCTCTACTATTTGGAATGTTGTTGATACCTCTGGGTTCTTTACTATTTATTCTTCCAAATGCATACTCCTAATACAATTTATTAATGCTAAAGAAATTTTGTAGCTTAATCATTTAATATTGTTACAAATAGTCAAGTACTAGCAGTGAGAATAAAAAATGCACCACAAATGTGAGTACCTTGTTGAAACATAATAACAGATATATCCACCAGCAATAAATGCATTAAATTGGGTAGTAGAGAAGTTTCTTATATCACAATCTGAAATATGTATGTCATAAATTCACAATTCTGTGTTTTGCATCATAGAAAACACACTTTTGAAAATTCAAAAGGGATATATCCAAAAGAAGCATTCTTTTGTTTTCTACTCTCTTGCCATGATATCCTGTAATGGCCAGCTTCATCCATGATTTCATGTGTCTGCAGCTATACCACAGTACAAGCCTGTAACATTTCCCTACAAGGAGTAATTATCTTTGATGTTAATCCCTGATGTGACAGCCTATTAAAAGTATTATTTTAATTACTAAATGTACTTTTAAAAATTACAACCTAATTTTTTCAGAAGATGTACCCAATTATGAGTCCATGGCTTGTATGCATTGTATTACTTAAGAATTGACCAGTGCCCTACTTATACCAAAACATCTTCTCCAGCATCCAACAGTGTCTGTACCACTCATGTTAAAATCAGCCTTATGTTATAAGACATAGGATCTCCAAAATGTCACTCAGTTGATAGAAGTTTCAATTTATTGACTGATTAATATCTAATTTATAATAAAGAGGACCTAGTGGAATTGGCTGCAGGTCAGGTAAGAATTTATTTGAAAGAAAATTATGACAAAATTTTGGGAAAATTGAGCTGTCCCAGAAGTGCAGGGTGCAGTGTCTAAGGCAATAGAATGAAAATATTGAGAGAACTAGGTAAAAGAAGATGGAGAAAAGTGAATTAATGAGGCTGGAAAAGAGAAATGCATTAAGTTTACTGAATACATAAAATGTAAGTTAACTTAGTAAATCTAAAAAGGAATGTTCGTGCTAACATGACTGTAACACAGAGGCACACTATATAGGAGAGAGACACACAGAAGAGTAGACTGTTTTATATTCTTTTGAATACTGACATGAGAGCAGTGGTGGGTTCTACTTGATCCCCAGTCCCCTCCTATTCTGCAACCAGTTTATCCAGCTTCTGATTTCACCAACCAAAATCAGCCCCCAAACTACTACCACATACTTGGCAGCAGCTTCCACAGACGGTGGTGATTTTCACAGATGCCTCCATGACCACCTTCTTCATGATCTCACTTTCATGAGCAGATGATCTTACCTTCTCAGACATTCCCACAAGCTGTTACTGATCACTTACCCACCCATATGAGTAATTTGGGCTAAGATGTTTGCTATTTCTCTGTTCCTTCAGCTTCTCACTTCTCCAGTTCCTCCCACATTTGTATCGCTTTAATTCCTATATTAAGCCTCTCATTTCCAATGCAGCTCGCAATAATTCTGTATTCTTAATTGAATACTGACAAAGACATTGATACCTGAGATGGAACAGTTTTTTAATTATTCATGTCTCACTGTATCCACTTATTTCACAGTATACTCCCACACTTAAACTTGACTCATTATGACTTGCTTTGGCCAATGCACAGAAGCAATTTTGATGGAAGCAGAGGATTGAAAAGGTCTTGAATATATCTGCTTTTTCTCATGAAGCCTTGCCACTGCTACGTTAACATGCAGGTTCTCCTGCAGAAGAATGTGGAAGAGAATGAATTTATGCAAGCCAAGGTTATCCCAGGCAAGTCAGAGCCCAACAAAGCCACCAGCTGACCACAGATGTATAAAGGATGAGATCAGCCAAGCCTCATCTAGATCATCAGAACAGCCAGCCAAAAAGCAGAACCATGAAAAATAACAAATGCTTGTTGCTTTAAGCCACTCATTTGGGGAGAAAGTTGGTATGCAGAAATAAATAACTGATACAGTAAAATAAGTAAAGTTAAAGGGAACACAGCTTCAAGTATAGGCATCTGGAAATGAAGAATGCATATAGAATTAAGGGCATTGGCAAATGCCTCATCTCAGTGGGTTGATTGCCTCATATTGTTGATTGGGACTTGGGGGAAAGATCATGGGTAAGGAAGTTTAAGGTAAAGGCATATGGATGAACTTACAAAAGTAAGCCTAAAGCATGACTATGAAAGTAAGCATAAAGTTGCATGTTGATGTCCATGAGTGAACAATCACCACATAAAAAGCCTAAAAAGAATAATTGATATAATGACATAGCCAAGTGATCTGAGCCACCTTCTGACATCAGTTGATATCAGCCAGCTTCTGATATTAACTACCCCATTGAGGACACACTGGGCTTATGAATAGACAATCTATGATGATGAAGATATAGCATATGCATGGGCCCTACAGCATGGACTCCTACTTGCCAAGGCTCTTCTAGCTACTGTTACTGCCCAATGTTCAACATGCCATCAATAGAGACTGAATCAGAGCCCCTAATAAAGTGCTGTCTAGGGTGACCAATAATCCCAGTATGTCTACACCTGAGGATTTTGCCAGGACAGAGGACATTCAGTGCTAAATCCAGTTCATTCTCAGGTAAATTATCCCTTACGAAAACCAAACAACCAATTGGTGGCAAGTTAACTACATTGTAACCCTACAATCCTGGAAAGAGCAGTGAGTGCTCTTAACTGGAATGTTCATAAATATTTGGTTAGGTTTTTCTTTCCTATCCACAGAGCCTCAATTAACTTGCAGAATATTTAAACAAATGTCACATCATCATGCACAACATCATCTCAAACTCAAAGAGCCATTCTGTAGCAAAGGAGGTGTGATGTTGGACGTGTGGACACAGGATACACTGGTCCAATCACATACTGCACCACTCAGAGGCTGCCAGCCTAAGGTAGCATTGAGACAGCATTTTGATTATACAGCTGAGGTGTTAAATTGGAGATGTGACTCTGCAAGGATGGGACACCAAACTCCAGATGTGGTTTTCACCCTAAATCAAGAGCCATTATATGGTGCCATGTCCACAATAAATGAAATACATACGTCTAGGACAAAGGATGGAGTTAGGAGTGACTTTGCTCATTGTCAATTCCATCAACCCACTGAAAGAATTCATGCTTCCTATTCTACAACATTAGATTCTAGAATTCTTCAGGTATTCTTCTAAGAGATAGCCTATCAATAGTGTCAATAAAATTTAAGCTACACATGTTTCTCAATGATTTTGAGCTCCTGATGCCAAGGAAAGTAGTCACCAGCCTGGCAGAGATTATTGATTCTGATCACCAAAAGGAAGTAATGAAGCTGAAAAAAAGTATGTTGGGCACCCAGATGATCCAACAGGGCATTTATTAATACATCTTTCCACAATTTTGACTATAACAAGTGCAACAAACCACCCCAAAATACCTAGAGTGTGCTGCCCCTCTGCACAGAAATTTCCTTCCCTCGCTTAGAAACCTAGTGAACTCATATTCATTTTAAATGTTTTCCTTGACACTCTTAGTAAAGGATCTCTTTCTCCACTACCCTGACACCTTTAAGCATTTATACTAAACATTAACACTGTCATTTTTTATTTGTATGTGCATTGCTCTTCTATAACGGTAAGCAATTTAAATTGAAAAATATGCATTATTCCCCTTTCAGTTCAGGATTTAGAATTGTTCTTGATAAATACATGATTATCAGCAAATACGTGTTAAAGGAATAAAAAGGAGGAAGGATTGTCACTTTTTCTCTGAAATATTTGCTTTACCCCCACCCTATTCTTTATCAAGCATGCAGAGCTCTATTGTTTTCTTTGTAAGGAAAAGAATCTCCTCTTCTGCTGAATTCTAAGCAATTGGCATGCAAGAGATTTTTTGCCTTTCATCTCCTATATTTAGGAGAGTGCATCACTCAGATTAAATGCTTAATACATATTGAATGAAGGAATAAAAATATTAAATTTCCTACTGTTACTGCCTTAAAGCAAAACTAAAAGCATAACATAGTAATATCAAAAAGACTTGTTAGAAAACCCATTCACACTTGACTTTTTAAAAATATCTGTCAAGATGATTATTTTAAAAGAATCTGAAAATCTTAGAAATACTAAGGAAAGGATGTATGTTTTAAGTCATTGAGAGTTGTGTTTCAACTTCAGTTTTGATGCTAGTCAGGTGAATTCTGGATTTCATTATACACTCTAAGCTTCTATTTCCTCATTTTTAAAACAAAGATAAACCTCTACTTCGCAAGAATTTTATGAAATTTAAATGAGAAAATGAATTTAAAAACAGGCTAATACACAGTAGACACTTGGTAAACAATAGCCACTATTATTTTTTCATTGTTTTTAATATCATCATCATCATTAATATAAACCTGCTTGGAGCTCACACACTACCATAGTTAATATTGCTGTTTTTAAAAGGATTCTCCTTAAATTTGGACAAGTGGAAGGTCATATGGATTGTGGTAATTTGTGATTTTTAAACAGGCAATTGAGAATTCTTTTCCCTCTTACAACAAACACATTTCCATCTTTCCAGTACTGTCAATGAAAAATATTTTTTTCCTTGAAATCTAAGTCCTTCACTGAATGTCCTATTAAGCTGTGTCGTGAGCCCGGCGCAGTGGCTCACGCCTATAATCCCAGCACTTTGGGAGGCCAATCGCGCCACTGCACTCCAGCCTGGGTGACAGAGCGAGACTCCATCTCAAAAAACAACAAAAGCTATGTAGTCAAAAGACTGACCCAGACCCATTTTGGAAGTATTCTTTCCCTATTTGTTTACGAAGAAGTAAAGATTCTTCTTCTTCTTTTTTTTTTTTTTTTTTTTTTTTACCATTTTAGAAAACACTAACATGTTATTGTCTCATGTGTTCATGTAAAGAGACCACCAAACAGGTTTTGTGTGAGCAACAAGGCTGTTTATTTCACCTGGGTGCAGGTGGGCTGAGTCCAAAAAGAGAGTCAGCGAGGGTGGTGGGATTACCATTAGTTCTTATAGGTTTTGGGATAGGCGGTGGAGTTAGGAGCAATGTTTTGTGGGCAGGGGGTGGATCTCAGGAAGTACATTCTCAAGGGTGGGGAGAATGCAAAGAACCTTCTTATGCGTGGGGGAGATTACAAAGAATCTTTTTAAGGGTCGGGGAGATTACAAAGTACATTGATCAGTTAGGGTGGAGCAGAAACAAATCACAATGGAGGAATGTCATCAGTTAAGGCGATTTTCACTTCTTTTGTGGATCTTCAGTTGCTTCAGGCCATCTGGATGTATACGTGCAGGTCACAGGACATATGATGGCTTAGCTGGGGCTCAGAGGCCTGACAATTACCATATATAACATACTCCTGCATTTTATCTCATAGATTTTCAGGGACAGAGTAAGCACCCATTGTCCATTTACTTACTTGTATTTATTTTAATCTAAAGGAATTCAGAACATATCATCCCCAAATATGCCATTTTGGCACATTAGTTATTTTGAGCTTAAAAAATTGAGAACCAGCCAACACAGTAAAAGTTCTTTACCTCCCCCTCAACTGCCTAAAATATAAATTTCCCCTTTGTAAAGGAAATGTACATCTATTTTAAATTTTTCATTAGTAAAAATATCAGTACCAGGAAAAAAATCTATTCTGAGATAACTTTATCACCTGAAAGACTTTTATCTTCATAACAATGCAATTTTTATTCATCATCTTCCTCCCTTCACCTTCCTGTAACTTGCCTTCACCACGTTCCAGAAGCACCAAACCACAGTTATTTTCTGTAGCTCAGGATGCTATATAAGCCTCAATTAACTGGCCTTTTCTCGTATGAACTTCTGTGCATATACACATAAAATTGCTTTTCTCCTGTTAATCTGTCTTATGTCAATTTAATTCCTAGACCAACGAACCATTTTTCACCCCTTTCAAAAAACCAACAAAAATATATAACTCTCATGAAAATAAATTAAAACCATCCAAATGAGAATATGCAAAGACTGTTTATTTAGAGCTTGCCATAAAGCAAGGGAGTCAGCCACCATCAATTGCTTTTGGCAAAGATTCAAAGTCCAGCAGGGGAGTGAGAAATCTTCAAAGTGAAATTGTAGGTTGTTGGCCTTGGGTAGCTGGAGGCAGGCTAACTAGAAGTGAAGGTACCTATTTGGCTCTCTATGGTTAATTCCGAACAGGAACCAGAAGCAAAATTAGGGAAGCTGTTATTTACTGATCAAGTCATGACCATTTTGCACAGTTTGTGGTTTGGCTTCCTGAACCAGTTGTTACAGAGTTTGCAGATTAGAATTTTATTTTTACATATGGTCTGGCCATTGTTGGTGTATATATTCAATTTCTCCCTCTTTTTCTCACATAGAAAGAGGACCCGCTCAGAATACTAGCATTTATTTGCATGCTGGTCCACACTTATAAAAATGAGTTTCAAAATATATTTATAAATTCAAATATATTTCTACACTAGAATTAAAGCATACTTTTTTCTTTCTTTCTTTCTTTCTTTTTTTTGAGACAGTCTCACTCTGTCACCCAGGCTGGAGTGCAGTGGCGCCATCTCGGCTCACTGCAACCTCCACCTCCCAGGTTCAAGCTATTCTCCTGCCTCTGCCTCCCAAGTAGCTGGGATTACAGGCACACACCTCCACGCCCAGCTAATATAAAAATACAAAAATTTTTTTGTATTTTTAGTAAAGACAAGGTTTCACCATGTTGGCCAAGCTGGTCTCAAACTCCTGACCTCAAGCCATCCACCCGCCTCAGCCTCCCAAAGTTCTGGGATTACAGGCATGAGCCACTCTGCCCGGCCTGAGTTAAAGCATACTTTAAAAAAAAATTGTGTATAGATTTCTATGTGAAATAGATATATTTGTATTGACTTAAGCTTTATGTTGTTGTTTGTTTTGGGAGGAGTCTCAATAATGCCCAAGAGGAGATCAGAGATCTTGAATTGGAGATATTTTAAGGACAATTTTGAAAACCAAGATGAAAATACTTTAAAGGTTACCATTGACAGAGTAGGAGCATCACCATCTTGGACAAGCCCCTCATTCTAAAGTTCACCTTAATCAAACACCCCCTAAATCCAAGAGGTATCAGCTAAGGTCAGCACAAAAATAAACCACAACTAACATCTCCAACCAGAAACATTCCAAATTCCTCCTCAGCCAGACACATGCTAGCCCAGAAATAACCCCTCTCTGGCAGGGAAGGTTTCAGCCTCAAGATAACCCCCTCCAGCCGGAAAGATGTCAGCCCCAAGATAACCTCCCCTCTACCCAGACACATTCCAACTCTGCCATAAGCTTCCCTCACACAGAAACATTCCAAGCTTGTGATAAGCCCCCTCACCCTAAAACCAATATACACTCTTAGTCTGTAAGAGAAGGTGCTCCTGACGGAAATCGACCAGAAGACCCTCTCAGGTTTATTTTCTCTAAAATAAATGTGTCTTTAACTAACTGTCAAGCTGAATTTCATGTTTTTTCTCTCTTTCTTTAACTCTTACAACCATAACTAGCAGAAACCTTGACAGTTTACTATCGGTGTTCCTTACACAATGATTACAACCCCCAAGAGAAGAGCAATCTTACTGTGAAATTGTTTTTTTTTTAAACTGGAAATAATTAAATCTGATATATAAAATAATTCATGAGCCATACAAGGTCTTCAAAAGCAATTTTGAATAAATATTGAATAAATATTTATTTTATTCAATAAAAGCAATTTTGAATAAATTATTTTTATCTTTAGGAAGGGTTCACAACAAATTCTAAAGTATGCATAAAAATAATTTCAAATAAAGACATGATTCTGCATTCTTACACTTGCTTTACTCTGGGTAAAACAAAAGTTTTGAATATAGCATCATGTTACCTTTAAGAAGTTGAAAAATAATCAACTTCTGAATACGAAATTATTAAAGAAAAGTTTATAGTACAATTTCTTGATTTAAAGAAGGATCTGCTTTAAGTACAAATGTTTAATGTAAGTTAAATAAATTGTCTTCTTCAAACCATTTTTTCATTATTTCCAATAAATATTTATTGAATACACAAAAGAAGACAAGACTGAGGATGAGAGCTCAAACAAGACCATCATACATAATATATTTTGCCTGAACTACATTTTATTTTTTTATTTTTTTCTTTCATCATTGAGATTTTATAGGTTGAGGACCAGTACAGACGTTTCAATTTGTACACAATTCTTAACATACGTACCGAAAATCTAAAAGGCCATGTATTGTAATTCTTTTTTAAAGTTGTTCCAGTGACTTTCCCTCTTAAAATTTGGAAGCAAACTTTCCTTAAAGGCTATCAAGTACCAGTGCCTTCACATGTTGATAAGCTGTTAAATACGTCCCACCAATTCACAACTGAATAGCATATACACGACATATTCAAATTTTTAATCTTTCACAGCACAGTAACAAAGTTATTAGGAAATCAGGACTACCACAACCAAAGATGTTACAGAGTGCACACATTTCTCACAGGGAGAGCCATGATCAAGGAGTAGTTTTCTTTGGGAAATAATTCTACTACAAAACATAGGAATAGAAGTAATTTAAAATATTCAAGACATTAAATGCAGGACATACTCTATATTGCCATTTAACCTGCTCTGTATTATAGGATATAAAAACCAACCTCCCCAGCTATGGAATGTTAAGCTGACACTCAAGACAGCCAAAGCCTCCCATAATTCAATATCCCACAGTATTTTCTGGTTGTACCAAAAAATAAACAACCAGCGAATAATTTCACCTCTTAAAAAAAAAACATTTACACTTAAATAATGGGATGAGGTGTGATTCCCTCCTTCTTAAAAATGTTCCTAGAGCTACTAAAAAACTTGCATTTACAGAATAGTTGATAAAAAATATTCCTCTGGATTGTACAAGAAGGGAGACAGGTACAGCTGATAAGACATGGTATATGATATTAATCAGACTTGGCTTCTTTCTCTCCTGCTTTATCAGAGGCTGGACTCTCCTCAGTTTTCGTTTCCCCGTTTTCTGCAGGTAAATCTTCAGTTTCTTGGTTAGCCACTTAGGCCTGTTTTCCCTTTGCTCCCCTTTTCCCTTTTGTTTGCACCTTTTTGTCTGAAGATATATCTTTCCCTGCTGCCCTTTTCAGCTTCTTTTCCACTTTTTCAGGAGCAGGTTTAGCTAACAACCGCTCCGATCTCCTCTTGGGCTCTTCCTTGGCGGCCCCTTTGTCAGAGCTGACCTTCCTCTTGGGCATCCTGGCAGCGGGGAGGGCATGTGCCAGGATCCTGCGGACGGGGGCGCACCTAGAGCCTTCGCGAAGCTGGGCTGCAGTTCCTCCCGCCGCCCGAGCTGCTGAGACCCACTGCCTTAACTACATTTTGAAAACTTGAACCAACATTTCAAAATCAGGACATTTCATATACAAGTCTGGATGTCAGTCTTCCCTTGAACAACCAGGGCCTGCATTTGCGTAGATCAGCTCAACAAAGGAGGCAGAGAAGGGTATGTGATGTTCACCACAGCTCTGACAACTCCCCAGTGAGACTCTGCCTCTCTCAATTGTCCTGCCACCGTTTTTATCTCCAAATAAATACGTTTTATACCTTCATGTCTATAAAGAATTGAAAAGCAAAAGATAGACCAATAAAGTATCACATTTTAAGAAAAAGGGAAAAATATATTTTCCCTTTTAAATTTCAACTACCTTCTTTAATTTAAATTAAATATCCAAAGACTTTCTGTAATAAAGAAGATAAAATCCAGCCCACTTCAACTGCTTATAAAGGTTGAGTATTAGGCCGTGGTTCACACATATAATCTCAATGCTTTGGGATGCTGAAGCTCCAGAGGATCACTTAAGCGTAGGACTTCAAGACCAGCCTGGGCAACAAAGCAAGACCCAATAAATAAATAAATAAATAAGTAAGTAAATAAACAAATAAAGTTAGCAAAGCAAGACCCAATAAATAAATAAGTAATAAATAAATAAATAAATAAATAAAGTTAGCCAGGCATGGTGGCATGCACCTGTGGTCCCAGCCACTCCAGGGGCTGAGGTGGGGGATCGTTTGAGCCTGGGAGGTCAAGGCTGCAGTGAGCTGTGATCTAGCCACTGCACTCTAGCCTGGGTAACAGAGTGAGACCCCCTCTCAAAAAAAAAAAAAAAAAGAGCAAAAAAGCTTGAGTATTTCTTATCCAAAATGCTTTGTACCACGAGTATTTCAGGGTTTCTTGGATTTTGGAATATTTGTATATATGTAATGAGATATCTTGGGAATAGGAACCGAGTGTAAACACAAAATTCTTTAGATTAACATACACCTTATAAACACAGCCAGAAGGTAATTTTATACACTATATTTTGATAATTTTGTGCATGAAACAAAGTTTGTGTACACTGAACCATCAGAAAGCAAAAGTGTCACCATCTAAGCCACCCATGTGGACAATCTGCGGTTGTTTGGCATCACCATCACTCCTGACTCTGAACTTACATGCTATTAATAAGCAATCATTTTCTTATTCACATGTAGGTGTTTAAGTAAAAAATATGACATATCATTAATACAGTGAAAAAATAATGTGTTCGGGGTAACTAAACAGCACAGTAGCATCATCAGAATACCTCTATCAGCTGTTAAACAACAGCAACTATAAACAACAGCAGACTGAATAAACTGTGCATTGTGCACCTGTGTTTTCACTGCAACCTGTCACATGAGGCCAGGTGTGGAATTTTCTACTTTGTGGCATCATGTTGGCACTCAAAATGCTTCAGGTTTTGGAGCACATTGGATGTCGGATTTTCATATTAGGGATACTCAACTGGTATTATTATTCTGGCCCCTGCAAATTTTTCAGTAGGTCCCCTAGTATGTCATGCCAGGGACTATGCGAGTTCCTGGGAATAGCACTGTAACACATTCTTGAGTGGGTCCTTGACTCCATTGAGTTTATAATCTCGTAGGAGGAAGGCTATGAAGAATTCTAATAAAGCAAAGCAAGCAATCACAACAAACCTTCCTCTTTAACTTATCAAAAATGGAAACTTTGAAGAGCTGCTCTTTAATAAATCATTGGAAAGCACCAGGACCCAGGTGTTTTGACTCAGCCTCATTTCAGACTGAGATCTGAGGCCATGATAACTCATGTGCCTATATATGCTGATAATCACCATTACCTATACCATTCTTTACATTCTCTCATCTACACAATCATCTTCAACTCTCTCTCATCCACTTCAGTCTTACAATTTGTGATCAGCAAACTCCCCTGTAACTTCCACCTCTTCTCCGAATGTTCTTATCAGTGGCCGAGTTCCATTAATCCTGGCTTCCTTTTGTGTAAATTCTTCTGCTGAACTGCTTTTACCAGAAAGTCCTTTTATTCTTTCTCAGCCTATAAACCTCAGGACAATGTGATGTGATAGGTGTCCTCCTTTCTTCTTACTGCCGTATCCAATTAATTCATTCCCCCCATACTTTTGAGAAAATTAATGCTAAAGCCTTTTCCCTCCATCTATAAGAGTGACACCCTTTCTTATGTCTTAATGCCTTCTGCTAAGCTACTACTCTTTATCATTTGTTGAAGATTTCTCTCAGGGCAAAGAATTTCTCCCCACCTCACTATCATTATCAGCTATTTCAACATTAACATAGATGAAGTGGCCACACCCTCATATCTTTGTTTCTTGAACTCTCATCTCTACCTTACATACCCATTCCCACACTCAGCTTTGATTTCATTAGAAACTGAATCAAATATAAAATGTGGACTTCAGACATTACAATATTCAACCCTTCTTTAACTCTCTTGCTATAACTTTGTTTCATGCACAAAATTATCAAAATCTTCTTTAACTCTCTTGCTATAACTTTGTTTCATGCACAAACTTTGTTTAATGCACAAAATTATCAAAATATAGTGTATAAAATTACCTTCTGGCTATGTTTATAAGGTGTATGTTAAACTAAAGAATTTTGTGTTTACACTCGGGTGCTATTCCCAAGATATCTCATTACATATATACAAATATTCCAAAATATTGGCCCTTTCCTGGTTTTGTTTCTTTTACTGTCCAGCTTAATTAAAGTATGCCATTATAATCACTCATTTGCAAATACTCATCTCTTTTGCCCTTTTTACCACCATTGTGTACTTTAAGAAAATTCTTATTGAATTCTAACTTATACCATTTTTCTCCCTGTAATTGAGAACCAGAATATTCTAAGAAAAAGAAAATCATACAACTGGGCATTTTCACATTAAAGTCAAAATCAAAGACTTCAGATGAGCACAAAACAAGTATATTTGAACTCCTATGATGTCTCCCTAGTGCATTTGTTTTCCAGCATTCTGAGATGATGTATCATGCCCTCTCTACTTTTTTTTGTTGTTGTTTGAGACAGAGTTTTGCTCTGTCACCCAGGCTGGAGTGCAGTGGTGAAATCTCGACTCACTGAAACCTCCGCCTCCCGGGTTCAAGCAATTCTCACACCTCACCCCCCAAGTAGCTGGGATTACAGGCATGTGCCACCACTGCTGTCTAATTCTTGTATTTTTAGTAGAGATGGAGTTTCGCATATTAGCCATGCTGGTCTCGAACTCCCGGTCTCAAGTGATCCACCTGCCTCGGCCTCCCAAATTGCTTGGATTACAGGTATGAGTGACTGCACCTGGGACTCTCTCTATATTTTCAACTCCATTATGTTAAGTATTAATGATCTACTTAATATTTTATGGAGACAATTCAATGTATCAAACATAACCTCTTCAGTAGAGACTGCTAGTAACCATACAACATACATTTAATCCTTATTTTTAATGACAGAATTCCATTCTTTAGATAAGCACATTGCCACCTTGCAAAAAGATTATTTCTCATCCTTCCTTGAACCTAAATGTAGCTATATGAATTAGTCCTGGCCAAAGGGACATAAATAGAAACTGTGTAGTGTCTTCATCATTAGAAGGCTCATTAGAAGGTATGCATGTGGCCTCCTTTTTCTACTTTCTCCAACTTTCTGCCTGGATTTTTTTTTTTTTTTTTTTTTTTTTAGTTTCTAGTGTGTTTTATGTTAACAGGCAGAAATTTGCCAAGAAAAAACAGAGAAGGGTCAGATAAGATGGAATGAAACATGAAAAGCCCTCACTGCGTGTCATGATGAACAACCATCTGGGGTCCTTGTCCAGTATTGTTCCAATGGAGTGGAAGAATTATAAAATGTTTCCATGTATAATGTTAGTGAAAATACAAGAATTAAAGATGAGTAATTTATAAAAATCTTTCAAGAAGTTTGATTACGAATGATAGAAGAACATCAAGGAAAAATTAAGAATTAGGAATTTTTTTTTAATGGGAGCTGCTTGATCGTTTTCACTTCATTGTTATTTACTGAAGGGGTATCTGTTGATTTTAACAAGTTAATCAATCTAAAAGAAGAATTAATGTTCTCTCCACACCTCTCCTTTTCCTTCGGCCCCCTAAACAACCTGTTCTTTATTTTTATTACCATTTTTTTTAAACATGACGTTGTTTTAGTTTTCTCTCCTCTAAAGTGGGAATAATAGTAGTATCTAAATCAAAGGTTGGTAAAGACTACATATGTTTTTGTCCTTTGGCTATTGGACCTGTGATTAATTTGTTTACTCTTGGGTTCATTCCCTGATGCCCATTGCTTTGCTTGTCACCACAAATGTCTGACTCCTGCATTTCCAAGGACCCTTGTCCATTGACTTCTAATTTGTTTCAGGATCCTGAATGCACTAGCAGAACACTAGGAAGAAAGAAAAGGAGAAATCAGGATATTTATATTTCTTCCTCTCTCTTTCTGTCTGTTCCATGCTAGATCTCAACAGAACCTGTCCCTTCTCCATGGTGTGAGCTCTCCTTGAAGACTTTCAGTCTCTGAACTTGAGAAGCATCATTGTGTCCCATTTGTACTTCCAGCTATAGGGATGATAACACCTTTCACCTGTTGCTAAGCTCTGGGTTGTCTTACTATGACCCATTTGGTTTTTCATCTCATTTTTCACTTTTACAAGTAGGTTCCCATGTTATATTCCTCTACTGAACTACCTGGCATGGGTTCTGTCTTCCTGACTTTGTCCTGACTGATACAACTATCATTGTCATCATCGTCATCATCATCAACAGAATAAGTCAGTAAATAAAAAGTGGTTAAATGTGAAAAAAAAATGCCTCAGAAAATAGGAGATAGAATACAAAGCCCAGTTAAGAGGAAAAGCCTGCAATTGGAAAATGGAAATAACTTCATATTAAAATAAATAAATAAATAAATAAATAAAAATGCATCTAAAAGCATGTAAATAGCCAATCAAGATTATTCTGTATTTTTTGTTATTTTTATTCCATCCATTTATCTTGGACATGTTTGAGGCAACTAAGACCATAGTCCAATTGTACCCTGTCTCCCAGTAGCACCTTAACAAGGTAGTGAGTCTCCAGAAAAAGGTGGCAGAAGTATGTGTTATACAAGTAGAACCTGAGAAGCATCACAGAGCTCCTTGTGTCCCAGAATGCACAGAGGCAGCAGAATGAAATCCATGCAACACAAAACAGAGCAAAAATAAAGACAGTTACATAAAATTTCTGAGCAGATTGGAGATTAATAGAGCTCAGAAAGTCCATGAGCATAATTTGTTGTGGGAGCAACAGAAGAATTTCTCTTTGCCTAAGAGTGGTACTAAAGAAGAAAGAGATTTGCTGAATTTAATGCATTAGATGACAGCCCAGAATAATTTAGTAGCAATATGTACAGACTGATCACTAAGAAACAAGCAAGACAATATGTGACTCAATAGAAGTCAATGAGGACAGAGTACATTTAGGACTAGATGCCCAGCCCTGCCCTTCAATGTCTTTAGACTATGTAAGACACATGGATCCTTGACACGGTTCCTTGAAAAGGAGAGGGGAGACTGAGTAATAATAATTGGGATTATGGTTTTGACATTCTGACAGAATAGGGCTAAAAATAGAAAATAAATTCAATTTTAGAAAAATAATTTTTGTTTATTACACATCTGAATTAGAAAACTGAGATTTCTACCTATGACAAGCAAATAAAAATAGATGAAGGTTTTTATAAGATCAGTTTTAAAGTCATGTTGGGAGAATAAGCTCATAAAATATTTAGAAATTTTATGAAGCATAGTACTACATTAAAAATATGAATGGGCCGGGTGCGGTGGCTCACGCCTGTAATCCCAGCACTTTGGGAGACCAAGGCAGGTGGATCACCTGAGGTCGGGAGTTCGAGACCATCCTGACCAACATGGAGAAACCCCGTCTCAAATATAAAATTAGCTGGGTGTAGTGATGCATGCCTGTAATTCCAGCTACTTGGGAGGCTGAGGCAGGAGAATTGCTTGAACCTGGGAGGTGGAGATTGCGGTGAGCTGAGATCGTGCCATTGAACTCTAGCCTGGGCAGCAAGAGCAAAACTCCGACTCAAAAAATAAATAAATAAATATATATATATATATGAATAGATATACCTATATATCTATATATGAACATATATATCTGAATAGATTCATTCATATGTGTGTGTATATACTATATGGCTTGCTCAAAAAGAGAAAGCCAAGGTGGAAAAAAATCCTTTATTTCAAAATGCTTAAAAATGTTTTTGAATAATTAGTTGAAACACTGAAATCACCTAGAGAATAATCTTGAAATTTTAGAAATAGTTAGCATTTTGGTTGTCTTGAAGTTTTGTCTTGTTTCTCCATGTATAAAAAATTATTTGTGAAGACAGAATTAATTGTGAAATTACTTAAAATGAAATTTTTAAATATTTATAGTAGTTTAATTTCAACTGGATAAAATAGAGATATATACTTATATGGCGCTAAAACTATAACAGGTAAAAATATAAGAGTGGGGTTCACTGCACCCATTTCATATCTGGAACCCAGACACAGCAAGCCATCTTTCAGCTTAAATACTTTTTATCCTAGTTTTTTCAGCATTTTCAAATGAGTGCTAACATGGTAAATTAAGAAATAATAATTTAAACACTTTTGGGCCATATTTATAAGGGAATTTGAATTGGCATAAACTTTTTCATACAAGAGATAAATCATTACTTGGCATGTGAAATGCACTGGTCAAAATTTATTTGCTGCTTTTCTTCAAAGAGAAAAATAGTGATGTTCTGGCAAAGAGTAAACATGAGAATAAAGAGAAAGGATTCATTGTTTATCTAGCAAGTTGCTAACAAATTCGAATTACTTAGCAGTTATCTTTCAAGACTGAACAGTCACATCAACAACTGTAAGCAAAACTGTGATTATTTGACAATATCCTTATAATGGGAATTAAGTTTAAGAACGGGAAAAAGAGAACTGATCATTGGTAATATAAGTAGTTTTTCACCTTAAATTACATGTGACAAAAATTGTGGTGTTAATAGTTTAAGAAAAAAGGAAAAGAATGAGTTATCTTTCTTTACTGAGCATGCCCCTGCGTGACATAGCAAAAAAGACTAATGAGTTAGTCAGTGACTGTTTCATGACACAATGAACTAAATTTTCCAGTAATAATATTTATTTATTGAAAATTTCAACTTTGTATTGTACCACTTCTTTGGAAAATCACTTTTCTACAGAGATTTTCATAAACTTTTAAGAATGGAGCAGCAGTGAGCACCAAGCAGTCTACTAGACGTCCCTGGTTTATTGTTCTATGGCATTAGAAATATTTGGCAAAAACTTTGAGAAATGTAGCCTACTCTATAATTTTTTGGTCACTGATTTCACATCTGTTAATTTAAAAATTTTGCCCAACTTTGGCCATTAGATAACAATACCTTCTAGAGAAGCCATGAGCCATAACCCTTTATGAAGTTCCTCTTGCTCTGAAAACAGAGACCCATGTCCTGGACCCAGATCCAGACAAAAGGGCCAGGCACTATGTTAGCTGTATCAATTGCTAATTCATAAAGGTAATGGGGGGGGTCTTTGCAAAAACTAGCAGAAGGTACCTCTGTCTCGTTTTCTTTCTTTCTTTTTTATTTTTTTGTTTTCTCAGCAACCTGGCTCTCAGGGAAAGAAAAAGGCTCTTCCAAAGCGTCTGCCTGTAGCATACCAATAATCGTGTAGAGTCAGTAGCAGTGCAACAAATCACTGATAAGTGATGAAAATATAAACATGGTAATTATAAAGGGCTTAGATAAAAGGACAACATGCTATTTGAGGATGGCTTATGACTTTCCAATTAAGAGAGAAGACTATTACTTCCTCTCCAAGAGTTTTGGGTACAGAAATAAGTTGGAATGTGACTTTAACTTGCTTCTTTGAGTTGTGCTTCCATAAAAGGATAATATTCTGATTATCAAGCTGGCTTTTGTAAACTCTGAAACTAAGTACTTTTAGAGATTAATTATTCTCTGGTTATGGAGGAAGAAGCAAGCCTTGTCGAGAGCAGCAGTAACTATCTCCTTTATATCACTGCAGTGGGGGTTGGTATTTTAGGCTTCTTTTGCATTCATCCCCATAGCATTTTGTGAAGCTTGTCATGAAAGAGAGCAGTACAGGATTTCCTGCAGATTTCTCTCATTGATTTATTAACTGATCTATACAATGGTTGTGTTATCACATTGATCACTAGTGATGACATAGAGAATAATTGCCATCCTATCACCGATCAGAAAAGTCATTTTAAATATGAAAGTAATATTTTATTATTAATAGTCTACATAAGCCAGTTCTGTCCTTTCTAGGATCCGTACTAGCAGAAGTTGTAAAGCAATGTCTTAAATACTCATTCAGGGTGTTTAATATATTTTAAATCAGTGGGAGATTCAAACATTATCAACCTTGCATTTTCTAGGGTTTTTTCTTAAATTTTCTTTTTCCACAGAATTAGCTGAAAGAACATCACCAGATCTTGCAACAATATTATCAAAATATTCACAACTTGATCTTAATAAGTTGTATATTTTTTAAGAAACACATTACACATTAAGTCTCAACAGGAATATATCAAACTATGATTTTACCTAAAAGGTCTTAATTGGTCCTATGTAAATATAACAGTATATTACTAAAGGAAATATTACCTAAAATCAATTTTGAATCACTTTATGGTTAGATGAACTGAAATTAATATTGATACTGTGTGCTTCACTCTTAACTAGAAGAAAAATAACATTGCTAGAAATATTAATATGATGATGGTGCTTCAGTTAAGCAACTCACAGTGACTTTTTGCCATTTAAGCAAATAACAGGGGCTTTTTTTTCCCTGAATGTTAAAATTATATTTTGGTGTGGAAAAATGTATTATTTAACAACTATTTTCATTATATAGAATTTTCCAGTAGTTTACATTTGAAACTTATTTGTGCTGACTTTTCTTTTTTTCTGGATCAATAGTATCTCTGGAAATTATATATCTCCACGGAAACTTTTCTCTTTCCCTTGATTTACCTTCGTCATTTTATAAATATTTTTTCCTCCTGTTTTAGAGATAAGGGAATGAGATAAAATACATATGTTATAGGGAATATATTTAATATATATTTGTATTTTCCAATTCAGCATTCTAAAACAGTTATCTGCCAAGCATGTAAAGTTAAGAACGCTCACAATTTCCGTATCACCACAAATTGTTACAATCCACACTTCTCTGTCCTTTCTTTTGAATATGGCCATTATGATACCATGGACCTTTTAATGGCAACACCGTAGCTTACAACATGATAGTACACCTTGACCAAATAGGGCAGTTTTGTTTTTAATAACACGACATTTAATAGTTTTCATTTTTGTAATTCATTTTATTTTGAATTCTTGGTTTGGATGTTTTAGGAATTTGGACACTTGAGAAAAAGGTTTCCCTTTGTAAGAACACAAGAGCTCTACTTTTGCCAAATGGAGTTAGGATTTATGTTTTTCTGTCTCCTCCTTCTTCACTCCTTCCTTTTCTCCTTCCTTCCTACTTTCCTTCCTTTCTTTCTTCCTTTTGCCCTTTTTTTGCAACAAAATCCTCAGAGAATCCTATTTATATATTCTCAATGAATTTTATTACATTTCTTTAAGTGAATAGCATTTCAAGTTATGTGTAAGTAAAATGTGCATGAACTATAAAGACATAATAGTAATAATTCAATTTTACCTACATAGTTCTATTTTATTTGATTCTTTCTTCCTTTGTTAGTATTGGTAAATATATTACTTCATAAAATGTTATTAAAATCTACATTTCGCAATACCTTTTTCCTCAAACTATGACATGTATTTTATTCGTTTCCATTATACTTTTTACAATTTTGTATTGGAATGCAATAATCTGGTATATTATAGGGATTCAAAAGTGATGCAAAGCATATTAGTAAAATAATAAGTTATATAATTAATAGATCAAATAAGTGTATTTTACATCATAAATGTTAGCTATGACTTTCCATAATGGATGAATTACATTCATTTATTATTTTAATTATCAATGTTTCAAAATGTTCAAATTGCAATATGATGACACTTGTAATGCTAATATTAAACATGTATTTTCCAATAAAATTGAGATTACAAAGATTAAGCATTAAAAACTTGCAATTTGTTCTCACATCAATTAACATTGAAATTCCATCTCCTCTTAAGGTAATTTTTGCAAAAGTGTTACATAATATATTAATTATTCATTGACTTTCATCACAATTCATACTGTACTTGATCTACTAAGAGAAAAGTGTAATTACATAAAAGGAGACTGTGATCTATTTTTCTATTTTAAATATTGCTGTTTAGAAGAAACTACCACACTGAATATTTTTTGGTATGGAGTATAAAAACGTTACTCTGATAAAACCATAATAATCAATTAGAATTAACTTCTAATAATCATTATTTAGCAATATTTAATGTGAGTGATATTTGTAACCATCAGACTTTGTTTTTAAGACAGTTTTATTTGATTGGTGTATACTCTCTAAATGTTGAATTCTCTATAATAAAGTTTAATCAGGTATATATCATATATACACATATGTTTCTTATAATTAGCTGTCATTTCTGTAGAAAATCTAAGTAAATAAAAATGTTAAGCTAGAACTAAGATTGTATGACCTTGCTACCAATTAACTTAAGGAATTGTTAAAGGCTTTGTCATTTTTCTGTAGCACAGATTTTTACAAATTAAAGGAAAACTTAGACAAGATATGTATCTGTTGTCTTCATTATACTGGGTAAGTACTGACAGAACAATTAAAGCAGGGCTCTGCTTCTAGTAGGAAGATATAAACAAAGTATAATAATTCAGCCTGAAATCCAAGTAGTGAGCTACAGCTATTTATATTCCAGATTTTAGGTATTTTGCCAAGGGCAGACTGTTACTTTGTACAGAAAGAAGAGCCAAACATAAAGGAAAAAGGGAGAACTCAGGATGTAGAAAGAAAAAACTAAACTATTTGACAGTATTGATACTACCTAAGATGAACATATTTGACACCATTTACATTCCCAAGGATGACGCAAGCACTGAGCTTTGCAAAGGATATTGAAGACAGTAGATACAAGAGGCCCTACTAGAAGGAACTATGCAGGAGTGCATCAAGAGTGAGAATAAGAGTCTAGTGCAAGCAATTGGCCATATCAATGGAGGACAGCAGGGAATGCTTGAAAGATATCTAGCAAAAATATATATAATCTTCACTAAATCAGAATAAAAATTTGTCTTTCATTTATTAAGAACTGTTGGCTGGGTACAGTAGATCGTGCCTATAATCCCAACACTGTGGGAGGCCAAGGCAGGAGACTTGCTTGAGGCCAGGAGTTCAAGACCAGCTGGGGTAACACAGAGAGACCCCTGTCTGTACAAAAAAATAATTTTAAAAACTTTAGCTGGGAATGGTGGCATGCCCGTAGTACTACTAGTTACTTAGGAAGGGATGGCTTGAACCCAGGAGTCCAAGGTTGCATGGGCTATGATAGCACCATTGCACCCCAGCCTGGACAATAGAAACAGACCCTGTCTCTAAAAACTGAATAAATAAAAATAAAATAAAATTAGAATTGTACATTGACTATCAGAGTAGAATGAATTGTGACTCTACTTACTTTGTGGTTTTATTTTTATAATAATATATACTAATTTTTTGGTATTTCCCATAACAGAGGATGATCTATTCTCCCTAAATCTGCTTGTTATCTACAAGACAACATAATTTTTTAAACCCTACAAGTATATTATATATAAGCAATTGGGGAAAATTTATTACAAGTTTCAAATTCAAGTGAGCCAAAAGAAATAAGTAGCACCTCTTACAAAATCCTGTCAATGAAAGATTCTTTTCTGTTTGGATCCCTTACAGTGCCTATTTAAAGACTATGATTGATTTTGGTAAAAGAAACACCATGAAAATAATAAATGAAAGTAGAAATGTGTATAGACACTGATAACAAAAATGTATAATTATACTCAATTCTAATCATTTCATTGGCTGCCCTTCAAAGTAATTGCATTTTTTTCTTCTTCCTATGGAGTCTCTACAAATGGATCTTACCAGTGACACCACATTACACACACACACACAAAATGTCTGTGAAAAAAAGTTTGAGGAATCTGCCTTCTTTGGTTATGAATTAGCTCTTTTCAAATAACTACTGACACCACCACCAATACAAACTGGTCAAATGAATTGTGTTATGTGATATAAAGCAAATAATTCACTTACAGCCTTACTTCACTGTCTTTTCTTTCTCTCATAAAACCTGATTTCTTGGTAATCAGCATTTCTGACACCTTCCTGAGAAGAAATAACATTGTATCAAGAAAAACACAAGATGCACACCTATATTTTAGTGGTCTCATTCAATGTTCTGTCCCCAAGTCACCCAAAAATGTATTTTCTGGTTGTAGAGAAGAAAATCAAGCCTAATACTCTACTCTGGTAATCAACTTCCTATATAAATTCTCACTTCAGTGAAGTTTCCAGTCAGGCAAAGGTAAGTTAAAATCTTTGAAACACTATTCTTCTCCTTTCCTGACAAAAAGACACATAAAAGCTGAGTTCAGCTCTCCTGCGGTTTTTGGAAAGAGATACATTCTATTTATATAAAATTAAAAGGGTTCCTAAAATAGCAAACAATCATAGAAGTTTTCGCAGTTACTATTGTACTATTATGGTTATTATTCATTCTTTTAATTGAAGTTGTTCAAAATTAAAAATAATTAGTAGATAAATTAAGAAAACATGGGAACACAAGTTTGTAAATAGTTTAGGAAGAAATGATAGAAGATATCATGAATTGAATACATGTTTGAATTTGTTACCTATAAGGGTAGGGAAAATGGAGATAAAAAAATTATAATGAAACTTGCAATGATATTTCAGAGGCACTGAAATTTCCACAACAAAGGGGACACCAAACTGATTTGAAGTACTTTGAAGAAGAATTGATAAGTGCATCCTCCTGAGATAAGATGAACTTTATGAAGAGAAAAGGTAAAAGGGATGATCCATCAGGGAACAATGACTTATGCATGTAAACATGCCCAATATTGTGTTGGATTTGTAGAAAGAAATGAAATTTGAGGGGGACATTACAACAAAATTATCATTCATCATCCACTATTTACTATACTAGAACTTCTTATTGATAAAATATGGGCAAAAGAGAAACAGCACTCACCATTTATTGGCCAATAAGAAGAGAAAGCAAACAACAAAGAAATAAACTCATGCTTAGAAACTAATGCTGTCTATGAAAGAAAGGAAACCAGTGCTCTGAGCAAAAAGCAACTTATTTCAATTAGAGGACTGAGAAACTGACTTTTAAGCCAAAATCTCATTGATGAGTATGAATTATCTGGGCAAAAGAACATTGAAAATTAGCCAGGCATGGTGGCAGACACCTGCAATAACAGCTACTCAGGAGGCTGAGGCAGGAGAATTGCTTGAACGTGGGAGGCAGAGGTTGCAGTGAGCCAAGATCACGCCACTGCACTCCAGGCTGGGCAACAGAGTAAGACTCCATATCAAAGAAAAGAAAAAAGAATATTGAGCATGCAGTAGGCGGAGCTGAGTAATGGAGAGGTGTACTTCAATGAAAGAGACATAAAAGTATAAAGGACTGAAGGAATTTTCCAGGCACTGGATAGCAAACAGTGAGCGTAAGAAGGACTGGAGAGTAAGAATGACTAGAAAGGCATCATGAGGGCATGGTCAAATTTTAAAATTTAGTCCTGAGTGTGATGCAAAGCCTTGGAAAACATTTAATCAGAGAAATAACATCACTTGATTTATATTTTAGGATTATTTTGGTTGTTATGAGAACAGTGGATTAGTTGGGAGCAAGAGTGAAAGCAATTATTACAGAAGATAAGAAATTAGGATGATTAAGACAGAGTGTTGGGGTGGAACTTGAGATAACTTGTAAAATTAAATATATTATTTTAAAGACAAAATTGGCAGAATATGTTGTACAATCATATGTAAGGGTTACTCTGCTTCATTACTTAAGTAACTAACTAGAGGATGGTAGTGTCATTTATTGAAACAGTGAAGGCTAAAAGAAGAGTAGATTTGTTTGCAGAGATAAGGCAGAATAATTTTGATCATGGTAGAACTAAGATGCTTATGATATATTCAAGCAAAGAGAGATGAAAGGATAAAGGTCTGAAGGAAATTTTAGATGGGTAGTAGATTGTTGCTTATAGAGCCTGAAATGCAAAGATAGTATCAGGACTGGTGATACTGGTGATATACTTCTGGGAGATGTAAACATATAAAATTTCTAAAGGCATGGGACTGCCTGAGTTAGACAAAGTAAGTATATATGACGTGAGGGAAAAAACAAACAAACAACAACGAACAAGCACTATACAAAGTTCTCAGGTTGTATAAAACAGAAATAGCCAGAAAAGAAGAAAACATATTAAAAAAAGGAAACTCAAAACCAAAGAATAAGATATCATGAATTGAATTAAAGAATTTTTTTTTAACTCAAAGAGGCTGGTCAAATTTATCAAATAAATAAAATACTGATGAGAAATGTAAGACAAAGAAGGAAAAATGTGTATGGATTTGACAACATGGAGGTCACCAGTGACCCTAAGCAGAGCAGAGAACAAATGGAGTTGGAGCCAATAAAACTTGCTGTACTTTTCTGTGAGGAGAGAAAGCTGTCTGAATAAATCAATGTAGTATGCTTAAATTATAAAAATAAATGAATTATGTATTTTTATGTATGTAAAGTCCATATATTTAATTTCTTATTTAATATAACAAAACTAGAATCCACATGGTTTACTTTTTTAAACTTTGATGCTTAGTATCACATTTTAAAAATACAATCTACTTTTTATTTTACATTTCTGTATTAGTCTGTTCTCACAGTTCCACATGGCTGGGGAGGCCTCACAATCATGGTGGAAGACAAAGGAAGAGCAAGAGGATGTCTTACATGCAGCAGGCAAGAGGGCATGTGCAGGGGAACTCCCTTTTATAAAACCTTCAGATCTCATGAAGCTTACTCATTATCACAAGAGCAGCACAGGAAAGACCTGCCCCCATGATTCAATTACCTCCCTCTGGCCCTGCCCTTGACAAGTAGGGATTATTACAATTCAAGGGAAATTTGGTTGAGGACACAGCCAAACTATATCATTGCTCCCCTGGCCCCTCCCAAATCTCATGTCCTCACATTTCAAAACACAATCATGCCTTCCCAACAGTCCCCCAGATTCTTAACTCATTCCAGCATTCACTCAAAAGTCCAAGTCCAAAGTCTCATCTGAGACACAGCAAGTCCCTTTGCCTATGGGCCTGTAAAATCAAAAGCAAATTTGTTACCTTTTAGATACAATGGGGGTACAGGCATCGGGTAAAAATTCCCATTCCACATGGGATAAATTGGCCAAAACAAAGAAACTACAGGCCCCATGCAAGTCCAAAATCCAGTGGGACAGTCAAGTCTTAAAGCTCCAAAATGATCTCCTTTGACTCCATGTCTCACATCCAGGTCATGCTGATTATTGATCATGACATAAGCAGTGGGTTCCCATGGTCTTGGGCAGCCTGCCCCTGTGGCTTTGCAGGGTACAGCCCCACTCCTGTCTGCTTTCAAGAGCTGTCATTGAGCCTCTGCATCTTTTCCAGGCAAACGGTGCAAGCTGTCAGTGGATCTACCATTCTGGGGTCTGAAGGATGGTGGATCTCTTCTCACAGCTTCATTAGGCAATGCCCCAGTGGGGGCTCTGTGTGTGGGGGGGCCCTACCCCACATTTACCTTCTGCACTGCCATAACAGAGGCTTTCCATCAGGGCCCTGCCCTGAAGCAAACTTCTGCCTGATATTTAGGCTTTTTCATAAATCCTCTGAAATCTAGGCAGAGGTTTCCAAACCTCAGTTCTTGACTTCTGTGCACCTGCAGGCTCAACACCATGTGGAAGCTGCTAAGGCTTGAGGCTTGCACCCTCTGAAGCCACAGCCTGAGCTGTACCTTAGCCCCTTTTAGCCATGCTGGAGCAGCTGGGACCCAAGGCACCAAGTCCTTAGGCTGCCCACAGCACAGGGGCCTTGGACCTGGTCCACAAAACCATTTTTCCTCCTAGGCCTCTGGGCCTGCGATGGGAGGGCTGCTGCAAAGGTCTCTGACCTGCCCTGGAGACATTCTCCCCATTGTCTTGGTGACTAACATTAGGCTCTTTGTTACTTATGAAAATGTCTGTGACAGGCGTGAATTTCTCCCCAGGAAATGGGTTTTTCTTTTCTATTGCATTGTCAGGCTGCAAAATTTTCAAACTTTTATGCTCTGCTTCCTCTTGGACACTTTACCACTTCTCAGAAATTTTTCCACCAGATACCCTAAATCATCTCTCTGTAGTTCAAAGTTCCACAGATCTCTGGTTTAAGGGCAAAATGCTGCCAGTCTCTTTGCATAGCAAGAGTGAGCTTTACTCCATTTCCCATCAAGCTCTTCATCTCCATCTGAGACCATCTCAGCCTGGACTTTATTGTCTATATCACTATCAGCATTTTGGTCAAAGCCATTCAACAAGTTTCTAGGAAATTCCAAACTTTCTCACATCTTCCTGTCTTCTGAGCCCTCCAAGCCTCCAGGAAGTTCCAAACTTTCCCACATTTTCCTGTCTCCTTCTGAGCCCTCCAAACTGTTCCAACCTCGGCCTGTTACCAGTTCCAAAGTCGCTTTCACATTTTCAGGTATCTTTACAGCAGCACCCCACTCTACTGGTACCAATTTACTATATTAGTTTGTTCTCACAGTTCTACATGGCTGGGGAGGCCTCAAAATCATGACGGAAGATAAGGAAAGAGCAAAATGATGTCTTACATGGTGGCAGGCAAGAGGGTGTGTGCAGGGGAACTCTCCCTTATAAAACCATCAGATCTCATGAGACTTATTCATTATCATGACAACAGCATGGGAAAGACCTGCCCTCATAATTCAATTACCTCCCTCTGGCCTTGCCCCTGACACGTGGGGATTACTACAACTCAAGGTGAGATTTGGGTGGGGACCATATCAATTGCCATATAATTGTTCTTGAAAAATAAAGTTATTTGTATTTCAGTAATATTAGAGGAAAAGAAAGAATGAAAGTCAATAAATATTTGAGCTACAAGGATTTTATACATTTTGAATTCTTCTTATTTTACAGATAAGGAATTTGAACCAGCAGAATAACAGCCTCTTATTAGGCCAGATTTTGCAAAAATAAAATAAAATTCTCTGTGGTATTCTAGTAAAAAATAAATTCTGTTATTTTAATAAATATTAGTAATAATGCTACCAAGAAGTTAGACTTTTCATTTACAAACATAAAAAATGACAACCATAACTGTTGTTGTTTTTAATGATAGTTAAAATAATGGTTATTAACTATTAAAATAACAGTTAATAACTGAGTTATCTGTCTCAGTCTAGTTGGGCAGCTATAACACACTACAACAGACAGGGGAATTTATACACAATAGAATTTTATTACTCACAGTTCTAGAGGCTGAGATGTCCAAGATAAAGGAACCACCAGATTCAGCGTCTGATGAGGGTTCACTCTCTGCTGCCAAGATGGGACCTCCTGGCTCTGTCCTCACATGGCAGAATGGCAAGACAGGTTTCTGGGGCCTCTTTCACCTGGACATTATTCCCGTTTGTGAGGACTCCTCCCTCAGGACCTAATCACCTCCCAACGGATCCTTCTTTTAATACCATCACCTGGGGGTTAGGTTTTAACATGAATTGTGGGCAGACATGTACATTCAGATCATAGGGAGAGGTGACAGTGTGCTGGTAGTCCTCACAGCCCTCGCTCGCTCTCAGCGCCTCCTCTGCCTGGGCTCCCACTTTGGCTGCACTTGAGGAGCCCTTCAGCCCACTGCTGCATCCCGGGAGCCCCTTTCTGGGCTGGCCAAGGCCGGAGCCGGCTCCCTCAGCTTGCAGGGAGGTGTGGAGGGAGAGGCGCGAGCGGGAACCGGGGCTGTGCGTGGCGCTTGCGGGCCAGCTGGAGTTCCGAGTGGGCGTGGGCTTGGCGGGCCCCGCACTCAGAGCAGCCGGCGGGCCCTGCCGGCCCCGGGCAATGAGGGACTTAGCACCCGGGCCAGCGGCTGCGGAGGGTGTACTGGGTCCCCCAGCAGCGCCAGCCCACCGGTGCTGCGCTCGATTTCTCACCGGGCCTTAGCTGCCTTCCCGCGGGGCAGGGCTCGGGACCTGCAGCCCGCCATGCCTGAGCCTCCCACCCTCTCCATGGGCTCCTGTGCGCCCGAGCCTCCCCGAGGAGCGCCACCCCCTGCTCCACGGCGCCGAATCCCATCGACCACCCAAGGGCTGAGGAGTTCGGGCGCAGGGCGCCGGACTTGCAGGCAGCTCCACCTGCAGCCCAGGTGCAGGATCCACTGGGTGAAGCCAGCTGGGCTCCTGAGTCTGGTGGGGAGGTGGAGAACCTTTATGTCTAGCTCAGGGATTGTAAATACACCAATCAGCACACTGTGTCTAGCTCAGGGTTTGTGAATGCACCAATCAACACTCTGTATCTAGCTACTCTGGTGGGGCCTTGGAGAAACTTTATGTCTAGCTCAGGGATTGTAAATACACCAATCGGCACTCTGTATCTAGCTCAAGGTTTGTAAACACAACAATCAGCACCCTGTGTCTAGCTCAGGGATTGTAAAGGTACCAATCAGCGCCCTGTCGAAACAGACCACTGGGATCTACCAATCAGCAGGACGTGGGTGGGGCTGATAAGAGAATAAAAGCAGGCTGCCCCAGCCAGCAGTGGCAACCCGCTGGGGTCCCCTTCCACGCTGTGGAATCTTTGTTCTTTCGCTGTTTGCGGTAAATCTTGCTATTGCTCACTCTTTGGGTCCACACTGCCTTTATGAGCTGTAAGACTCACCGCGAAGGTCTGCAGCTTCACTCCTGAAGCCAGCGAGACCACGAGCCCACCGGGAGGAAGGAACAACTCCAGCGCGCTGCCTTAAGAGCTGTAACACTCACCGGGAAAGTCTGCAGCTTCACTCCTGAGCCAGCGAGACCACGAACCCACCAGAAGGAAGAAACTCCGAACACATCCGAACATCAGAAGGAACAAACTCCAGAGGCGCCAACTTAAGAGCTGTAACGCTCACCGCGAGGGTCCGTGGCTTCATTCTTGAAGTCAGTGAGACCAAGAACCCACCAATTCCGGACACAATAGCACCATCTAAAGAATCCTTAGAATTCTGATTTCAAAATTGGTCACCATGAAAAGCAATTATTTATTTGCCTATTTGACTATAAAATTTAAAAACTATATTTTTTTACATGTAAGATAAAGTTCACAATGAGCTCTAGTGACCTGGAATTTGCCAGTTTACTAGGAAGGAATACTCTCCTCATCTCTGGTTTTCATTCATTTACCACAGGAATGCTGGGGATGAAACCTGATGTCACTGTGTGTACTGAAGCTTTTCAGTAAATTGTCTTTCAGTTTTAATAAGATCTGGCTCTTTGTTTTATTTGTCTGTTCTCGCTATTGTTAACCAGATTTTTTTCTGCATTTGGGTAATCCTTAGGTGGACTTTCAACTACTAAATGTGGTAATTTATAGAAAAGTACATGTCTGGTCTGCTGAAGCATGTATCATTGCTATGCATTATTTATCACTTAATAATTTAATGTAAAAGTACTTGTCAATAAAATTCTTATTTTCTAGCTTACACTTGGTAGTTATAAGAAAAAGAACAAGGAAATAAACCTATCAATATTAACAATAGAAGTAACACCGTTTCCATAAGAAGTTAATTCTTCATACATTTAGGAAGATTGTATTATTGAAACAGGAAAGAAGGAGAAAGAAAGGAAGAGAGAAGGGACAAAAGAAATACCAGTGTGAAAAATATATATTTATCAGAAAATTCTTTTCAGTCTCCCTTCCTTGTTAACTCTTTTCATGTTAAAAAAAATACTGAAATAATAATGAAATATATGTGAAGTACTCCTGATACTATGATTGGGAAACATGGGTTAAACATGGTTCCACAGATGATCGAAAGATTGCCTTTGAGACCCTGAAGGTGAAGGATGAGAAGAGCTTTAAAGAAACTAAAGTCCAGATGAAAAAAATACAGAAACTACAGGATGGCATAACCATTTCAAAAGGTAAGATCATGATACACAGCCGTGAGAGTGAAGATGAAAACTGGTATGTCCACAATGACAAGGAATTTGTCCTTGTACAACTGTGAAAACTTAAGCCCAGGCAGCATCCCATGACTTAGTCAAACTCACCCTGGAAAGTAACACTACTCTCAAGGCCCTGATAAAGATTGTTGAGAAAAGGGTGAAAAGATCCTTAAGATTTCTAAAATATGTAGGAAATTTGAATACGAAAAAGAAAAAGGGCTTCATTGTTGTCAGTATTGACTCCTAAGGAGCAGGAGGAGATTGAGGAGAATAACCTAGAAGACCCGAGGAGCTCGCCAAGCTGATGGTGGACTACATAGGGATGGAGAATTTCCAGAAATAGTATGACAAAGTGAAAATGGAGCAACTGAGCCTTCAACACAGACAAGCCCACTGTTAGAAAACAGTGGGAAGCTGTGGGAGATGCTGAAGGAGTACTTCAATGGCATCTCAGTGAGTGACGAAGTGCTGGGCCAAATCAACCCACTGTTCATAGTCATGCGTGGACGCAGCTTACCCTAGCCCTTGTCCACACCTATAGCCCATCCAGGTAACAAACAACATCCAACCACTTACCGTGTCACTGAAGCAGCCCACGTGATCTCTTACACCCTGTGATCTAAGGAAAAAAAAATCTCTTTTCACCCCAGGGATTTTTTTGAGAGACTTAAGGACTTCGCTATTAAAAACTTCCAATGGGGCAGGGGCAAAACTTGCTTGGTAGTTGGGTAACTTTGAGGAAGTAGACAATTTTTCTTAATTTGAATTTAATTTCCTCACATTGTGTGAGAAGAATAAACACCTCATAAACATAAAATATTATATTCATGTAAGGTATAGATTACCATTATTTTTTAAAATTCTCTACTGATTGGAAAGATAAGAACAAAACCTTTTAAAGGAAATTAATTAAAACTAAATTTGACTGACTTGAATACAGAATATTGTCATATTGATTCATGACTAGTCTAATGTTTGCTTACCAATCTAAATTTTTCAGGCAGATTGAGCAAAAATATTTTTGTTTCAGGCAATATTGATATGAAACTAGATTTTAAAAAATCATTGTTATATATAAAAGTTGATACAATTATTTTTATCTATATTTATTTTCAAAATTATTTATGTCTCCAATTGTGGCTGTGCTGGGGCTGAGTAGATTCTAAAATGGCTCCAATAATTTCCACTTACTAGCATTATCTAGAATTCATGGCTTTGTGTAATCCTCTCCTCTTGATTATGACTTATTTCTAACTAACAGAGTATGACAAAAGTGATAACTTATCATTTCCATGATTATGTTAATGTGTAAAAATAAAACTTTCCTAGATTTCTCAACGTTCAGGTAAATAGCTCTAGCTGCTATGACGTTCACATTTCATGAGAATTAGATCTATAGCCATTTGTCTAGTTAATTGTTCTAATTTACAAAAGTGACAGAACTTCTCTTATCTTCTTAGGGGGCTAAATGGCTATAGCTAGGAGTAGATTTCTTGCCTGAGTTCCTGAGGTGCCGGGAAAGACTGCAAATCTATAATCCAAGGAATTTACATTTCAATTTGGAATGAGACCCAGGACCTTGGAGACTCCTCTAGGTTGTAGACTAGATACAAAGTTTATATGTGTCATAGAGAGATTTTATTTACAGAACAAAAGGCTAAAGAAAGGAGGATACCCCTTCCAGGAGTTGAAAGGAGACAGGAAGGGAAAGTACCTTCTTGCCCTTTATAACAGAAAACCATCATTTTTTTCTTTTCCACTCATTATGGGGGTGGATTCGGAGTCAGGTTTTTCTTCCCTTAGAACAATTTGACTAGCTCTCAGCTTGTAACTCTAGGAATAAGAATTAGGACATAGGGTGCCAGCACTACCATTTACTGTGCAATACTTAATAAGAATTTTGTCACTGTTTTAGAACGTTTAGAATGAAATCAGGAAAGATGACTATTAAAAACCCAACAGTTACATAAGATTGTAACTTGGCATTCATTACGGTTTTCCCTACTTGCACACTTTTGTCAGAGATGTTTGAACCAGAGCAACTCCATCTTGAATGGGGGCCATGTAATATAAAGCTGAGACCTGCTGAGCTGCATTTCTAGTAGGTTAGGCATTCTTAGTCACAGGATGAGATAGGTGATTGTTTCAAGATATAGACCCTGCTGATAAAACAGATTGTGGTAAAAAAAAAAAGCCGGCCAAAACCAAGATGGTGATGAAAGTGACCTCTGGTTGTCCCCATTGCTTATTATACACTAATTATAATATATTAGCATGCTGAAAGACACTTTTACCAGCACCATGACAGTTTACAAATGCCATGGCACCATCCCAAAGTTACCCTATATTGTCTAAAACAGAGAGGAACCCTCAGTTCCAGAAATTGCCCACCCCTTTCCCAGAAAACTCATGAATAATCCATCCCTTGTTTAGCATATAATCAAGAAATAACTATAAGTACACTCAGTGGAGCAGCCTATGCTGCTGCTCTGCCTATGGAGTAGCCATTCTTTCTTCATTTACTTTCCTAATAAACGTGATTTCACTTTACTCTAGAGATTTGCCCCAAATTCTTTCTTGCAGGAGATCCAAGAACCCTCTCTTGGAGTCTGTATCTGGACCCCTTTCTGGTAACACTTTGATGAAGAATGCAGCCATATTGGAGAGGCCCAGAAAGTAAAAGAAGGAAGTCCCCAGGCCAATGCCAGCTAGGAACTGAGAACAACAGTTCAACAGACTGCAAGAAATTGAATTTTGTCAAAACTACAGAGCTTGGAAGCAGACCTTAGACTCCAGTCTTGGACAACACCTTGACTGCAGCCTTGGGAAAGATCCTGGCAAGCCACGATGAGATCCATGACTCACAGACATGGTGAGGTAACAAACACATGTTGTTTTAAACAGCCAAGTCTGTGATAATTTGTTACTAAGCAGTAGAAAACTAACACAATGACTTCAAAATCTGAAGTACAGATATGGAATAATTTCATTAGTGAAAGAATTCTTATATAGAGTATTATACAATGTGAATTTTGTACTTTATCAATTTTTTTAAATAAGGAAGCTATTGTTTCGGAGAATAATTTCCCACTAAAAAAAGCTTCTATGAAATATGAGGTCTTCTAAGATCATATGTGAGTGCAAACTAATTTGAAAAGTAATGTTTCAGAGCCAAGATAATTTTAAAAATAATTTAAAAAACACTGACTAAAACACCTCATTTAAAAAAAAAAATCATTAATTTTCAACATGGTCCTAAATTTATTAAGGTCAGAAAATCTCTTCAAAAGTCATTTATTTTATGAATAACTTAAATACAAAATGCCTTCAATTAAACTAAAATAATACACAAATTTATGAAATAGCTAAAAAATTATTAGAAGGGTATCAATTGAAAAGAGATAAAATCTCACGAGTAAATTTAGCATATCTGTCCAGTTTTTGATCATCAAGCAAGAACAGTCCACATATTGCTTAAAGGCATACGTGTATGCCCCAGGCATACACAATACATGCTATTTCACGGTTTGGAAGAAAAATAAAAACTGTCATTAGTAAGGCTGCCACTAGCAAAAGAAAAAGAAAAGAAAAATAAGCCTTTATAAAATATAAATTGCACTGTTTTTAAACTCCTTGTGTGAATTTCATCACATAGAATATGAAATCACTGGAGAAAAGAAAATGTAGCAACCTAAAATTCTTGCCAAAGGAGTATGTGTGTAAATAAATACAAATTTACAAATATTTTATGCATTTTCTATCACAGATTACAGGTTATAGATTATATTTGAAGGGATTTTTTAATAGTGTAAATGTACTAATACTATTGAGCATAAGGAAAATCAAGCATGAAAAGCAGATAAAAATATAGAGGATATTGAGAAATACGGTTTTAACTTTCTAAAATCTTATTACTTTTTATCCTCAGTTGATTATGAATAAATATTAATGTATTGTATATGAACATGGAGCAGCACAATAGAAAACAGCAAATTATATAAAAATAGTTTGTGGCTTTTCAAATTGGCTACTTGTTTTATGCAATTATACACTGGATATAAATTACATAAAAGATTAAATATGCATATAATATATTAAAAATAAACCTATAGGATCCATTTCAAAATGGTGGTTAGAGAAGGAAAAATCTTATAATCTGTATATTTATTTACAGGAGAAAATAATAAAACAATTTTTTAGAAATACTAACAAAAGAAAACATGGTTTTCTGGGTGTTTAAAAAACGCATCTAATCTTTTTTTTGTTTTTCATTTGTATTATTTCAAGACAGAAAGCAGCTGAAAGCACATTCTTTTTCTTTTTTTTTTTTTCTTTTTTTTTTTTTTTTGAGACAGAGTCTCGCCCTGTAGCCCAGGCTGGAATGCCTTGGCGCAATCTCGGCTCACTGCAAGCTCCTCCTCCCGGGGTTCACGCCATTCTCCTGCCTCAGCCTCCGGAGTAGCTGGGACTACAGGCGCCCGCCACAACGCCTGGCTAATTTTTTGTATTTTTAGTAGAGACGGGGTTTCACCGTGTTAGCCAGGATGGTCTCGATCTCCTGACCTCGTGATCCGCCTGTCTCGGACTCCCAGAGTGCTGGGATTACCGGCGTGAGCCACCGCGCCCGGCTGAAAGTATATTCTGCTGATCTTAATCAAACTTGCTTGAGATGGTACTCTTTTCCACTTTACACAAGCAATATCTTTTATATACTCATATCACACCTCCATGTAGAAAAACTAAGAAATACTTCCTGCTTATGTGTGGCCGTTTTAAGCAAGAAAGTGACATTAGCTAATTTTTGTTACTAACGGTAAGTTGCATATATGTGGAGAATGGATTTAACAGGTACAAAGAAGTAGTAGCAGGTCCTGTGTCAGGAGTTTACTAGTGAGGTTTAGGAGGAAAAATATATTGGTATTTATAAAAGACGAAGGAAAAGGAGAGAAAGAAAAGGATTCTAGATACATAATACAGCGGGGCATGGTAGGCACACCTGTAGTCCCAGCTACTCCTGAAGCTGAGGTGAAAATATCGCTTGAACCCAGGAGGTCAAGATTTCAGTGAGCCGTGATTGAGCCACTGCACTACAGTTTGGGGAACAGAGTGAGACCTTGTTTCAAAAAGAATAAAGTTATATTATATGGGTGATAAAACCAGCTGGACTTCTCATGTGGGAAGCAAAAGAAAAAGGAAAGATAAATTCAGGTTGACTCCTTGGCTTTTGAACTGAGCAAATAGGAAGACGATAGTGACATTTACTGAGATTGGAATAACTGATAAAGAAACTGGGCTTTGTTTCTTGGTTGGTGTGGAAGATTGTATTTTCCAGAATAACTATAGCAACACTTCTGATTCCACAACCATTTCCAGAATCTTGCAGCTCCACATCTAGAGGAAGAGTCTATTTCTCCTCCTTTGAACCCAGCTGGATCACGGTGACTGCATTACGGTGACTGCATTAACAAATAGAATGCAATGTGCAATGGTCATAAAAGGCAGTCTTACTCAGGAGACTTACCCTTGGAAGCCAGCCATCAGGTTATATGGAAGTCAAAGCTACATGGAAGGCTGTGTAGGTGTTCAAACTGACAGCCCCAGTTAAAATTGCAGCTGAAAGCTAACAACCAAATGACAAGACCGTGAATGCCTTCAGGTGATTCCAGATTCTAGCCTTTGGAATGATCCTAGCTGACAGCAAATGCAGCAGAGACCATCTATCACTACCAAGCCCTGCCTAAAGTGCATATATATGAGCAAAATATGCATCATCATTCTTTAAGACACCAAATTTTGGTGTGATTTGAGTTGTGTGTTACTAAGCCATAGTAACTGGAACAGTGGATTAGTGTTTTTGTTACTATTGTATGTGTGTGTGTGCATGTGTTTTTGGAGAGGAGAGTTTATGCATCTAATCAAAAGTTCAGTTTTCAACATAGGCATGAGAGATACACAAGTTGGTATGTCAAATATGCAGTAGAATATATGAGTTCAAAGTTTAAAGGAAAACTTTAGAACAGAAACATAGGGATATTTGTACAGATTATAAGTAAAATATGTAAAATGAGGTTTAGGAGGAAAAATAGTGTAGATAAGTTAGTTTCTAAAAAGCTAACAAAATATATAAAGTAACTGAGAAATCATCAAAATCAATGCTTTGGTCTTCAAATGACCAGGTCTCAGGGGTTAGGTATCAGCACTCAATATACTTCTGCATTGAGAATAAATAACAATAAGAACAAGAGCAATCATGTATTTAGTTTACTATATGCCAAGTATAGTACGACAGAACTAAATTAAACATATATATGATCTATTTTTGTCATCAGATTAAACCCACGAAAGTTTTTTAAAAAAATTTCCCTCAGTTAAGAGATGTGTGATAATAAACAACCCATAGTCACATAATCAGTGACTGGTAAAATCTTAGTTTTGGCTTAATTCTGTGTGACTCCAGCTAAACTGTGTTTTTTTTCCCCCCTTATAAATGTTTTAATCTATTCATATCTAGAACGAATTTCCTAAGGCCTGTTTAAGTATGTGTTTCATTCCAGAATTTTCATACAATAAAACATAAAATGTCAAAAACAAAAAGGAAGTAGTTTTAGAGTATTTTATAGCATATTGCTTGCTCAGACTATCCAGAATTTTCATTTTCTCTCAATTGCTTCATCATTTTGAAACTTGAATCTTCTAATGGCTATTTTTTTAAATATTGAAATAATACCTTTAGCGAAGTTCAGAATGCATAGGTAGTTTTTTCATAATAAATAAAAACAATACTATCACTTCTATCTTGAAATTACATTGCATTTTTTCTCTACTGATTACAGTAAAAAATGTAACCTTACATGCTTTATACTTAAGAGTTTACCAGTGATAGAAATTATTTTAAAAATTTAGGGAAATGTAGTGCTCTGAAATTGGACAATTTATGGTTCAAAACAGAGATTACAAATTTGATATTCAAATACATCAGGTGCAGTCATCTCTAAAATGTTAATTTATAATAATGAGATTTTAAATGAAAAACACAAAAATTCACATTTTTTACATCTTTTCAAATACTTCAATCTCCAACCACATTAAAAGTGAGACAGATGGGGAAAGTGGGACCAGGACCCCTCCCCATTTTTCTTACATGCTCCTGGTTGTGCCAGTCTCACGGACTTGTAGCCACAAACACTTCCTCTCATCGAATCAACCAATCAGACATGAAAGAAACAGAGCACTCTAAAGACAAACATCCTGGCCATCAACCATAGGGATTTTCCAAGAGACCCTTCACAAGTACACAAGCAATGTAATATCATAGCTTGTCCTAACCTAACCTTTGCTTCATTTTAATAGTCAAAATCACATCCCTGGGTGGAAATTTAAGATGCTAATGAAACATGCAATGCATGAAGAAGCATGACACAAGACTGTGAAGGTGCAACCAACAGATCACCCCAAACATGCAATGATGTCACCTGGAAAACATTCAAGAAAGCATAAAAACCAGACTAACTTGCTTTTGGGGAGCCGGCAGCATGTCCCTTCCTGCTGTCTCCCTTTCTGCTACAGCTGAAAGCCTCAGTAAACTGCCTTGTCCAAGCCCATTTCACACTCTTTGAGGGTTGAGATTCCACCACCAGTAACAGTACACAACTCTGAAAATTCCGAGTACATCTGTCTCTCTTTCCGCTACTGATCCACTGGAATTGCCAAGGAATCAAGAAAAACTATAACTGCTTTTAAAATGCAGAATCTCTTTTTATCTCTTTCTCTTTAAACTCAACTTCATATTGTGATCAGTGGTGAGTTAAAGAATTTTTAGGCTTTACCCATGTGTAAATATAACACTTACTGTCATTTTGAGGACAATGAATTTATGCTCTTTTGGTTCAATTCTTTTAAGTATTTCACCCCTCCTTATAAGGAAATATCAAGGGTTAAGTTATAAAATCAGCTTCACTGGAAAAGGATTCAAACTTCCTGAGTTTGACTTTAGAATTTAAGTCCAAGCCACACAACAATTTATATTGTTATAAGTTAAGGTCTCTGTGCCTGAAAAAATATTTGAATTTCCAGTTACAGTTTCATTTAGTTCTGCATTTTACTCTTCCAAATTTTGATTTGAGGACAGCAATGCAAATAGTGGTGAATATATTTAATTGTATTTTTCAAGAAAAGTATTTTTTGTAATTACTCTTTTATTCTAATATATTTTTTTCCTTCTACTGATCGTTTATTTATGCTTATCATATATGTAGTCTTCCTTTATGTGAGATACTAAAGATAAGTAAAAAGAGTCATAGATGTAGTATTCTGGAAAAATGCTAAAGTATTTCTCTTTTTCTATTTTATTATATTTTAGTTATTGGGAAGCAGAGCAATGGATGTTAAACGGTCTCAAAGAGAGGAGAAAAACACACAGAAACGTTTTTGCTGTAGTGCTAGACTGTAGCAATACAACATCAAAATGAATATTGACAAACACATTTAAGAAACCTATCGATTTCTCCACTTGATGTCATACGATGTTACTAGTGGGTTTTTTTTTCATTAAATTATCCAAATTCTGCTTCTTAGCCATAATAGCTTCTATGTTATAAAGAATTAGTGTAAATTTGCTTAACTAGCTATTAATATCATGTGTAAATATAAACAAAATATAGTCAATCCATTTGATTTTGTTGAAAATTTTGTTAATTGATAAAGTCTAAAGATCTATTTAACATTTTTTAAAATTTCCACTGCTTATTTTTTATATTTGTCATAGTATATTCTGAGCCATTTAAATAATAATAATTATCCTCATGTTTGCAATAATCCTTTCAATGTTTTCATACTACATATTATTATCTTTCTCAATTTTTTTCTTATTTACACGCATACATAATTAGCTTGGAGACAGAAAAAAACTGATACACCGAAAGATCACAATATAAAGAAGCTGTAAAAAGAATAGCCCACAAAACCAATAAATAAGTTAAATTGTCTAATTCAAAAAATTAATTCCATAGAATTGGGTTCAAACAGACAAAGCTAAAATTATCTTAGGGAAGCTTTATAATCTCCAGCTGTTTTGAAATGTCTAAAACCAGCTATTTCTGAAAGAGAATATGTGAATTTGATTCTTAAAACTTTAGCTTGACATTTTCGGATCCCAATAGGTACTAGGAGGAAGTCAACCAACAGATCCAATTAAGAGCAATAATGACACGTCCAATTCCCCACACGTGACCCACATTGTGCTTTATTTCTGGCAATAATGTGACTTGTAGCAATACAACATGGTGTTAGAAATTATGGGTTTTGGAGATAGTTAAACTTGACCTTCAGAGTCATTTCTTCAACTTTCTAATTTCATGTCTTTAAGACAAATTACTTATCCTCAGCCATCTGCTCAGTCACTTACTCTTGGAACTTTGTATTGATTTGAAGTCATTTTCCCACATTCCTGACACCAGGTCAGGCAGCAAATCCTCTTCCTTCTTTGCTAGGAATACCTCTTGAATTCTTCCCTTTCTATCGATATTAATTTCTTCTGTCACTACACTAGTCAAGGCTCTCATCACCACAAATCTAGATTGCTGCAGTAGGTCCCCAAACAGTCTCTTTCTATGTGGTAGATTTAATCCTTGTTCCCAATTCTTCAGTCCCTCTCTGGATCACAATTATGCTGCCACACCCTCTGCCATGTGACATTGTAGTACCACCAGAATGAGCAAAGAATATTTTCCCACCCCATTGATGCTTAGCTTGACCAATGAAAGGTGAAAGGAAGTGACAATAACTACTTCTCCACTGAGGCTTTAAGAGTCAGCAGGTGTTTTTTCTTGTGCTTGTGTCATTGCCATGAGAAAAAAAAAAAATGTCCCTTGTAAACCCTGGTCCCAGGATGAGACACTGTAGAGCAAATCTGAACCCAACCTGCAGTCAATAGCAAGCCCAGAAGATTTGCAATCTGAAAACAAGCTGCCTCAGCTGACCTACAAAACTATGAAAGAGAAGCTATAAATGTGTATTGTTTTGAGCCACTGATATTTTGAGGCTTTTTGTTATATAACAAAAACTGACTAATAGTCTGCCTTTAGGCTTTCTTTCCTCTGATAGAATGCACCCCTGCCAGTTTTAACCTCTTGTAATACTACTTGAACTCTCCCTTTAACTGCTCAAATGTTTTATTGTTCCCAATCACCTAATGAAAAATCCAAACGTTTTAACCTGATCATTCACAACCGAGCTACAGACTTATGTTCAAATACACCTAAAATTGAACCTATTCATTTTAGCATAAAGATGAATTTATTGTTCCAAAAGCATTTGTCATCAATTTTGTAGTCTACCCTACAGTTCATTACTAACCTCCTTTCTTAAAGCTCCTTCCCCATCCTTTCCTTTGAGTAATAAATATTTTAAAGTTTAAAAAATATTTATAAACATTGCTTCAGAACATCAAAGATATTTTGTAACTTTGTAGTAGAATTAGGCTGTTGATGTCTGTATAAGAACTAAGATGTTAGTCACTGCCTCTAACTCCTGAAATCTTGTAAGCTGCAAATGCCGAGTGACCTTTTAAGACAGTTTAAGTAACTTCCACACACATTCCATGTTTAGACTGCTCCAGGTAGATGCCATTCCTTTAACTGAGTTCACCAAGTTACCTAAATGTTTAAAATGCTACAACATGGCTGTATATCTGAAGTGAAAACAGAAATAACACAGAATATAAAGACTGTATATTTAATCTTAGTCCAGAAAATAATTTAGCATGACATTTTCTGTTTCAACTTATAAATCTAAATATTTTTGTTTTTGTTGTTTCTTAGTGTTTGGATCCATTCTTGAGACTCTCAGATCACCCAGCACTTACTGCAAATCTTAAACGTTTTCTTCCAAATCTCAAAGACCTACCCAACTGCCCCAGTCATGAATATGCTCTGCTATAAGATTTCTCCCCCTTAGTAGAATGATTCCTTTCATAGTCCACCTTTTATACAAATTTGCTGTTTATATATCCAAGTCTTCCAGCTAGACGTTAACCTTTGAGAAGTCAACCTAGACCTTTGTAACTTGAAAATGTAATTGAAATCCTAAGCATTGTTGGCAGAAGAATAGAAGAGAAAGAGCACAGTACTTGCACTCATGAAGACCTGAGGGCAAAATGTGACTCTACCAATAACCAGCTATGGTAGTGCTATTTATTTAATTCTTCACATTCTAGATTAATCTCATTTAAAAGAGTGGGAAATGGGGACAGTGTCTGTGCAGGTATTAATAACCTAAGAATTTTGGGAACGAGTATTTGCTTTAGCAACTAACCCTACTTCACTTACCTCGAACTTTAAAATGTATGAAGGTTTTCACATGCTAGGTCTGGTTTATTCTGAAAGCCCCCATGTCTACCAGGTTGCTCCAGTTTATGATTCAGATCTATTATGTTTATTACTTTTTGAACTGTTTTTCACTGCTTTTCGATGGGGGATTTTAGTTCCCCTTGACTATCTATCTCTAGCAAGTCCAATGAAAAATCAAAGAACTCAGATCCAACTGGACTGTCTCTAGAAATGTAGAACAGATAACCTAGCATCACAGCACAGAGCTATGTTATGTATCTTCCAGACTTAGAGAGTGAAATATATTCTAAATTGGAAGAAAGATTGAAAGGGAAATGAGCACACCATTTTTGTTTGATTTTAATTTAGATGGTCTTTCCTAGTGCAGATTAGAATTGACAAAAGTTATATTTTATCTAACTAGGTAACAGCCTGTAAGTCCAATTTAAAGAGGGTTGCTTTAAGAATGCTCTGTCAAATTCAAAACTCTGAAATTCGTAGTGTGATGCCACAGTGGAGGTTCGATAGCTCAGACTGCCTGCTAGGCACTCAGTAAATATATGACAACAATTGATTAAACTACAGATGCAGTTAAATGATTAAGCACCATATACCTCCTACGCCATATCTGTAATAAACAGCTGTTTGGTTACTTTCTCAAAAATCACCAATTTTAGCATCAATATGATGGCCATAGAATATATGTCATTTTTTTGGAAACTTGATGTTACGTTTTCAGGTTAAAAATGAAGTCTGACTAGCAGTCTCTGATCCAACTTTTTAACTTTCCCCTAGATGCCTGTAAGTGGAAAGGAGAAAATAATTTTACATAATGATGTCAAAACCAAATCACTAAGCTTACTGCCAAAATTAAAGAGGAACTTAAAGTAATCAAAGCCATGGAGCTTCATTGGCAAATTCAATTAATTAAACCACATTTGTGGCTCTATCAAGTGAATCAACACAAACTTGCTGTTTCTCAGAAGTAGGTAGGCAGGAAGTGGCTCCAGTCCACAGTTAATTTCTTGATCAGAAGGCAGCAGAACTGTAATCATCCGTGTAGATGTATTTTGGTGTTGGCCGGAATAACTCATAACCATTTCCTAACTATTAGCAGAATCTTTCTTTCTATATTTATTTGGAAGCTTTCATTCTCAGTCAACACTCTAAATTATAGAACACAGTGCCTCCTGGGTAGCATAGTTCCCCAAAAGTAAAGCACTAAAGAAGAAGATAAAAGGAAAAAAAAAGAAAAGAAACAAAAGAAAACAAAAGGCTATTTATTTGGGAGATTTTCATATTCCATGTAGTCAGTTGATTTAAATAAACTAATCTGAAAACATCAGGAAAGACATAGCCTCTGTCAATTAACGCCAAATGAAATTTTTGCATGTTATATAAGCTAGAAATTGTCCTAGTATTTGTGTAATACAGCTTGCCTTCTAGTGGTAGCAATACAATGACGAATTTACCAAAATCGTAAAGAACAGTAAGAAAACTATGGGTCACATGCATGTTTCCTGAGTGCAAATGTGAATTCTAAACAAAAATAGTTTCAAAACAAACAAATTTGGGGATATCAAAAAAAAAAGTCTACAGCATAAAGTAAAAAGAACATCATCTAGAAACTCAAAAGAAAAGTTTTTTATCAGGAAGAAATGTTATAGTGTAACCTTAACAAATGTTAGAAAACTTTTAAAATTGTCCTCAATATGCTATAAGGAGATATGACTGCTATGAAATAGAAGTAAGAAGCAGGAAGAATTATACACAAAGGCAAGCCAACATATGAGATTCAAAGACAATACTCTGGACTTAGAAGATAGCAGTTTGTCTTGAGGAAGGATGAAAGCCAAATCTTGAAATACCCATGAAGCAGTAAGAAAATTATTGACAAGAAATCATCATCAAAGATCTGAAGTAGAAAACACAGAAGAAATGAAGAAGAAAGATTTTGAAAGAAAATATAAGAACTCTGAAAGACAGAGAATGGAAATCTGATATAAAAACTAAGTGTTTATAAGGAATGAGCCAAAAATACTGAATGGAAGAAGAATTCAAGAGGATATAATTAGAAAGGGTTCTACCAACACTTAAGATATTAAATGTGAAACAGAACATCACTCCAAACCTAACTATGAGAAAAGTCTGGAAAACCTGTAATCCTTTTTTTTTAGCTCATCAGGGAACTGAGCTTGCAAGATAATAAGGAAAACCTAATTCCAAAGGGTGACAAACCCTTCCACGGGCTAAAGTGACCATAAAGAATACATGAGAGCCCCATATACAAAGAGTTTGTTTCCATTCTGCAGCCCTTTTCTAGAGGCCTCTATCATGAGAGGGAAAGAAACTGAGTGAACTCCCTTCGTGACACTGGCTTACAGGGCCTGCCAAGGTTTGAGAACGGAATGGTCATACCTAGAGAAGGACATCAATGGCTCAGGCTGCCCATAAATGCAAGGTGGTGATAAGCTGCTCCCCAGGAACAGGGTAGAAACCTGCCGGACCCCTTTCTGAAACAAAACAAAAGCAAGCTGCTTTTAGTGGTGGGGGGGCAAATTATCCACTCTTTTCAGGAACCTAATCATACTTTGACAGGAAAAGTTGACTATAGCAGTGGGAGGGGGAAGGAAATCCTCCCTTTCCCAGGTCCAAGGCAAAAACTGGCTTCCACTGATGTGAGTGGTAGAAGCTAACGCTATCTGCTGATTGAAGTAAGAGTGAATATCCTTTCACCCTAGGATCCAGACAAAGGTTGAATGCCTCTGAGAGAGATAGAAAAACCTGTCACTTCCCCCCAGTTCCACCCTGAAATAACAGGTCAAAGCCATCTCCTACTGGACATGCAGAAAATCTGCTTGTGCCCCAGAACCCTGCATGGATAAAACAAAAAAGCTGTTGCGACTGGAGCAAAGGCAGGAAATTCACTCACAGCCAAGATTTTTCTGTGACACAAGGGAGAGTTTGGATGCCATGGGTGGAAGAGTGAGAAACACAGCTGCTATATAAACCCTGCATTATATATAAGAGAGAGTTTGTCTGCCATGAGGGAAGGAGCAAGAATTCAGAGATGCCTCACTCCTGAGTGTCAGTCACACGAGACCTGCCTAAGACTGTGGCAGGAGCAGCAGAAAAGAGAAACACACCTGCCCCTTAAACAAGCCTTGCATCAAATAATAAGCAACAGCAATCTACCTCTTCTGAAGAGCCAGGAGCACACAGAGAGAACTCTGTGTACACAGGTGTGTAGGACTTGCTGAAAGCAGAGGTGGGAGCACAGAGTAAAACCACCTCTCACTCCCATATCCACTGTCTCTCACTCCCATATCCACTGTTATGGTTTAAATTATATCCCACCAAAACTCAAACGTTGAATCCCTACCCTACCTATCTCAGAAAGTGACATAATTGGAAAATAGGGTTGTTACAGACATGTTTAGTTAAGATAAGGTGACATTATACTTTAGCAAGAGTTCCTAATCTTGCTAATAACCTTATGAAATAGAAATAAATATAAATAACTAATAACCTTATGAAAAGGGGAAATTTGAAGATAGACACCTATGAGGACAGACCACCATGTAAAGACTGGAATTATGTTACCATAAGCCAAGGAACTATCAGAAGCTAAGAAAGAGAAGTGGAACAGGTCCTTTCCAGTGCTTTCAGAGGGAACATGGCAGGCTTCTAGCCTCCAGAACTATAGACAGTAAAATTCTGTTATATGAGTCATTCAGTTTGTGGTATTATTTTACATCCGTCCTAGAAAATTAATACACCCACACTAAGCACAAGGTAGCAGTGGCCCACTACTAGAAGAATTTGAATTTCTTAATACGCTAAGGGTAGGTATACCAAGAACAAAACCCCAACCCAGCTCCAGCTCAACTGCTGACTAGTTTAACACAACTAACCATAGTAATATCCTGAGAAGAAGAGGCGTACCCCCTGCCAGTCATAAATATTTTTACCTCACATTCTACTTTTATTTTACACATATCATCCAGTTTTCAATTAACTATTATGAGACATATAAAATGGAACAAATAGTATCAATTTTTAAGAAATAAAACCATCTACAAAACCAGATGAGAGATACCCCAGGGGTTCAAACTATGAAACAAGGACTTTAAGATAACTGTGATTAACATTCAAATAATCTAATGAAAAAAAGTGGAAAAATCCCTTAACAGGTGGTGAATTTCAGCAAAGAAATAGCAAGTATTAAAAAATAAGTCAGATCAGGCATGGTGAGTAATCTGCCTCATGCCTGTAACCGCAGCACTTCGGGAGGCTGAAGTGGGAGGATCACTTGAACCCAGGAGTTCAAGACCAGCTTGGGCAATATAGCAAAACCTTTTCTCTACAAATCATAAAAAATAAAATAATTCAAATGGAAATGTTAGAAAAAAATCAGAGATGATAAATATATTAACAGGTTTATTATAAAGCTTGGCATAGCAGTGGAAAGAATTAGTGAAATTGAGTTAGATTAATAGAAATTATTCAAACTGAAATACGGTCTTGTATTGGTTAGAGACAGAGATATGTTCTGAGAAATGCATCGTTAGGCAATTTTGTCATTGTGAGATCACAGAGTGCACTTACCTAAACCTAGATGTAATAGCCTACTACACACCTGGGATGTATGTTATAACTTATTGCTCCTAGGCTTCAAACCTGTATAGCAGGTGACAATAATGAACAATGTAAGGAAGTGTGACACCATGGAATTTATATATCCAAACATATCTAAATATAGAAAAGGTACAGTAAAAATATAGTATTATAATCTTATGGGACCACTGTCATACACATGGTTTGTTGTTGACCAAAATGTCATTCTGCAGTGTATGACTATACAAACAACAACAAAAAAATCAGCAACAGCAGAAAATGAAAAAATAAAAAGTAAAAAGGAGCAGAGCATCTAAGACCTGTGAGAATATCAAAGTGTCTACAATATATGTCACTGGAATGCTGGAAAGATAGAAAAGTGGAGTAGGAGAAACTTATGAAGACATAATGGCTGTCTATTCCCTCAATTAGAAAATGATCACTTGCAGTCCCAGCTAACTGAGAGGCTGAGGCAGGAGGACAGCTTGAGGTCAGGGGTTGGAGTCTACAATGAGCTATGATGGCACCTCTCCACTCCAGCCTGGGTAACAATGTGAGAGCCTTTCTCTGAAAACAAACAAACAAAAAATAAAAATAAAAACAAACCAGAGATTCAAGAAAGAAGCTCAGAGAATCCCAAGCACAATAAATACAAAGAAAAACACACCTGGATACATCAAATTGCTGAAAGCCAAAATGAAGAGTGAATCTTGATGGCAGGAAGGAAGGAAGGAAGGAGAGAGGGAGGGAGGGAGGGAGGAAAGGCGGGAGGGAGGAACAAAGAAAGATGTACCCAGTAACATGAGTATATACATTCTTTTCAAGTGTACATAAAACATTTACCAATACAGACAATAGCCTGGACCATAAAACAAATCTCAATACATGTCAAAGGACTGAAATCTTACAAAGTATGTTTTGTGAACTCACTGGGATTAAACTAGAACTCAATACCATAAAGATAACTGAATTACTAAATAATTAGAAATTAATCAATATACTTTCAAATAATTTATGAGGCAAAGAACAAATTAAAATATAATTTAGAAAATATTTTGAACTACATTTAACTCAAAGAAAACCGTACATACCAAAATTTGTGAGACATAGTAAAATCGTCAAAGGAAATTTATCCATTAAATATCTATGTTGGAAAATTAGGTCTCAAATCAAAATCTAAGCTTCCACTTTACCAAAAAAAAAGTATATAAAGCTGAAAATAGGCAGAAGGGAGGATATAAAGATAAGGGAAAATATAATGAAATTGAGTATATATATATATATACACGCTCAAGAAAATTAATACAACCGAAGGTGGTTCTTTTAATAGAGCAATAAAATTGATAAATCCTTAGCCAAATTGATAAGAAATATTACTGATCAAATAATTCAAAATATTGGGAATGAAAAAGGAGATATCCCAATTGCTTACGCAGGCAATCAAGGGAAAATATGGGAATGTTTTGAACAACTGTATGCTAAAAAATTCAACAGCTTAGATAATTTGGTCAAATACTTTGATTAACATAAACAAATAATGCCCACTGAGTAAGAAATAAAAAATCTTATTATAACTTTATCTATTAATTACATTTTTAGTTCCAAACAGAACCTTCTCATAAAGATATAATTTGAAAAACAATATTCTAAACTTCCCTAAACTTTTCAAGTACACTGATTTAAAACACTCTTCATGCTTCATCTTTAACTACATAAAAGAGCTACAGCTACGTAAGACAAAAAAAAAAAAAAAAAAAAAAGCTGTACATTGCAAGTTAAAAAAAAAAAAAGAGAAAGGTACATAAAAATTGTTACCTAAAAGCCAAATCTAGCTAACCCCAATGCTTGTCATCTGCGATACTAAATGTTAGGCATACATGAAACAATTTATATAGAATTTTAGAAACAAAATTAGCTTGTGGCTTAAGAATTTCATACAGAGCTACAGCAGAGATTGCTGGTTATACTCCAATATCATTTTTCCTTCTTCTATAGTGTGGTAGATAGTAAAAATATCCCCACATATTTATCCTCCTTATAGCCTTGCCTTTCACCATATAACTTACTAGTGTCCTCCCTTTCTTATTCCGGGGTTGGCCACATAACTTATGATTTTATCCAGTCTGTCATTGATGGGCATTTGGGTTGATTCCATGTATTTGCTGTTGTGAGTAGTGCTGCAACGAACACATGCATGCATGTGTCTTTGTAACAGAATGATTTATATTCCTTTGGGTATATACCCAATAATGGGATTGCTGGGTCACATTGTGTTTCTGGTTCTACATCTTTGAGAAATTGCCACTATGCAGCCATGAAAAAAGAACAAGATCATGTTCTTTTCAGGGACATGGATGGAGCTGGAAGCCATTATCCTCAGCAAACTAGCGCAGGAACAGAAAACCAAACACCTCATGTTCTCACTTATAAGTGACAGCTCAACAATCAGAATACATGGACACAGGGAGGGGAAAAACACACACCATGGCCTGTTGTGGGTGGGGTGAGGGGAGGGAGAGCATTAGGAAAAATAGCTAAGGTATGCTGGGCCTAATACCTAGATGATAGAGTGATCGGTGCAGCAAACCACCATGGCACCTGTTTACCTATGTAACAAACCTGCACATCCTGCACATGCATTCCAGAACTTAAAATAATAATAATAATAATATTTTAGTGCATTGTCCAAATAACCAGAAACTATGCCTTTATAGAGCTATATCCCAAAGAAGAGTGGACATTGCTTTTTGTCTTATGGAATGGACTGAAACCAGATAAAGAGAATCCCACAATATTTTTGAAGAAGCTATAAAGGCAAAAGCATCGGCAGCCTGAACTAAAAAAGACTGAGACTATTAAAAATATAAAAACTCTCTGGGACTCCCAACTTGCTAAGAGCAGATGGCAGGCTCAGAAAGCTGCTCAAATGCCAAGAGAGCAATGTCTTTAAAAGTAGCCAAGGAGGGTGATGAAAAAAGGAATGTATGAAAGGGGATAACCAAGAATAATAGAGCAAGATGAACAGAGAGGCCAACCCCAGGAATCAGAACCAGAGACTAATTTGTTAGGGTTGAAACAAGAGATGTCATGTGCTCATTACATGATGTGGTAAAGCATTTTGGCAATAAATAACAAGAGTTTTAAAAATGGTTATATGCTTTTATCCAATAATTTTATTTTTTGTTATGTTTCCTAAGGTAATAGCCAAAAAAAGTGAATTATATGCAAGATTTTGAAAGAAAGAGTCGTATAATACTAAAATGTTTAAACTTACACATCAGCTATAGGATGAAATATTATTCACTTAAAAACTATTATTAATGTTAAATGGTAAATATGCTTACAATGCAATATTAAACGACAAAAGCAAGAAGACAGCAAAATTGCTTATGTGGTATGACTCTATTTATTCCTTTAAGAATATTATAATATGCAAATTTAGAAGACCAGAAAGAAACATGCATGTAGTAACATTGAATGGTGGCCGGGCGCGGTGGCTTACGCCTGTAATCTGAGCACTTTGGAAGGCCGAGGCAGGCGGATCACGAGGTCAGGAGATGGAGACCATCTTGGTCAACATGGTGAAACTCCGTCTCTACTAAAAATACAGAAATTAGCCGAGTGTGATGGCAGGTGCCTGTAGTTCCAGCTACTCAGGAGGCTGAGGCAGGAGAATCACTTGAACCCGAGAGGCGGAGGTGGCAGTGAGCCGAGATTGCACCACTGCACTCCAGCCTGACAACAGAGCGAGGCTCTGTCTGAAAAAAGAGAAGGGAAGGGGACGGGAGGGGAGGGAAGGGGAGGGGAGGGGGAGGGGGAAAGGGGGGAGGGAAGGGGAGGGGAGGGGGAGGGGGGAAGGGGGGAGGGGGGGAAGGAAACATTGAGAAGTTATCTTTACCGTGCCCATGTGTATAAGTACTAGAAAGATCACTACACCTACTTGCTATTCCTAACTGACTCATAATGTGCTGTGGCATTTTGCTTTAAATTCAGTTCTTTAATGTGTCGAAACAATGACTAAAAAAAAACTTTATTTACACCAATACATGTTGTGAATATCTAGAAAAAATAATTTCAGTATGTCAAATATTTAATCGGCCAAGAAAGAATTTTAGCTCAGCTAGTAATTAACCCATTATTTTTAATATCATGGATAAGATTGGTTGTTTTGTTGTGATGGTGATTATTTTGTTTTGTTTTTAAAAGTCATCATTAAAAAGATGGGGAGATCCTTTCCCACTAGAAAAAATAGAAGGTGTGGTTTGCTTTAGTGTTAGACAATGGGAAGAAAGCCAACGGTCTCTTTTACATGGAAAAGGAGCTCTATATATTGACTTGTGATCGCATATCATAAAAATCATTAAAAGTTCATAAGTTTTACATTAAAAAAACTGAAATGGAGAAGTGGATTTTTAAAAGTAATTATAAGGGGATCAGTTTTTGTTTAAGATTAACATCAGAAGAACAACAAGAATAAATCATGATATATTGAAAAAATGAATAGAATAAACATGGGAAGGAAATTAAAATCCCAACAAGGGTAAACACAAGATCAATCAAATTTTGTAAAAGCTGAGACAAAATTAAAATGAGAAGCACACGGTAACTTCATAAAAGTTTCATTCATAAAACTCTTAGCAACTTTTGTCACAGTTGAAAAAAAATCTCATTTTTTTTTTCTTCTTTTTCAACTTTTAGTTTCTAAGGGCACATGTGCAGATTTGTTATAAAAGTATATTGTGTAATGCTGGGATTTGGAGTATGATTGAACCTGTGACCTAGGAAGTGAGCATAGTACCCAATAGGTAGTTTTTCAACCCTTGCTTCCCTCTCATCTCTTGTATTCCCCAGTGTCTACTGTTCCCATGTTTATGACCATATATAGCCAATATTTAGCTCCCACTTGTAAGTGAGAACATGCAGTATTTGATTTCCTGTTTCTGCATTAGTTCGCTTAGGATGATGGCCTCCAAATACATCCATGTTGCTAGAAAAGACATGATTTTGGGGTTTTTTTAATGGATGCATGGTTTCCACAGTGTATATGTACCACATTTTCTTTATCCAATGCACCCTTGATAGGAAACGGGGTTAGTTCCATGTCTTTGCTAAGGCAAATAGTACTGCAATGAACATATAAGTTCCTATGTCATTTTGGTACATTGATTTATTTTCCTTTGGGTATATACCCAGTGATGGGATTGCTGGATCAAGTGGCAGTTTTATTGTTGTTGTTGTTGTTGTTTTTGTGACGGAGCCCTGCTCTGTCGCCCTGGCTGGAGTGCACTGGTGCAATCTCAGCTCACTGCAACCTCCACCTTCTGAGTTCAAGTGATTATCCTGCCTCAGCCTCCTGAGTAGCTGGGATTACAGGTATGCACCATCAAGCCTGGCTAATTTTTGTATTTTTAGTAGAGACAGGGTTTCACCATGTTGGTCAGGCTGGTCTTGAACTCCCAACCCCGTGATCTGCCCACCTTGGCCTCCCACAGTGCTGGGATTACATGCATGAGCCACCACGCCTGGCTGGTAGTTTTAAGTTATTTGAGAAATCTCCAAACTGGTCTCCACAGTGGCTGAACTAACTTGCATTCCTACCAGCAGTGTATGAGCATTCCCTTTACGCTGCAGCCCTGCCAACATCTGTAATTTTTTGACTTTTTAATAATAGCCATTCTGACTGGCATGAGATGGTATCTCACTGTGGTTTTTATTTGCATTTCTCTGAGAATTAGTGTTGTTGAGAATTTTTTCATATGCCTGTTGGCCACTTGTATGTGTTCTTTTGAGAAGAAGATATATCATTTGCCCATTTTTTAATAGGGTTGTTTTTTACTGCTTGATTTGTTTAAGTTCTTTATAGACTCTAGATATTAGACCTTTGTCAGACGGATGCAAAGTTTGCAAATATTTTCTCCCATTCTGTAGATTGTCTGTTTATTCCATTGACAGTCTATCACAGAAGCGCTTTAGTTTAATTAAGTCCCACTTGTCAATTTTAGTTTTTGTTGCAATTGCTTTTAAGGACTTAGCCATAAATTCTTTGCCAAGGTCGATGTCCAAATGGTTATTTCCTAGATTGCCTTCTAGGGTTTTATAGTTTGAGGTCTTATATTTAAGTCTTTAACCCATCTTCAGTTAATTTTTATATATGGTGATAGGCATGGGTCTAGTCTCATTGTTTTGCATATGGATAGCCAGTAATCCCAGCTAAAAGGGAGTCCTTTTTGCATTGCTTATTTTTGTCGACTTTGTTGAAGACCAGATGGTTGTAGGTGTAGGCCTGTATTTCTGGGTTCTCTATTCTGTTTCCTTGGTCTGTATGTCTGTTTTTATACCAGTGTTGCTGTTTTGCTTAGTGTAGCCTTGTAGTATAGTTTGAAGTCAAGCAATGTGATGCCTCCACCTTTTTTTTTTTTTTTTCCTTGCTTAGGATTGCTTTGAGCATTAGGGTTGCTTTTGGTTCCATATAAATTTTATAATTAATAGTTTTTTTTTTCTTTTCAATTCTGTGAAGAACTACATTGGTAGTTTGATAGAAATAGCACTGAGTCTGTAAATCACTTTGGGCAGTATGGCCATTTTAACAATATTGATTCTTCCAATCTGTGAGCATGGAATGTTTTTCCATTTCTTTGTGTCACCTATTATTATTCAGCAATGTTTTACAGTTCTCCATGTAGAGATCTTTCACTTCCCTGGTTATGTGTATTCCTAGGTATTTTATTCTTTTTCTGACTATTGTAAATGAGATTGCATTCTTGATTTGTCTCTTAGCTTGAATATTATTGGTGTATAGAAATGCTACTGATTTTTGTACTTTGATTTTGTATCTTTAAATTTTACTGAATTGATTTATCAGTTCGGGGAGTCTTTGGCGAAGTCTTTAAAGTTTTCTAGGAATAGAAACATATTGTTGGCACAGAGAGATAGTTTGATTTTTTCCTATTTGGATGCCTTTTATTTTTTTCTCTTGCCTAATTGCTTCACTAGGACTTATAGTACTATGTTGAATAGGAGTTGTGAGAGTGGGCATCCTTCTCTTGTTCCAGTTCTCAAGGGAATGCTTCCATCTTTTGCCCATTCAGTATGATGTTGGTTGTGGAGGAAATGGATAAATTCCTGGAAACACACAACCTCCTAAAATTGAACCAGGAAGAAATTGAAACCCTCAACAGACCAATAATGAGTTCTGAAATTGAATCAGCAATAAAATAACCTACCAACCAATAGAATCCATGGACCAGATGTATTTACCACCAAATTCTACCACACTTAACAAGAACTGGTAGTAAATCCTACTGAAAGTAGTCCATAAAATAGAGTAAGAGGGACTTCTCCCTAACTCATTCTATGAAGCCAATGTCATCCTGCAGCCAAAATCTCGCAAAGACACAACAAGAACAAAAACTACAGGCCAATAACTCTCATGCACATAGATGCCTAAATGCTCAATAAAATACCAGCAAACCAAATCCAGCAGCACATCAAAAAGTTAATTCATCATAATCAAGTAGGCATCATTCCAGGGATGCATGGTTTATTCAACACATGCAAACCAATAACTGATTCGCCATGTATATACAATTAAAAACCAAAACAATATGATCATCTCAATAGACACAGAAAAAAAGCTTTTGGTAAAATCCAACATCCTTTCATGATAAGTAACTGTCAATAAATAGGAATCAAACGAAAATATCTCAAAATAATAAGAAATCTTATTTTCAAAACACTCTCATCTCTTGGTTCTCATGACAATTCAACCTCCAAGCATTTTTCTAGCTCTAAGACAGTACTTTGTCACCTTTGGTCTGTTTTGTCTTACTTCATTAAATGTGGAAATTGCTCAGCCTTTTCTTTTCTCAATCAACATTGTTTTGCTGAACAATACCTCCACTCCATTGGTTTGAATTATGATGTGTTTATGTCTGTGAATCACAAATATATCATCCTCTGTCCAGCCTTCATATCTGTATTCCTGAACTGTGGAAACAATAATCTTCAATTGAATGTATCTGTGGTAGCAAAACACAGTAGGTCTATAATTAAACCCAATATTTTTTGCCCCTTATCCAGTTTCTTCTCTCTTAGTTTAGGCCTCCATGTATGCATGTCAGGGTTTATAGAAACGATGATGCCCAAGCTCACTTGATGAGCTATCATTCCAATCATTGACCATTTCTTTCCAACTTTTCCTCTGGAAAGTTTCTTTAATTGGTCTACTTATTTTCATCTTTATTATACAACATTGTCCAACCATCTCTCCTAACCTCTGAATTTATCTATTTAATTATATCTCATCAGTTCCTCACATGGAAGTCAAAATTACCTTTCTGCTTTAAAAGAAAATCAATAAATCCCTAGGAAAGATTCCAGGTATTCCAGGGTAGAATAAAATAATTTCATTTGGGATAGCACTTGAAACTTTTAACATGGTGTATGAGGCCTTTCATAGTCACTTATCTTTTAAGGCTGTCTCTTGCTGCTAGTCTCATTCTCTCTTCTCTTGACATTGTAGCCATTTCCATTTCTGAAAATCACTGTGATAATTATAATATCACCACCACCACCACCCACATGTCCACATCCTAATCCCAGAAACTTTGAATATGTTATCTTACATGGCAAAAGGGACTTTAAAGATGTGATTAAATTAAGAATCTTCAGATAGGGAGATAATCCTGGATTATCCCTGGAGGTTCAATATAATCACAAGGGTCCTTATGAGTGAAAAAGGAAGGCAGAAGAGTCAGAAAAAGAGAGGTTGGGGTGATGTGATTGCTGGTTACAAAAAGACCACAAGCCAAGAAATATGGACAACCTCTAGAGGCTGCAAAGTTCAAACAGATGAATTTTTCTCTGGAGTCTTGAAAAAAAACACAGCCCTGTTAACACCTTGATTTTAGTCTAGTGATACTGACTTGAAACTTTTGAGTTCCAGCACTGTCACATAATAAATTTGCATTGTTTCAAGTCACTGAGTGTGCGGAATTTGTTACAGAAGCAATAGGAAACTAATACAGTCACCATGCTATTTCTTGCCCCAAATTCTTTATATATGCAATATTCTTCCTACCCAGAAATTTCTGTTTCTCTTTACCTGACTAGTTTTTGCTTTTTCTTTGTGCTTCAGATTAAATATTATTTACTATGGAAAAATCTCTCACCAAAAAATATTAGGTCACTGTATTCATTTCCTATTTATCACACAGTAGCTTAAAACAGTACATATTTATTATCTCACAGTTCTGGAGGTTAGAAGTCCAAAATTAGTTCCAATGGGCTAATACCGGTGTCTGCAGGATGGTTTACTGCTGGAAGACCTAGGGGACAATCTGCTTCCATGCCTTTTCCAGTTTCTAGACACCACCTGCAGTCCTTGGCCCATGGCTTCTTTCTCGCATCATTTCAACTTCTTGTTTCCATGTTCACATCTCCTACTGGTAACTCTGATCTCCTCTTATAAGGATCCATTTGATTATATAGAATCCAACAAGATAATGCATTATAATTGCCTTATCTCAAGATTCTTAATTGCAACAACGAAGTTCACTTTGTCATATAAGGCAATATTTCATAGGTTTTGGTATTCGAATATGGACATCTTTGTGGGGGGGGGCACATTATTCAGCCTATTGTAGTTGGGTATTATATGCTTATAATACTTACAGTATTATAAAAACACAGTTCATTATAAAACATCTTATAATTCTTTGTATCATCAAAATTATTTATTTGTAATAGCTTTAACATTTACTTATCTTTCTTGACTGTATTCTTATTCTGTTTGAGTACACTGGAGATATATATATATATATATATATGTATATCTGGCATATAGAGAATGAATATTTTTGGGTAATTGTCATTTTCATATTTTAAAAGTTTAAAAATATGTTCAAAGCACACAAAAACACATAGTATACATTTTTAGGTACATTTTATGAAACTTGTATTCAGAGACAATCCTTGTCACTTTTAAACCTGCAGCTACATACCTACCTTTTGATGTTAGTGTCTGAAAAAAAAAAGAATCAGGCAAAACCATGTCGTATTTAAACATTACAAAGAGAATGTGCAAGCTGTCAGAGCTGAGTTTAAGTTGGAGATAAGTTTTAGTTCACTGAAGGAGGCTAGTGGCCCAGGTTGCAACAGTAGATATTGGCTTTGAATACAGAGAAGTTGATGGGAAATAGAGGTAAAAGGGGAGAGTCCAGAATTAGGACAGAATATCAATGTTCTGAATATTCATTGATACTACATTCATTCAAACTACATTTAACAAAATATCACTTTTAATATATTTAAATTAATGTGTCATGGTTAGAGAGCTTTGCAAAATATAACAGTAACTTAATAAACAATATAAGAGTAAAATAGGCATATGAAAAAAAGACCAGATTCCACTGACATAAGCAAAAAGAATTAACACATCTTCACATGTTCATTGACTGTTCAAAAGTGGTAATATAAAGAATCACTAATACACCCTACCTTTCTATTGTGTCAAAGTACACATGAATGACAAGTTATAAATGAAATGGTGACTCTCCATGTTAAATTCCTTTACAGCCACTTTGATGAATACCATACATATCAATACTTAAAGTATTTAATGTGATAAATGAGCTTGCTTCATGCTTGTTAGCTTATCTGATCTATGTGAGATTGACGATAGCGTTATTTGCCTGAGTTAATGTATGTCTAAATGATATTTATATTTTGTTTTAATAACATGGGTGGAGAAGCCAGTCTCATACAGGTTTGTTGAACTGAATGGAAGGTGAAATTTAAAGTGATTTCAGTCCATCTCAGAGTATTTATTTTTAACTTTTATCCAGAAGAAAGCAAATTATTTTGATTTTCAAAATTCATCTTCAATCACTATCAGTAAGCAATTTCAATAACATATCCTATAAAATTATAATTAACTTTAAACTATCTTATAATCAAAGAGAACAATTCCTGATTCAAAGATTTTCCATATGTGTATCTTATTCTTTTGGAAAATTCAAATCGAATGTCTCTATAAAATTCTTAAGTTGTTCATTGATAAGTCTATTAGTCTGTTCTCACACTGTTATACAGAAATACCTGAGACTGAGTAATTTATAAAGAAAAAATGCTTTAACTGGCTCATGGTTTCACAGGCTGTACAGGAAGCATGGCCAGGGAGGCTCAAGGAAACTTGCAATTGTGGCAGAAGGTGAAGGGCAAGCAGGTACTTCTTACATGGCCAGAGCAGAAGAAAGAGAGTGAAGGTGGAGATGCTACACACTTTTGAACAACTACCCTAGTTCTCGTGAGAACTCACTCACTATCACGGGAACAGCAAAGGGAAGATCCAGCCCCATGATCTAATCACCTCCCACTAGGCTCCTCCTCCAACAGTGGATTACAAATCCAAACCATATCAATGACTTTTCACATATATGTAATATCAGCATTCTCTACTTAACTTATAATTATTAAATTATGAAACATGTTAAGGAATCGGTAGAGATGATCCTTCCAGACATTTAACTCTTGTATTCACTCTTCAGTTTATCTGCCATTGAAAGCTGTGTTGTATTCTTCTTTGCAAGGAAAAATTTAAAAAATTATAAATGCTGAATATATTTAATATGAAGACTAGTTGTCCAACTTACAGTTTGTAAAAGTTGGGACTAAATGATTTTTTTTATTTTGTAGAAATACTAAATGTTTATTCAGTAATTGAACATTTGGAACAGAATATTTGATTCCTAAACCAGCATTAATTGTTATTTATGATCAGCTTTCCATTTTACCACATAGTAATAGTCTCAACTTTAACATTTTAGCCTTTCTATAATTAACAAATGTTACTAAGTTACTAGGCACTTTTTTTTTTTTCCACAGCAAATCTCTCTCCCTGAAAGAAGCAGTGTGTTGATTTACATTCTGGCACCAGGTCCCTCCTTAATCTACATAAGAACTTCAGAAGGTTTTCTGATATCACAGCCATGTCCTCAAAACATATTCAAAAAAATCTTAAGCTGTAAACCACATTTTAAAAACTATGTAATCCTTTATACTTTTATGTTTCAGGGTTGTGTTTTCCAGCAATGAAGCTGAAGAACATATTCTTCCTTTCCATAGCTACTATGTTCAAATCATATATATGTATTTTATAAATTGTCATGTTAGCCACATCTGGGCATTTGCAAGTTGCAATGAAAAACATACTATAACTCTGTGCTCTGAGATGATCCTTCTTATCATTAGTCTGTTCTGGAACATGTCATTATGGCATCAGTGGAAAGTGGTATTTTCACTACCTTCTCTGCTACAAACTCACCCAACATTTCCAAGCAAAAGTAATATCATGGCAATTGTATATTTGTAGTCTTAGCTAAGTGCTAGTTTGTTAGAATCCTGCAAAGCACTATTGTTCATAGGAAAAATATGAAGCACCTGCTTCTAGCAACATTTTATTCAATATGCTTTCCTTCAAACTTTTTCTATTTTAAAGTTTTTTGTGTTTTGTTCATAATTACTACTCAAGTTTTGATGGTTTGTTTCTTTATTAGCCACATTATGAGCCCACAAATAACACAGCAGTTTTAGGATCCCTCTATCAAGCATGGCTACAAAAATGAATTCAGTACAAAAGAGAATATATATATATATATGTTCTCTTTAAACATATATATATATATATACTCTTTAAACATACATATATATATATATATATACTCTTTAAACATATATATATATATATATATATATATATATATACTCTTTAAACATATATATATATATATTTAGACTGAGTCTTACTCTGTTGCCTAGGCTGGAGTGCAATGGTGCCATCTCGGCTCACTGCAATATCCACTTCCTGGGTTCAAGCGATTTTCCTGCCTCAGCCTCCCAAGTAACTGGGTTTACAGGTGCCCACCACCACACCAAGCTAATTTTTATATTTTTAGTAGAGATGGGGTTTCACCATGTTGGTCAGGCTGGTCTTGAACTCCTGAACTCAAGTGATCCACCCACCTCGGAAGAGATTATATTTCTAAGTAAAATTAGTAGTAACTCTTTGGGACTTCACAGTTATTTCTACTGACATTGCTTAGTTCACTTCTGGCAATGTTAGTCTTGATCTCTGTTCTGAAAAACATCAAAGGTTAAAGAAATCCCTCACTCTTGTGTTCCAAAAAAATTGGCTTACTTCAAAGAAATACCCTTCCCCACATGACTTAGATAAGAATCACGATTGCTTTTCTTGTTCACCTGTGACAAACTAGACACAGACGTTCCACATTCCCTTTCTTGTCTCATGTTTGATTAGCTGAGTGATGTATACCCAATGGCCACTCTGGGCAAAATGCCTGCTAACTAGACTAGACACAACTTTAGTTAAGCTTCTGACCTCTCCTCAGAATCCTGAGCTTCAACCTACCCTATGCCTGAGCCATCATCAGAATGTGGAATGACTCTTCTAAGCCATATGTCCCAAGAATCAGTCCCAAATAAAGAAGTTCCCCTATGAACGGTCCAGTCATATCACCTGCTCACCACACTCCCTCATCCCTGATTCTCTCTAGCCTTATTTAGTCCTCTCGATAAAAGAAAATTCCTTTCTTCCCTACCCCTGTGACTCAGATTTTGTGGTCAGAGTCCTCCTATTGCAAGTCTCCTTTACCCTATTGCAATATTCCCATCCCCCCATCGCCAATTGTCCTTTTAAATCAAGCTTCTCTTGACCTAAGTTCAGATCAAAAACAACTGCCATTCTGAAGTATTTAGAGAAGTTTAAACTTTTAATGAAAAAGTAGTTCAGAGAAGAATGTTTAATTACCTGTAAATTAAAACTCAAAATACATAATACAAATGTCACTTCCTTATTTTACCTAATACTATTAAATTATTGATTTATAACCAGGCTTAACTAAAACATAAAATGATGTAGAAATAGCAAAGTATTGAAGATAAACAAATGACACTTTTTCTCTGATTTGTATATCCTTTTGAGTTATATTAATACTTTGCAAACTAAAATGCGTGTTGTATTATGATTCTACTGCACGTAAGTCTCTTACCCCACAAGATGAACTATAGCTGTTGCTGAGTATCCATGTGCAATTAGTTCCAGCACCTCTTTTCAATAACAAAATCTGCAGATGCTCAGGTTTCTGATATAAAGTGACATAATATTTGCAGATAATCTATGTACATTCTCCTATATAAATTATGTCTAGATTTCTTATATTACCTAATACCATGCAAATGCTATGTAAATAGTTGTTATCCTGTATTATGTAGGCAACAATCACAAGAAAAAGAAAGTCTGTACATGTACAGTACAGATGCAATTTCTTTCCTAAATATATTCTTTTCAATTTTGGTTGAATCCATAGATGCAGAAGTCACAGATATGGAGGGTAGACTGTACACCAAAACTGGTCTAAATTGTTCAGTTAGATCAGTCCATTGATCACATGCTTGTATACAGTAGTTTGTTAATTTGCTATAAAAATTCCAAACTCTTATCAATTTCTTTCTTTATCTGCTATCACACCAGCAACAAATTGAATAGCACTCAGTATGAATTCAGAAGTCCTGGGGTTTGGTTCAAAGGCAGTTATTGATGCTACATATAACTATGTCACCTATTGCATTAATGGCTGGGAGTGGGGATTTCCTGTTGTTCAATTGCTCTTCCACCCTGCTATTCGGCTTTAAGAAGTACAGAATCAAATAAGACAGGAAGTTAATGGATAAGATGTTGGACATTAAAAGTACTCCCATATCCAATAATTGGCTAAATAAAATTAACCAAGAGACTTATCCATTTTAAAAATAATTCGCTTGCTAAATTTCTTTTTTTTTTTTTTTTTTTTGAGACAGGGTCTCACTCTGTTAACCAGGCTAGGGTGCAGTGGTGCAACCTTGGCTCACTGCAACCTCTGCAGTCCTGGTTCAAGCGATTCTTCTACCTCAGCTTCCGGGTAGCTGGGATTCCAGGTGTGTGCTACCACACCTGGATAATTTTTGTCTTTTTTGGTAGAAGACGGACTTTTGCCATGTTGGCCTGGCTGGTCTCGAACTGCTGACCTCAAATGATCCACCAGCCTCGGCCTCCCAAACTGCTGGGATTACAGGCATAAGCCACTGCACCTGGCTCATTTTCTAAATGAATTTTGAAGATAAGAGAGAAATAGGTATGAATCCTGTATCTTTGAAGAACAATAAGTGAAATTCTAATCCATGTTTTGTCAGACTCATTTCTAGAATTTTGCATATTTTCCTATGTGTTTTAATGTGATTTTTTTTTTTACATGACATTATCTCATTGGCATATTCCTTCAGCAACTAAAAAGTATAACCAGTTGGTAGGAAACTAATCTGAGTATCAAAGGTAAAGAATTTGCTACACAATCTATTTAAGAAATTTTATTATCTAATCCTCAACATTGAATAATTTATTTCATCCCTGAAAGATAGGCTTAAGTAATTTAACATATAGAATCTATACAGTTGATATCCTACTGGGGAAATTACTTGAAATATGTGAATGTTCTTGAGGGACAATATTGAATATAGTCTGTTAATATCAACAACAATTTCAAATAGTCATACAGGTACTTACCCAGGACAGAGAAGATCTACTAACTTGGCAAAGCAAATTTTTGAACTCACGGCCCACTTTTTAGTAAGTGACAGATTAAGTAGTCGCAATGGGACTGAATTAACATTTTTACTATTTCTTGATACATAAAGTCAGAAAGCATATGAATGTCCACAAAATATTCGCTATGAATAAAGTAGAATGTAAATTTGTACTCAAGTGCTCTCAACTCCATTCACACAATCCCTTCCTTTCCTTCTAATCCTTCTTTCAAGACCACAGCACAAAATAAATGGTAACCAAATAAAAAAATCTCTTAACTGCGGTACTGATTCCTCATTGATAAGCAGAACAAAAAGTCATCAACTATGATGCCCTCATATGTGCACTGTGTATAATCTGAGAGTTTATTCAGTTTGTACTTCAATTTCATTCAACTGTCAAGCAAAATAACTGCAGGCACCTACAACATAGTAAATATTCTTCTTCCTTGAATATGCGATTAATATTACACATCATCTTAGAATATCATTCAATAAAAAAGATTTTTGACAATAGCTTCTTCTGCTTTCTCTTTAAGCATAATGTTTATTATTAATTTTACCATTGGTTTTACATTTTCATCAGGAGTTTTTGCTATTGAATGAAACTTTCCATGCTTCTCCTACTTTGTTCTCTTCTATACCACTGGCAACAAAATTAATCAATTTACTGAAAGAAAATTATTTTATGCATGTTATTTTAAAAATCCTTTCTTAGTGTACCAGAATAAAAATACCAATGGCTTTAAAGCAGGGATCCTATGTTCACAGATGTCGCAGGTCAAATGAGTTTCCAACTTTTTCTTTCCAGTTCTCCCCACCTCCATCCCTGCGATGAGAGAGTATCACCACCACCACTATCACCACCACCCCACCAGAACGACATGGCATCTAAGTTCTCCTCTCTTGTAGGGGTGTAAAAGTGTCTCAGATTGTAAAATGATGAGTCACTGGGATGTGGGCAAAACTAAGGCAGAATGTCTAGGTTACAAAACAGTTTTACTGCAACCAGGTGTCCAAATCAAAGGGCTATAGTTAACATGTTCGTGGGCCTCACAATGGGAAACAAAAACGAAGCTCAGTAATTAATCCAGATTGATGCAGGCTTCTGGTGCCTAAAAGCAAAAGTATTTTCTTCTTACTCCTTACTCCTCAGACAAAATAAGGGACTTTTGAGCCCTTCATTTTCTGCCTCCTTTCTTTCTCTTTTCCTTCTCTGTCTTTTCCTTCCCTTCTTTCATCTTCCTCACCATTTCTTCCCTTTTTCTTTCTTTTCTTCCCTTCCAGAATGAGCTTAGATTTTTTGTTCATGATTCTGAAATGGATGATTACCCTTACTCATGTGGTCCAGGAGTGGGGAAAATGCTCAGAGTACAGGCCAGAGACTTCACAAGGAATCAGAAGAAACACACTAATCTATACTTCAAGTAGTAGTTCTGACAGATGTTTATTCCTCTGTTTGGCAAGGCTTTATAACTCAAAATGAACTGGGGAAGAGTGGTAAATGAATTTTCAGTCAAATATAATTCAAATTTTTTGGATATTCATAAACATACTACCTATTTGCACTTTTCTTTTCTTGCCACATCTGTGAAATCATGACACTTGCAGGTTTATTTTTCCCTGCATATACAGATTTGCATCTCATATTTACCACTGGAGACCAGTTCACTCTTTGTTTATGATGTTATTTTGGGTTGCACTATCTATGTTACTCTTAAATTCATCACTTTTTATGCTTCAATGAACCCCATTTTAGTTGTGAGTTCATTTTTGAGAATTGGGGATATAATGTAGCCCAAGCATGAAAACAAAATTATGAATTTAATAATGTTGACAGTAGCACAAAAATGGCATGAAAATATATTAGGGTGAACAAACTGTATTCTGTTAGTTAAATATTTGAAGACAACCAAGCCAATTTGCTCCTTAAAAAGACATGTAGAACTTTAGAGGACAAAATAATCAGTAATTATATGAGTAATGGGATCTTTATGCAAATAAAAATTAATCTTACATTGCAGATTTGTTCAAGGCTGTGAACAAAATAGTTTCAAGGATTTTTCCTCTTCAAGCTGACAGACAGCCTCCAATAGGGCTAACACCATACTTCAATACTTCTCTGGCTGTCAGAACATCATGTCTCCTCTCACATTTCTTGTCTCTAAATTCATTATACATTATACATATTTTTCACCTTTTTCCTCTGAGACATAATACACATGCACACATACACACAGACATATACACATATAATAATTATGAAATAAATTAGAAGGACCCTTGTGTTTTGACCTCTTATCATAATTTAAAGCAATTAATAAACAGCACAGGACCATAAAAACTTATCTTGACCTCAGAGTGCTTATCTCTAAGAGAAGCCAGATAAAACACAGCAGTAGTGTTTATTTGTCCACAGTTGACATCTTCTCCATGGAATTTGCAATGACTGCATCCTTACTCAAGATGGATGCTGTGTTATCTTAAGACCACAAAGAAACTGAAGGAAAAAGACTGATGCTACAGGAAAAAAAAAATATTGCTGATTACAACAACAATAATACTGCATATCCATTTAGAAAAATGCCTCTGGAAAGATCCAAAATTCACCTGTCTGACTCACACTCAGTACTATAGTAATTAATCATAAATGTTTATACATAAAAATTATTTGATGAACTACTTGAACATAAATATTTGGCAAATTAATTTTGTTGCAAAAATAACTGTTTCCTACCTTAGAACCAATACACACATTTGTTCATACTAATTTCAATCTCCTTCTCTTCTTCTATTAGTCTTAGTAAGACTAATACTACCTTTCCCTTCTACTGGTATGTTGTAAACATCAAATGAAAAAATGTGCAATTAGTTTGAAAGTTGAAAGTAGCTGCATAAATAAAAAGTTTTGACATAAATAAACCTTTGTTCAAATAAATGAATTAAAGATCATATTTGAAAATATGAGATTACTCAAATTAATTCATGATAAAAATTAATAATTCATTAAATTAATAATATTTAATCTTAATATTAAAATAAAAGGCTAATTTCTTAGAATAAGCTTAAATATATGTTGAAGAGAGTAATCATAGCATCGACATGTAATTATATATAGATTTTTACATTAATACTTGCAATACCTGTGTGTGAATACAGTGACTATACATAGATTTTTTTCAGCATGGATTTAACACATATCAGGAACAGGATCCTATTCTACTTAACAATACTTGTCCTGACTCTCTGCCCATGCTATGTAGTGGAATGCTGACATGGATGCTACTGAAAAATTTACTGTACTAATATTTTTATAGACGGCAGAGGGAAGGACAGCATTTACTGAGTCCTCACCGTTTTGGTTTGTATTTTATCATTAACTTTATATGTAACATTGAGTGAGACCCTAACTTTATCTAGTAGAGTTTACGGGAGGATGAGTTATATATCTTGAAACTGATTGGTAGAAAGGGGTAAACATGCTGCAGGAATTGCCTTTATAGCAGGAATGGTGAGGCAAGCCCTGTGTTGCTGCCTTTGAAAAGTTAACAATGCTGATAGTTTCCACGCTCACCAGCAGACAATTCCTAAGCAAAACTTGCTTTCCATTGTTTGAAGACACCCTATTCTCAGTATAAGGTTTTTAATGTGTTTGGTTTTATCCATTTGGGCCTGCTACAAATTATGAACTTTCCAACATCTCTTTTGTGTTTGACAGAACTAAGAATTCTCAGTTCCATTATGATGTTAAAATGATGTCATCTGTGTTAACAGTCAGCCATTATGATAACTATGCTTCTTACACCTGAGAAGAGGGACATATTTCAAACTTTCTGGCTATCATTTTGAAGAACTACAGGATTCCTAAGGCAGTCAGTCCAAAGAATAAATGATCTGAAAAGGTGGATATTTTATCAAACTTTAAAAAATAGCATAAAAGGAAAACAAAAGGGGTGCTGCTATTGTGACAACTGAAAAAATATAGACTCTGACAAATGTAGACTCTCCTAAAAGGATAAACTATAAAGATATTTTTAAATACTCATCATATTTCTTTGTATGTATAGTTTTAAGTAGCATGGTACTGTTAAGGTACTGTTCTCTGACTCCAGACAGAGAACGAAGAAATCCTCTACGAGCCCCATGGGTTCACAGAAGTCTATCAATCACTCTGTCAGTCTTCCGGATCATAATTCAAGTTGCCTTCCCCAATTTTGTTGGATATATCAGATCTACTCCAGCTCCATGGGTAATTTTTCTCCCTAATGGGTTTGGAATTTGTTCTTTATTATCTTTCAGCTAATGTGCTGCTCAAAGTTTTTGAAAATGGTAGTAAAAATGTCATTCATTAGTTCTCTGTGTGTGTGTCTATATGCATATATAATTTGTATGGGTGTGTATAATGTGTATGTGCATATATGTAAGTATATATAATTCACAAACAGTTGTCTTACTATCATGGCACAGGGAATTTAAAGGTATAGATAGAACAGTTATTTAGTACTACTTATGTTAATTGTGAATATCATGGTTTCTTATGTTTATCTTAACATAATTGTTTTATATATGTATTTGTCTATTTTAAGAGTCTTTACAAATAGGAAAAAATAAGTCTATAGGGTTTCATGTTGATGTAGACATTTGGCAGCTGTCTAGGCATTTGATCAATGAAGACTCACGGACCAAAAAATTGAGCTGAACATTTACCAAAATTCAATCAGCAAAACAGATAAACATGTTGAAAAAGTCAAATTAACTCTTGGATATATTTGCAAATGAAATTTATTATTTCATTCAACAAACCTATATTATGCATGTGTGTAAGGCCTTGGATTGCCATGGATATGCATACAAAGCAGACTCAGTCCTGTCCTTAAGTAAGAACAGTAAAAAAGGTAAAGAAATATGTTAAATGTAATAGTAGAGGCATATATAGGCACATAAGATATGAGGCCATGATGAGACTGCAAGATTCAAGAAGACTTTGAAAAACTGAAAAATGTGAGAATTAAACAGAATATTAAAGATTAGGAAGACTCCCAAAGTGCTGGGATTACAGGCATAAACTGGTAGATCACCTGAGGTCAGGAGTTCGAGACCAGCTTGACCAAAATGCTGAAACCCCGTCTCTACTAAAAATACAAAAATTAGCTGAGTGTGGTGTCAGGGGCCTGTAATCCCAGCTACTCGAGAGGCTGAGGCAGGAGAATGGCTTGAACCTGGGAGGCAGAGGTTGCAGTGAGCCGAGATCCCACCATTTGCACTCCAGCCTGGGCGACAGAGCGAGCAAGACTCCTTCTTATAAAAAAAAAAAAAAAAAAAAAAAAAAAAGATTAGTAAGCATTACAGATAGAAGAGTCATAAGTGAAAAAAAAAATTATAGTTTGTGGGAGGTCCATAAGCTTTTTAAATATTTCCCACTACAATTTCACTTTCATGGGGAGTAGGACTCCTCATCATTTTGGTTACCGTTGGGTGCCAAGTACCTAGAGCAGTGCCTGATTCATAGTAAATGTTGGTTGAATGAATGATTGAATTAATAATTAAATTACAAAATGCAAGTCAGACAAGAGAAACATGAGTTTGGATTAGGATTAGATCACAGAGTATCTTTAAGTGTTCCTTAGTGACACTTTTTATCTACTTTGTCTCCTTTAGTCTCCTCTCAGCTCTAGGAAATCTAATGATAGCATAGTATGTTGTAATCAACATTTCAATTCACATTTCCCTCTAGACTTTGGCCTCATAATGTGAAATTTTCTTGATGCAGTTTCCCATCACAACTTTCTCTGTGTCCACTTACCATGGGATATATTTTTGAAGATAGGAACTGATTTAATTTGCCTCATATTCTTCATGGAAGAAAATCTTTCTAGATACAATTTTCACTCAGCCACAGCTAGCTGGAAAGACCACGGCTTATGCCCATTGGGGTTAAAAGCATTGTGTTCATATCTCAGTTCTGACATGGCCCAGGCTTACAAGTATGAAATAATTATCTTTAATATGCCTAAGTCATAGGTTTGACTAAAGCTTAAAGTAAATAATGTATGCAAAAAATCTTGTAAATTTTAAGGCAGAAAACAAATGTAAAGAATTATCAATTTATTAGAGTCTATATGGTCTTGAAACCAAGAAAGTAAATAATATAATAATTTCACGTATTATCATTGCTATTTTTGCAAATCATGGATAAGAATTTTTGGTTAAAATCACATCACGTAGGCATCTCTCTTTTCCATCTATATTAAAACTGGCATTAAACTAAAACCACAGCGATATCAAAGATTATGATTTACTCTCAAATAACTCTTAATATGTTTGTTCCTTAATCTCAAATTCGGAAGGAATAACATCCTTTGATCACTATATAAACGTTTTTTTCAGTTAATCCTTATAATAACTAATGCTAGAAGGCAATAATCATCATCATTCATACTTTATATAATGAGGCAATTGTGAAACTTGCACAAGGTCAAATGCACTATCCCTGGCTTCATAATCTTTGGGCTTTTTAGCATATAGTGCCTCCTCTCTCCCCTATGTTGCTTAGGTAATGAATCTGAGACAAAGTTATTGAAAAGACATACTTGTCATTATAATATAAACAAAATAAGTATATAATAACTACTCTCTTTATTCTGTACCAAAATAGAAAAAAAAATATTTGTTCTATGAGCAAGGTGGATAATTTTTTTTTTTTGAGGCGGAGTCTTCCTCTTGTTGCCCAGGCTGGAGTGCAATGGCAGGATCTCGGCTCACTGCAACCTCTGCCTCCCAGGTTAAAGCAATTCTCCTGCCTCAGCCTCCCAAGTAGCTGGGAGTACACGCATGTGCCACCATGCCCAGCTAATTTTGTATTTTTCATAGAGACGGGGTTTCACCATGTTGGTCAGGCTGATCTCGAACTCCTGACCTCAAGTAGTTCCACCCATCTTGGGCTCCCAAAGTGCTGGGATTACAGGCATGAGCCACCGTGCCCAATGTGAGGTGGATAATTGTTATGTGGATTATGCTTAATTTGTTAGTCTCATACTACTAATTTACATGTTTATTATTTTATGTGCATATATGTCATGTATTGCACTTATATGTATGTAGTTACATGTCTGTATATACAGCTTATATGTGTGTGCATAAATGTGTGTGTGTCTCTGTGTATTATACATATAATATATCCATATGAGCACATGTATATGTACTTACACTTACTTCACAAACCTCCATCTCCTTCCTTCACTCTACATATGGAAAGTTCTGTTTTTTTATCATTTTAAAGTAAAATGATAAGTCATTTTATTACTTGTATTAAGTTTACTTCTTCCTGATCTTATGTATGTTATTAAAATGAAAAATGGCCTTTTAAATCAGATACACAGCAAATTAGATGTAATAAACATATTAACATTAATTAATGTAATTTTTGTGGACACATCCTTCTGAAGAGAACAGCTGTAGTGGTCTGGCACAATGAGTAAGGCAGGATATTATGAAAAGGGTGCTTGAGATCTACATATAATCTGAAGTTTGTGACACTATCAGAAAGGAAGTCTAGTGGCTAAGTTACCATGGCTTCCTACAGAAATGAAGTCACAAACTCTCAAAATCATCATGTTGAGTGGTTAACACCTATGAGATTTCATGAATTTTCCTGTGTGTTTTAAGACAAATGCTATTATACTATATATACTATATATTGTTTACTATTTGTAGATGTAATAACACCCAGTTAAAATGACTGCTTGTATTATTTTAAATTACATTTAATAATGACCTTATTTATTTCCTTTTCTTTAAGGATGATCAGTGTGCTTTTTTCCTATTTTTAAAGACAGCAAAGTGGAAAACTGGTGGATATTATAAGGACACCCTAAAAAGTACATTGTTACTATGACAATGAAAAGGAGAGCAAATGTCCAAACTCTTCTTGGTAAAATTCCATTTTTCTGTTTGAAATATTTTAGTTCCCTGCATTAAGTGTAAGCAAATATTCTTCATGTAACATTTTCAACTGAATTAAATATTTCCATTTGATTTACATGCATGAAACAAATACCTACTATGTTCTTGGTAATTCAGGATAAAAAGATGGCTACAATATCTCATCTGGTCTCCACCACGTTGTAGCCTATGGAAAAATTTAGGAACTGATAAACTCAGCACAAAGTAACAAGTAGCATGATAGAAACTGGCACAGGACACAAAGCACCTAATGCTCCTGTTCCTCTTCCCTCATGTCCTCTTCCTCTAACTTATTTCATTTTTTAGGTATAGTGATATAGATACGTTACAGAAAGGGCCATAGAGGAAATCCAGGATTTAAGGATCCTCCAGTAATATAAGTTAAAGCCATTGAGAAATATAGATGACTTGAATTATGTAAAATGAAGTAAATATGCCATGATTCCAAAGTTACATAATATTTCTTATAGAAGTTATATAATAATAAATATGTTGATTATTTATTGCTATACAATAATATTATCACAAATTTAGCAGCTTAAAACAGCACACATTAATTATCTCTCAGTTTCTGTGGATCTGGAGTCCAGGCATGCTTTATTTATCTGAGTCCTCTGCCATGCTGCAAAGTGTCAGCCAGGACTGGATTCTCATCTGGAGGTTCAACTGGGTAAAAATCTGCTTCCTCTCTTATGTGGTTGTTAGCAGCATTTAGTTCCATGTAGTTATAGGACTGAGAGGTTCAGTGTGTTTGCTGGCTGTTGGCTGGGGCAGACTACCTCCTAGAGGATACCAGTAGTTCTTTACTATGTGAGAGTCCCCTGTGTAGCCATTTGCTTTCTCACAGACAGCAAGGGAGAGAGAGAGGCCGATAGACAGGCACTTTGGGCTTATGTAAAATAATCACATGCACATAATCACACACATCCTACCACCTTTTATGTATTTAGTTGGTTAGGAGCAAGTCATGGGTCCCACCCACGTTCCAGAGGAAGGGTGCCTATATAACATATGACACTATATGTTAGGCATCATAATACCACCTTCATAGTTGCTCTGCCACATTATTATCAATAGAAAAGATGTAAGTCCCACCACAACAGCTTGGAGCCATGGTCTAAACTAATAAAAAATTAAGATGCTGTATTGGATTTAATAGTGCTAAACCTCCTGTCATCAGGTACGTCATCTTTATTAGGAAAATAATGAAAAAAAGTGGAAGTATTCGTTAGAGCTCTGCAGAGACAGAAGACTAATAGAAAATGTGCATGCACACACACACACATATATGAGAGAGAGTTTTATTTTAAGAAATTTAAAAAATTGGCTCACATTGATTGTGAAGTCTGGCAAGTCTAAAATCTGCAGGCTGGGCCAGCAGCCTGGAAACCCAAGAAAGAACTGATGCTCCAGTTAAAGTCCAAAAGCAGTTTGCTGGCAGAATTCCCTCTTGCTCTTGCTCAGTGGAGGTCAATCGTTTGTTCTATTCAAGCCTTCAACTGATTGGATTAGGTCTGTTTACATTATGGAAGGCAATCTGCTTTATGCAAAGTCCACAGACTAAAATGGAAATCTTACATTTAACATGAGTAACATCCAGAATAACATTTTAGCAAATATCTGAGCAGCATGGCTCAGTCAGATTGATACATAAAGTTATCTATCACAATGTTTTTAAGATTTTTAATAAACATTACCTGTAACATATTTGTACTTCAATGTGTTAAGCACTAATTTCTTTATAAATATCAATTCATAACACCTTCTGAAGTAAATACATTTATTACAAATTCTATTTCCTAGATAAGGACATTAAAGGACCCAGAATTTAAGTAATTTGCCTGTCATTCCACCTGTGAATGGTGAAGACAGGTTATTTGGTCCCAGAATCCTGCCCTTAATTAGTAATCTGTGCTACCTATTGTCATGCATAGTATTTGCAAAAATACATACAACGAACTACAGTTTATTTTTGGCAAAGGAAGCCTTTAGATCTTTAAAAGTACTAGCTGAATGATCATATATAATCACATATAATCCTAGTACAACGTGCAGGTTAGGTACATATGTATACATGTGCCATGTTGGTGTGCTGCACCCATTAACTCATCGTTTAACATTAGGTATATCTCCTAATGCTATCCCTCTCCCCTCCCCCCACCCCACAACAGGCCCCATTGTGTGATGTTCCCCTTCCTGGGTCCATGTGTTCTCATTGTTCAATTCCCACCTATGAGTGAAAACATGCGGTGTTTGGTTTTTTTGTCCTTGCGATAGTTTGCTGAGAATGATGGTTCCCAGCTTCATCCATGTCCCTACAAAGGACATGAACTCATCATTTTTTATGGCTGCATAGTATTCCATGGTGTATATGTGCCACATTTTCTTAATCCAGGCTATGATTGTTGGACATTTGGCTTGGTTCCAAGACTTTGTTATTGTATATATCACATTTTTCTTATCCATTCATTCATATGGACACTCAGGTTGTTTCCATATCTTGGCTATTATGAATAACACTGCAATGAACATGGGCATGCAGGTATCTCTTTGAGATACTGATTTTATTTCCTTTAGATATATACCAGGAAGTGGGACTGCTGTATCCTATAGAATTTCTATTTTTAATTTTTTGAGGAAACTCGATACTGTGTTTTGTAATGGCTATACTTATTTACATTTACACCAACAGTGCAGAAGGGTTCCCTTTTCTCTGCACTATCACCAACACTTATCATCTCTTGTCTTTTTCATAATAACTATCCTAGATGATGGAAGATGTATCACTTTGGTTTTGATTTGCATTTCTCTGATGACTATTTAAGTACATTTCTACTAACAAACATTCTGATCATGATCACATAAGTGATCTCCAAGGGGTTCCAGACTTTCCCTACAGCTCTTGCCTTCTGAGCTCTTACCAGAATGACTCTTAACAAACAAGGCTTTTCCTAGCCTGCTCTCCCAAATTACTTCAGCCTTTATTTATTACCCAGTTTCAAAGCCACTACCATTTTCTTTGGTTATTTGTTACAGTAACAGCACCAATTTCTGCACCAATTTTCAATCTTAGTCTGTTTTGTGCTGCTATAACATAATACCAGAGACTGGGTAATTTGTGAAGAAAATAAATGTATTTCTCACAGTTCTAGAGGCTGAAAAGTCCAATATAAACATGCTGGCATCTGGTAAGGGTCTTCTTATTGCACCATTCCATAGTGGAAGGCAGAAGGGTGAGAGAGACAAGAGTAGGGGAGGAAAATCAGAAAAAAAACTCACTTTTGTAGTCAATCTACTCCTCTGATAACATTAATCTATTCATGAGGGCAAATCCCTCATGATCTATACACTTTCCATTAGTCCCCACCTCTCAACATTGTTAAGAGGTGCACTGGGGATTACGTTTCCAACATACAAACTTTAGGAGACACACTGATACCGCAGCTCACAGTTTACAAATATTTTCCTCATTCCATAAGTTGCTTTTTCATTTTGTTGACTGTTTCTTTTGATGTGTAGAAGCTTTTTAGTTTGATGTAGTCCTACCTGTGTTTGTTTGCCTGTGCTTTTGGTGTCATATCCCAAAAATTATTGCCAAAACTAATATCAGGGAACTTTTCCATATGTTTCTTCTCAAAATTTTATGGTTTCAGATCTTACATTTAATTCCTTAATCCGTTTTGTGTTAATTTTTATATACGATATAAGACAAGGGTCCAATTTCATTCTTTTGTATGTGGATATCCAATTTTTATAATACCATTTATGAAAGAGCATTTCTTCACCCCATTTTGTATTCTTGGTGTCCTTGTCAAAGATGAGTTAATTGATCACATACATGTGGTTTATATTTGAACTCTCTATTCCATGGGCCTATATGCCTGTCTTTCTCCCAGTATTATACTGTTTTGATTACCATAGCTTTGCAATATAGTTTGAAATCAGGTAGTGCAATACCTCCACCTTTGTTCATTCTCAAGATTGCTTTTATTATTTGGTGTATTTTGTGATTCCATACAAATTTTAGAATTTTTTTTCCATGAAAAATGCCACTGGTATTTGGATTGGGATTGCAATTAATCTGTAGGCTGTTTTGGATAGTGTGGATATTTTAAGACTATTAATATTTCCAATCCACTCACACGGAATATCTTTTCATTTAGTTGTGTCTTCCCCAATTTTCTTCATCGATGTCTTATAATTCCCAAAGCAGAGTTCTTTGCTTTTCTTGTTTAAATTATTCCTAAATATTTTATTCTTTTTCATGCTTCTATAAATGAGATTATTTTCTCACCTTCTCTTTGATATAGCTTATTGTTAGCATCTAAAAATGCAACTGATTTTTGTGTGTTGATTTTGTATCCTGCAGCTTTACTGAATTCATTTATTAGTTCTAACAGTTTTTGTCAAAGTCTTTAGGATTTTCTTTGTATAACATCATTTCATTTGCAAACAGACAATGATAACTTCTTCCTTTCTGATTTTGGTGCCTTTTATTTCTTTTTCTTGCCTAATTTCTCTGGTTAGAACTATGTTGAATAGAAGTATTAAGAGTGGGTACCCTTGTCTTTTTCCTGATCTAAGAAAAAAATGTTTCAAATTTTCACCATTGAGTATGATGTTAGGTGTGGCCTTGTCACATGTGGCCTTTATTTTGTTGAAGTACAAGTCTACCACCTAGGCAGGAGTCTGCCCCCTCAAAATGGCCCTCCTAGGTCTTGGGATCCACCAAGATTTCACAACCTCCTTCCTGAATCCCAAAACTCCCACAAAGGAACTTTTGTCTATGGATGATTGTGAAATAATTGTTACTCTGGGAAGAATCAACCAGGAGACTTTCTATTCTGCCATCTTGCTGATGTCACCTTCTAGATGATCCCATATTTCTAGTGGTTCAGTCTATGGAAACCTAAAATTTTCTCTAGAGGAAGAAAGTGTCATCCAATACCTGGAATTATTTCTACAATCTTCAAACTCCCTCATTAGCATGTAATACAGGTAACCAGAAACATTAAAACATGACAGGATCAATGAGAAACAGTAGAAACAAGAAATAACTGAAGCAGATATACTAGTATTCCAGAGATTAGAACTACCAGACATAGAAAATTTAAAAACAACTATGCATTTCCTTTATGGAAAAAAGCTAAATGTAAAACTTTTAGCAAGAAACTAAAACTATTAAAAATTGCAGTGTATATTTTTAAAAAATCAATAAAACATTAGAGCAGCTAAAAAATAATCTGATTTAAGAAATTTATGGTCAGGTTCAACCAAGGCTAGAATAAAGAAAAATATTTGAGAATAGTTGAAGGATAAAAAAAGTCAAAGAGAATTCAAGAACAGAAATATAGATTAAAAATGTATGTAAAAAGAAGCATAAATATATACAGATGCACACAAATAATTACAAGTTAAACTGGGGAAATCTGAATAATGTCAGTTGATTTTATTAATGCCAATACTTTGTGATATTGTACGTTAGTCCTGTAAAATGTTACCATTGGAAAAACCAGGCAAAGTGTACCAAAAAAAATGTGTTGCATTATTTTGTACAACAGCTTTGGAAATTACATCTTAATTTAAAAAATGTAAATTAAAATTGAAATTAAAATTTTAATTTTAATTTAAAAATTTTAAATAATAAATAAAATGAAATAAATTAATTGTAAATAATGTGAACAGGAAGAAAAAAAGACAAGGTACAAGACATAGAAGATATAGACAAAATATAAGACATACATTTAGGAATCCAGAAAGAGAAGATAGAGAAAGAATGGAAGAGAAGCAACATTTGAATCTAGAAATGTTGAGAATTTTCAAAAGGCATTGAAATCCACAGACTAATATTTTCCCAAAAACTTCAAACTCAATAAATAGCAACAATCACAACAAGTTTATTCCAAGATGTATCAAAGTAGACCTGCAGAAATATAAATACAAAGAGAAAAATCTTAAAACATGGTTGCCTGGGATAGTGGGATAGAAATAGATGACATTCAAAAGAACACCAGTGAGACTGATAGCTAATATATTAATAAAAAACATGGAAGCCAGAAGATAGTCCAATGATTACTCCAAGGCAGAAAAATAACTTGCAACTAAAATTTTATTTTCAGTATGTTTTTCTTCAAGGAAAGTTTGAAAATATGTTTTTATAAAATAAAAGCAGACTTCCAGCAGTAGTCTTACATAAAAGAAAGTACAAGAGGAAACGTTTAACATAGAAGAAAAATAATCTGATAAGACATACAAGAACACATACTTAAAGACTCTACTTATATAAGTAAAAATGTAATTAAAAGCAATTAAGTAATTACCATACAAATCATAATACTGGTTAAATATCAGGATATTGGGTATATCCTGGAATGGAAGGGAACAACTATCAATAAGACTGGTTATGCAGGGGGTTGTTAGTGGACTTACAATGTTGCCATTCTTGTCTTCATAGGTGGTTATAAGTGTTTAATACTAATTGATTATTCAGACAGCTGTTTTGTATAACTTTTCTTATGCATGTTATACTTCACAATAAAAAACTTAAACACATGAAGTATAAGATGGTTAAAATAGTGGGTCACACATACTTAGAAAAGTAAAAAAAATGGTAAGAAAATAATATTCTTTCAGTTAAGAGTTATACACACAATAATGTTGTCTAGTCAATCAATACAGTTGCTAGAACGGGCTTTCAAATACAACTTTAAGCTTCCTAAGGACAAAGTTAAAAGAGAAATACAATATTTAACAATGTATACAATATCTGTGTGATAAAGACTAACTTAATTTGGTAGAAGTAGTAAGGCTGTAAAAGAAATATTTCTTATATATTATCAATGTATAGACAATGTATAGGATGAAGTATTTACACGATAGTTAATTAAATATAACGATTTCACCTTAATGTAGGCAGATAGCATAATGCAGTTGAAATCTCATAAACACTTACACTGAGGTTTATGACATATTAGAAAAAAATGTGTCAAATAGTACAATGAGATTCAGTACTAATAGAGAAACCCACAGTGAAGTATGAGACTATACAAGCAAACGAATACTAAATAGGAGAGTATGAAATGTGATCCTCATGAGTTTAGACTTTAGAGTGTAATAAGGTGATTCTCAATGTGTGTGTGTGTGTGTGTGAGAGAGAGAGAGACGAGTGAGAGGCAGACATTGTGTACATGTGTGGGAGGGTAGTGAGTGGGGAGAAACATGAAGGAGAAATAACGGGCATATTCCCAATTTAGGAACTTTCCAAAGCATAAAGGTATGCTTAATAAACAAGTACTATTTTTCCAAAAATAAAGACTGTAGGAAGTAACAAAACATACTCTTTTTTTTTTTTTTTTTTTGAGACGGTGTCTTGCTGGGTCACCCAGGCTGGAGTGCAATGGCGCCATCTCTGCTCACTGCAACCTCCACCTCCTGGGTTCAAACATTTCTCCTGCCTCAGCCTCCCAAGTAGCTGGGACTACAGGCACATGCTACCACACCCAGCTAATTTTTTTATTTTAAGTAAAGATGGGGTTTCCCCATGTTGGCCAGGATGGTCTCCATCTCTTGACCTCATAATCCGCCCGCCTCGGCCTCCCAAAGTGTAGAGATTACAAGTGTGAGCCACTGAGCCCGGCCTTGAAAAATATTCTTAATTAGTAAGGCAATATACAATGTAGTATGAAAAATCATTGTGGGATATAATCAAGCTGTAAGGAAATATCAAATATGTTTAAAAATGAATGTAATTATCATAGTGATCTTTTTAAAACCTGCATGAAACCATAGTAGTTCACTGCTTAAAACCCACAGTTACCAGTAAGAACTTGTAACATGGCTCAAAATCCCTTAAGATCTAGCCCTTGCCTACCTCTAAAGCCCCACCCTGTGCCGTTCTTTCCCTTTCTCCATATGCAATTCCTCTGACCAAATATGACCTCTTTGAATATTTGTTCTTGCTGTAAAACCCGTTGTATATGCTTTTTTCTTGGCTGGAAACATCTTCCAAGCTTCAGGTCTCATTTTAAACTCCTTGTGAATCTCCAATCTCTTCTTAACCTCCACCACCACCACCACCACCACCACCACTCCCCCACCAGACCAGCTCAGCTGCACTATGCAATTTCACTTAACCTCATCTTCAATAAATTTATGTCATATTATAATTAAACATTTTTGTGATTTGTAAGCTCTGTTAAGAAAAAAAAAATTCTCCTTTGCTTATCCTAAAAATCTTAGTTCCTATCACAGGACTTGACATATAACAGGAGCAAAACAAATATTTGTTGTAGGAATAAGTATTTTTTTTTTTTGAGACAGGGTCTAACTCTGTTGCCCAGGCTGGAGTACAGTGGCGTGATCTTGGCTCACTGCAACCTTTGCCTCCTGGGTTCAAGCGATTCTCATGCCTCTGTCTCTCAAGTAGCTGGGATGAGAGGTGCACGCCACCATGCCTGGCTCACTTTTTGTATTTTAAGTAGAGACAGGGTTTCACCATGTTGACCAGGCTGGTCTTGAACTCCTGAACTCAAATGATCTGCCCACCTTGGCCTCTCAAAGTGCTGGGATTACAGGCATAAGCCACTGCACTCAGTTTAGGAATAAGTATTCTTAAGCTCTTATTGTAATGATGAAATGGAAAGATAATTTAAAAAAAAGAGTCTGAAGACAACAAGAAGAGGTAAAGAGACTTTTAGTGAATACAAATTAATATAAATAATAAAGCCAGAAGAATGATGCAAAGAAAGCATAAAGGAAAAGGAAAATAAATCTCACTAAATGGTACAGGAAAAATGTCACTGTGTAAGTAGTATTTTAAGTAAATCTAAAGGAATGTGAAAGGCAGGCTTAAATTGTAAAAAATAGAAGCAAGGGATGCTACTGTGGTAGACAGAATAAAGGCCCCCTCCCAAAGATGTCTAGGTTCTAATCTCCAGAAGTTATAAATTGGTTACCTTACATGGCAAAAAGGACTTTGCATATGTGATTGAATTAAAGGTCTGGCGATTAGGAGATTAATATGGATTATCATCGTCGAACCAATGTAATCACAAGGGACCTTATTAAGAGGGAGGCAAGAGGATCAAGGTCAGATAAAGGAGATATAACAATGAAAGTGGAGGTTGGAGTGATGCACATGGAAGGTGGAGAAAAGGGCCACATGTCAAGAAATGCAGAAAGCCTCTAGAAGCTAAGAAAAGCAAGGAAATATATTCTTCTTCTGGATCCTCCAGAAGGAATGGGGGAACTTCCTCAATTTGATAAAGAGTATCTACAAAAAAAAAAAAAATTGAAACAACCTCAACAACAACAAAAAAACCCTACAACTAACATCACACTTAATTATGACAAACTAAGGAATTTTTCCCTAAGATCAGGAAAAAAAAGGCACGGATATGCTTCTCACATCTCCTATTCAACATCATACTGGAAGTCCTAGCTAATGCAATAAGACAAGAAAAGGTAAAGACATACAGAAGGAAGGAATGAAATAAAATTGTCTTCATTCAGAGATGATATGATTGTCTATTATAGATAATACACAGAGCTTCTAAAAGATAAAATGGGAAAAAATTTAGGTAAACTTGAGTTTAGCAATGAGATTTTAGATACCACATCAAAAGCAGGATTCATGAAAGAAAAAATTAATAAGCTGGACTGTACTAAAATTTAAAACTACTCTGAGAAGAACACTGTTAAAGAAATAAAAAGATGAGTTACAGAGTGGGAGAAAATATTTGCAAAACATATCTGATAAAAGACTTGTACACAAAATATGCACAAACTTTTAAAACTCAACAATAGGAAAAGAAACAATCCAATTGAAAAGTAGGCAAAAGATCTGAGCAATCACCTCAGCAGACAGTATACACAGATGGAAAATTAACATATGAAAAGATGCTCAACATCATATGTCATTAGGAAATTGTGAATTAAAACAATGTCATGCACTACATGCCTATTAGGGTGACTAAAATCTAAATCCCTGAAAACAGCAAATGTAGATAAATATGTGGACAAGCAGGAACTCCCAGTCATTGCTGGTGGGAATGCAAATAGTACAACTCCTTTTGAAAAGTTTGACAGTTTTTTCAAAACTAAATATGGTTTTAGCATATAATCAGCAATCATACTCCTATGTATTTGCCAAGTGAGTTGAACTCTTGCATCCATACAAAACCCGCACACAATTTTTAATGTGAGTTTTATTCACAGTTGCCAAATTTGGATGCAAGCAGGATGTCCTGCAGTAGGTAAATGAATAAATTATGGTAAATAGAGTCTTATTTTGTAATAAATGTAAATGAGCTATCAAGCCATGAAAAAACATGGATGAACCTTAAATACATATTTCTCAGTAAGAGAAATCAGTATGAAAAGACTACATACAATACAATTCTAACTATATGACATATTGGAAAACACAAAACTACACAGGCAGTAAAAACATCAGTAGTTGCCAGGGGTTAGGAAAGGAAGAAAGGAAAGGATGAATAGGCAGAGCACAGGACATTTTTATAGCAGTGGAACCATTCTCTGCTATGCTGTAATAATGGATGCATGATTAAGCATTTGTCAAAAGCTATTGAACTGTAAAACACAAAAGTGAGTCCTAACATAAACTACTGACTTTAGTTAATTATAATATATCAATATTAGCTCATCAATTGTAACAAATGTTTCACATCAATGCAAGATATTAATAACAAAAACTGTTGAGGACAGAGGGAATGGGGTCTAGGGCAGAGTAAATATGACCTTTCTGGACTTGCTTTAATTTCTCTGTAACCCTAAAAAAGCTCTGAGAAAGAAACTTTAAAAATTTTGAAAAAAAACATTTGACTAAAGATTGCTTAAAAGAAACAAATTTGCTGCCTAATGTATTGTTGTCACCAGGCAAAAAATAGACTTTAAAAAAATGGCTCATTTTCTACTTTTTATTTTGTTTATGTTTCTATTCTAGTCTATTTCTCCAACTCAAAAATGTTCTCCAAAAGTATTTTGGAACAGTTGTCAACTTATTAATAGAGGTAGCATTTCTGACATCAAGTGAGAATCAGTTCTATATTTCAAAGTAGAGCACAAAAAGGCTTGAATTCCTTAAGGATTCCACAAATGGCTTTGATATGGTTTGGCTGTGTCCACACCCAGGTCTCAACTTCAGCTGTATCTCCCAGAATTCCCACATGTTGTGGGAGGGAATCAGGGGCAGGTAATTGAGTCATGGGGGCTGCTCTTTTCTGTGCTATTCTCATGATAGTGAATAAGTCTCACAAGATCTGATGGGTTTATCAGGCATTTCCGCTTTTGCTTCTTCCTCATTTTTCTCATGCCACCACCCTGTAAGAAGTGCCTTTCACCTACCGCCATGATTCTGAGGTCTCTCCAGCCATGTGGAACTGTAAGTCCAATTAAACCTTTTTTTTTTCCCAGTTTCGAGTATGTCTTTATCAAAAGCATGAAAAAGAACTAATACAGTAAATTGGTACCAGTAGAGTGGGGCATTGCTGAAAAGATACCTGAAAATGTGGAAGCGACTTTGGAACTGGGTAACAGGCAGAAGTTGGAACAGTTTGGAGGGCTCAGAAGAAGACAGGAAAATGTGGGAAAGTTTGGAACCTCCTAGAGACTTGTTGAATGGCTTTGACAAAAATGCTGATAGTAATATGAACAATAAGGCACAGGCTGAGGTAGTCTCAGATGGAGATGAGGAACTTGTTGGGAACTGGAACAAAGGTGACTCTTGTTATGTTTTAGCAAAGAAACTAGAAGCATTTTGCCCCTGCCCTAGAGATTTGTGGAACTTTGAACTTGAGAGAGATGATTTAGAGTATCTGGCAGAGGAAATTTCTAAGCAGCAAAGCATTCAAAAGGTGACTTGGGTGCTCTAAAAAGCATTTAGTTTTAAAATGGAAACAGAGCATAAAAGTTCAAAAAATGTGCATCCTGACAATGCAATAGAAAAGAAAAATCCATTTTTAAGAGGAAATTCAAGCTGGCTGCAAAAATTTGCATAAGTAGCAAGGAGTCTAATTTTTTTTTTCCTTTTTTGGAAACAGAGTCTCACTCCGTCACCCAGGCTAGAGCTCAGTGGCATAATCTCCATTCACCACAATCTCCCAGGGGTTCAAGCAATTCCCCTGCCTTGGCCTCCTGAGAAGCTGCAGACACTCAATGCCAGACTGTGAAATCAGCCAGGAGGGAGACTGTCCCTGCAAAGCCCAGGGGCAGAGCTGCCCAAGACCATGGGAACCCACCATTTGCATCAGCGTGACCTGAATATGAGACCTAGAGTCAAAGGAGATCATTTCGGAGCTTTAAAATTTGACTGCCCTGCTGGATTTCGGGCTTGCATGGACCCTATAACCCATTTGTTTTGGCCAATTTCTCCCATTTGGAATAGCTAGATTTACCCAATACCTGTATGCCCATTGCATCTAGGAAGTAACTAGCTTGCTTTCGATTTTACAGGCTTATATGTGGAAGGGACTTGACTTTTCTCAGGTGAGACTTCGGACTGTAGACGTTTGGGTTAATGCTGAAAAGAGTTAAGACTTTGTGGGACTTTTGGAAAGGCATGATTGGTTTTGAAATGTGAGGACATGAGATTTGCGGGGGCGGGCAGGGGCAGAATGATATGGTTTGGCTGTGTCACCACCCAAATGTCATCTTGAATTGTATCTCCCAGAATTCCCACATGTTGTGAGAGGGTCTCTAGGGGAGGTTGTCTAATCATGAGGGCCAGTCTTTCTCATGCTATTCTCATGTTAGTGGATAAGTCTCACAAGATCTGATGGATTTATCAGGAGTTTCCACTTGTGCTTCTTCATTCCTTCTTGCTATGTGGCAAGAAGTGCAGTTTTCACATCCTAATGATTTCATCTCCTTTGTCCCAACCAATCAATGACCCCAATTTTCCAGGCCCTCACCCTCCATAATCCCCTTAAAAACCCTAGGGCTTGAGGATTCTGTTCACTTAGTGGCCTATTATTAAACTCTTTCTCTTCTGCAAACTTTGTTTTCTCAGTGTATTGGTCTATTGCTGTGCAGCAGGTACAGGAAACTGGCAATTGTATCGCAACATTATGGGAAAAGATGTCTGTGGGATAGGAATCCACTAAAGATCTATCCCGTGAGTTTCTGGATCCTTATGCCTCATCTTAATTTCCTAAACTATAGTTTATAATGCAATAGTATATCATGAAATTATTTTAGTGAGCCTAGTTTTATGTTACCTTTGCTGGGAAAAGAATATAATGCAATGGCATGAAATGAAATAGAATAGATCAGAGTTTAACACACATGCATGTGCATATATGTGCGTGTATGTAAGTTAATACTAGGTCGTGCTGCAAAAGGCATTACTATTTTGGGTCTAACAAAACATTTTGAAAGCCAGCTAACCTACATATTACATATTTTTAAGTTTTTGCAGCTTATTTCTTTCTTTATTCAGAATCCAGAAATAAGATTGAGAAAAAGAGATAGGCAGAGACACCAATGCATGTGACAGTGCCAATAAAATAAGCAATTTTCTTAAAACAAACACATTAGTTAATATGTGTTGCATTTTTAGATATTTAGTTGTTCATAGATATAAAGTGGTTCTACTGATATGTTGAATAACAGCAGATAATCAATGACCACTTATCAATAATTTATTCAGGAATGAACCAGCTGTGACCCACAGGCCAAATTCACTTACAATCTGTTTTTGAAAATAAAGTAGAATGCCATTTCTCACCACTTCTATTCAACATAGTATTGGAAGTCCTAGACACAGCAATCAGGCAAGAGAAAAAAAGAAAGTGCATCCAAATAGGAAGAAAGTCAAACTATCTATCTTTGTTTGCAAATGACATAATTTTATATCTAGAACACCCCATAGTCTCAGCCCAAAAGCTCCTCCAGCTGATAAACACCTTCAGTAAAGTGGCAGGATACAAAATCAATGTACAAAAATCACTGGCATTCTTATATACCAACAACAGCCAAACTGAGAGCCAAATCAGAAAGGCAATCCCATTCACAATTTCCACTAAAAGAATAAAATTTTGAGGAATACAGCTAGCCAGGGAGGTAAAAGATCTCTACAAAAGATCTCTACAAAGAGAATTACAAAACACTGCTCCAATCAGAGAAGACACAAACAAATGGAAATACATCCCCTGCTCATAAATAGGAAGGATCAATATCATTAAAATGGCTACACTACCCAAAGAAATTTACAGACTTAATGCTATTCCTATGAAACTACTAATTACATTCTTCACTGAACTAGAAAAAACTATCTAAAATTTGTATAGAACCAAAAAGATACAGAATGGCCACAGCAATCATAAACAAACAGAACAAAGCTGGAGACGTCACATTACCTGACTTCAAACTATGCTACAAGGCTACAGAAACGAAAACAGCATGGTACTGGTACAAAAATAGGTGCATAGACAAATGGAACAGAATAGAGAACCCAGAAATAAGCCCAAACATCTATGACCATCTGATCTTGATCAATGCTGACAAAAGCAAACAATAGGGAAAAGACTCCCTGTTCAATAAATGGTGCTGGGATAACTCACAAGCCATATGCAGAAGACTGAACTTAGACCCCTTCCTTACAACATACACAAAAATCAACTCAAGATGGATTAAAGACTTAAATGCAAAACCCAAAACTATAAAATCCCTGGAAGACAACCTAGGAAATACCATCCTGGACATAAGACTGGGCAAAGATTTCATGACAAAAACATGAAAAACAATTGCAACAAAAGCAAAAATTGACAAATGGGATATAATTAAACTTAAGAGCTTCTGCACTGCAAAAGAAAGTATCAACAGAGTAAACAGGCATCCTCTAGAATGAGAGAAAATATTTGCAAACTATGCATTCAACAAAGATCTAATATCCAGCATCTATAAGTAACTTAGTTTTACAAGAGAAAAATAACTACATTAAAAAGTGGGCAAATGACATGAACAGACACTTCTCATAAAAAGACATACTTTCAGCCAACAAGCACATAAAAAAAAAACTCAATACCAGTGATCATTAGAGAATTATAAATCAAAACCATTATGAGGTACCATCTCACATCAACCACAATGGCTATTACTAAAAAGTCAAAAAATAAGAGATGCTGGTGAGGTTGTGGAGAAAAAGAAACACTTATATACTGTTGGTGGGAGTGTAAATTAGTTCAACTATTGTGAGAAGCAGTATGGCAATTCCTCAAAGAGCTAAAAGCAGAACAACCAATCAACTCAACAATCCCATTACTGGGTATATATCCAGAAGAAGATGAATCATTCTGCCAAAAGACACTTGCACACAAATGTTCATTGCAACACTATTCACAATAGCCAAGATATGGAATCAACATAAATGCCCATCAATGACACATTGGATAAATAAAATGTGGTACATATATACCATAGAATACTATGCAGCCATGAAAAATAATGAGATCATGTCTTAAGTGGGAAAACAGGTGGAGCTGGAGGCTATTATCCTTAGCAAACTAATGTAAGAACAGAAAATCAAATACAGCATGTTCTCACTTATAAGTGGGAGCTAAATCATAAGAATTTATGAACACAAAGAAGGAAACAACAGACACTAGGATCTACTTGAAGGGGGAGAGTGGGAGAAGGGAGAAGAGCAGAGAAGATAAATATTGGGTACTAGACTTAATACTTGGATGATGAAATATCATGTACCACGAACCCCCATGGCACGTGTTTACCTATGTAACAAACCTGCACATGAACCTCCAAACCTAATATAAAAGTTAAAAAAAAAGAAAATAAAGTTTTCTTCTAAAACAGCAACACGTTTTATTTACATATTATCTTTGGCTACTTATAGGCTATAAAGGCAGTGATAAGTAGTTGCATCTGACTGCTTAGCCAACCAACCCTAAAATATTTACTTACATGAACCCTACAGAAAAAAAATGGTCAATGCCTGGTTAAAACAAATACTATACTTCACTGGCTATTAGATTTTGGCACTTGGGCAAGTTTGGAAAAATGGAATATATTTTCTTTTAAGAAAATGGGATATATTAATATAAGAGAAAAAACAAATATAACTTGGCCTTTAAGCAAATCGACAACACTTTCAAACAATTTGTTAAAAATAAAAAAAAGTATGGTATCATTTGTTAAATGCTTGCCTTTTGCTTCACTAATGTTTCCTCTAGCAAAACTTTTTTTTTCCTTTTTTTTTTTTTGAGACGGAGTTTCACTCTTGTTGCCCAGGCTGGAGTGCAATGGTGCAATCTCCGCTCACTGCAACCTCAGCCTGCCGGGTTCAAACGATTCTTCCGCCTCAGCCTCCTGACTAGCTGGATTACACGTGCTTGCCACCACGCCTGGCTAATTTTTTGTATTTTTAGCAGAGACGGGGTTTCACCATGTTGGCCAGGCTGATCTTGAACTCCTGATCTCAGGTGATCTACCCGCTGGGTCTCCCAAAGTGCTAAGATTACAAGCGTATTATATCTCCTTTTGCGTGCGAGAAAAGTGTGGTTTAGGGAGATTCAGAACTTAGCAAAATTTACTTAGTATATAATTTACCTAGAAAGCAATGCAGATGATACAAGATTTCAAGCCTGCTGAATTCCAAAACTATATTCTTAACAACTATAATGAGTGGTTACACTTTTGGTCCTGAACTATGAAGTGTCTCATCAATACACATAATCCCAAGTAAAAAAATAAAATTCAAATTAGATGCCCCACAGAGAATGAGTCCATTGTAACTTCCTTATTAAACAAAAAAATACACATTTATTTATTTGCATTGCAAGCATTCTCCTTGATAGAAAAGAAAAATGACTGAGACTATAGCTCATATAAGATTAATTAAGTGGTGTTATACAATCAGTTACCTACTGTCAGGGTGAATAGAGAAAGAATATACAACCATAGTAACTCATTAAAAATGGAATTATGCTTTGCCATCCTCCAGTTGTGCATCCTTAGCCAACACTATTAAACTGTCTGAGCTTCAAAGCTTTCATCACCAAAATGAGTCTAAGAAATTTGCCCTTGCAGAGATGCTGTGAGGATTTAATAAAATTGTGATACAAAACGCATAGAAACTAGTAGACAATAAATATTAAATGATTATGAAACACATTGGTTATATTGGAAGTATAAATTCCTTGCAACAATGTTTATTATAAATTGTACACATTCTCTAGTGGTATTGCAAAACAATAGGCTTTCATTTCTCTGAAATAATATAGGTCTGCTTTTCCTATCCGAGCAGGTAGATTTTATGAAAGTAGGCATCAATAATTGCTTGAAGCCTTGTCACTTCCTCCATCTAAGTAGTAGTAGTATCAGTTTACTGGACATAGATAAAGGCTTAGTGCTGACCTTACACTCCATGCAGGTTATGCATGTCTAACCTTGGCTCCCACCATTCCAGCTCATTGGTGCAAATGTTGTGTACTTAAAATTCTCAAGGGTTCTTGTCACTAACCTCATCCATTTCCAGAAGCCCACTTCTGTGAACTCTTTCCAATAATCTACCACTATTTCCTAGAAAATAAAATAGCTTGTAAAAAATAGAGTTTTAGGGTAAAACTTTACCTTTTAAAATCTTTACCTTTTAAGGTAATGGCTTAGTTAAAACACGGTCTCAAACCTAGTAGAAATAGCATTTTCTGCTAATAAATCTGTGCCACATACAAAACATACATATTCTGCACACATACTGTAAAAAAAAATTCTGTCTCTGTAGTTATTCTTTCAAAATTATTTTAAGTCCAAGAAAACTGTCATTTTCCAAATGACTGTAATAGGCAACAAATGCTACTCTATTATTAAAAGGCAAGCAACCCACTGCTTTATCATTGTCAAGATTCTTCTTCACTAACATTTCCTAAGCATTTACTATGCATTACTGTGTCCGGAATTGGTTCCTTCCGGTGGGTTCCTGGTCTTGCTGACTTCAAGAATGAAGCCTCAGACCCTCACAGTGAGTGTTACAGTTCTTAAAGATGGTGTGTCTGAAGTTTGTTCCTTCAGACATTCAGATGTGTCCAGAGTTTCTTCCTTCCGGTGGGTTGATGGTCTCACTGACTTCAAGAGTGAAGCCGCAGACCTTTGCAGTGAGTTGTTACAGCTCTTAAAGTTGTCACGTCCAGAGTTGCTTGTTCCTCCTGGTGGGTTCATGGTCTCCCTGACTTCAGGAATGAAGCCGCAGACCCTTGGGGTGAATGTTATAGCTCATAAAGGTTGTGCAGACCCAAAGAGTGAGCAGCAGCAAGATTTACTGTGAAAAGCAAAAGAACAAAGCTACCACAGCACAGAATGGGACCCAAGCGGGTTGCTTCTACTGGCTCCGGTGGCCAGCTTTTATTCCCTTGTTTGGCCCCACCCACATCCTGCTGATTGGTCCATTTTACAGAGAGCTGATTGGTCCATTTTACAGAGTGCTGATTGGTCCGTTTTTACAGAGTGCTGATTGGTGCGTTTTCAAACCTTTAGCTAGACACAGAGTTCTGATTGGTGCGTTTTTACAGAGTGCTGATTGGTGCATTTACAAACCTTTAGCTAGACACATAGCGCTGATTGGTGTGTTTACAATCCTTTAGCTAGACATAAAAGTTCTCCAAGTCCCCACCCGACCCAGAAGCCCAGCCAGCTTCACCTCTCATTACAATGCATTATACTGAGACAGCCAAATGCCTAGGCAGATAAAAAGAGGTCCCCAGAGAATCTCCAGCCCGCCCTACAAGTGTTTACATCAGATGCTTTTGAGCAGCTGAGGGAACCTGCCCAGGGCTTGTCTGGGCATGCCCACAGCAGACTGGAGCCCCACCTGTGCACTATGGGAAGTGGGTGGAACCATGGGGAATTCCTGCCTTATGCAAGGGAGGCATCTATTCTCTTCAGCTTTTGTGGTGACCTGGGAGTCAATCTGTGAGGTGGAGGGCCTGTTAGCAGGACTGCATTTCACTTTGCTGAGTTTTATTTTCCTTTTTTTCCCTTTTCACCCAATAAAATCCTGCTGTACTCACCCTTCAATGTGTCCCCATGCCTAAATTTTCCTGGTCGTGTGACAAGCTCCTAGTTTTAACTGAACTAAGGAGCAAAATTCTGCAACATTATTTAATATTCATTAAAATTCCATGAAGTGCTATTTAATGTATATGAAAACTAAGGCTTAACCATTCATAAGTTACCCCAAGTTTTACAAGTAGTAAGAAGAGTAAAAGGGATTAAGAGACAGCCTTATAGCCTTTTCTAACACTAAAGCATCTGCTCTTATATATTAAGAAATTATATTTGCATTTCAGTTGTGGTCATTTGGGATAGTATGTTCTTCACTTGCAAATAACTATTATTAAATTCAATGTGTGAAAGATTAGCAAACTTAAAAAAGGCCTATTACAACGACAGAGGGACGAAATTACCAAGATATTTATGGCTACTTTCACTTCATCAGATATGCAAAACAAAGTATGGTTTTAGGAGGTCTTTATAACAACTTCTTTTATACATTGACCAATGTATGGCATATAAAGGTCTTTAATATGAAATGAGACTTGTTAACAGCAAGCAAAAAATTTTACAAATCTTAAATCGAATGAAGACCAGCTTATTTTGCTTCTATAAGGCAAAATACTTTCACATTTGGCTCTCTGTTGACCTTCTGAATTTCAGTGGGGACCCAGGTACAACTGAGTGTGAATCTTGTCTTATGTGAAGCTCAACTCTGGCTTTATGTCATCATTCTTAATTTCATGAACCTAATATATGCTTGTTCCCCATTTCCATTTACCTTAAGCTTCAAAACAAAAGCAAATCTTATACTAATGGGTGTTTAAGTGCTGTCTTTCCAGGGCATATTTGCATTTTAAGCTTGGTAATTCTAATTTACAACACAAGACTTTTAACTTCTTTTCTTCTGGTACAGGATTTTTTTGACATTATGAGGTAATAGGACACGTAACTTATACAGTTAGCTGTTTCAGGAGACTAGTGCTATGGCCATAAAAAAGCACTGGTGTTTCACTGGGAAGTTTAAGGGAGGAATAAGCCAGATAAATTGTCTGGAGTCTTAGTCTTAGGAGCTGTGAACAGTGATAGAACCCTGTCCCTCCTGGATCCAGAGTCTAAATTGCACAGCCCAGGCATTTCTTCCTTCTTCCCTCCAACCTTCCTCTCTAACTCTTTGTCTTAACACAGCCATGTATCTTTAAGTGTGAAGAAGTCCAAATCTATAGATTTGGAAACCAAAAATAAAATTCAAATCCCACTCACCAGGCTGTCATTTGAATGAGCCTGCTCCTCCGCCAGGGCACCCTAAAATTTAACCTGAAAGACTGGTTCATGCCATGAAGTGAAGTGAGGGTTGAACATGCCTCATTTTATCCCTCCAGCATTAACATCAACACAGTCCTTAAGTCTGATAAGAAACATTTATAACCTATTATCTCTAAAGCCTGCTACTTGGAGGCTTCATCTGCATGACAACATCTAGGCCCCCACAACCCCTTATTGTAACCCAGACATTTCTTTCTATAGATAATAACTCTTTGAACCAAGTGACAATTAGAATATGTTTAAATCTACCTATGACTTGGCTGCCCCACCTCTGCACCACTGCTTTGAGTTGTTCTGCCTTTTCGGATTGAACCAATGCAAATCTTACTTTTATTGATTTTTATGTCTCCCTAAATAGTGTAAAAGCAAGTCGTAGCCCTCGACCTCCTTGGGCATAGGTCGTCAGGACCTCCTGAGACTGTGCCAATGGCGCATCCTTAACCTTGGCAAAATAAAGTTTCTAAATTAATTGTGACTTATCTCAGATACTTTTTGGTTTACAGATTACAGATTTTCTATTCACCCAAAAGTATTTTTAAAATATTGTGACATTTTTATAATAGCTTATGGCTGATTTTTATTTTGTCTATTTACAACTGGCTATGATCGTTGTAGTGAGTCAATACGTGAGTAGCATACCCTGTCCCTACTAATGCTGCTGTTATTGCTTTCTACGCTGCTTCTGAGACTAATCATTTCAAAACTCAACGCATAACTTATTTGCTGAGTGTATATATTAACATAGGGCAAAAGTAAAATTTCTATTTTTTTTGCTGAAGTGTCACTTGTTGCTTCATATTTATAGATGAATTAAAGATCAAATTATTACTTTTTATAAATCATAACTGAAAAGTTTTACCCTCAAAGAGATCGGTCTGACAATATATAAAATGCAGGATCATGGACTAAAAGTGAAAATTATACTGTGCTCTATGAGGTCACAGTGTAATTCCCCAAAGTAGTTATTTTTCAGTTTTATTCTGAGACAGTATAATTGATTTAATAAATTTGATCAATACTTGTTTGTTTCTACTACTTCTGATTGTGAATTTTTTCAGATAATTTAGATTACTGTTTAGTTCAACAGTGCAAATATTTTCATAAAAAATGAAAAGCAAACAAACTTAGACAAACTGAAAACTATAAAATTAACTTTACCACTGAAAGCTCAGGAATAAGCCCTAAATATATTTTCATAAATATCTCTACTTCCTGTTTAAAGATGAATAATCTTTTAGCTCTTAATTCCAATTACTCCCACATTTAATTTATGCCATGTTCTTAGGGCCTTGTCCAAACAAGCATCACTTCTCAATTCATTATCTTCCTAATCAAAACCCTGCCACCTCCCAATACCTGCTATTCAAGTCCCTTCAGACATTAATAGACAATCCTAGTGAGGAAGGAGAATAGGGCCTGGAGGCAGGGAACCTAAGGACTTCCTAGAACTAAATCAAGCTGAAACACTTCAGCTATGACAGGAAATAGCCTCTTCATTTACTTAGAGTGTACACCGAGTAAATGACTTTGTAACTTCACTTTAGCCACTTCATTTACATAGGGCGTGCACCAAGTAACCAATGGAAAACTCTAGAGGGTATTTAAACCCCAGAAAATTCTGTAACTGGGCCCTTAAGCCACTTGCTTGGGCCTACTCCCACCCAGTGGAGTGTGCTTTCATTTTCAATAAATCTCTGCCTTTGTTGCTTCATCCTTTCCTTGCTTTGTGTGTTTTTTCCAATTCTTTGTTAAAAACTCCAAGAATCTGGACACCTTCCATTGGTAACATATTTTAGCAAGCCAACTAAGAGGTAAGCACAAAGTTTAAGATTTATTTTTCTCCTTTTTCTTTCTGCTCCATACATGGGAATCTCAATCTCTCTCTCTCTCTCTCTCTCTTCCTTTCCCACTCAGGACCCTTGATGGGCGTGCAACAATTTTCAAGCAAGTTTCAAGTTCACATGAATTCAGTATAACTTTACTAAACAAGCTGGTTTTAAAATTATTCATAAAATAAAAATAGAAATGCCTTCAGAACTGTCAGCATACATTTTTGTCTGGATTCTATATTTGTCTCTTCTAGATATTTTCAGGTGTCGGGGTTTGGCATAGAAGGTTATTTACAGATTCAATGCCATCCCCATCAAGCTACCAATGACTTTCTTCACAGAATTGGAAAAAACTACTTTAAAGTTCATATGGAACCAAAAAAGAGCCTGCATCACCAAGTCAATCCTAAGCCAAAAGAACAAAGCTGGAGGCATCACACTACCTGACTTCAGACTATACTACAAGGCTACAGTAACCAAAACAGCATGGTACAGCTACCAAAACAGAGATATAGATCAATGGAACAGAACAGAGCCCACAGAAATAACGCCGCATATCTACAACTATCTGATCTTTGACAAACCTTAGAAAAACAAGCAATGGGGAAAGGATTCCCTATTTAATAAATGGTGCTGGGAAAACTGGCTAGCCATATGTAGAAAGCTGAAACTGGATCCCTTCCTTACACCTTATACAAAAATCAATTCAAGATGGATTAAAGACTTAAACATTAGACCCAAAACCATAAAAACCCTAGAAGAAAACCTAGGCAATACCATTCAGGACATAGGCATGGGCAAGGACTTCATGTCTAAAACACCAAAAGCAGTGGCAACAAAAGCCAAAATTGACAAATGGGATCTAATTAAACTAAAGAGCTTCTGCACAGCAAAAGAAACTACCATCAGAGTGAACAGGCAACCTACAAAATGGGAGAAAATTTTTGCAACCCACTCATCTGACAAAGGGCTAATATCCAGAATCTACAATGAACTCAAACAAATTTACAAGAAAAAAACAAACAACCCCATCAAAAAGTGGGCAAAGGACATGAACAGACACTTGTCAAAAGAAGACATTTATGCAGCCAAAAAACACATGAAAAAATGCTCATCATCACTGGCCATCAGAGAAATGCAAATCAAAACCACAATGAGATACCATCTCACACCAGTTAGAATGGCAATCATTAAAAAGTCAGGAAACAACAGGTGCTGGAGAGGATGTGGAGAAATAGGAACACTTTTACACTGTTGGTGGGACTGTAAACTAGTTCAACTATTGTGGAAGTCAGTGTGGCGATTCCTCAGGGATCTAGAACTAGAAATACCATTTGACCCAGCCATCCCATTACTGGGTATATACCCAAAGGACTATAAATCATGCTGCTATAAAGACACATGCACACGTATGTTTATTGAGGGGCACTATTCACAATAGCAAAGACTTGGAACCAGCCCAAATATCCAACAATGATAGACTGGATTAAGAAAATGTGGCACATATACACCATGGAATACTATGCAGCCATAAAAAATGATGAGTTCATGTCCTTTGTAGGGACATGGATGAAATTGGAAATCATCATTCTCAGTAAACTATCGCAAGAACGAAAAACCAAACACTGCATATTCTCACTCATAGGTGGGAATTGAACAATGAGATCACATGGACACAGGAAGGGGAATATCACACTCTGGGGATTGTTGTGGGGTGGGGGGAGGGGGGAGGGATAGCACTGGGAGATATACCTAATGCTAGATGATGAGTTAGTGGGTGCAGTGCGCCAGCGTGGCACATGTATACATATGTAACTAACCTGCACAATGTGCACATGTACCCTAAAACTTAAAGTATAATAATAAAATAAAAAAAGAAGGTTATAAAACTATAAACCCAGCCAAAACAAAATGATCTTGCTTTACATGCCTTTTTTTTTTTAAACAAATGAGAGTAATTCAGCATTAGCTAAATCTCCTGAGTTATTGGCAAAAACACCTATGTATTTAACTTTGAGAATCTTGCTTAGGTTTAGGTGAGCACCTGATGTTCACTGGCTAGTAAAAACATGGGTTAACAAGGAAATAACTAACTTTAAATGATAGTGTCTAATATCTCAGTTTACAGAATTAGTCTAGATAAACTGTTAAAGTGAAAGAATTGAGTACAGTGAATGAGATAAATGTTTTCAGTAAACTTTTTGTGTAAATTAAAATCTTAAAATTATTTTTAATGCTTATTGAATATTTGGGTCTTTTCCAATTAAGAAAGAGTTGTGATATGGGGAAATCTGTTCCTAAAATAGTGGCATTATTCTTATCTATAAATACTCATATCTGATAGTTCAGGATTTCTTGCTTTTTAGGGTTTCAGTAAACCTTTAGGTTACTAAGGATAAGAATTCTAGTAAACACAAAATTCTGTATATACAATGTGCCAGAAAGGATTGTGTTATTAGTGAGAAAAAGAATAATTTTGTCTAATTCAGAAGTTATCTAAAAGTTAGTTCAAATTATAGATTTGAAAAGATTATTTATGAAACAATGTAGTAACGAACCAGTAAGTAGGGAAGAAAGATGTGGAAACAGTTTAGATAATAAAATATTCTTTAAAGCCTGATAGAGAATTGACTTCATTCTTTACTTGCTTTCTTTGTGCATTTTGTCCAATTCTTTGTTCAAAATGCCAAGAACCTGGAGACCCTCAACTGGTAACACTAGTTACCTGATGCACTGCCTTCTTTCACTATTATGTGTAATAAATACTGGCCTCAAGTTCAACACTTCCACCTCTTTGCATTACACATCCATCACAACCCTCAAACATTTATTTAAATGCGTTATCCTAGAATTGTTCCCCCATAATTTATGTCATAGTGGCCAAGTTCACTAGACCTTTTTCTTGGTTGGCTTGTCTTAGACTTCAATACCATTCTTACTCCATTAATAATACTTCCCCCCTCAACTTTCCTCAAAATACTTTTCTTTCTTCTCCTCTCTGTCTACCATTTTCTGCATGTCTACCAGTTTGTTTTCCTTTAACTAGAACCTGAACTCAGATGATAGATAGGTAGATTAGATAGATAGATAGATGGATAGATAGATAGATAGATAGATAGATAGATAGATAGATAGATAGACATAGATATATATAGCGATATATACAGGTGATCAGGTGATTGCTTTTTCTTTTGAGCTGTGGACGTACATGTCCAAGTTGATAACTTAATGGTCATTTGGATAAACCTTAGACCATTCAATCTCAATATAGATAGTCTCACTACGTATATAAAATCTGTTCTTTTTGGATATTCTTGTGCAATAAGAGAGTTGAGAATTTTCCTCCAGTCATCCTTTCCCTCATTCTCACTTCATCAAGTTCTCTCAAGTCTAGATTCTCGTTCTCTCTATACTGCTGTACTTTCACTATCCCACAATCATCGCCTAAGTTCAGTTCCATTAACGTTTTTGGCTTTCTACCTTTGCCTTCAGCCTAAAATATTGCTACTTTCTTCCTGGTTTCAACACCTGTCAACCTTTTATTCATGCCTGAATTTGATCTTGATTTTTAACCCATCATTGTCTCTCCTATTCCTTCAGTATAAAATCCAAGTTAATTAACATACCTATGCCAACTAAACTTCTCACCTCATACTTCCTGTGATGGTTAATGTTGAGTGTCAACTTGATCGGACTGAAGAATGCAAAGTATTGCTTCTGGGTATGCCTATGAGGGTGTTGACAAAGGAGATTAACATTTGAGTTAATGGATGGAGAGAGGCAGACCCACTCTCAATCTGGGTGGGCAACATCGAATCAGTTGCCAGCATAGCTAGAATAAAGCAGGCAGAAGGTGTTGGAAAGAGCAGACTTGCTGAGTCTTCCAGCCTTCATCTTTCTCCCCTACTGGATGCTTCCTGCCCTCTAACATCAGACTCCAAGTTGTTCAGCCTTGGGAATCTTGGCTTAAACCAGTGATTTGCCAGGAACTCTGAGGCCTTCAGCAACAGACTAAAGGCTACACTGTCAGCTTCCCTGCTTTTGAGGTTTGGAGAGTCCAACTAGCTTCCTTGTGCCTCAGCTTGCAGATGGCTTATTTTGAGACTTCACCTTGTGATTGTGAGTCAATACTCCTTAATAAATTCCCCTTTATATATACATGTATCCTGTTAGTGCTGTCCCTCTAGAGAACCCTGGCTAATACAGATTTTGGTCCCAGGATTGGTTTTAGAGGAAGAGAATTTTAAGGATGGATTTCTTTAGTTGGTTTGGGGGTTTCTGGAGTTGGCTGCTTAATACGATTAGACCCAAAAATGCTAAGGACTCTACTTCTAATAGTATGGAGAACACTCATAGTCCTTGGCATAAACTGTTTAGAGATTTAGGCAAAATAAATGCATTTGATATTCCTGATTCACTACTCATGAAAGGCAAGGAGTTTAGTGACTCTGTACATACTTTTGACCATATTGGAGAACCAAGAAATGTAATGAAGTTGGCTGGTTGTTCCTAAGTTCACTGGACAAAGTGATGAAAGAAAAGGATGAGCTAAGAGCATCTAATTCCCAGCTCCAGAAGCACATACTTGAGCCTCAATCTTCTAAGATTGCCCTGAGTGAGAGTCTTATCTCCTGTAGGCAAAGGGCTGAAATAGTGAAAAATAGGACACAAACTCTTATCATGAGAGTGGCTGACCTGCTATGAAAGGTGCACACTCAGTCTTGCCAAGTGTCTACTGTTAAATTGAGGGCCTTGATTGCAAACTAATGGCACCCTGCAACTTGGAATGGGGACATGAGGGAGGACACTAATGAAGCTGGTGACACTGAGCTTGTAAACTCTGATGAGCCCTGTCTGTCAGAGAAAACAGCCTCCCCAACCCCAGTGGTGGCAACATCCTCTCTCCCACCCATGCTGCCATCAGCCTTCCCACCTTTGTCTGAGGAAATTAACCATGCACTGCCTGAGGCAACAGTGATGGCCTGCCCTGAGGCAGTTACCAGGAAAGACAATGCCTATTCTCCTCAGAAATCCCCCAACACCCCAACTCTCCTGTTTGCTTCTAGGCCCATGACTAGACTTAAGTCCCAGGAGGCCCCTAGAGGTGATGCTCAGAGTGTTACCCACAAGGAGATGTGCCACACTCCAAAAGAACTCCTTGAGTTTTCTGATTTCTATAAGAAGAAATCTGGAGAATAGGCATGGGAATGGATATTAAGGGTGTGGGATAATGGTGGAAGGAACATAAAGTTGAATTTATTGATATGGGCCCACAAAAGAGGGATCCTGCATTTAATATTCCAGCTCAGGGAGTTAAAAAAAAAAGGTTATAATAGTTTATTTGCTTGGTTAGCTGAAAAATGGATCAAAAGATGGTCCACTATGAGTGACCTGGAGACGCCTGTTCTTCCTTGGTTTACTATAGAGGAAGGGATTCAAAGGCTTAGGGAAATTTGAATGCTAGAGTGGATTAGTCACTTTAGACCTACTCATCTCAGCTGGGAGGGGCCAGAAGACAAACCCTTCACCAATACTTTGTGAAAAAGATTTGTGAGGGCAACACCTGCAGCTTTGAAAACTCTGTGATTGCTCTTCTCTGTATGCCAGATCTTACAGTGGGAACCACAGTCACTCAACTACAAAATGTAAATGCAATGGGAAGAATTGGATCCCAGGGTGACTGGAGCCAAGTTATAGCACTCAACCATCAAAGCAAAGGTGGGTATAGTTACTGTAATGGATGCAGAGGCAAAGCAGCAATCAGAATAATCTGACTCACATGGAATTCTGGAGTTGGTTAATTAATCATGGTGTTCTTAGAAGTGAAATTGATAAAAAGCCTACTACATTCTTACATAATTTGTATAAGCAGAAAACTTCCATGCTGAGTGGACAAAAGACTTATTTGAATTATAAATAGAGACTCACAGCTCCCCAATCAATTTCCAGACTTGAACCAGTTTACAGACCCAGAATGCCTGAGCAAAGAGAAGATGGGTCCCCTTGAGGGAGGACCCTACTATGCTACCGAAAATTTATACTGTTAATCTTTCTCTCATTCTTCCCCAAGGAGACCTCCAGCCTTTTACCAGAGTAACTGTGCACTGGGGAAAGAGAAATAATTAGATTTTTAGGGGACTATTGGACACTGGATCTGAGCTGATGTTGGTTCCAGGAAACCCAAAACGTAATTGTGGTTCTCTAGTTAAAGTAGGGGCTCCTGGAAGTCAGTTAATTAATGGAGTTTAGCTCAGGTCTGACTTACAGTGGGTCCATTGGGTCCCAAAACTAAACCTGTGGTCATTTGCCCAGTGTCAGAATACATAATTGATATAGACATACCTAGCATCTGCCATAATCCCCACATTGGCACCTGACTATTAGGGTGAGGGCTCTCATGTGGGAAAGGCCAAATGGAAGCCATTAGAGCTGTCTCTACCGAGAAAAATATTAAATCAAAAACAATATCCCATCCCTGGAGGGATTGCAGAGATTAGTGCCATCATCAAGGATTTGTAAGACACAAGGGTGGTGATTCCCACCACATCCCCATTAAACTCACCTATTTGGCCTGTGCAGAAGACAGTTGTATCTTGGAGAATGACAGAAGATTATCTCAAGCTTAACTAAGTGACAATTCCAATTGCAGCTGCTGTACAGATGTGGTTTTATTTCTTGAACAATAAGACATCCCTGATGTCTTATAAACAATATCCTGGTATGCAGCCATTGATTTGGCAAATGTCTTTTTATCCACCCCTGTCCAAAAGGCCCACCAGAAGCAATTTGCCTTCAGCTGGCAAGGTCTGAAATATACCTTCATTGTCCTACCTCAGGGGTAAAGCCACTCTCTGGCTTTGTGTCATAATCTTGTTTGCAGAGATCTTGATCATTTTTTGCTTTCACAAGATATCACACTTATCCATTACATTGATGACATTATGCTGATTGGATCCAGTGAGCAAGAAGTAGTAAACACACTGGATTTATTGGTGAGATATTTGAGTGCCAGGAAGTGGGAAATAAATCTGACTAAAATTCAGGGACCTCCTATCTCAGCAAAATTTCTAGGGGTCCAGTGGTGTGAGGCCAGTTGAGATATTTTCTATCCCATCTAAAGTGAAGTATAAGTTGCTGCATTTGGCCCCTCCTACAACCAAGAAAGAAGCACAATACCTAGTGGGCCTTTTGAATTTTGGAGGCAAAACATTTCTCATTTGGTTGTGTTACTCTGACCCATTTATTCAGTGACCTAAAAGGCTGCCAGTTTTGAGTGGGATCCAGAATAGAGGAAGGCTCTGCAACAGGTCCAGGCTGCTGTGCAAGCCGCTATGCCACTTAGGCCATATGACCCAGCAGATCCAATGGTGCTTGAGATGTCACTGGCAGATAGAGATGCTGTTTGGAGCCTTTGGCAGGCTCGCATAGGTGAATCACAGTGGAGGGCTTTAGGATTTTGGAGCAAGACCTTGCCATCTTCTGCAGATAGTTATTCTCCTTTAGAGAGGCAGCTCTTGACCTGTTACTGTCTTTTAGTAGAAACTGAACATTTGACTATAGGTCTTCAAGTCCCCATGTGACCTAAACTGCCTATCATGAACAGGGTGCTTTCTGACCCATCTAGCCATAAAGTGTGTCATGCACAGCATCATTCCATCATCAAATGGAAGTGGTATATGTGTGATTGGCCTCAAGCAGGTCCTGAGGGCAGAAGTAAGTTAAATGAAGAAGTGGCTCAAATGCCCATGGTCTCCACTCCTGCCTTCTCTCCCCCAGCCTGTATTGATGGGGAGTTCTCTATGATCAGTTGACATGTTCTGCATGATATGCAGACGCCACCTGAAAGTGGACAGCTGCAGCACTACAGCCCCTTTATAAGACATCCCTGAAGGACAGTGCTGAAGGGAAATCTTCCCCGTGGGCAGAACTTTGAGCAGTGCACCTCGTTGTGCACTTTGCTTGGAAGGAGAAATGGCCAGATTTGTGATAATGTACTGATTCATGGGCTGTAGCCCATGGTTTGCCTGGATGGTCAGGGACTTAGAAGAAATATAATTGGAAAACTGGTGACAAAGTAATTTGGGGAAGAGGATGCACTTCTCTAAGTGATCAAAAACTGTGAAGATATTTGTATCCCATGTGAGTGTTCATCAACAGGTGACCTCCACAGAGGAGGATTTTAATAATCAAGTGGATAGGATGACTCATTCTGTGGACACAACTCAGTCTCTTTCCCCAGCCACCCCATCATCACCCAGTGGGTCCATGAACAAAGTGGACGTGGTGGCTTGGATAGAGGTTATTTATGGGCTCAGCAACATGGATTTCCACTCAGCAAGGCAGACCTGGCTACAGCCACTGCTGAGTGCCCAATTTTCCAGTAGTAGGTACCAACACTGAGCTGTCAATATGGCACCATTCCCCAGGGTGATCAGCCAGCTACTTGGTGGCAGGTTGATTATATTGGACCTCTTCCATCATGGAAAGGGCAGAGGTTTGCCCTCACTGGAATGAACATTTACTGCAGATATGGGTTTGCCTATCCTGCATGCAATACTTCTGCAAAGACTACCATCCATGGACTCATGGAATGCCTTATCCACCATCATGGTATTCCACACAGCATTGCCTCTGACCAAGGCACTTACTTTACTACTTAAGAAGTGCAACAATGGGCTCATGTTTATGGAATTAACTGGTCTTACCATGTTCCCCATCATCCTGAAGCAGCTGGATTGATAGAACTGATTGGAAGGCCTTCTGAAGTCACAATTACAACATCAACTAGGTGACAATATTTTGCAGGACTGGGGCAAAATTCTCCAGAAGGCTGTGTATGCTCTGCATTAGCATCCAATACATAGTACTCTTTCTCCCATAGCCAGGATTCGTGGGTCCAGGAATCAAGGAGTGGAAGTGGAAATGGCAAGGATGCAAACAGGTCCAAGCTGCTGTGCAAGCTGCAGCCTGGACCTGTTTGGTGAGCTTGATGGTGAGCCTGGACTCACCATCACCCCTATTGACTCACTAGCAACATTTTTGCTTTTTGTTTCCATGACACTACATTCTGCTGGCCTAGAGGTCTTAGCCAAAGGGAGGAATGCTGCCACCAGGAGACACAACAATGTTTCCATTAAACTGGAAGTTAACATTGACACCTGGTTACTTTGGGCTCCTACCTCTAATTCAACAGGCTAAGAAGGGAGTTACAGTGTTGGCTGGGGTACTGACCAGGACTATCACAAGTAAATTAGTCTACTACTCCACAGTGGCGGTAAGGAAGAGTATGCATGGAATACAGGAGATCCCTTAGGGCATCTCTTAGTATTACCATGCTCTGTGATTAAGGTCAATGGGAAGCTACAACGACCCAATCCAGTCAAGACTATAAATGATGGAGACCCTTCAGAGTCACTCTACCAGGTAAAAAACCACTACTAGAGGTGCTTGCTGAAGGTAAAGAGAATACAGAATGGGTAGTAGAAGAAGGTAGTCATCAATACCAGCTATGACCACGTGACTAGTTGTAGAAACGAGGACTGTAATTGTTATGAGTATTTCTCCTTATTTTGTTAAGAACGTGTTTGTGCATGTATACACTTGTATTAAGAAAATATTTTCATTTTACTTCCTTTCCTTTTCCTTTATCATGTGACATAAGATTTATTGACTTTATAACTGCATTCAAGTGTTGTTAACTTTATGTAATAGCATTTAGGTTAAGGATTAGTGCACATCCTGTTATATGAAGGATACCTGTACTGTGTTTGGAGTAATTATCACCTTATTATTGTCTTTATTTGAAGATTACGTATGATTCAGGAGATGTGTATGGGTTCAATCTGAAAAGGTGTGGACTTGTGATGGTTAATATTGAGTGTCAACTTGATCAGATTGAAGGATGCAAAGTACTGATCCCAGGTGCGTCTATGAGGGTGTTGCCAAAGGAGATTAACATTTGAGTTAGTGGACTGAGAGAGGCAGACCCACCCTCAGTCTGAGTGGGCACCATTTAGCAGCTGCCAGTGAGGCTAGAATAAAGCACGCAGAAGAATTTGGGAAGAACAGACTGGCTGAGTCTTCTGGACTTCTTCTTTCTCCCATGCTGGATGCTTCTTGCATTCAAACATTGAACTCCAACTTCTTCAGCTTTTGGACTCTTGGACTTACACCAGTGATTTAACCAGGGGCTCTCAGGCCTTCAGCTATAGACTGAAGGCTGCACTTTCGGCTTCCCTACTTTTGAGGTTTTGGGACTCGTACTGGCTTCCTTGCTCCTCAGTTTGTAGATGGTCTATTGTGGGACTTCACCTTGTGATTGTGTGAGTCAATACTCCTTAATAAACTTCCCTTCATATATATATCTATCCTATTAGCTCTGTCCCACTAGAGAAACCTGCCTATACACTTCCCAATAGAAAGTTTATTTTCCAGCCAAAAAAACATCCTCTGTATTTTATGATTGAATGTCACTTCCTCAGGACTCTCTGTTTTTACACATTCTCTGCTGAAACATCTCTCTTTCTCTGGCTAATTACTTTTTATGCTTTGGGCTTAGAAAACCAATTACCAAATGTGGGAACCTATCTCTGATCTACAGTGCTAGATAGGTCCTCCTCCCTGCTCCCAGAGCACACTGAACATGACCACTTTTACAGTATTTATTATTCACTGCTGTAAGTATTGATGTTCTTCTGAATCTCCTCTGATAAATTTCTTTGGGACATGAAATGTGTCCTATTCTTTGCATCTACTATGCCTAGTAACCTTGGCTAATCTCAAATGTTCATGGAAAAAACAGTATTTTTGTTTATAATAAAAACAAATAGACAATCAAATTCATCACAAATTGATGCATTAATAATAAAACAACAGTGTTACTTATCACCCAATATGGTAAAACTGAATTATGGACAAATAATCAATCTTTGAAGGAGAATTTTGAGGCCCCAAATATTTATGAGCAGGGTGTGATTTGGACTTTAAAGAGAGTATACTCGTTAGTGTCCTCTTTCTGATGAAGCCAAAAAGAATAATAGAAGAGGAATGAATTCTTGGAAGGTGGAATCAAGGGCCATGGAAAACAATAGAGAGCTGCACCTGAGCCAAAACTGTGGCCCTAAGAGGGAAACATTTTCTATCTCCAAGGCCGAGGTGTAGCATAATATTCATTCAGCAGGACCTGAGAACCACTGCTACAGGCTTCTCATTCTTTTGCTTTCTAAATAGTAGTGTCTTTCTCAAAGTCTGCTAGACTTTGTAATATACAGTGACTAAAGATTTTGCAATATATTTTTCAAAAATCAAGAGACATGCCAGGAATAAAAGGCCAAAATTCTGACCTTTCTTTTGCATTTCTTGACAAAATGAAGGACAAAATACATAAAAATTCCCCCTACCTCACTGAATTTGTACTTGACGTGGCTCTCTGCCTGAAATGTTCTTCTCATAAATATCCACATTACAAATCCCCTTACTGTCTTGTAGTCTGCGTTCAGATGTAAATTAATCAGAGAAATCTTCCTCAATCACTTGTATAAATTAGCAAGACACACCAATACAACTTCACTTCCTATTTGATTACCATGGTGTATGCTTGGACTGAAGTACTTACCACCATCTAATTTTTGTTTTTGTTTATTTTTGTGTGCCTACCCTCTCTTTGCTGTAAGGGCTGTGAGATTCAGGACTTTGTTGTATTCGCTGCTATTACCTCAGTGCCTAGAAGAGTGATTGGCACAAAGTAGGAACTCAGTGTTGAATAAACGATTGAATGGGTTATAAACATTAATTCCTTAATAAAAAGACCTTTTTCTCCTTTCTTTATGTAGCAGTCCAACTGATCCTTGAAACATGTAAAGCATATCACATCACTCACCACTACACTTAGGCCACTTATATGCACAAATGTTTAAATGCCTTATTAACTACTTTTAATCATATTGGCCTTAATTCTATTTCCTCACCATTCCAAGGTTTTTTTGTTTGTTTGTTTTTGTTTTGATCTCAGGGCCTTTTTTTTTTCTGAAACACACTGCTAGATTTTCCATGGTGGGCTTGTTATTGTAGTATGAATGGCAAATATCTCAGCATACATATCACGGCCTCAGAGTTTCTTCCCTGAAGTATTCCACATACACCTTCATATATACAAGCAGATGGGCACACACATGTGCAAACACACACATTTCTCAGTCTCCATGCTAGGCTCATCATTGCATTTATCAAAATCTGAAATGTTTTAATTTATTTGTTCCCTGGCTTGTGAGTTGTTTTATCTTCCACTAGGCAATAAGCCCCATGAGAGCAGGAACCTTATCTGTGATTCATCTTATCTATTTCATTCACCATCAAGTTCCCAGTACCTAAAACAACATCTGATGTATGGAAGACACTTAATAATTACTGAATGAACAAATGAACCTTACATTCAGCCTAAATTTTAGTGCATTAAGACATTTTACCTCAATTTTCTACATGAATATCATTTAGTTGACAACGACCTGTGTTCCAGTTGTAGGTCTTTGCAAATCCTATGGACCTCAATATTAAGTGGACTAATTTATGGTGACCCTTTAATTTCTAAAGTTTTATAATGCAACAGTCAATTAAATATCAAATGTCATCTCAATTATGTATATTGAAGTATTTGCTATAGTTAGTGTTTAGGAAGTTCAATATTCCACGGACTTACTCTTTAAAGGAGAATAAAGTAATATCAGTGTATCTTATATAGATATGGCTAAAAATGTGTTGTTACTGAGCAAAGCATTTAAGCTTTACTGTTGTCAGCACTATCCAAAGAAAAGGAATTCCTACTTAAATAAACTTTCCAAATCTAGGCAACCTAGCTCTAGGCTTAGCATCAGCTGGTTGGTTGAGTCAACCTCAATAAAAGATGACTGTTTCTAGAAAAATTGGGAAAGTAAGAGTCAGACAAACCTGTATCAGTTCATGTTTTAGCCACTGTAGGTAAATTACATAATCTTTTCAACTCTCTCCACATCGTATCCAAGTGATCATAATATGTGTGTTGTAAGGGCTAGAAATATGTTTAATATGCATAACATAACATACCATTTGTAATGTATTAGATGCAAAATAAGCTCTATAGGCTGTTATTAAGATATTGAGTCATATGATGGTAGGAAATTTTTTTATTAATGTTTAATAGGATTGTTCTTTTCAAAACATAATATAATGGTGAAAATGGAAATGTATTTAGATGTAAAGAAAGTTATGCAGAAGTTTTCTTAAAATATCAGCAAAACGTGATCAATACTAGTTGCTAGTAATATGTGTACATATTTGACCTGTGTATGAGAATGAGTCCCAGATCAAATGTAATTAGTAACAGTTGATAATGAAAATATTATTTTAAAACAGGGAGATTTTTCAGATAAGAAATGTCAGAAATGAATATATTACTGTAAACACAACAACATAATTGTACCATTTATTGAGTTCCTGCAATTTCACTAGGAACTCTATGTCTAGTTCTATGTATAGCTGCTATTTAAAAATACTCAAAACTAGGTAATTTTTAAAGAACAGAAACTTACCTCTCACAGATCTGAAGTCTGGAAAGTCCAAGTTCAAGCTGTCAGCATTTGGTGTCTGGTAAGGGGCTTTTGGCCATGTCCTCAACATGGCAGAGAGGGTGAACATTGTGTCCTCACATGGCAGAAGGGCAAAAAGGACCCAGGCTAGTTTTCTCTAACCTTTTTATAAGGCACTAATCTATTCATGATTTTGGAGCCCTTGTGACTTAATCAATTCCCCAAAAGGCCTCACGTCTTAAAACTAGTACAATGAAGATGAAGTTTCAACATGAATTTTGGAGGGAACATCATTATTCAAACCTCCAAGGAGGATGTAGTATCTTAATTTTACAGATTAAGGACATGAGGGTTTCATTCTGTGACATAACATATGCTTTCCAAATATAACCATAAAATTAATACAAAAGTTAATTAAACCAAAATAGCTTGAATAGATTTTTCTCTTATAAAAATAAAAAATGAATAGATACATACCTGTAACCATGTGAGATTTCTTAGCTTATTTGAAATCTATGAATCTATGCATACATTCAATAAAGTATCTAACATGATATTATTTAGTGAATTTTAGGTGAAGTATTTATAATATGTTTGTTTCGCAAAGCAATTAGAAACTGAGTCTGTATGACTTGTTGTTCTCTTTACTGCCTTGGGTTAATTTCAAGATGGTAATCTTTGGGGTTCATTGGCTTCCTCCCTGATTCTCATTAAGTAATTCTGTTCTAAATCTCTGATTATGGTGCAACTTCTAACTACTCAAGGACAAGAAAAAGATTAGATACTTGCTTGATTTAGAAACACAAGAACCCCAAGGAACTAACCTAAACTTTCAGTGCCTAGAGTAAGGAGATTTGAAAGCCTGTCACATCTAGGAGACATCTATCAGAAAAATACATGTATCAAAAGTCAGGCATTATAAGCTTATAGAAATCCACCATAACCAAAATTATTTTAGCAAAAATTATTTTCACTAACTACATTTTAATGCTTCTCATATCACAGATTTCTAAAAGTAAAATAGTATAAACTATTGAATAAACCCTTTTGTACTTCTACTTAAGACAAAATATGTAGCAAATGAGCTCTTTGACACGGCATTAATTGATATTATTTTACTTGAATTTCATAAATAATGAACTAGATATTATATACCTCAAGGCAGAAACATGTCTTTGCAGGTTTTATATTTTCTATGACATCATATACGATCCAAACTGTAAATAGAGTTGAACCAAATGTTCCCCCATTTAAAGCTGGCCACAGCAAAGATTTCAGTTTTATCCCATAATATATTAACATGCTATGGGCAAGAGCACAACCAAACCTTATAAAAGAGGCACCTGTGGTTTTTAAATTAAGCCCATTTGCTGTAATTAGCCAGCTTTATTTTTCATAAGCCCACTTTTTTCATTGTTTTTTAAACTATCCCTGTGGTGGTCATAAACACCATGCAGTTTTTATGGGGGAGGATTTTGTTTCTCAAAACCCCAGGTGAATTGAAATCAAATCACCTAGGCCACTACTAAAGGAAAGAAATAAAAAAAGAAATTGCGGGCTCTGGTTAACTCAGCTCTAGTTGTAGGCGATTCAATCTAAATAAAATTGACTGGCATTAATGCAGTTCTGTCTTGTACAATCTCAGTAGATTTACCTTTCCCTTGGAGGTTAATTTCCAGCATGGTTATTATTGATTCACAGCTTACATTTCTGCATGATTAACCCTTTAAAAATAACTGTGCATCCAAAAAGAAACACAATTTGAAATAAAATCTCAAGGAATTCCATAGAATAATTGTGGCCATTTAAAAAAATTTGAAATATATTTAAGAATAGCCAATGATGTTTAAAATCAATGCAAAACAATTACAGATTTGATACATATCAGATAACCTTTTTAGAATTATTTGAGCTTTCCTTTTTTTCCAGATGTACTAAAATTTTTCTCAGAAATTCTATGATGATTTAGCTAAAAATATTTTACATATATTGCTTTGCTTAGCACTAGTCATAAAAAGAGAAGCATTTGCTCTTTTGTGTATCAGAGCAAGATTTGCAGAAGTTTTATCATGGGCCTTTTTTCTTGTAAAGCAAAAAAGGCATAACCAGAAATGACAGACACTTAAAAAAAAAGTTCTCAGACTAGTATATGGTAATTTCAATATTCTAATGAAAAGAATTTGAGTAAAAAAAGCATTCCTACTATTCTGGAAAACTGGCAAACGCCCCTGTTTATAGTCAATAGCTGATATGGGTAAGAAAAAATATAAATACTGTACTTGATTCTTTCAAGTCTATTTGTTCTTTGATGTTATTGTACAATGACTCTTAATAAGAGCACTATGTTTCACAGGTGGCAAGGAAAATAGATATATGTGGATGATCTCATATAAGAGTGTATTTAAGCATGAAAATTTTATCAAGGACACGAAAATGATCAAACTTGATCAGCATAATTTCAAATCTAAAAATTGATTAAAAGGAAATACATAGAAACTTTGACACAGTGTATAGAGCACACGAAGATATTAATTTTACTGGTGTTAAATAAATCATAAATTTAAAAAAATCTCAATTCCAAGCTAAAGAAATAGATACCCAAATCATAAAGTATCTACTTGAAAAAATATTTTCCAAAACTACTAAGTATAATTTGTTGTTTTAATCTATTCCGAAAATAGTTTGGCATTGCTAATAGAGTGGAAAACATAGGTAATCTGTAACACATTCATTCCATCTGTATGATATGCCCTAGAGAAATTCATACTCTTCATCATAAAATATCTATGTACGAAGATGATTACAGCAGTGTGGTTTCTGATAGCAAAGTAATGAAGACACCTCAGATGTTGTCGCTAATAGAATAAATTAAAATTTTGTGATATAGTCATATAATATTGTACAACATACATAAAAAGGCCTAGTCATATAATGTCATTGATACAATGTTTAAAATTTATTAAATACTTAACACAATGTTGAGTTGTTTTAAAAGTAGGCTACAAAATAAAACATACAGTATAAGTTCATTATGTGAATTTTTTAAAAGAAAAAATATACCATATTGCTTATGGAGCATATGTAGTTGATAAAGATTATGTAACAATGAGATAATAATTTTTATAAATTTAAAAATTAGCAAATATTAATGTTAGTAAACACTTACTGAATTGAGGAACTAAGAAGTAATCCACAGTAGGCTTCTTCGTGTGAATTTAGTTCATAAATGTGTGTTATATTTCACAATACATACTTTTAAATGGATAATTTCAAACTTAATTATTGAAGGGAGAAAATAGCTATGCTATAATATTAAATATGATAGCATACAAATTTTATTTCCTTTGTGCATGCATGTGTGTACATATATGTCTCTGTGTGTATTTACATATATAGTTATATAAGATGGGAAAAAGGAAACAGAACAATGGAAGAAAGAACTGGTGAACATCAGGTTACTTCAGGTTACTTTTTTGTAAGGGTTAAAGCAGAGTGACCTCCTTATTACTCTGATGCAGGTAGATTGGAATCTTCTGTTTCTACGAAAAACTGGTCTGTTTGGGGACCTCTCTGTTTCCTTAAAGTTTGATTATGTGGCATTTAACATGAGTGATGCTTTTTTGGTTTAGTCTTGTCTACTGGAGCCTAGTGCAGGAGTTCGGTCCAAAGCAATGGCCTCCCATAATTTTTCTTTAACACTTTCAAATTTCTACTCCCTCGGTAGCAGAGAAAACTGTATTTACTTTAGCTCTTACTCGATCTTTAGTCAAGCTAAACATTCGTCTTTTGGAATAATTGTTCAGCTTCTCTTATTTTTATTTCTCACTAAACCCCTGCTTCTTTCTAAGATGATGTCCAGACGAATGTAGGCAAAAGAAGTCATGTAACTTTGCTGAACAGAAGTCAGTCATTGTACCAGCCAAGTAACCTTTGGCTACTCTGTGCTCCACAGCAACATTCCTTGTCTGCCTGGCTCTCCCTGTTAGTGTTTAAAGTGGGTGTCAACAGATGACACAACTCATGACCTTACTTCCCTTCAGTCTATTCTCAGTAGCCCTTCTGGTTGACATGACTTCCACATAACTCTAACTGTCTAAAATCATTTTCGAAGCTTTGCCATATTTTCCAACCACCTGCCCCACCTGTAGCCTCTGCTATGAGCACTGCACATCCTTTCAATGGCCTACCCCAGTTGGCAACCAGGCACTCAAGCCAGCACAGCACCATATAACCACATGAGTCTTACATGCAAATTTGACTCCCTCTTCTTCTCTCTGCCTACTCGTCAGCTCTGTCCCCTTAAATAGCCACCTCATTTTAGTTCAATTCTAGTCTGCCTTCAGTGCTTTTTTCAGCTACTCTGTATATTTGTAAAGTAACCCTTTTCCCCTTTTTGAGGCTTAGCCCTTTGGCTTGGATTGGAGACAGGAAAGTGAAGGGGCACTATTAGCTTGGATCCTGAACACCTCCTCAATCTCTTTGTCCTCTTTCTTTTTCTCTCCTTTCCTTGTCATGTTTCCTCAATTCTTGGTCACATTTCTAACTTTTTCCCAACTCTAACTTCTGAAACTTTAATGAAAAATAGGGTATGTTATTTAAGTTATTTAAAAAAAAAAAAAAAAAAGAGCTGGGCACAGTGGCTCACGTCTGTAATCCCAGCACTTTGGGAGGCCGAGGCGGGTGGATCACCTGAGGTCAGGAGTTCGAGACCAGCCTGGCCAACATGGTGAAACCCTGTCTCTACTAAAAGTACAAAAATTAGTGGGGTGTAGTGGCGGGTGCCTGTAATCCCAGCTACTCAGGAGGCTGAAGCACGAGAATCGCTTGAACCTGGGAGGCAGAGGTTGCAGTGAGAGGAGATGATGCCTCTGCATTCCAGCCTGGGTGACAGAGCAAGACTCCGTCTCAACAACAATGACAACAACAACAAAAACAGCCCTCTAGGCCCTGCTGCTTAACAGGTTAAATGTGAAGTAAAATAAATTTAGGAAAATCCTTATCTCTAATGAAGACTGGTTTTGAAGACATTCTGGAAAATCTTATTTTGAATGGCAAAAGTTTATTATTATCCTTTGTTTTTCTACCTATCTTCTCTGACCATCCATATATTTCTCCGAAGTATGTCTTGGGCCAAGTGAAAGATATTGGAATAAGAAAAATGATACTAATTTTCTTGCAAAATGTCCATTATATATGTATAATAAAAGTCTTAAAAATAAACATCCCCAAAAATAGTAACATTTTTTGATTGTTTAGTGAGAGGTGATTTCTATTGCCTTCTTCACAAAATTTCCCCAAACATTTTTAGAATGACAATGTATTATATGTATAACCAGATTTTTAAGAAATAATGAAAAATACTTTACAAAATCTGAAAATACAAATTATAATAGTACATCTGTGTCAGGAAAAGTGCTTGATTTTTGTTAGCCTGAAACAGAGTCACAACAAGGAAGGGAAAGTCCCAGTTAAGGTGAGTAGATTCTAAATTATTTTTCTTGACAATAAAATAAAATTAAACAGAATAATACATTATTTATTTAAATATTTTTCCCTTGAAAGCTAAGATAATTAGTAATCTAAGTTCTGGAATCAACATGAAAGGAAATGTAAGTATTAAAATACAATTATTCTCAAAAGAAATTAAGTAAATGTAATCTAAATCATTGTGAGTCAGTTCAATCTGATAATCCCTATAATTCTATTTTCATTTAAGGTTAAGTATGTACCATTTTAAATTCTAAATTCTTCTTAGCGTTATTTCTGAAGTTCGAACACACAAAAAGAGACACTTCTATTTACTATAGCTTTAATTATTTGAATCCAAAAACTAAGAAAAAGGGAGCTAATCAACAAAAAGTATTCACTTCAAATTCATTCAGTGAAAGAAAAAATCCTCTGCTTTAAGATCAGGTTTGTTGGTTATTTTCTTAAGTTTCTGAAGGATATTGGTCCAGGATAGAATAGTCCTTTCAGATAAGTTTCACAGTTTTAGTGTTGAAAAGTAATTATTCCAAAACTCAATGTTGTATGTTTATAAATGCTAAACTAACTAGATTAATTGTAAAAGGAGACCAGCTGAAGTTATTAACAAGTTTTTGATTAGGCAGTTGTTTTTAATTCTCACAAACAGATCCACATGAGGGCAGTAGACCATGAGAAAGCCTGGAATATAAAAAGTAATACAAAGATAAACCAACAGGAAAAACATATTTAGTTCTGGAATTATTTCCCTTGGCAAAAGGCATAAATCTCATATGTTAAAAAACACAACCAACCTTAGTTACCAGCACCTATCTCATAACCAATAAGTAGAGAGCAGCCTTAAATGTTTTCTTTTTATATTCCAATATACCAGGAGGGAAAACTCGTTCCTCTTCTTCCCTCGTATAAAAATCTATAAAGAATCTAATCTCAAAAAACTCTCAGAGTAACACAACCCTTTGTTCCACAGCTTTCCTATAAGTATTGGCTAAGAATAAAAATATCCCAGTTAAGTGAAAACTCTTACTGCAGAGAGAAGAAAAATTGACTATCTATCTAATATACCATTTTTTAAATACTTTAAGAAATGATGACATTTCTAGTTAAAAATCTTGACAGATAAAAATAGAAATGTACAATTTTTAATACCAGACTTCTGAGTAACATAAGAAAAGGGTTTTGGAGTATTTACTTATATTTCCATTATTATCAGAACATGGAGTAAGGAGTAAGGAAAAATAATAGAAATTTTACCACAGTCTGCACCTGCCTCCTCATAATGCAGATATAATCTTCTGCACACCATTTTTTTAAATTATTATTACTGCTGTAACAAATTACCACAAATTTGGTGGCTTAAAACAACATACATTTATTATCTCACAGTTTCTGTAGTTTGGAAACCTGAAATGGATCTCACTGGACTAAAACCAAGGAAGTGTCAACAGGACTAGCTCTTTCCTGGAGACTATAGAGATGAATCCACTTCAAGTTCACTCAGGATGTTAACAGATTTCAGTTTCTTAATGTTGTAGAACTAGTTCCTTTATTTGCTTCCTATCAGCCAACAGCCACACTTAGCTCCCAGAAGCCTCTCTCTTGTTGTTCCATGTGACTCTTACATCTCAGCACTAGCAACAGCACATTGAGTTGCAGGCTTGGAATCTCCCTGAATGTCCCTTCTACCACATCTCTTCTACCTTCTCCTGCTATTGTATCTTCCTGAGTCCAGCCAAAGTTTCCTGCTCCTAAGGACTCACGTGATTAGATTGTGCCTGCATTAGTCCATTTTCACACTGCTGAAAAAGACATACCCAAGACTGGGTGATTTATACAGGAAAAAGCATTTAGTGAACTTACAGTTCCACGTGGCTGTGGAGGCCTCACAATCATGGCAGAAGGCAAGGAGCAGCAAGTCACATCTTACTTGGATGGCAGTAGGCAAAGAGACAGCTTGTGCAGAGAAACTCCCATTTTTAAAACCATCAGATCTCATGAGATCTACTCACCATCGTGAGAACAGGATGGGAAAGACCCACCCCCATGACTCAACTACCTTCCACCAGGATCCTCCCACGACACATGAGAACCATGGAAGTTACAACTCAAGATGAGATTTGGATGGGAACACAGAACTAAACCATATCATTCTACCCTTGGATCCTCCCAAATCTCATATCCTCACATTTCAAAGCCAATCATGCCTTCTCAACAGTCCCCCAAAGTCTCAACTCATTTCAGCATTAATTCAAAAGTCCAAAGTCTCATCCGAGACAAGGCAAGCCCTTTCTGCCTATGAGCCTGTAAAATCAGAGCAAGTTAGTTATGCCCTAGATGCAAAGACGGTACAGGCATTGGGTAAATACAACCATTCCAAATGGGAGAAATTGACCAAAACAAAGAAACAACAGGCCCCGTGCGAGTTTGAAATACAGTCGGACAGCCGGGTGAGCTGACTCATGCCTGTAATCCCAGCACTTTGGGAGGCCAAGGTGGGCGGATCATGAGGTCAGGAGATAGAGACCATCCTGGCTAAAACGGTGAAACCTCATCTCTACTAAAAATACAAAAAATTAGCCAGGTGTGGTGGTGGATGCCTGCAGTCCCAGCTACTCAGGAGGCTGAGGCAGGAGAATGGTGTGAACCTGGGAGGTGGAGCTTGCAGTGAGCCAAGGTCACACCACTGCACTCCAGCCTGGGAGACAGAGCGAAACTCTGTCAAAAAAAAAAAAAAAAAGAAGAAAAAAGAAATAAAAAAGAAGGAAATCCAGTGGGACAGTCAAATCTTAAAGCTCCAAAATGATCTCCTTTGACTCCATGTCTCACATTCAGCTGACACCAATGCAAGAGGTGGGTTCCCGTAGTCTTGTGCAGCTCCACCCCTGTGGCTTTGCAGGGTACAACCTCTCTCCTGGCTGCTTTCACTAGCTGGCATTCTCTGTGGCTTTTCCAGGGGCACAGTGCAAGCTGTCAGTGGATCTACCATTCTGGGGTCTGGAGGATGGTAGCCTTCTTCTCAAAGCACCACTAGGCAGTGCCCCAGCAGGGACTCTAGTGCAGACTCCCACTCCACATTTCCCTTCTGCACTGCCCTAGCAGAGGTTCTCCATGAGAGCCGCTCCTCTAGAGCAAATTTCTGCCTGGGCATCCAGGCATTTCCATACATCTTCCGAAATCTAGGCGGAGGTTCCCAAACCTCAATTCTTGACTTCTGTGAACTCGCAGGCTCAACACCATGTGGAAGCTGCCAAGACTTGGGGCTTGCACATTCTGAAGCCACAGCTTGAGCTGTACCTTGGGCCCTTTTAGCTGTGGCTGGAGTGACTGGGATGCAGGGTACCAAGTGCATGGGGGCCCTGGGCCCAGCCCACAAAACCCAAAACCGTCTTTTCTGTCTATGCCTCTGGGCCTGTGATAGGAGGGTCTGCCGTGAAGACCTCTGACATGCCCTGGAGACATTTTCCCCATTGTCTTGGGGGTGAACATTCAGCTCCTTGTTACTTATGCAAATTTCTGCAGCCAGCTTGAATCTCTCCTCTGATAATGGGATTTTCTTTTCTGTTGCATTGTCAGGCTGCAAATTTTCCAAACTTTTATACTCTGCTTTCCTTCTAAAACTGAATGCCCTTAACAGCACTCAAGTCACATCTTGAGTGCTTTGCTGCTTAGAAATTTCTTCTGCCAGATACCCTAAATCATCTCTCTCAAATTCAAAGTTCCACAGATCTCTAGGGTGGGGGCAAAATGCCACCGGTCTCTTTGCTAAAACATAACAAGGGTCACCTTTGCTCCAGTTCCCATTAAGTTTCTCATTTCTGAGACCACCTCAGCCTGGATTTTATTGTCCATATCATTATCAGCATTTTGGTCAAAGCCGTTCAACTAGTCTCTAGGGAGTTTCAAACTTTCCCACATTTTTCAGTCTTCTTCTGAGCCCTCCGTATTGTTCCAACTCTGCCTGTTACCGAGTTCCAAAGTTGCTTTCATATTTTCGTGTGTCTTTTCAGCAGTGCTCCACTCTCCTGGTACCAATTTACTGTAATGGTCTGCGTTCAGACTGCTGATAAAGACATACCTGAGACTGGGTACCCTATACGGGACAAAGGGTTTGGATGGGGAGGACTCACAATTATGGCAGAAGGCAAGGAAGAGCAAGTCACATCTTATGTGAATGGCAGCAGGCAAAGAGAGAGCTTGTGCAAAGAAACTCCTGTTTTTAAAATCATTAGATCTCATGAGACCCATTTGCAATCATGAGAACTGCATGGGAAAGACCCACCCCCATGATTCAGCCATCTCCTACTGGGTCCCTCCCACAACACATGGGAATTATGGGATCTAAAAGAAGAATTTTGGGTGGGGACACAGAGCCAAGCCATATCAGCACCCACCCAGATAATCCAGAATAATCTGCCTATTTTGAAATTCATAATCTTAAATACATCTGCAAAGTATATTTTGCCATGTAATAAAACGCACTTAAAGTTTCCAGGGATTAGGGTGTGGATATCTTTTGGGAGTCATTATTAAGCCTACCACATCACTGAATGAAGAATGAGCTCTGCAGGGAATAGAGGAGCATGGAAACTACAAAGAAAAGGAATCGACAACAAACAAATAAAAATTTGTTTCCTTAAAATGTTTTCATCCATATCATTAAAATCTCATGTATGTTATAAATTTACTACTGCACTAGTATTTTTACTCTTGCTCTTTTCCCTGCCTGAATGCACACATTCCTTGATGCACTGCCTATTCAAATCATAACTTGTCAGGTTTCTAGGAAATGTCCACTTTCTCAAGCATCAGTACTTACTCGAAACCTTATTGAATTTTTATTTATCAGAAACCCCAAGCATTTAAGATCTAAACCATGAGCACTTACTAATGCTGTCCTAATGTAAATCTCACCTCTTCCAAATAAGGTATGTTATAGTTAAAAGCATGGGATCTACAGCACAGTGCCTCAGTCATATCCCAGATCATATTCCAGATCTGCCACTTACCAACTGTGTACCTTTAAACAAGTTAATAAACCTCTCTGTACCTAAGTTTTTTCCTTTGTAAAATAAGAATAATATTAGTAACATCATGAGTTTAAATGAATTAATACAGAGTGCTTAGAAGAGTGTCTAGCACATATATGTCTAGCATAAAATGTCTAGCTCAATAAAAGTTAGCTATGATTGCTACTATTAATAAGTGTTTAGGTGATTTGACAATTGATACCTTATTTTTAGATTGCATTCAATAAGGGTAAGGCTCCAATTCTTTTGCCAAATATAAGTTTTACCTTGTATGATTTTTGGGTATATGCCAGGAAAATAAGGTGAAAGTTAATAGTGGTCACACAAATACATCCAGTCCTCTGTCAGTATTCGTGGAGGATTGGTTCCAGGACCCCCACAGATATAAAACTTCATGGATGCTCAAATTCCTTATATAAAATAACATAGTATTTGTATATAATCTACTGTACATCCGCCCATATAAAGTTGACCATTTAACACTCCAGCCTAGGTGACAGAGTGATAGATCCTGTCTCAAAAAAATTAAAAAATAAAAACAGAAAAATAAATAGAACTTGCACATATGGAGGGCTAACTTTATTGATGTTTTAATAGTCATTATTATATATTTAATTATTTGTCACTACAATTACATGTGTGTATTAATTATACTTTGTATGAGTATCTATACTTACCTGGCTCTTTTAACGTGAGGAGGTTTTGATTATTCTAGACTGGTATTTTCAAATAAAAAAAGTGAATATATATACATTTTATTTTGGCCTAAATTTTTTAAGCAAAAATATACAACTAGTGCTGCAAAATAATGCAGAGAAGAAAATCCCCAAGAAAATAAATGGTTCATAGATGGTATCCTCTCAATAGCCTTAGGTTCATAAACATTTCTACATCTTTATTTAAATTTCTAGTGACTGATTTTTAAGTGACGTTTTCTAAAGTAAATTTGTTTCATTTTCTTTTTCTAGAGAACTAAAGTTTAGGCAAAATATGTCATTGTTGGTACCAATGAGAAAATATATAATTTGCTCATTCATCCAACTACTATTTATTTAGGTTAGGGATAGTGACTAAATAATAAATGATAACACTAATCACCAATTTTTGAAGTGGTACTAGAGGTAGAGATCACTATATACTCACTTTACAGAGACTCTGAGAAATAAGTAAATTGAAGGCCATAATGTTTGCTATTGCAATGCCCAGATTAAAATTTTGTTCTGTCATGCTTCCACCCCTATGGGATTTTATTATAATGTGCTGTTGCTCATTCACTATCCTGCCCAATTTGTTGAGTGTTCCCCACAATACCTAATACATATTTGCTTCACTTTTACAGTTGAATAAACATGTATCCAATCAATGAATAAATGAAATACATCAATTACTAAATTTAAGTGTTTTTAGATATTACCCCTTTCCTTCCTCATTTGGGACTACCCAAAGAAAAAATTTAATAGGATTATGCATTTTAACAATAGCAGCAGACTACAATGTTTTTGGCTTCAAATAATAGCATCCTTAGGATCAGTGGCTTAAACATAGGGTTACATTAATAAATCTTGAATGAAGAAGTTCAGAGGTTAATTCAGCAGTTCAACCACATCAGGCCCTTCAGTCATTTATGAGTCTCTTGCCTCTTGCCTCATGATTGCCTGTGGCTGCTGCTGCTGCAAACCTCATAATCCAGTGTAACTGTGCACACAGGCAAAGGTGGGGAGAGGCTGAAGGGCCCAATTATGCACCTCCCTCTTTTAATTAGAGAGGAAACTATTTCTCCAAGGGTCCTCAGCAGGATTACTCTTATGTCTTTTTTACCAAAACAGGGTCACATCCTCAACCCTAAACCAGGTAAAGATACAGGATTAATGTAACTGACAAGATTAATCACTAGTCATGCTTTGTGTAGACACACTGCTTCCTTCAAATCTGAATAAAATTAGAATTCTTATTGCAAAACAGAAAGTAGAAATGACTAATAAACTGGTAAGCAACTAACAGTGGCAGGTGCTATTTCCTTCCTACTCTCTATAAGTCATACACTAGGCAAGTGCTGTAGGTTCTTCAAGCATCTTAGAGACAGATACATTTTCAATAATTTAGTTGCTTGTTTGAACATGAAAAAAATGCATAACAATAATTTACACAAGCCAATGTAATGAGTGTTCTTGTTTTACCCATTTATCAATGAGGAAAATAAGATTTAGAAAACATAATTATGTTGCCCATTATCAGCAAATATCCACAAAGAAGCCGAGAGCAGCTGAGACTCAAGCTCATGTTTCTCTGACTCCAAAGCCGGAGTTCTTAAAGACTGAGATACACTACCTAAATGTCACTTGAGGACTGCCATTTAGAATAATTGAGATGAATTCTTGTTCCATGTATTTTTCTTCTTTACTTTGTAACAGTTTTAATATCAACTGTTGCAACTTTGGAATCAAAACTAATATCTATAAAAACCTAATGCTCTGCAAAGTATCACGTGTAACATAAACAGCAAAATCTTGTTTCTGCCTTCTTGGAGATAACAGGCTAAGGCTAGTGTGAAAAATCATCAGAGTGGTCGGGAGTGGAGGTTTTTATTTCCAAAGAGTCTTAGCAATAAAATCTTAGCAACAAAATTCACTCTTCTCTCTCTCTCTCCCTCTTTCTCTCTCTCTCTCTCACACACACACACACACACACACACACACACAGAGTTGACCTTTACCAACCTTTATAAAAACTATAGTGTCTGAACTATTGTCTTGGAAACAAACAAACACTTGTCTCTCCAGGCTACAAATATGAATTTAAAGTGTTATTAATGACCGAAATGCCTAGAAAATGTCTAATAAACCAAGGTATCTTTCAACAATGATAGATTAATTGAATTTAATATGGTGGAATTGGAAAAGTCACTGTAACTAATTGTCCTTACAAGCTGTGAATGCCTCTAAGTGTGATGTATAGTACTGCACTTCAGTATTTTAGTTAAGGGTCTTGTTATTAAATTACCTTGAAACATCAATGTTGGAGGTTATACAGCTCATTTACTATTTATCTGTGTTCTGAAATAGAAGGTCACCTTTTCTTTAAACATTTAGTTTTTATATTTTGCATGTGCCTGGGGCTAATGATATCAACCTTAAAATAATGCAATGGTGTTACCTAATGGAACAATAGCAATCAATCCCTACGAATATCTGGAGAAATTAAAAATATGCTGCAAAATTGATTGATTGCCTACACTACATCTTATCCTCCAGTAGCTAGTAAGCATAATTTAACTACATGATGAGTGCTACCTATCATTTTCTTCTGATTTCAAATTTAATAGCCTCAGAAGCATCATTGTTCATTTGTTTGCAAAATGTCATTGACACATACATGAGCCCTTATAGTGGAATAAAAAGTCCACTTGTCTTCTAAAAGCAGTGTAACTTTAGAGATATTATCTGTCATCTTTCTCCCAAGAGCACTTCTAATACTGAAGAACCATGTGTCTATTGCATATATATATATATATATATATATATATATATATATATATATGGACATGTGTAATTATTTCTATAACAGTGCATTTTGGATCAATATTAAGCATTTATAATAGGGTTTCAGAAATATCTTATTGTTTCCAGGAGTGAACACAAAAAGGATGAAAAGCAGAGAGGAAGAAAGCATATTTAAGGTTTCCAACATATTCTATCTTACAGGTGAGACCTTTCATAGAAAAAGTAGTATTAATGCACTCATAGGTGGGAATTGAACAATGAGAACTCTTGGACACAGGAAGGGGAACATCACACACAGGGGCCTGTAGTGGGGTGGGGGGAGGGGGGAGGGATAGCATTAGGAGATATACCTAATGTAAATGAAGAGTTAATGGGTGCAGCACACCAACATGGCACATGTATACATATGTAACAAACCTGCACGTTGTGCACATGTACCCTAGAACTTAAAGTATATATATGAAAAAGCAGTATTAATGATAGTAATGGTTTTCTTGCTTTTGGAGGTAAATAAAAATAACTGCAATTAAAAATAATATTATTGTTATTATTATTATTGAATGCCTACTATATGCCAGGCATAGGTACTCCACAGGTTTACTATCATCTCAATGCCTTACAAAAATTATACAAGGAGAGTTGAAATCTAAATTTGTCTAGACTGAACTCTCTTCTATGTACTGAATGTTAGTCAGTTGTATTGCCTATATTTAAAAGCAAATTCTGCTTTGGCCTTGTGATATTTTCAATTGTCTTATCAATTAGCAGGAAATTAAATTCAAACAAAAAAGAGATTAACTTGCTCTTCAATTTCTAGTGCGTAATTACAACAAGTAGATATTTTTAATTGTAACCAGAAACACTGAAAGATCATGATTGAAGTTTTATCCCGATATTATTGGTCCAAATAATTTGAATTTTATTTGGTGAATATTAATAAGAGATTACATAAAAGGTAAACTTTTTGAAATTAAAGAATAACATTTAACAAAAAATCCTTTTTAAAATTGATTTTTAAAGTTTTACATTTTTTATAATGCAAATGCCCCGATACAGATAAATTTGTAATTTGTTAGCAAATCTAGTTTCTTCTTTCCAAAAATCTATCTTGAAATTTTTTTTTAAATTTCTCAAAAACTCTTATTCTTTGAGGAATTCTGGCAAAATTAAAGTTAACCTGTATGGGAAGTGGAATCTGTCATGCTTATCTGGCACGAGTGGTCAGATAAATAATAGAATTACACATCCTCGAAAAATCTGCCTGTTCCTTTGAGAGATGGCTGTTAAAAAGAGCCCAACACTCCTCCTGCTCTCTTTCACTTTCTCTCTCTCTTGCTTCCTCTCTCACCACGTGACGTCTGTACTTGCTGGCTTCCCCTCACCTTCTACCATGACTGGAAGTAGCCAGAGGTCCTCACCAGAAGCAGAGGCTGGCAGCTCCATGTCTTTTGTGCAGCCTGCAGAAACTTGAGCCAAATAAACCTTTCCTTTATAAATTACCCAGCCTTGTGTATTTCTTTATAGCAACACAAACTAACACAGAAAATTGGCACTAAGGAGTGAGGCATTGCTTTAAAGATGCCTGAAAATGCAGAATTGGCTTTGGAACTGGGTTATGGGCAGAGGTTGGAAGAGTTTGGCAGTCAAGAAGACAGAAAGGATAAGGGAAAGTTTGAAACTTTGTAGAGACTGGTTAAGTAGTTGTGTCAAAAAACCTGATAGAAATATGGGGAGTAAAGGCCATGCTCATGAGGTCTCTGATGGAGATGAGAAACATACGCAGAATGGGAGAAAAGGTGGTCATTTTTACATGGTAGCATAGAACCTAGCTGCACTGTGTCCATGCCCTAGGGTGTTTTGGAAGATTGAACTTAAGAGTGAGGACCTAGAGTATCCAGCAAAAGAAATTTCTAAGCAGCAGAGTATTCAAGAAGTGGTGTTGATATTTTCAACAGCTTACAATCATGCTTAGTAACAAAAGAATGCCCCAAAGGTGGTATTTATAATTAAAAGGGAAACAGCATAAAAACTGGAAAAATGTGAGAAGAACATAAGTTTTGGGCCAGAGACAAAATGCAACAGTAAGGATATTGCACTCCTCCAAATCTCATGTTAAAATTTGATCCCCAGTGTTAGAGGTGGAACTTAATGGGAGGTGTTTGGGTCATGTGGGTGGATCCCACATGAATGGCTTGGTGCAGTCCTTGCTGTAATGAGTGAGAGCTGGTTGTTAAAAAGAGCCTGGCACCTCCTCTTGGTCTTTCTCACTTTATCTGTCTGTTGCTTTCTCTCTTGCCATGTGATTTGCGTACATGCTGGCTCCTCTTCCCCTTCTACCATAAGTGAAAGCAGCCAGATATCCTCATCATAAGTGGATGCTGGTGCCGTGCTTCTTGTGCAGCCTGTAGAACTGTGAACCCAATAAATGTCCTTTATAAATTACCGAGCCTCAAGAATTCCTTTATGCAACACAAATAGAGTAAAACAGCTTGGAAACTAGATAATCAATATTGCTAAAAATCTCCATCCCTCTAAAAAGAGGTAAAACGTTTCAAATGATAGCTTACCACTAAAGTCAGCAAATTACATTGGTGAAAGGCCATATTGTAAATACTTTAGACTTTGTGGCCATTCCATATGGTCTTTGTCCCGATTACTCAACTCTGCCATTGCAGCCAGAAAGCAGTCAGTCAATACATGAGCCCAAGGATGTGGCTTTTTTCCAAAAAATAGGCAGTAGGCCTGATATTCATATATTATGTTTTCACTTTCATTAGGTTTGAGGTATTTTATAAATCCTTTCTAATTCTTTCCTTGACCTATAAATTAATTAGAATTGTGTTATTTAATTTCTAAATGTTTTGAGGTTTTCCTAGGCATATTATTGTTATTGATTCTAATTTAATTCCTCTGTAATCTGAAAACATACTCTATATGATTTTAAATCCTTCAAATTTATTGAGACTAGTTTTACGGCCTAACGTATGTGTATTATATCATGCTGAAAATGCTATGTACTTTAAAAATTTATATTTTTCTGTTATTGTGTGTAATGTCCTATAAATATTCACCAGGTCAAGGTGATTGAAAGTGTTATTCAGATCATACTACTTATTACTTGCATTTTTTTTAGCAATTTCTGATTGTTAGGTATAATGGGTACATTTTCTTTCTCCATTTTATTCTGCTATTTTTTGCTTCATGTATTTTGAAGCTCTGTTATTAGATGCACCCACAATTTTTATAGCAATAGGTTCCTAATTAATTGACCCTTTTATCATTATGAAATGCTCTTCAATAGCTCTGATAATGCTCTTTATCTTGAAACATATTTTATCTCATATTAACATAGCCATTTCAGCATTTTTATGTTTGCTGTTGCAAGTCTGTAGCTTGACTTCACTTATAAAAAATATTTTTATTGGATCTAAAAGTCTCAGTTGACAGGTTTGCTTATTTTCTCTTTAAAGATGTTATTTCATGCCATATGCTAACATTGTTTCTGAAGAAAAGTTTGTAGTCATTTGAAACTTGAATTGCTGTTCCTCTCTTTTTAATGTCTTTTTTGCTGGCTGCTCTCAAGATTATCATTTATCTTTTGTTTTTAGCTGTTTGACTATGATGTACTCATTATTATTTTCTTCATATTTTCATTCTCATTTTCTTCATATCCTGTTTGGGCTTTACTGAGCTTCTTCTTCTTGGATCTGTAATATTATATCTTTCAATAAAATGGGAACATGTACATCCATTATATCTTCACACATATGTTACACCTTTTGACATCCTGCAGCTCGCTGAGGCTCTATTCATGTTTTAAAATATCTTTTCTCTCTTTAAGATAGGATAATTGGTGCTTATCTATATTTAAGTTTGTGGACTCTGTTCTTTGTCATTTCCATTCTGCTTTTATGCCCATGTGGTGAATTTTTAAATCTACGTATCGTATTTTCGTTTTTTTTTTAAATTTTTCTATTTATTTATTTTTGTTGAGACGGAGTTTCACTCTTGTTGCCCAGTCTGGAGTGCAATGGTGTGATCTCGGCTCACTACAACCTCTGCCTTCCGGGTTCAAGTGATTCTTCTGCATCAGCCTGCTGAGTAGTTGGGACTATAGGCATGCACCACCAGTATTTTCACTTTTAGAATTTTCCTTTTATTGATTCCTATATTTCTGTTAAAATTTATGTTTTTCATTTGGTATCACTGTTTTTTAAATCTTATTCATTAATTTAATTGCTTTCTTAAAATCCTTGTCTGCTCATTCTAATATTCAACTCATCGTGGGGTTGGTCCTGCTGTCTTTTTTTTAAGACTAGATCATATTTTTATGTTGCTTCAAATAATAATTTTTTCTTATAAACTGGTCACTGAAATTTTGTTGTGGAGAGACTTTTAATTTTGTTATATTTCTCTGAAAAATACTGATTTTTTAAATCTGACAATTAGTTGGATTCCAGTTAAAAACTGTTGATTGAGAAAGTTCAAACTTGTTTTATTTCTTTTACCTTCATCTGGGCTGCTTTGAATCTGCCCAGCTCATGCACATTTGGGGCTCATGCAGAGATTTAGATAGAGTCTCAACACAGAATTTGTGCTTCTCGGCTAGCTTTTGCTTTTGTGGGGTTCCTTGTTTTCTGGTTCCAAAGGCTGTATTTGCCACAAATTTCTGTTATTTGTTTTTTTCAGCTCAGACAGACTGCATGTTTTCTATCAGGGATTTAGCTACCCCACATGATATTGACTGATGCTTTCTATTACGCTAAGTAATTAAAAATGAGAAATTTACCCAGTGCTAACTTTTCTTCAGTGTTGATCCCCACACAGAATTTCCTTGTAATTTACTCTCTAGTGTCTTCAGGTTATTGTTATTCATTTATTAGTTTGTGTTGTTTTATTTTGTATTTTGACCTGAACTTATCATTGTTATCTCCAGGAATTCCTGTTCAATAGGTTTTGGTCATTTAAAAAAAGTATATAGCTGCCTAATTTATTTTTTAAGTGTGAATACCAAACCATACATTTACCTCATATATTTTACTTTATTGGGTCTGCTACATCCTCAATTATTCTGTTTTTCAACACATAATGTTGAGGATTTATCAACAAAATGCATGAATTATATTGAATGAATCAGATAATTTCAGAAATTCCTTTTAACATCCATTGTACTGTCTTTCTCTCCCAGTTGTATTTTCATACAGGCAGTAGCCTTTAATTTTAATAATTGCTGGAGTTATTTACAAAAAAATTAAGTTATTTAGACCTATGGCATATGATTTCAGATCCCCCTTTAGGTTGTCACTAATTCTTGCCACCTTACTTAAGCGTTGCTACAAAATACATAGGCATGCATCTGTCCCTCTCTCTCCCTCTAGGTTTAACACAGACATACACATTCTTATTAAATTCACATTTACTTATATTTTGGGCTCATACTCGCATCCTTTTCTATAGTACCATCTTTGATAGGAACTCCCCTTTCTGGGTCTTAATCTAGCTGATGACTCACTAAAATGGGACCATAGGAGCTCTGTTCTCATAATGGAGTGTTGATGAAATCACACACAAGAACACCCCACCAGATCAGGCTAAAGCTGATCCGAAACACCTCTGCTCTTTCCTGCTTTCATTACAATCTTCAGATTTTACCTATGAGAATTTTCAGAATTCATCCCTTCTATAGTAACCTTCTTTTCAGAGGTTGCTTCTGAAGAGCCCACACTAAGTTAGTCTTCTTTAGCTCCTCTCAGTTTTTTTTTTTTTTAATTTAAGGAAGGATTTGCTTTTACTTCCTCTTTTCAATAAGGAACGTTAAGAATAGCTGTGGAAAAATACTGCAAATTGACCCAACAAAAACTCTCAGCCTCCTACTCTGTCTTGCTGTACACTGAAGATTCTAAAGTTAAAGAATATATTTCCTAGTATGCCAGTCACAAAAAGACAAACACAATATGATTCCTTTTATATAAAGTATCTAAAGTAGTCAAATTTATAGAAACAGAAAGTAGAATGAGGGTTACCAGGTACTGGGGAAAGAAGGAAGAGGAGAGTGTTTAATGGGTATAAAGTCTCAGTTTTATAAGATGAAAAAGTACTGGAGATCTGTTTCACAACAACGTTAATATATTTAAATTCACAGAAGTATACACTTAAAATGGTTAAGATTATTTTCTAAAATAATAATAAAGTAATTATATATTCACAAACTTGGATAAATTTCCATGTAAATAAACTCCATGGACAATGGGCTTTTAAAAATGTTTTGCTCAGTGATGTAGCATCAAAATCCTAAAAATTGCCAAGACATAATAGGTGTTCAGTAAACAAATTTTGAATAATACACATATTTCTTAGCCAAAAAACAAAACAGACTACAAAGGAATGTTTACACTCTAACCAATTTGTATGTTTGTCTATGCATACAATGTGTGTGCATATGTATGTGTGTTTATAAATGCATATGCGCATATTCTATTCTATTATTCAGAATACAATTGGTTATGTTGCTGTAACAAACAACCCCTAAATAAAATAATATGTGTTATTTCTTTTAAAAAAAGATAAAGTAAAAAAAAAAAACTGATTATATTTTCTAGAAATTTTTGCAGCTCAGGGTCCACAAATGACTTAGGTTATACTAAGCAAATACATGTGGAATTAGAAGAAAAAAAGTGTAACCTAAGCTAATGGTAAGTGGCACTTTTGATAAGCATTGTGGAGAGGTATTGAATTATTTTGCAAAAATTGTAACAGGGATTTTCTTGTACTTCCTGACTTTCCCATTTTCCCTCTTTTTTATGAGTCCCACAAGGCAGATACTAATAGCAAAAAGGATTTTGTCTAAAATAATCACATGATGGTTGGATGTTTTCTTATGTCCATACTGTTCTTGGTTGTGTATCACAAAAACTTAATTCCCTGATCTTCCCTGAATTTCTATCATGCTTTCTGGTAGATCCCTACCTACAAAAGTGGTGTCAGTGGTTAGAATTGTATGCAAATAAAAACACTCACCAAAAAGGCAACTTGGAATAAAAGAAATTAGCAATTGATTATCAAGCAATGAGGAAACTTGAATTATTGTACTTGCCCAACTGAGTTTGAATACAACTAGGATCCATTTAACATTAGAAGATGGCACTATTAACCAATGGCATGCTAGACATATTGAATTTTATTAAACCTGTGAGCACATAGAATTAGGTGACTTAAATAAAAGCTTTGGCAAAATGAGTGGGTGTTGTAACAGATGACTAAGAGAAACACAAGGAATTCAAAAGCCTGAGAGAGGCAGGCTGCTTCTAGACTACATTCAATATACAACCTCAAGAAGTAGGATTCTGTCTTTTGTTTGGATGGTTGGCTGATACTTTTGGGGAGGCTTATTGTAAATGAAACTGAAGTACCTCAATTTTTTTTAAAGTCCAACGTTTTAGTGACATAAAGTTTTCAGAATAAATTTATAATGAACAACACACACAAACAACCCTTAATTTTGTCCCTACAGAAGCTACATAAGACTTCACATAGTCATTAATAATTACATTGGTGAGACTATTGCATTCTTGAAAAGCACCATGGTGGATGTCCAGTGTGTAGGCCACAGTTAAAGGTGGAAGACATTGTTGTTGAAATGACTCCCATAAGGTTTCTGGGGTACAGGGATGATGTCAAATAGTAGCACTTAACTGTCAACGCAAGGTAGGTGCTGGTACTAAAATAGATGGCAAAGCTGGAGTGGTAATCAGAATTGTTTGACATGTGGACACATTTGCTGGTTCCTGAGATCAACCTAAATAAGCTCACAGAAGTTCCATTTTTCAGTATATATGAAAAAATATATATAGTTCTAATGAACAAAGCCTAACTTAAACCATCAAAATATAGAACTGGAGACTGTAAGTCAGTTTATAGACCCGAGGCCACTTGAATGAAGAGGACAGTGGGTACTCTTGAGAAACAAGCCATAACATCAAAAGGCCTTCTAAGCTTTCTTTCACAGAAGAACTTGCTGCAATTAACCAGTGTAGCTGTGTACTAAAGAAAGAGGAATATCTAGACTTTTCAGGATTAATTGACATAGGCTACATGTATTAGTAGTTCTACATGTAGAACTACATGTATTAGTTCTCTATTGCCACTATAACAAATTACAAAAGTTTACAGTTCTATAAGCCAGGAGTCTAAAACGAACCTTACCAGGCTAAAAGCAAGATATTGGTTAGACTACATTCTTTTCCGGGACTTTAGGGGATAATCTATTTCCTTGCTTTGTTCAGCTTCTAGAAGATGCTTGCATTTCTTGGTTCCTGGCCTGTTTCCGTCTTCAAAGCCAGCAACGACTAGTAGAGTGTTCCTTATATCACATCACTCTGACACAATCATCTACCTTCCCTTTCCAGTTATAATCACTTTGTGATTACATTAAGCACACCTGGATAATGCAGAATAAGTTTCCCATTTCAAGTCATTTATTAGCAACTTTCATTCCGTCTGAAACATTAATTCCTTAACATATTCACAAGTTTTGGAGAGTAGAACATGGGCACTTTGAGAAGCAGGCATTATTCTGTCTAACACAGTCTCTAACCATGTGTGGCCACATAGGATTTTATGGTGATTAAGCAGTGAAAGTGGAAATGTATGACAGTCATAAATGCAGTCTGGTCGGAGATGTTCTCAGAGAGATCTTAGTAGCTGGCAATATTATCACATTGGTTCTCTAACCCATCAAGTAAAGTTTACTTAGAAAGAAAAGACACTTGAAAGCTTCTGAAACTATACTTCTATACAAGTGTAATGAAGCAAAAGCAATGCCTCATGTCTAGAAAAACTGCAAAGATTTGGGTCGCCATCGAAAACTTGAAATATGCATAGGTGAAAATGCCTATTATGTCCCTCATTAAACTTGCCTCCCTGACCTATTAAAGGAAAGAAGGGCCTTGCAGGCACTGTTCCAAATTCAGTCTCTTTACTGAAGCAAATTAATACATTTTTAGCTCAATTAAACGCACACATATACACATATATCTTAATTACATTTATATACATTACAATCAGCACAAATTACAGTAGTATATAAAAGGTACACATATTTTTTCTCTCCCTTTCTTCTTTTTTGTCAGTGGCAGCAAATGTTATCATTTTGTCCAGATAGATATTAAAACAGGATAATGAGGATGGGACTTCATATATTTTTGTTTTCCTATAGTTGCCATTCATTTAAATTATAATTCTTAAATCTAAAGCAGAAAACTTCCTGACAATTGTCAGTTTGCCAAATATACTAGGTAGATTTAGCTCTCTATGCCAACTAAAAGATGAAGACTGACCTTACTCATTTGCTTTTCTTTCACCACTGGTTCTAGGAGATTCTTAGGGTTGGAGAGAATTTTCACTTTTAGTTACATGTTTTAACTCTCCTCCATATAAGTTTTTGAATCTTAATGATTTCATAGGTAGCAGAAACTAATCAATTGACTTTGCAGTTTGGGCTACTGAGATGAACAGTTCATAATTAGTGTGAGTACTTTTCTTGGAACTTGTATTAAAACAATCTCCGCAATGAAACTAGAATCTAGGAACTAGTTTCATGGCTTGCTTGTTTCTAACTTTGTATTCATAAAAAATGGAAATAATCATAAAATTATAGGGAAATCTATAGCTTGATACAAACTGTTTAATCACAGCGTTAGCCATTATCAATACAACTTTTATGGTTTCATTTAAGCAAAGACTTGATGGCAAAGAGAAGGCAGATTGTTATAATAATATGTAATATATTTCTGGTGCTAAAACAAAGTAATGGGAATGATTAAGTTTCTTGTTTCATGAACATCAGCTGCTAGAGAACATTTACCAAAAATGTTTTCCTTTGAATCCTGAAGTTTTAGAACAAATAGACCCCCAGGATGGCAGAATAAGATTGTTACAGGGATGTAGTCTTCAGAGATTTCTTTGTAAAACTTGAATATCTAAGATTAATATTCTGGTATTTCTCACTTTACATGTTTTTCTTTTCCCATAAGCTTCCTTACTGATGTTAGTATAATTGAAATGTAACCTTTAAAAAAAGTTTAATTTCATAGAGCCCTAATCATGAGAATCATGATGTAACTCACAGTAATTACAAACAGCTGGAAGTGGACTGCAGTCTATTATTACAGCACCCTCCCACCTTGAAGCAACCATTTCTATTGCATCAAGAAGTCTAAGTTTGCAAAGGCAAGCTTAAACTTTGCAAACTGATTTTGATAGCATTAAGAATTGCAATCACATTTCTTTAAATAAAGTATATGAAACTAGTAACATAGTAACTTTGATATTGTTCACTATACTTTCCTCAGGCATGAAATCAACTTTTGGTAATATAAGTTGTATATAGCCTAGAAGCACATATTATGCTGTCAAAGAGGATTAAGGTAGATGAGAATTCATCCTGCCTCCTAAGATCCACCTTCATCACTTGTCGTTGCCAGAAGGATAAAATGTAAAGTTATTACCCAAGACTATTCCAAGTTTTATATTGTTTGTTGAAACTTTCCCCTCACCCCCATTGCCACTATTGTGCTCCAAGCACTAGACTGGGTAACTGCAGTTTTCAACCTGCCATGAACAAACTGTAAAGGACTTGTAGTCTTCAACTGAATGTGGGACACAGAAAACTTCAAGGAGCAATTTGTGTTTTAACACAAGTTAATACAAGAATTGAAGGCAAGTTTGAAAGAGTGAGAATATTCAAATATATATATATATGTATATATATATATGTGTGTGTGTGTGTGTATATACATATATATATATATACATATATATAGCCACAGATGAGGTTGGAAACTTTGCTCGGCAATATATGGCGAATATATTTATGCACTAGTCCTAAGTATATATGCACTTCGCATCTTTTGTTTCATTGACACCAATAGTCTGAGACTCTCCTTTCCCCTCCATTTCCTGTCACTACAAGATAACAGTCAAATAGAACCTTCCTCACTATACAAAAACAAAACTTTAACCTGAGATAATAGTCCAGTTTCCCCCAAGGAATTCTTTGGCCAGGTTAAGAACTGAGAAATACACTTCTCAGTTGGGATTTGGATAAGTCATTTAACCTCCTAAGCCTCACGTCCCTCATTTGAGTAGATAATAGTTACCTAAGAATTAAAACAATGTGTACCATCTGCCTAGCACAGTGGCAGATATATAATGAGCATTCCATCCATGGTAACTATTCTTATCACCTATACACACAGTTTTATGGAAACGATGGTATTGAGGCATGTCTTTAGTGATGCTGTACCTAATTATCACTCCCTGCCCGCATGTGCTGCTCTCCAGTGTTCTATCCTAAATGAGTAAACTAAACTTTGAAGTTATCTCACAAAAGAAAATACTTACGAAAAGATTAATCCTGTAACTAAATAGTATCACACATACTCCATCTATTCCAGAAATTTTTATTCAGGTGTTAAGATAATCCAAAGATTTGCTGTTTTTCCTCTGAGGGCATTATACTCCACAGGGGTTTGGTTATTTTGGCCTGTGAGAACATATTTCTGGAGAGTATGAATTGTTTGTTCTGGTAATATGTATTAGGAAAGGGCCAAAGTCTAGACCCAGTATTAGCACTGAGTTTAGAAAGAGAGAAGGAATGAGTTCAAAGCAGAGAGACCCAGGGACAGGAAAATATTATTGACCATTCTCTTTGGTTGGCACTCATGCGGGAACTCCTATATTCAAAAATTCCCCATTCAGTGCTTCAGAAAAAGCAGCTTTGAGAAGAGGGAGTGCCTGTAAGTTAAAATGCACCAATAATAGGAAATTTGGAGGGAGAAGTATGGAAGAGTAAATGCCCTAGGAAAACAATTTTTTTTTGGTTCAGTTTTCATCAACAACATAGAACTCCAGGACTTTTGAGGATTCCTGATGTTACACGTGGTCACCTGAACAAGGTAGAACCTGTTGCAGTGAAAGCACAGGCAATGCCATCTCAAAGAAGTGATAGGAAAACAGTGGAGAAGGGGACAGAATTCTCACTGCTGCAGCAGGTGCCCCTCCACTCATTTCCCCTAAATGGGGCAATAACAGCTACTTCCTCTAAACATCATGTTGGCCGGGTGCTGTGGCTCACACCTGTAATCCCAGCACTTTGGGAAGCCCAGGCGGGCGGATCACCAGGTCAGGAGATCGAGACCATCCTGGCTAACATGGTGAAACTCCGTCTCTACTAAAAATACAAAAAAAAATTAGCCGGGCATGGTGGCGGGCGCCTGTAGTCCCAGCTACTCGGGAGGCTGAGGCAGAATGGCGTGAACCTGGGAGGCGGAGCCTGCAGTGAGCCGAGATCGGGCCAATGCATTCCAGCCTGGGCGATAGAGCTAGACTCTGTAACAACAACAACAACAACAACAACAAATCATGTCAACCTTTGGTGTCTCTGGAGGTTTATTGTAGTTTCCGTTGCAGGTTTTAATTCCCAGAATCCACATATTTCTTTCACTTTTATAGTTTCCCTAGTGATGATTTTGACGGAAGGAGCCAACGACTCATGCTAGTTTTCCCTCTTGATAGCACACTGCTAAATATACATCTGACAAATGTGTACAATTCGTAGAGATATTTGTAGTTGATTATCTGCAGCTTGAAAAGCTCAACTACAAATAATTTTGTATATGTATATTTATATATAAATGTAAAACATTGACTTTTTTCTTAAAGTACTGGACTTTATTTTTGACTTTTTAATTGACACTTCTGAATTTGTCAACGTGGCAAATTAAGCTATCACAGTTTCTGTCTCCTCCCAACAAAACTCGGACATTCTGGAAAACAACATCAGAAATAAAAGTTGAGCTGAGTAACAAGGAAAAGGAAAGGACAAAGGAAGGAAGGCAGGAAGGTTGGTTCCCCCATGAGTAAATAGAGAAAGAATCTAGAGCAAGAGAGATAGATTTACTAAATAATGTCATTACAGTCTTAGAAACATCAGACTCTGATCTTGACTCAATGGTCTGCCTGAGAAGGGATTCGAATATTCCTTGGAGGCTAAAGTTAAGGACTTGGGTCTTATAAAGTTAAGAACTATAGCTGAGATCCCTACGTCTTACAGGGTCCCTGAAATACCTGATTGCTCTGCAAAAAGGGAAAAATTAAAATATTCCAGAATAGTTAGATAATTTTAATCAGCTCTCCCACTGAAGGCAACTTCGCAAGCTGGACACATTAAGAACAAAATTTTTTAGGTTTACTAGAGAAGAATAAGATAATAAATTAGAGGCCTGAATGAGACTCGATTGGCTGGAATCCAGAGAAGTAAAGTGAGCCCTACTCTCAGAGCTCCTTTTGCAATAAGGTCGTTTTTCTTTCCAGAAGATGAGGTGAGGCCAAGCTGCAGCTTTTGAAGCCTTAGAGGATTAAAGGAACAAAAATCTTTGTCTTGCTCCCTAGGGTCCAACAAGGAGGGATCTACTAAGTCACCCCACCATTTTGGATGGATACTGAAAACGTTATACCCCCAGGAGTAAGGTTAACTGAAACTAAACTCTTCCTATGTAACCAGTCTCGAAGTCATCTGGATGGACCAGAAAATCTTGAAATTTAAAATTAGGGCTGGTTGCAGTGGGTCATCCCTGTAATCCCAGCATTTTGGAAGGCCGAGGCAGGTGTATCATCTGAGGTCAGCAGTTCAAGACCAGCCTGGCCAACATGGTGAAACCCCGTCTCTACTAAAAATACAAGTTAGCTGGGCATGGTGGCGGGTGCCTGTAATCCCAGCTACTTGGGAGGCTGATGCAGGAGAATCACTTGAACCCAGGAGATGGAGGTTGCAGTGAGCCGAGATTGTGCCATTGCACTCCAGCTGGGCGACAAGAGCAAAACCTCGTCTCAAAAAATACATAAATAAATAAATAAATTAATTAATTAAATTAAATTAGATTAAGGAGTAACTGAATTGCTAGTGTCCTCGTGTCAAGCATAACCTCTGAAGGAAGAGAATAATATCCTATCATTAAATAATTACAGTGAGTAATTTTTCAAATAAGCAGAAGGATGGAGGTGAAAAGACATAGAGACACAGGAATATAGACACTGGAGTTACTTACAATTAGAACATAAAACAGCTATGCTTTTTAAATTTTGAAATAAAAATGAATGCCAGGCTTGAAAATTTAAGCAGGGGATTTAAAAGTATACAAAGTGATTGAATAGCTTAGAAAAAAAGAATCAAATAGAATTTCTAGAATTAATAAATATTACTATCAATAGATTGAAACAATCAAGAAAACACAGCAAATTTAGGGGGAAAATGAAGAAATTAACTACAAAGACGAACAGAGACAAAAAAATTAGAAAATACAGGAGAGAAACATACAGGATAAAGAGAGAAGTTACAGGAAAGATAATCTTGGAATCCTGGAATAATAATAAAATGTGGTAATGAAATATTTTATGAGATTATGGGTGAAAAGTATTGTTTCTCAAGTAAGTAAATGAAATCTGCATCTATCATATCACAGTAAAAGTACAGAAAAAAAGGCAAAGACAAAAATGTTAAAAAGCAATTAAAATATTTTAGTCTTTTCAGGCTGCTGTAACAAAATTCAATAAACTGGATAGATTATGAACAACAAAAAAGTATTTCTCATGGTTCTTGAGTTTGGGAAGTCCCAGATTAAAGCACAGGCAATTTCAGTGTCTGATGAGGACCCATTTCCGGACTTGTAGATATTGACTTCTTACTATAACCTAACATTATGGAAGAGGCAAACAGGCTCTCTTGGGCCTCTTTTGTAGGGACACTAATTCCATTTATAAGGATTATTCATGACCCAATAACCTCCCAAAGGCTGTACCTCTTAATACCATCACATTAGAGATTAGACTTCAGCATAAGAATTTTAAATAGGTGGAAACATTCAGACTATAGCATTAAGAAAATAGATTAGTTTCAAAAAAGAGCAGTTACATTTCTAGCTGAAGTATCAAGAGAAAGGATGGAAGCTAAAGGTAATAAAATGATATCTTCAAAGAGCTGAAATAAAATAATTGCAACCTGAACTATATCTGGAGAAGATATTTTTCAAGGATGAGGGTAAAATGAAGACATTTTGAAATTTTTTTTAAATTGGCAAATTTACCATTACAGCCCCTAACGTCACAAAGTGTCAAAGGCAGTTATTCAGGCAGAAAAACACAAAGAGAGAGAATAGAATACAATCATGTTTGGAACGGTCTAATGGAAGTTAATGTGTTCTAAAGTCCTTATGTTATCTGGGAGGAGGGTAAAATAATTGACTAGCTTAAGTCAGAAAAGTGTATGGTAATATCTTAACAACTAAAGAGAATTAGATTGTTTAACTTCAAAATAACATAGCCAGAGAAAAAATACAATAATTTCAAAACAGAAGAAGACTAGAAATAAGAAACAGAACAGGCAGAACAAAGAGAAACATATTGTAAAGCCAAACTATAAAGTCTAGTATAACAAATTATATTTAATATAAGAAATTGATGTTCTAGTATTTTTATTGTCAGATTGCATTAAATTTTATAATATGTTTATAGAGGAAATATTTAAATATTAATAATATAAACATAAATGATATAGATATTTAAATTAAATGCTAGGAAAACATTTTTTTGTACAGAAAGTAACAAACAGAAAGTTGAAATAGATATATTAATATTGGTAAAAGTCAACATTAAGGCAAAAACGTTAGAAATGAAGAGGGTCACTTCATAATAATAGTTTAATTCACCAAGACGAAACATTTCAATTTTTTAATATCTAATAATTGGTCTTGAATATTAAAAAAGAAAATATTAACAGAGGTAAAATTGATAAAATTGATAATTAGAGTGGAAGCTCTTAATATTCCTCTCTAGTAAATCACAAAGGACCTGGGGAAAAACTGAATATTTGAAGATGATAATGGAACAATTGCAGAATACAGCTGCCTTGCAAGCACACATAAAACCATTTTCTAAAATTGACTATATACTGGGCTATGAAGTCAATTCTAAAAGAATTTCAAAGTGTTAAAATACACTGTTTATTTTCTGACCATAATGAATTTATGCTGGCAATTAGTAACAAAAAAATAACTAGACAATTCCTAAATGCTTGAAGATTATGGAAAATGAAAACACTACATATCAAAAGTAGTACATAAAACTCGTAACTGTACCTATATATTTAGAAAGGCTGAGAAATAGTGAAAGCATCCGTCTCATAAAATTAGAAAAAAGAAGATAGAAAACCAACAGAAAAGTAATAATATTAATAGCTATTAATAATATTATTGAGAAAATAGTAAAATTAAAAACAAATATATCTTAAGTCCTCAAAGCCAAAGTAACTCATTGGAAAAACAAAGAAAAAAGCCAAATGTAAAATTGACAAACTCCTGCTGAGGCTGACAGACAAGAAAATGAGTGAACATTCAAGCATCCAGTACCGGGCTTGGAAAAGCCATCAGTATATATCCTTTAGTCATTAAAAAGCTAATAAGGAAATTATAATCAACATTATAACTAAATTTATTTTGAAGTGCATACATATTAAGCACATTCCTAGAAAATTATAACTTACCAAAACTAACAAAACAGATACAGGAAACCTGAAATGTTATTTACTGAAGACAATGGATCTGTAATTTTAAACCTTCTATGAAGAATATGTCTCTGATATATTTAACTAAACATTTGAGAAAAACAAATAGAAAGCAAATCATTTCATGCGTTTTATGAACCTTGAATAAAAATAAAATAGGGATGAGAAAAGTTAAAAAAAAAAGTACAGGCCAACCTTAATCCCAATGCAAAAATTCTAAACAAAATATTTGCAAATTTAAAATTATAATATATATATAATAATAATATAAAAAATGATAATACATGACAGCCAAGTTCAGGTCTATTTCAGGAATATGAGGTTGCTTCAATATTGGATATTCCTTCATTAACAAATTTTTAAAAATGGATGTGATTATCTCAATACATGCAGAAATATTCTATGAAATCCAAATCTTAGCAAACTAGAATAGAAGAAAGTTTTCTTAACCTGGTATATGTCCATAAAAATAAAACTCTATAGAAAATATACTATGATTTTAAAAATTACTGTTTCTTTTGAGATCAGGAAAACTGTAATCTTTATTGCCACTTCTATTTAACTTAGTTTTAAGTTCCTAAGCAGTAAAAAATAAATAAATAAATAGAGAGAAAAACATAAATAAAGTTACTGAGCTAGAAAAAGGAGAAAAAGTGAATTTCACTGTTCACAAATAAAATGATTGTATTGAAAATATAAAATAAAATTCAGATAAACCATTAGTATTATTAAGAAGATTTAGGGAATTTACAGGTCATATTGAAATAGAATATAAAAATCAATTTTATTTCTATATAGCAGCAAGAAGTAGTTATGAAAATACTTTTAAAGATTCAAATTATCTAACATGTCAAGTATCTTTAAACATATGTAGCATAAGATGTATAAGACCTCTACTGAAAAACTGTTAAACTTTATTGATAGAAATTTTTAAAAACACCCTGAAAGAGTGGCATATACTATGTCCATGTATTGGTAGATTTAATTTTTTAAAGATGTCCATTTCCAATCTAAGTTCTGAAGATTCATTTATTCTCAATAATCCCAACAGAATTTCTGTGTGTGTATGTGTGTGTGTGTGTGTGTGTGTGTGTGTGTGTGAGAGAGAGAGAGAGAGAGAGAAAGAAACTTCTAAACAAGTTACAGAAAACACTTATCTACAAGCATGGGGGAAGGGTAAATTTCTCTACATTATAATTTAGAATGTCAGTTCTTCAAATAAGTAATTGAGGTAATGTAATATCAAACCATAGGGTACACATGTATATATGCACATTTTTAATTTTAAAAGCTACTTGTTTCTTTTTCACTGACAAAAATATATCATTTCTATGGTATGATGTGATGTTTTGATATATGTACACAATGTGGAACAATTAAATAAAAGTAATTAACATATTCATCACCTTATGTACTTATCTTTTTGTGGTGACAACATTTAAAATCTATTTTGTTAGATATTTTCAAATACACAATATATTAGTCTTAACTGTGTGGCTTGTGATATGATTTGGCTCTGTGTCCCCAACCAAATATTATCTTGTAGCTCTCATAATTCCCATGTGTTGTGGCAGGGACCAGGTGGGAGATGACTGAATCATGTAGGCAGGGGCGGGGGGTTGTCTTTCCCATGCTGTTCTCGTGATAGTGAATGGTTCTCACGAGATCTGATGGTTTTAAAAATGGGAGTTTTTTTGCACAAACCCTCTCTTTGCCTGCTGCCATCCATATAAGATGTGACTTGCTGCTCCTTGCCTTCTGCCATGATTGTGAGGTTTCCCCAGCCACGTGGAACTTTTAAGTCCAATTAAGCCTCTTTCCTTTGTAAATTGTCCAGTCTTGTCCTTATCAGCAGCAGGAAAAAGGACTAATACAGTCTCCAATATACAATATATTATTATGAACGGCATGTTATTAACTGTATTATTATAAACTTATTCCTTCTAACTGAAAATTTGTTCCCTTGGACCAACAGCTCTCCATTCCACATCCTCAGTCCCTGGTAACTACCATTCTACTCTCTACTTTTATGAGTACAACATTTTTAGATTCCACATGTAAGTGAGAGCATACAGTATTTGTCTTTCTATGTCTGGCTTATTTCACTTGCATCATGTCCTCAGGTTCATTCATGTTGTCACAAATGACATGCCTTTTTCTTTTTTTAATGCCAAATAAGATTCCATTGAGTATACACATCAAATTTTCTTTATTCATGTATCCTTAGGTTGCATCTATATCTTGTTTATTACATAATGCTGCAATGGATATGGGAGTGCAGCTATCTCTTTGATATACTGACTTCATTTCCTTTGGATATATACCCAGAAGTGAGATTGCTGGATCATACAGTAGTTCTATTTTTAATTCTTTGAGGAACCTCCATACCATTTTTCATAATGATCACAGTAATTTATATTCCCGCCAAAGTGCACAAGAGTTCCCTTTTTTCTACATCCTCACCAACACTGATTATCTCTTGTCCTTTTGCCCATCCTAATAAGTGTAAGGTGATATCTCATGATTTTTATTTGTATTTCCCTGATGATTAGTGATGTTGAGCATTTTTTTTCATATATCTTTTGGCCATTTATATGCCTTCTTTTGAAAAATATCTATTCAGACTCTTTGCTCATTTATTTATTAGGTTATTTGTTTTCTTGCTATTAAGTTGTTTGAGTTTCTTAAATATTTTGAATAATAGCCCCTTGCACACAATGGAGACACAGGGTCTTCAATACATGGTATTGGGAATACTGGATATCCATATGAAAAGTATAAAATTGGATCTTTATCTCACCCCAAATACAAAAATCAACTCGAAATGAATAATAAACTTAAATCTAAGACCTGAAACTGTAGAACTTCTAGAAGAAAACATAGGAAGAAAGCTTCTTAACATAAGCCTTCCAAAGAACTTATGAACATTATCCCCAAAACAAGAAAACAAAAGCATATATACACAAATGGGATTGCATTAGGCTGAAAAGTTGCACAGCAAAGGAAACAATCAACAGAGTGAAGAGACAACTGTTGGATGGAAGAAAATATTTGCAAAGCAAAACATAATTTTTGAAGGGCTTACATCCAGAATATATAAAGAGCTTCTACAAATTAATTAGAAAAACACAACTGAAAACCTGCAACAAACCACATAAGCAAATTATCCAAACAGGGAAGAGTAGAAGATGAAAACAGAAAGTCTCCAAGACTTAGTTCTTTCCTTAAGATCCTTCTTTCTCCAGATTTTCCTGGTTGTAGGCTTTCTCGAATCTGGGTTTTTTCACTAACCTTCCAGTTTTATAAAGCACATAGTGTGGCAGAAGCAATTAGTACTTAGTATTTTGTGTGTTCTGCTTTCCTCAGCCTTTTCCATAGTTAGGTTCCAGCTATTCAACCTGTTCTGGCCAACACAGTTCACCACCAGTGTTCCTCTTCTTATTGCAGCATTCCTAAGTACCATGTTCTACATGTTGTCGCCTAAGATCAAAAAAGGCTGCCTGATTTGTATCAAGCTTTACATAAGAAAAAAATAAGCCACTGAAAATTTGCAGTTTTATTTTTCCTTTGCTTAGCTAGAGTGGGTGTCTACCCTAATTTATATATTAGGAAAAAAGTACAATAATTTTGTTGGCTCTAAATATGAGTATATAATCTTTTATATAATCCATTCATGCTTCCTGCAAGGAGCAGTAGAGAGTTTTTAAATTTTAACATATTGAAAGAACTAAAAATACAATCTATTTTAAAGAGCAAAACAAAATGTTAATTTTAAGTGAAAATATTTGTCAGAATATCGTTACTTTCACCGGCCAGTTCTACTACTTGCTGCTGTGCTAACTAATCTGAAAATGCAAGTGTTATCTCCCTATTATGCACTTATAAGAAATGAAAACTCCATACCTAATTCCTAGATTACAGAAATAATAAGTCCTTTGATTTTAGGCTGTGATGCAGCAGTCTTTGTCAGTTACATTGAACATTTCAAAAGATAAAGTGGAAATGTATGATCAAAGTGTGAACTCTGATTTTAAAAGTATTTGAGAATGCTGCTTTTTTATATGTTGAAGCAGATCTCACCTTCAAGCATAATATATTTTAAGAACTAGGGCTTTCATTGGGAAACTTAAGACCCAATATATTTTCTAACAGTGTTATTCCTCCTCAGATTCTCAAAAACAGCAAAGCAACAACAACAAAAAAAGATTTTGGGGTGACAGTTATTAGTAGATTGTAAAAAATACCTGACACTGAAGAATGATGATTTTAAAATTCACACATTTTACAAAATTTTAGCAAAAATGCTTAAAGAGCAAAAATCCCAATTCTTGCTTCGCATCATTACAGACAGAGAAGAAGAAAAATATAAAAATCTTAGTGGTAATACTTCTCATAAAAACATCCAACCCATTATATTTATACATTGATAGGACTGACCAAATCTCTGAAATCTGATACTTGATGGCTTTGCTATCATGTTCTGTCATTTTAAAAAGGCAAAAACTCTTTAGACTGACTGTTAAAACATTGAAACCACATCAACAGAGACATGAAATTGATTGTGTTATATTAGAATTCCAGATCTAGTGTTTATCAAAATTTTATATAGTTTCTCAAAATATAGTATCTTTGGGAGATCAGAACAGCAAACTTATCTACCAGATAACAACTGGAATTACTCCTTTTATAATCTGCAGTCAGGTAATCTCAACCTGCTTCCTGTTCTGTCTTAGTGTCTTAGATATAAAATGATTTAGTGAAGCAACTCTGCTCTTCCCCCATGTATAACTAACGCCACTCTCTTATCTGTTGCATTCTATAAAAGACCCATCTCATATCAAGCAGACTTCCATACTTGTCCTAATTCTCCCTGAATTTTCCATTTTCTTTTCATTCCACATCCCTGGTTTTTTCTTTTTTGAAGTATGCTTTTCTGTTCAATGTTTTTCCTCCAGAAAATCCTGTGCTGTGCCCTCATCTCTTTTCTTTCTATACAATAAGACACCTCATTCACCCCTATGATTCCAATTAATATCTTAACATTCATGACTCTCCAAAACATAACCTCAGCCCAAGGAACTCCCGTGAACATCAGACGGTTACATACAGCTACCTACCTAAATCCTATTGTAAACATGTTCCTTACATACAACTTTTATCTTCTTCCATATCTGTGTCCCAGTAATTCCCACCTCATTCAAGGGCATTACAATACACTAGTCCCACTTACCAACAGCAAGATTCACCTTGGATGTTACTCTTATTTCTTCTTATTCCCTTATCATCAACTCCAATTAATCACCAAGTTCTGTCAGTACCACCCCCAAAATCTGTCAAATCCGCCTATTTCTCTTATTGGCCTCTACCCTTTTCTAGAGTCACGTGGACTACTGAAAGCTCTCCCTCCCTCCGTTTGAGACTTCCTCTAATCTATTCTCCACAATGAACTAAAGGAACCTCTCTAAAACCCAAGGATGATCACATCTAGACTTCAATAACTATCCACAGTTCCTATAATCAAATTCAAGTGTCATTGGATCATTTTTCAGCTATGTGTCTCATCACTCTCATTCCCTGTTCCTCTTAGGAGTCTATCAAAGCTAACTTCTTTTAGTGATTTAAGCATATTATCCTTATTACAGGTTTTTGCACATGCCGTTAATTTTATCATAAACTTTAACCCCCAACCCCTATCCTTTTAGCTTAACCCCCACCTTTCTTTCTGTTCTTGATTTAGTTCTCTCTCACTGGAAGGCATTTCCTAACCATTAAGCCTGGGTTAAGTAACTTTCATACATGTTCTCGTAGCACCTTGTAATCTCCCTACATTGCATTTACCATGGGGTACCATAATTTGCAGTAACTGCATCTGCCTTTTCATTTCTAGATGTCCAATGTTTCCCACAGATTCAGACACTTGTGATATTTAATTAGCAGATTAATGGGGTCAAAACTTATGTAAGAATTATCTGTGTAATAAAGAGCAATGCGAAACCACCTTACTTTTTTCTAAACCACTTTTAAAAAATGTGATTCTCAATTAAAATCTCCCTTACCTTCGATAAAGAAGCATTGATTCAATTTTTCCCCACTTTTTTATTCAAGGTGTTGAATAAAGGATAGGCATACAGATGTTAACAAAATTCTAAGAATGGCTAACAGCAGTATTGTGAAATTCTATATGCTTCTATTAACATTAATTGGAAACATCACTCTGCTGGATAAGCTATTATCTACCCCAGCCTTCATTGTCTCATTTTGAATGCTTATCTTTACCCAATGGCTAGAGGCAAAATCTTCTCTATTGTTGTCTCCTTTAGAGGGTGATTTATTTGATAGCTCAGTTGCAAACCACAATTTCTTCCCAAATTATCCTATCCTTTTCATTAATCCCTTTCTATTATCTTGAGACTCCAAAAGACAAGTAAAATGATGAGGTGCCAAAGTCACTGTAACTTTTAGAAACATAGAGCGACATCATTAAATCTTTTGAAGATATTTTGAGAATGTGTATCTTTCCAATTCACTCCAAATGATGCTTGATTGATGAAGTTTGGTGGTGAGAATCTGTCAATGAAGTCTCATGTAAATATACATGTAAATATTTAGGATATGTCACTTGAAACTTTCCAGAAGTCTCAAAGTTGATTTTCTAAGTTGTTTTCTATCATTAGTACCATTGTATGAAATGAATCACAGTTTGCTTTAGGACTCAAGGACAATTGTGTAAACACTCATATAATCAGAGCATACCAGGTCAGTTGGTTTTGGTTAAAAAGAGACAAAACATGCAATGATTAAGGAAGTCAAATATATAATACTCTAAGAATTTCAATAAATTTAGTAAAGTGCTTGAAATTAGATACTTTTCAGTGCATACAAGGAATTAGCAATTTACTTAGGCCTATACCTTTATTCTTCTCTAATAGTTTCTATTCTGAAAGTTCATTTTTGCCTTCTGTATTATTCTTTCTTAATTCAATACATTAAGAGCATATTCTCAGCATCCATTCTCTGAACCCATTAATGTTTTCTAAAATGTTTTTGGCCTTTCCTAAAACTCAATAATGCATTAGCATTATCTTTTATTCACGTAAGTATTTCCTAAATGTAATTTTTAGTATATTGCCGTATGCCCATGACCACACAGTTTAATTGTCTTGCTTCACAGCTTAATTGGCCTACTTCAATTTGGGAATTGAAATAATAGGTGGAAATTCCATAGTTCTCACCCTTGAAAACCCATGTGAAACTAATATACTAATATGATAAGAGGAAAACATAACAGGCTGTATTTTAAAGATCACTGAAAAGTTGATCTGTTTAGCTTATCAGATTTCATCCTCGGATGTTTATTGCCTATATTCAATATTGAATCTCTAGCCCATCAAGCTAGATATTATAAATCTAATTAAACATTGTAAATTAGTTTGGGATCTGACAATAATCAAATTTCCCAAAGCTATCTACATATCAAAATCATCTGGGACACAATATATATTCCTGGTTCCAAATCCAAAACATTCTGAGTTAATGCATAGGACAGATGTTCAGTAATTCATATTTTTAAAATGTTTTCATAAAAATATATATTGCTGTTTTTGTTTTAGTAACTTTTATATAAACAGTATTAAACTGTGCAAATTACTACATCTAAGTCTTTAATACACACACAATCAAAATATAAATGAATGCATGGGCAGGATAATTTACTGACCATAATAATTATCTCTGGGGAGAAAGGGAAGATGACAAGATTGGGATAGTAGATTTATTAATACTAATTGTAATATTGTCTTGCTTTTACAAGAAAACAGTTAAAGAAAAATGGCAAAATGTTAACATTTATCAGATTTTGATTGTGGGCATACAGGTTTCTATTATTTTCTTTCTTTTTACATGTTGGAAATAGTTTATATTTAAAAAAATCTGTCTCCTGGTAATTCAGATGATATGCAGGTTTGAGAAATATTTTAATAACTACTGGGCAATGTAATTTATCATACAAACTGGGACACTGTTGAGAATTAAAGAGAGTGCTATTAATAATTTGCCAGCATAAGTGGCAAATAGAATGTATGGTCACCCCAGGATCAAACTATTTTAAGTTCTACTTAATGCATGAACTCCTTAACAAGAAAATTCATCTTCTATCACTTCCCCTAATCTTCTTATTTATAAGTTATCACAGATAGAGGATATTGATCTAATTTGCTCAATTTATTATCCATTTTTTTCACGAAAGCACTCTAGGATATATATAATTTTCCTATATATGGAAATATATAATATTTCCATTACAATAAATAATGGAAATACAAAAGAATTTTGATACTAAGATCTCTCCCTAAGATGCAATAAAATGTAGTTAATCAATTAACAACATTTCTCAAACACACAATATTTCAAAGGATGGGATGATGTGAGGTTAAAAACAAAACAAAAATACAGTCTTTGACCTCATGAAATATTTATTTTAACTAATCCTTCAGGTAAAATACATAAAACCAAGAAATGCAGATTGTAAAACTGCGTAACAATAGAATAAAAAATAATTACTATTTAAAGACCAAATACTAATAGATAGTAAAGTTAAACATAGTGAATAATGTAACCATCACTAGTTGCCAAGTCTGAGAGCTCAGTTTCTTTTTTCTTGGTGAGTCTCTGCTATCTCCGCAGGTTCTGCCTGGACTCTTGCTTCTCCAGTTCATGGATTATCTCACCAGCCCATAGGAACGATCTCTGTTTTGCACTATTTTATACAAGATATAAAGTTCAGTCTGCTGCAATTGGAAGATTTTATATAACTAATGTGGGAAAGACCCCCAAACATACTTAATGAAGAAAAGTAATGTGTTCACTCAAGGAGGTGAATAATCCAGATATAGCTTAATCTAGGGCTCAGATGATATGAACAGGGCACACTATCTTGTGTGCTTAGTTCTTTTTTTGTCCTGGCTTCACCCTCAAGCCATCTTCCCTCCTAGCCACCATGTTAGTGCCAGGAATCCACAGGCTATTATCCTGGTGATTAATGTCCAAAGGAAAAGTAATAGACTGTTTCCCAGGCCTTTCAAACAAAAATCTTGGGATTGCAATTAAAATTTTATCTATAGTTTCTCAGCCTTTTGGCTAAGATCAAGTGTAAAATTTTAACTGTGACTAGCCTGACTTGAGTCAAGTGCATTTCTCAGAATCAGCTATGGCTGAGAATAGAATGTGTAGATGTTTAGACTGGTTTACTCTAAATTCTTTATATTCCACTGAATCATGTCATAAAAAGTAGACAGGCTGTTAGTACAAGTAGGTGTTTCTCAAAAGCCACAGCCCTATGAAAGGAAAATGAATACCAGATGGGTAAAGTGGAAAAAACAAAGAATGGAAGGACAGAGGAAGAAAGGGAGGGAAGAAGAAAGACAAAAGGAAAAGGAAGGGTGGGGAGGGAGGAAAGACAAAAAAGTAGTCCACTGAGACAGTGAGTTAAGAACCAGCTTTCAAAAGAAAACAAGAAAAATACCGAGTCTTTCTCTGCAATGCTTGATAATTTTCATGTTGCAAATTCCCCCATCGTGACAATTTCAAGATACCAATGAGAGGTCTCTGTATGAAGACTTGAGAAGAGATGTGCAGTAGTATACCACTGCGTACATATCTTTGCTTTTCAGGTTATTAATATCTATTGTGTCTGAGTATATTTAGATTACTCAGATATAAATGTATATACATATGTATATACATACTTAGATACAGTAGGCATCAATAGCTTCAAAAACAAAGATAATAGTACATTGTAGTAAAATAATTAGGTCATGATATCTTTTCAATATATATTAGCTATTATTAATACAATATATTTGCTTGTAAGCTTACACGTTAATTTTTATATGTAAGTTTATATGTTAATTTTTAATGATGGTTATATTTAGCAACTACCTCACAAAATCCCTGTAATTTTAGAAATTGTATCTTCCATGCTGTACAGCTTGGCTCTAGCTCATGACTGATAAAACGTCTTTCTTATTGTCTTAAATAAAAATAAGTTACATACAGCTAACCATGTTTATGCAGTCAACTTTACTAAAGCTTTTGTGAAGCAAAAGAGATTTTTTATTAAAACAAAACAAAAACAAGTCAACCATTATAAATTGCTACACTTAGACATTCTGCATCCCTTACACTACTGCAGCTTTCACAATTTTTTACTACCCATTTCACCTCAGGAAGCACCTCACTTCTAACATTCTCAGAGATTCTCTTTTCTGGTTATATCTTCATAAATGTGCTTCAGCCACCTCTACCCAGTGTACTCTAAACAATTCTTCTTTTTTATTTAAAAAAAAATCAACCCCTATAGCCAAACACAACTGCAAACCTATCATTATATTTGCAAGCCAAATGTGGTGGAGTTTATAAATCTATAGACTCTGGATCACCTGCTTAAACAATCAGGATTTAACACTGATTGCTCAGTCCTGCTACAGATCTAATTAGTTTCTTTGGGGAAAGGGTCTACATACCAACCTGCTTATTTAACACTTCAGGTGTTTCTAATGGACATAAAAGTGTAATACCATTAATAATAGGCTCAACAGAAATAGTCAGGTATCTATTTCAGAGATAATCCCTCCCCATGTGTGCAGAAAGTTTTTAAATATGTATTGTGTACTGTAATACATTCTACCGTGGGTCTAAATGACCACCAGAGTAGCCTATGTGTCCTTAAAGATTCAGTGTAAAAGATGACTCTTAGAAGCCCCTCTTGACCCTCACCTAACCTCAAAACTTCCCTTGCCAAATTTTTTGGCCCCTCCATTTCAATTCAACTGTATCTTCCTTTCCTAGGTGTTAACCACCTCAGCCCATCACCTAAATAATTTATTGTGTTTCTACTTCCTACTACACTGAAATCTCCTTGAAATTCAAGACTGCCTCTTATGCATCTGTGAATCCTCTGTGTTTAGCATAATACCTGACAAATAGTGTATATTTCATAATCCTCATTTAATGATAAACGAAATGAAGAGAGAGTGAGGAGAGGACTGAAACAGAAAAGGAAGGGGGAGAAGTATTTTTAAAAAGTAGAAAAGTAGGAAAAACTGGGGAAAGAAAAGAGTAAAGTAAAAATGTTTGTTTTTAATTTTTATCTGGGTTTGAATTATTGTTTCATTGAGTAATATATTACTTTGCTGTCAAAAAATGTGAATCTCTACAAATACAAGACCCATTACTTTAGGTCGGGCATGGTGGCTCATGCCTGAAATCCTAGCACTTTGGGAGGCCAAGGTGGGAGGATCACCTGAGGTCGGGAGTTCGAGACCAGCCTGACCAACATGGAGAAACCTCGTCTCTACTAAAAATACAAAATTAGCCGAACGCAGTGGCGTATGCCTGTAATCCCAGCTACTTGGGAGGCTGAGGCAAGAGAATCGCTTGAACCTAGGAGGCAGAGTTGCTGTGAGCCGAGATCGCACCATTGCACTCCAGCCTGGGCAACAAGAGCAAAATTCCATCTCAAAAAAAAAAAAAAAAAAAAAAAAGACCCATGACTTTTACTAAACTTAAGATTTCCATGATTCCAGGTGTTCATCTAAATTTCAGGCTTTAGTATTGCTTGTAACTTATAAATTTAACAACGCCTACTCAACAAAGCCATTTTTCACTTTTACATGATATTACAGAAAATATTTTATGTGGAAAATGCACAAAGATTACAAATCAGTTGCAATAAAGTGCCAGGGCATGGAAATGAAGAATTGAATCCAGGCTGGCTGAGATTACACATAGCCTACATGGGTCAAATAATAGAACCCTGCTCCTACTCTTCTCTAGAGACACCCATTATTTCTTTAAAACAAAAAATGAAGCTATTTCCCTAGTTTTAAAAAGCCTACCCCTTGTTAGTTTGTGTTGCAGGTCTTATGCATTATCTCCCAGTAGTTTTAGAAACTCATGGGTCCCATACTAAAAAGATATCCATTACATGTGTGAGTTCTCTTAGACAATTTTAATCCCCATTTATACTTTAATCCCCATTTATACAGTTTGCATTTATACTTACAATTGAATTGCCTCCAGGTAATTCCACTTTAGAAGGCACAGGCAAATTAATGTAAGACAGAGTCCAACTTAACATGTAAATACTATATCTTGCACCAACACAAGCGAAGGCCAAATGATATGAGAAAGTGCTACATAAACAAATGTTTCCTACTTATTCAAATAGAAAACTATGGTAGGAAAGTTGAAGCCATCAAGGGCAACCAGCAGATGAGTCATGCCAAAATCAAAGGAATTGCAATATAGCAATCAAAATCAGAGTCACAATGGGAATTGCAACTTAGTTTCAACAAAATAATTTTATCTGTCATATTAAATTCATGTTGATTTGAATTTTATTGGTTTTGCATATATGCTTATATTGCATGTGCAAATTATATTTTAGTTTTAACATAAGAATGAAAAGCACACAGAGTCAGAGTTTATCCCTTTTTTAGGTTAAATACATAACAGTATAATAAAAGTACACAATAAGACTGAACCATAGAATATATTTTTCTTGACAAAGAAATACTGTATAAGAACAGAGTACAGTGTTGACATATCACCTTGTTTATTCAGAAGGACAAATACCAAACTTTATCATGTTACATGTGATTTTGATGAGGACTTATTGACTACAAAGTGCTCTCCTTTAGCTCTCCAATGTTCATTTTTCTGCTTGGCTTCATTTGCCACATTGCATTATAAATATTTCTTTATAGGAAGCACTTAATGGTTAAGAGGGTGACCAACCACTGTACGACTGTCTAGATTCAAATTTTATCTGTGCCACTCATTAACTGTGACACAAATTTGTCAGTTCACCAGTTCATGTTGTCTTAAAAGCACATAGAAGAACCACATTTCCTAGATTGCTTTATATTAAGTTGGAACCACATGACGGATTTAGCAAATGGATATGAAGGAAGTAGCATTCGTCATTTCCAGGACTGTTCATAATCCCCATGATCAATCCCCTCACCCTCCCTAACCCTCCATGATGACCTTGAAAACTAGGTATTTCCAATGTCTTAGTTATAGATTTGTAGCTACAACGTGGAAGCAACCTTGATCTCTGAGTGACCTCTTGAAGGAGGAATTCCCAAGCCATGTAAGACTATGACTTGAGCAAGAAAAGACACAATAGACCTTTATTCTATGTTCTTATGATTTCTTTGGTATAGACACATGACTTCACCTCTCCTGGTTAGTGGAATAACTACATGAACTTAGATAAGTTAATATCAGTGTTCAGTGCCAAAGTTTCCTCATCTGTGAAACTGGAGTAAAGTATCTTTCCCACAGAGATATATACCTTTTATAAGAGTGAGAACCAAATGAGTTGATTCAGACAGACCTCTAAGAACAATACCTGATACTTAGCAAGCATTATTATGAGTCTCCTCCCTGCCCTCTCTTCTCCTGTGGTTCACTGAAACTGGTGTCTTTGTCTCATTCACTTTTTTTTTCTTTTTTTGAGACACAGTCTGGCTCTGCCGCCCAGGCTGGAGTGCAGTGGCACAATCTTGGCTCACTGCAACCTCTGCCCCCTGGGTTCAAGCGATTCTCCTGCCTCAGTCTCCTGAGTGGCTGGGATTACAGGCATCTGCCACCATGCCCCGTAATTTCTGCATTTACAGTAGAGACAGGGCTTCACCATGTTGGCCAGGCTGGTCTTAAACTCCTGACTTCAACTGATCTGCCCAGCTCGGCCTCTGAAAGTTCTGGGATTACAGGCAGGAGCCACCGCACCTGGCTACATTCACTTTTATTTCCAACATTTTTTATAGGTTTGGAACACAGTGGGTGCTGAATAAATGTTTACTTTATAAGTGAATCTAATACCTTCACACAATTGAAAGTCATACCAAGTTCATCTCTGGGCTGTGTTCAATTTACATTTATAATATGGCTTCATAACAATTATTAAGAATTCATTGTAGCAGACGTACAGGTAGCATTTTTTATAGTCTCTCTTCCTTTTTCTTTTTCTCCATTGCTCTCTTCTCTTGAGCATTTGAAAAACTGATCTGCATTTAGTAAAAGTCAATAAGTAGAGATGACTAAATTTAAATTTAATGCACATTTGTGTAGAATAGGTCTCCCTGTGTCACCTATAGTTTCATTCTCAAATTATAACATGAGAGAAATATAAAATTTAAATTTCATATATTCATAAGCTAAATAATTCTAATGAATTCCATTATTAATTAGTTAGTGTAGAGAAAGATGAGCCTCTGAGAATTAACCTTTTCTTTGCCTCATCCTCACAGGCTATTGCATGCTTAGCTGCACTAAAGCAAGAATGAGATTCATCCAGCACATCATTATGCATAAATGAATCCTCCTGTCAGCTATTGTGGGAACTACTCTTTGGCTTATTTACATATTAGCACTTATACCAGGTGCTTAGGGACAAAATTCACAGTTACTCTGTTAGCATCTCTACCAAATAACTTGATAAAGGAAAACACTACATTGTTGGATAAATACATTAATTCATGTATCTGTGGATTTCAAATATGCATACCACCATACCAGTTTCCAAGGCACTTTGAATTGAGAATATTAGATGAATGATTTGAGCCGTAAGGTGAGGGAGATATTCAAATTAACAGGATTGCAACATTTTGCTCTGGTGCTCAGCAAGGAATCACAAATACTGAAGCATGTTGTACAAGAAGGAATTGTCCAAGCAAGGAAGGGATAGAAAATCAAAACTGCAAGCTCTTAAACTGCTGAATATACCAATAAATTGACAAGCTTACTCAATTAAATTCAAACTTCCAGGAAGAGCACTTCTTGGAAGCATCTTTTAATAATCAATAACTCTACGTGCCTTGATAATAGAGGCAAGTGGACTGATGAATAAAAAGACTGAATAATTTCAACTTGTGATTATAATAGATAAACATAAAAGTACACAGCAAATATAACTCCCTATTCTACCATAAATCTTATAAAGGTAAACTAATATCAAAAAAATTGAACAAACTAGAAATGAAGAGTTGCTAAATTGTCAGATAATATTCAATTTTAATTGATCTCTTTAAGTTGTCTCTTCTTAAAATACACTTTCAAACCAATTCTATTTTATTATATTTATGTTTAGGGCAATTTTAGGTTCACAGAAAAATTGATTGAAAGGTACAGATATTTCCTATGTACCACCTGCCCCCACAGATGTATAGCCGTCCCCATTAGTATCATCTCCCACAAAAGTTATACATGTTATAATTCATGAATATATATTGATACATTATTATCACCCAAAGCCCATAGTTTATGTTCTCTGTTGGTTTGTACATTCTGTGTGTTTGAATAAATATATAACGACATGTATTCATCAGAGTAGTATCACACAGTATTTACACTGCCCTAAAAATCGTCTGGACTCTGCCTATTTATCTCCTATCACTAGCCCCAACCCCTGGCAACAATGGATCCTTTTACTGGCTTCACAGTTTGGCCTTTTCTAGAATGTCATATGTAATTTGAATCATATAGTATAAAGCCCTTTCAGATTGCTTCTTTTGCTTGATAATATACATTTAAGTTTCCTCCATGCTTCTCCTTGCTTGATAGCTCGTTTCCTTTTAGTTCTGGACAATATTCTGCTGACTACATGTACCATCATTTATTTTTCTGTTCACCTACTAAAGGACATATTGGTTGCTTACAAGTTTTGACAATTATGAGTACAGCTGCTGTAAACGTTCCTATGCAGGTTTTTGTGTGGCTATAAAATTTCAGCTTCTTTGGGTAGATACCAAGGGTCACAATTACTGGAAAGTATGATAAGAGTATGTTGAGTTTTGTAAGAAACTACTAAACTGTTCCAAAGTGGCTGTACCATTTTTTCATTCCCACAAGCAATGAATGAGAGTTCCTGTGGGTCTACATGTTCTCCAACATTTAGTGTTGCAGTGTTCTGGATTATGACCATTCTAACAGATGTATAGTGGTATCTTATTTTTGTTTTAATTTGCATTTACCTGACAACAAATTTTATGAACACCCTTTCATATGCTTATTTGTCATCTGTATATCTTCTTTGGTGGGGTGTCTGCCAAGATCTTTGACCTAGGTTTTGAACTGGTTGTTTGTTTTCTTCTTGTTAATTTTAAGAATTATTTGCACATTTTGGATAACATTATTTTGTCAGATATGCCTGCAAATATTTTCTCCCAATCTGCGGCATATCTTTACATTCTCTTGGCAATATCTTTTGCAAAACAGAAATTTGCAATTTGGATGAACTCCAGCTTATCAATTCTTTATTTCATAAATTGTGCCTTTGGTGTTGTATCTAAAAAGTCATCACTATACACAAGGTTATATAGATTTTCTACTGTGTTATCTTCCAAGAGTTTTATAGTTTTACATATTACATTTATATCTGTGCTGCATTCTGAGTTAACTTTATGAAGGGTGTAAGGTCTCCGTCTTGATTATTGTGTGCATGTGGATGTCCACTTGTTTCAGCACCATTTATTGAAAAGGCTGTTTTCTTCCATTGTATTACCTTTGCTCCTTCATCAAAGATCAGTTGACTATGTTTATGTGGGTCTATTTCTGAGCTCTCCGTTCTGTTCACTAATGTACTTATCTATTCTTTTGTCAATATCAAATGATCTTGATTATTGTAGCTTTGTATTAAGTCTTGAAACTGAGTAGCGTTAGTCCTCCAATTTTGTTATTTCCTTTGATTTTGTGTCGGCTAATCTGGGCCTTTTGCTTCTCCATGTAATGACCCATTAGAATCAGTTTGCTGATATCCACAATATATGTTTCTGGGATTTTGATTGGGATTGCATTGAATCTACAGATCAAATTGGGAGAATTGGCTTCTTAATATTATCTTTCTACCCATAAAAATGGAATTTATCTCTATTTCTTTAGTTCTCCTTTGATTTTGTAAAATCAGAGTGTTATGGTTTTTATTTCTGTATTTTTCTGGCTGTCTCTTCAACTTTGGGGAAGTGGTTTGCCCTGTGAACTCATTTCTCTTCTGGATCTAAGAAGAGTTGCTGATTTTTCAGTTTATTCAGCTTTTTGCTTGTTAAAACAGAGTAGAGACTTCTAAGCTCCTTACATTCCAGACCAGAAACTGGATTTTAATTCTAAGTATCTTTATACAGTAACTTTAGAGATAATTTGAAGAAATCTTCAAAAATACAAATGAAGTTATTTCTTTTGTTGTTGTTGTTTGGGAACACTCCACTAATATGAATCTATTTACTATAATACCTTTGTCAAAGAAGCATTTGGATTATCAAAGACAATCTTAGTTCATTTTCTTTTCTTGCTGATAACAAGTGTATTAGTCAGGATTCTCTAGAGAGACAGAACTAATAGGTTGGATGTATATATGAAGGGGAGTTTATTAAGGAGTATTGACTCACACAATCACAAGGTGAAGTTCCACAATAGGTGCTGCAAGTTGGAGAGCAAGGAAGCCAGTCCAAGTCCCAAAACCTCAAAAGTAGGGAAGCCGACAGTGCAGCCTTCAGTCTGTGACCAAAGGCCCGAAAGCCCCTGGCAAACCACTGGTGTAAGTCCAAGAAACCAAAAGCTGAAGAACTTGGAGTCTGATGTTCGAACACAGGAAGCATCCAGCACAAAAGAAAGATGAAGGTCGGAAGACTCAGCCCATCTCCTCATTCCACTTTCTTCTGCCTGCTTTATTCTAGCCATCCTGGCAGCTGATTAGATGGTGCCCCCCCAGATTGAGGGTGGGTGTGCCTCTCCCAGTCCACTGACTCAAATGTTAATCTCCTTTGGCAACACCCTCACAGACACGCCCAGGAACAATACTTCACATCCTTCAATCCAATCAAGTTGACACTATTAACCATCACATCAAGGCACTGGGTAGGAGTAGTATAAAAAATAATTAGATGAATAGACAGATAGATTTCAATCTTATAAACTTAGTCTGACCTAACAATAGTATCAAGCTACTATGGATAACTCAGTTACATTTTTTTCTTTACCAAATGTTTGATCTTAGAGATTTCGTTTCCTTCTTTTACCATATGGCATATGTAGTATATATTAAAAGAAGTTTAAGTAGCTTCATACGTTGGAAGCACATACACCAAGTCTACACGAATGAGATTTTTTACCACCCTCTGGCTCTTCTGATTTCTATGATAATACCTCTTGTCACCTGGGTGTGACACTGGCATCAAATATTGAAGTCTGAGGTTAGCTAACAAGTGGGATGAATCTTAGCTGGATCAGGACAAGTGGTTCCCTAACCTCCCAACCTTCCCATGTGTAGCCTCAACTCTAGCCAAATACTCAGTTCTTACTCATATAGACAACTGAAGTTCTGGCTCTGATTTTCTTTTTTTTTTTTTTTTCTCCCCCAAGCAAAATTGGTTTTCCTTATAGACCTCAACAGCAGATTAATCTCCACCTCTCTATGGCTCCCTTTGGCTACCTACCATCTCAGACTCTGCAAGTGCCTCATCCTTTCTTGGAGGAGAGAGGACTTTCTGAGTCGGTTCACACTACATGGAATCCAAAAGATGTTTAGGGGCATTATATCTGTGCTCCGTCTGACTGATGCATAAGTGCCCCAGAATCTGCCAAGGGACTATAAGAGCTGGTTTCTTGACAGATCTTCAAATGCAAAGTGAAATTTTGCCCAGAGCAGAAGTGTTATGACAATAATGTCTCAATGGATGTTTCCTTCTTTCTGCCCAATTCTTCTTCCCACAATTTTAGGAGGGGGCAAACAGCACAGGTTCTCTCCTCCATCTTCCTTCTGGCCAAGGTTTCTTCTAAGTCTTGCCCTTTCTTCTGATGGTGACATACACCTACATTACTGTAGAGCATTATAGCTCATTGTAGATGAAATTTCTTTCAACTCACTTTCTAAGAAAAGAAAGCAAAATATACTTTAAAAAATGATTTTCAAAACATCAAACTTCTCATATCTTACCACTCATGAATCAAGTTTTTTAAGACTTTACTTTTGGTCCTGTTGTCATCTCTCTGTCCTTCTCTCTCTCTCTCTCTCTCTTTTCTTCTTTCTCACTTCTCCCAAATATCAGGCTACATGGCCAAGCCCATTCTTAAATATTCAGGTAGGGGTAGATATTTTAAGAATAATAACAATGAAACATTTTGCTTCAACAAACAACCTAACTCTTAGTACAGTGGGACACTGAAATTTTTAAAAAGTAACTATAATGCAATGCAGTAGAGATATATTAAATGTAAATGTGATATCCTATAGGAATAAAACACTTTTATGCAAAATCGCCTTGGAGGTTGGTGCTTTTCTTTCTTCCATTTTTACATATGATAAAATGATACCAAGTCTTGCTCAAATTATAAAAATGATAAGATGATAGAGAACACCATACCATATTTTGTGAAGTTTTCTGTGACATTATTTGAATAATATTAAGAATACCTTTATAAACATACAATAATTTATGAGATTAACATTTAACTAATGACACAAGTCAGAACTCTCGTAGCATTTCCACTTAGATGCTTGCTAGACACATTAGGATGTCATTCTTCCCATTACACAGTAGACTACTACAGCTTTGGAAGTTTGCAGACATGGGAAAGGGAGATTGAAGTTAATTAATTTATATCAAGATATCTAGAGGAGATACAATTTTTCTATGAAGAATCATTTCCCTCTATTCCCAGAATGTTTTGTTAAGATAATGCAGCATTTTCACAACAGAGAGAAAACATGAGATTCATTGTTCCCTTCCTCCCTTTTCCAACACCACCACCACTCCTCCAACACCTGTGGTAATATTTTACATATTGGAAAGTAAGAAGTAGGAATAAGATATCCTTTAAGAATGTGAAGGATGCCAAGCCCCTGTGTAGCACCAATATGTGTGATTCTACATTATTCCATTAGGATGTTCAGCAAGATTCTAGAGTGCATTTAGAGCCATCAAAACAACAGGTTAACGTACATGCAGTTTGAAATTGATTTCTTCTACCCGATTCCAGAAATTACTTATTAATAGCCATTGTATATGATAAGCCCTAATTAATCAAAATTTTCCGTGAACTGGAGTATCTTACTGGCCAACCATTTTGGATAAACGTAAGTCTACCTTGTTTTAAAAGACTTAAATATTTGAAATTATGTAAAAAATTCATGTTTAATTTTTAAATATTTTATCAAGATGTCTAGCATAGCCTATGTATGACTAAAAGAACTGTCTAAGCAGTAAAAATTGAACAATCCCCCAAATAAAAACACTACATTTTAAACTACCATGGCATCAAAACCAAACAAACTAGTACATCTCATGTACGTAGTCCATTTCTGAAAATCACAATAATGTTGTTTTCTAAAAAAAATAAATTCAACTATGTGATAATTTAATGTTTAAAGAAATGCTTTTGTTTTACTTCTTCATTCAATAAAATTGATTGAGCACATGCTTTGTCCTAAGATATTTATTGTTAAGTAAAACAAATTTATTCACTACTGTCATGGAGTTTATAGCCTAATGCAAGACACAGACCAAAGCAGGAAAAAAATAAGTAAATAATCTCACTTAATAATAAATCATATGAAGAAAATAAAGCTAGTTGATAAAATAAAGAATGGTAGAGCAGTCTCCAGGGAGGTCAGGGATAACGTGACTAGGTTAAATTACGAGGTCATCAAAGGCCTCATTATGAAGGGATTATTCGTGCTAAGACCTGAGTGTCTGAGGACACAGTCAGAAAGTCTGGAACCAGAACGTTTCAGGCTGGAGAAACAGCATTCTCAGGTAGAAATAAGCCCGACATGTTTTAAGAATTTTAAAAAAGGCAATGTGATTGAAGAACAGAAGTTAGGGGTTGAGGTAGGGGGTGGGGGGAGGTGAGTTAGAATAAATACCGTCAATGAATTGGGCAAGCAGCCAAAATATGTACACCCTATATGCTATGGTCAAGGAGATTAAATTTTATTATAAAAGCACTAAAAGGCAATTAGAAATTTTTAAGCAGGGAATTCTCATAATCTAATTTGAGTTTTTAAAAATCTAGCTGTGGCACTGAGCGCAGTAGCTCACGCCTGTAATCCCAGCACTTTGGGAGGCCGAAGTGGGCAGATCACCTGAGGCTGGGAGTTCAAGACCAGCCTGACCAACATGGAGAAACCTGGTCTCTACTAAAAATACAAAAGTAGCTGGGCCTGGTGGTGCATGCCTGTAATCCCAGCTACTTGGGAGGCTGAGGCAGGAGAATTGCTTGAACCCAGGAGGCGGAGGTTGCGGTGAGCCGAGATCGTGCCATTGCACTCCAGCCTGGGCAACAAAAGCAAAACTCTGTCTCAAAAAATAAAACATATATATATATACACAAACACACACATATATAGCTGTTGAATGGAGAATTAATTGAAAGGGAGATAAATTCTGCCATAGATTCTAAAGGAATACTTGGGATAACAGAATTGCCTATAACTGGTATGTTGAAATACCTGATTCTTGAGATGAGAGAAATACACAAATGTATTTCTGAATCTAAATGATGCCTTAAAACTTATACATTGGGGGTAATCTTTTGCCTGTGGATACAAATTGAATCAGATCCCATAATCTCTGCTTCTTCTTAATCAACAGACATTTCCCTAGTGGCAAATACAATTCACCTATTCCCGAAGTGCTTTAATCTTCATTCAAAATTAAAACTTTTCGAGATAAGAAAAAGTTGTGTGGATCATGGCCAAAAGGCAGGACCAGACTGCAGCTCCGACTCAGATGGACAGAGCAGCGTGTGGAGGCTCGCATCAAAATTTTAGCTCCAGATCTACTGCAAGAACAAGCCAGGAATCCCAAGAGGACCCACAGACCCTTGGAAGGAAGCGGACTGCTCCTGCAGGACCAGGGAGACACCCCAAATACTGTGAGTGCCCCAATTGTGGAAGCAGGAAAGGGAGATCCTCCCCTCCCAAACACACACCCCCACTGGGGAAACTGAAGGTCTGTTTGCGGGAGAAGTTTCTGACCTTACCTGGAGCTGAGTCAATCTACAGAGCCAAGTGTAATACAGGGGTAGAAGAAGCAGCAGGAAAGGCCCTGGGAGCTCGCTGGCTCCCCAAGCAGGCCATTCCTGCCTGGCACCATGGGGATCCTTCAGGAGAGTGGCCAGAGGAGCCCAGGGAAAAACACCACAGGGAGAAGGAAATCTCCAGCTGAACTTTGTAACAATTTGAACCAGGCGAGAAGCCTCCTGGCCGGAACTTGAGGGAGAGTGTGAATCTGGTGTGCAGACTCCATAGGCAAAGGAAGAACCAAAGCCCTGGTCTTTTGCAGCTGGGAGGCAGGTAGCTTGGGGCAAGTTCTCAAGTGTGGCTCACCCACCACCTGGAAACAGACTCAGGGCTGTTAGGGGGAGTACGGTGGGAGTGAGACTGGCACATTGGATTGTGTGGGAGTTGGGTGAGGCCTGTGACTGCTGGTTTTCCCCCACTTCCCTGACAACCTGCATGACTCAGCAGAGGCTGCCATAATCCTCCTGGATACACAACTCCATTGACCTGGGAACCTCACCACCATCCCCAACAGCAGCTGCAGCAAGACCCGCCCAAAGAGTCTGAGCTCAGACTCACCTAGCCCTGCTCCCACCTGGTGGGCCTTCCCTATCCACTGGAGTAGCTGAAGACAAAGGGTATATAATCGTGGGAGTTCTAGGGCCCCACCCACCATCTGTTCCTCCCCATACTACCACATCTGATGCTCCCTGGAAAGCACCAGCTGCCGGCAGGATGCCAACCAGCACAAAAATAGAGCATTAAACCATCAAAGCTAAGAACCATTATGGAGTCCATTTCACCGCCATGCCACCTCCACTGGAACAGGTGCTGGTATCTACAGCTGAGAGACCCATAGACAGTTCACATCGCAGGACTCTGTGCAGACAACCCCCAGTACCACTTCAGAGCCAGGTAGACTTGCTTGGTAGCTAGACCCAGAAGAGAGATAACAATCACTGCAGCTTGGCTAACAGGAAGCCACATCCACAGGAAAAGGGGGAAGAGATATACATGTGTATATCTCTTCACAGTCTTCTTGCCTTCCCTACAATTTTGGGGGGCACCCCACATTTTTTTTGTATCAATATGGCCAAAGGATCCAAAGATAGGGACTATTTCTCTTTTAAATTTGGGTATGGCATTTATCTCACATTCACTTTGGAGACTGATATTTATAATTGATAGCTCACTTAAAATAAAACAGAAGCTATAATTGTATTCCTGACCTCACTTTTTATGAACTTCACTTTAAATAACATTTTGTTTGACTATCAGGGCCACATTGTTTTGTTTCCACTATTTCATCAACAAACATAAATTTGTACATATTTTGTGTTAAGCATACAGCTGTTAAAAAAAAGAAAAAAGGCCAGGCAATTTCCTTATTTTAGTGAAGCAAATTTCCTAGTGGAAAAAAGAAGTGTTATATGAATAGATAAATAAATAAGCAATATAACTTCAGATTATTATATGAACCCCAATGGCTACAAAGAGCATGACAGCAGTGGCCCATAGATGAGAAATGAGTGGTCAGAGGCCTGCAGTGGATGGGCTGGTCAAAGACAGTTTCTCTCAGCAGGTAAAACAAAGGTTAATACATGAAGAATGTGGAGATGCAAGTTATGGAAGAAACAAACAAATAACATTCCAGGTCCAATGGGGCAGAAAGTACAAAGGCTTTCATATGACCTTCGTAGTCTTGAAGAGATTTGGAGATTAGGAAGCCAATGTGCCAAACCACAGCCAGCCAGATGGAGAATAGTTTAGGATGAGATAGAGATCCTAGAAATTTTTTCCAATACTCAATAGTTGGAAGGTATGTAACATTCCTTTGTGAAATCTAGATTGACAGTGTGTCTCTTGTGATATAAACATTAATACATATAAAATGCATTAATTTCATTAGGAGAGTTAATTAGTGTCTAGCTTGATTTGTTAATGATCATTTAAACTTGGTCTTGAAAGAAATAGATCCACTTTCAGGAATATGATTCAATTCTTTGATGAACAAAGAAATTCTGAAAACCCTTAGGGTGTATAACTGTTTCTCTAATGCAGTGTGCTGAAGAAAGACAGCCCCTTGTGCTCAGAGTGAATTTGGCTGCCAAAATCCTGCAACCAAAAACTTTGTGATTTGCTGAAGATTCTACTATGAACATTTCAGATAGAAAAACTGGATAGCTCACAGAGTAAAGCAATTTATAAAAGGCTTTCAAAAACTCTGCATATTTAATCAAACAGTTGTGTATGATGCTTATAAAATAAGATCTCTCTGGGGGATGGAGATTTTTAAAGACTACGCCTCAAACTAAGAAAGATCCCAATGCATATTCAATTTCACTGTAAAATTGAATCCCAGCTTAAGTTTGCAAAAATTTTGGAACCAAGCCTAGAACAAGTTCCACATGAGCCCCAAGGTGGAGCTTCACACATCTCTTTAAATTTCTCTGTCTAGAGCTATTGCTCCTCTGGGCCAAATTTCTGGATGAGAGGAAAGCATCTTGAGCATCAATGCACCTCTTATTTTATTCAGGCAAAATTATTCACTTCCTACTCTCAGCTCCCTTGACGTTTGGCAAGGATCTGTTATTTTGCTTTTCTTGTTGTAATCTAGTTAGTTGACCTTGTGTCTGTCCCTCTTTTCCCCTTTCCTTCCCTTTCAGTTTCCACCACTAGGTTATGTGCTCAACAGATTTTTAGTTCCCAGCCATGCTTATATTTAAAACTCAGTGTGATGGTTAATGTTATGTGTCAACATTGCTAGGCTATGGTGCCCAGATGTTTGGTCAAATAGCAGATGTTGCCATGAAGATATTTTTAAAATGTGATTAACATTTAAATCAGTAGACTTTGAGTAAAGAAGATTACCCTCCATAATAAGAGTGAGTGAACCTCATTCAATCAGTTGAAGGCTTTGAGAGAAAAAGACTGAGGTCCTCTGAGGATGAAGGAATTCTGCCTCCAAACTGCCTTTAGACTTGAAGTGCACCAAGAATTCTTTCCAGGGTCTCCAGCCTGCCAACCTGCCATAAAGATTTCAGACTTGCTAGCTCCCACAGCCTTATGAACTAAAGCCTTACAGTCTCCCCCTCTCTCTCTCTTCTTACCCCGCCACCAACACACACACATACACATATTGTATTTGTTCTGTATCTTTGGAGAACACTGATTAATACACTCAGTAAATACTGTATAAGTAATGAATAAATAAATGAATAAGTCAGTGAATCAGTCATCAGTTATCAATCTAATAAGAAGGCCATGAATTGAGGAATATTAAGTACAGAAGGATATTTCAGGTAAACATTTACTATTATAGATTACTCTAAACTCCAAAAATTAAAGAAAACTAATATTTGCTAGACCTGAAAATTAAACCACAATGACTACACTCCTTTTATTATTTAATGCTTCTTTGAAACAGAATTAAAATTACAACATATTTATTAAGGAGAATTACACCATATTGAAAATCTGCTATGCCAGGCGCCATGCTAGGTACTTAATGTGGATTCTTTCATGCAATATTCAAAATAATTCCAGTTTTCCTTTCAGAGTTGCAGATCTTTAGATATAGAACAGTTCAGTAATATTTCACAGGGTAGATGAATTAAAGTTTTGTGGTTTTCTCATGAGTCCATACTGCAGCAATTTCTGTATTAACGAACAGTCACTATTGTTTTAACTTTTTAATTGAAGTACAAAATAGATCCAAAGAACTGCAAAAATCCTAAGTTTACAGCTCAGAGAATGTCACAAGCTATACACATGCAGTTCAAGAAACAAAATATTATCAACATTCTAGAAGCACATTTCAGACAGTATAACTACAGTTCACCCGTGAAGAACATGGGAGTTGGGACACCAACTCTTCCCTTGGAAACAGTCAAACATTTGCACATAAATTTTGACTTATCCCAAACTTAATAGCCTGCTGTTGACTGGAAGTTTTACTGATAACATGAACAGTCAATTCACACATATCTTGTATTTCACAAAAAGTGCAAGTTTTCATGCCTACTGGCATAGCTGCAGGATGGCTTCATGAATTTCCTTTTCTTTTTTTTACAATAGTCCTTATGCTGGATTCATTAATCTTAAAGTGGCGGACAACAGCCCTGCAGACCTCAATCTAGGATATATATCTAGCAATTTAACTTTTTCTTATAATGTCATGACTTTCCTCTGCTTGTTGGGAGCCCTTCCAGCATTACTAGTGGCACTTCATATGGGTTCCATGGTGTTATTTAAGGTTTACGGTATTTCACTAAACATGATGAAAAATACACGAGAACTGTGAGAGATCACTTTTTACAGTGATGAGTAATTTACTGGAGAGACAAACCTCTCATGCAGGGAAGGTTAGCATCACACGGTGCTTTAAGGGAATACTTGCAACACTTGGGCTCACCGTAAAAGCCACAGGAGGTGGCTACAAAATTATTGCAGTAGTATAGGATGTACTACAGTTAATTTTATGCAGTTATGATTTAATATATTGCATCTTTACAATCGTTTCCATTTCTCTTAACTTCCAATGGCACCATGCAGAGTCTGTGTTTGTGTCCATACATTTTGATAATTTTTAATTTCTTATAATACAGTTCTGCATAGTTTATGGTAGTAAATGATAAAATAGACTAGTATTTACATATATTTTATGCATTCATGACATACCTAACTTTTTCTTATTTTTTAAATATTTCTAGGCTATTAGGCTCATCTGCTATTTTTTTCAAATTGTTGCAAATCTTCAAAACATGTTCTAATATATTTATTTACTCTTAAAAATTCATGTATAAATGAACCTGTACAGTTCAAATCTGTGTTGTTTGAGTCAACAGTATAATTTATAAAACACAAAATCCTTAATGTGGAAATTTGTGTGGGTTACTTAAAACTTTATCTCTGGTAATTTTAAATATTTTCTTTTCTTTATTTAAATAAGGATGAACTAAGACTTAGGACAGGTTCCTACGATGTACCTTGATGTTGGAAAAGAAAACCAAACCCAGATGCAGAGGTCGTGAGTTCAAAGCTAAGTTCTGCCCATTACCAAACATAATGTTATAGACTAAATGCTTGTGTGCTTGCAAATGTCGTATGCTGAAACCTAATCCCCAATGTGATGTTATTTGAAAATAAGGCCTTTGAGAATTGATTAGGTGATTAGGGATTCATGCCTTTATAAAAGAGCCCGGACAAATCCTCACCCCTTTTACCCTGTGAGGACGTAGTGAGAGACAGTCCTCTATGAACCAAGAATCAGGGACTCAAGGCAGCTTCCTCATCTGGTGCCTTGCTCTTGGACTTTCCAGCTCCAGAACCACAAGAAATAAATTTTTCTGGTTTCGAAGACACCCAGTCTATGGCAGTTTGTTATGAATAGACTAAGACACATAACTTCCAGTAAAATATTTCACCTATTTAACTTCAAATGTTTTCATCTATTGAATGAGTGTATTGAACTAAGACAGCAATTTTTGTATTTTGTTTTAAACTGAGTTCCTTGGAGCCTCAGGGATTCTTTTATAGGGTTTGGGTAAAAAAGAGGTGTGTGGATATAGGAAAGCTGGGTCTCATCAGCAAGGAACTGAGCCAAAGGCCAGGTCTCAACAGGACTGTAAAATTGGTTGATTGGGAAGAATAGCACAATCTTTTGACAGCCTCCAGGTCTTACTTTTATGTACTTCCTCTTCTTTTATAGTTTTAATAACTATCCTGTCAACATATTACCTTTAAAAACATTGATATTTGGCACTTTGGGGAAAGGTGCTCAGGGGAATAGCAAATCAGTTCTGCTTTCATCTGTCATTCAGACTGGATGACTGGGATAAATTTTTATTGTATGAATCTATGTTATTTTTTATTTCCCCTTTCCTTTTCCCTGTCTGTTTAGTATCTTAGCACCTAGTGGTGGGTAGCAGGAGGAGGTAGTGGTGGTGGAAGCCCCAATATCTCTAGGTGGGTTTCTGAACTGAACCAGCTTCAGGCCTATCTAAGTTGGCATTGTGACTGGAAATGAACGATTGCATGTGCTTTACAAATCTCTTATGCCAAAGAACTAGAATCTCAATAAGATCTAGACATAAATTTTTAAAAACTTTAACAAATTGCAAGATTTCATTTTAATTCCTCCTAATTGAGAAAAACACATAGTTCAAAATGATAATGGATTCAAATACTTCATTATTACCTAATTTGTTTGAATCGAACTAAGCAAAGATTACATTATTAATCCTTCATCCAGATATTTTAAGTTCAACTTGGGAGCTAATATAAGGATGAATGTATTCTAGCATAGATAGAAGAAAAATACAATGTAACTTAAACACATTTTTGTCGTATTTTACAGTAGCAGCCTATCTTCTTAAATTTTCACACAAATGTTTAGTGGAAATGACCCATTTATGATGGAATTATCTTTTTCATATTTATAAACTTCTTCCTATTACTTCTAAAGTAAATTTTAAAAATAAAAATAGGAGGTTTAAAGTTAGAGACCCAAAACAATTTGTTTGTAATAATAATAACAATTTATTCAAAAACTTCTTAAGGCTGGGCACAGTGGCTTATGCCTATAATCCTGCCATATTGTGAGGCTGAGACAGAAGGATTGCTTGAGTCTAGGAGTTCAAGACCAGCTTCAGCAACAAAGCTAGACTCCGACTCTATAAAAAATTTAAAAATTAGCAAGTGTAGTGGCGTGCACCACAGTCTCAACTATTTGGGAGGCTGAGGAGGGAAGATTGCTTGAGCCCAGGAGTTTGAGGCTGCAGTGAGCTATGATGCCACTGCAGTGTACTCCAGCCTCGGAGAAAGAAAAGAAAAGAAAGAAAAGAGGAAAGGAGAGGAGAGGAGAGGAGGGGAGGGGAGGGGAGGGGAGGGGAAGGGAAGGGAGAGGAGAGGAGAGGAGGGGAAGGGAGAGGAGAGGAGAGGAAATGGAGGGAGGGAGGGAGGCAGAGGGGGAAAACTTTCTTATTTATTTCTAATTTATTTTTATTCCAATTATGTTGACTTATCTTTCTTTCCACATTTCATACATTATGTTTCTTACCAAAATCTACAATGGTGGAATCTATTCTCTGTAAACTTTCAAGCAAAGCAAAGTAAGAAGTTGGTCTAGAATTCCCACTCCTGAACCCCTTGCCTGTCAGGCCTCTGAGCCCAAACTAAGCCATCATATCCCCTGTGACCAGCATGTGTACATCCAGATGTCCTGAAGCAACTGAAGATCCACAAAAGAAGTGAAAATAGCCTTAACTGATGACATTCCACCACTGTGATTTGTTCCTGACCCACCCTAACTGATACGATATATTCTTCCCCGCCCTTAAGAAGGTACTTTGTACGCCCATCCTAAACCTATGAGAACTAATGATAATCCCATCACCCTTTGCTGACTCCTTTTTCGGACTCAGCCCACCTGCACCCAGGTGAAATAAACAGCCTTGTTGCTCACACAAAGCCTGTTGGTGGACTCTCTTCACAGCGACGCGCATGACACTGCCCACTTATCGTTTAACAAATGTTATTAGTCTGATATGTTTTTTCCTTACCACTAATACACACACACACACACATAAACATTTAAGGAATGTTGCTATTTTTATCAAAATGTAATCATATACTTTAAATTATTCTTAACTTGTTGGTTGCTTGCTTTGTTAAAAAATTTACAGTATATAATATTGAAGTACCTTTTTTTTGTAATAGCTTCATAACATTATGTAAGATTTTTATACCACTCTAATGATGAATACTGACAGACATTAAAATGTTTACCAATATTGTTTCAGTAAACTAATGCTGCAATATGCATCTGTATGCCATTTATCTCTTGATACATAGCTATAGTTCTGTATATATATATATATTCATATATGTATCTCCATTTCTCTCTCTCTTTTCTCTCTATAAATCAATCTAACCTGTATTCATGTATGTTCTCTTTACTTCTCTATGAAAGATTCATAAAAGTAAGATTTATGGAAAAAATTATAAGGTGATAGGTCTTTTTTTAATGTTAAAGGCAATTTACATTCCATAAAAGCTATAGCAATAATTATTTCTATTAGCAGTGTACAAGAGTGTTCATTTACTCAAATTGCCACCAAAAATGAAGGTTGTATTTCTATTGGTATTCAAAATGATGGGTAGATAAAATAAAATATGTCTCATTGATACAGAAATTATTTAAAAATTGGTTAGATTCCTGACACGTATTTTTGGCTATAGATTTTCCTCAAATTTAAATTGATTACTGAAATCTTTTTCCAACTGGGAAATGGATTTATCTTTTTCTTTTTTTTTGAGACGGAGTCTCGCTCTGTCACCTAGGCTGGAGTGCAGTGGCACAATCTCTGCTCACTGCAAGCTCTGCCTCCCGGGTTCAGGCCATTCTCCTGCCTCAGCCTCCCAAGTAGCTGGGACTACAGGCGCCCGCCACCACGCCCGGCTAATTTTTTGTATTTTTAGTAGAGACGGGGTTTCACTGTGTTAGCCAGGATGGTCTCGATCTCCTGACCTGGTGATCCGCCCGCCTCTGCCTCCCCAAGTGCTGGGATTACAGGCATGAGCCACCGCGCCCGGCCGGATTTATCTTTTTCTTAGTACTTTGAGGCATTCTCTGAACAACTAGGGACATTAGATCTTTAACTATTACATAGATTTTAAATATTTATTCTTCAATTACTTGCTCCATAACATTCTATGGGAATTGTTTCCCATACCTAAATAGAATAGCATGAGATAATATAACTAGACTTAGGTAGTTAAATACGTCTACTTTTCCTAAGTTGCTTTTGTTTTTTCCATTATTTCTTCTACTCACTCAACAAAGTCATACAAATTTTCCGATAATATTTTCAGTGTTGAATATTTTATGTTTTTGTATTTAATCCAATGAATGCAAAGTCCTGATTATAAAATTATACATTTTAGTGTAAGTTATTACTATAATTATTAACATTCAACATATACAAGGTATTAAACTCATTAAAATTTTTAAATTAGAATTCATTTTTACTCTAATTCCTACTTAGAGTTACAATGGTAGATTACAAATTAGACTTTAATATTGCATATTGAAAATAACATTTATTATATTTGCTTATTATCAGGTAATAGCTGATAATACCTATTCCTGTATAAGTCTGAATTATTGGTAAGTGAGCTGAAATAAAGTAGATATATTTAAAGCCATGGTAGAAATTGAAGCAAATTGAAATTAAAATAGATGCAATCTTTCAATCATTCAGTAGTAAGGAAAACACCACTTTTATGAGCCTTTTCCTTCTGTAGCTGCCTTATATAGCAAGAAACCGTAATCTTTTGAATCATACTTTTTTTTTTTTTGAGATGGAGTTTCACTCTTGTCACGCAGGCTGGAATGCAGTGGTCCGATCTCAGTTCACTACAACCTCTGCCTCCTGGGTTCGAGTGATCCTCCTGACTCAGCCTCCTGAGTAGCTGGGGTTACAGGAGTCCGCTACCACATTCAGCTAATTTTGTAGTTTTAGTAGAGATGGGATTTCCCCATGTTGGTCAGGCTGGTCTCGAACTCCTTACCTCAGGTGATTTCCCTGTCTCAGCCTCCCAAAGTGCTGGGATTACAGGCATGAGACACTGCACCCGGCCAAAACATCCTTTTTTAGAGAGACTTATCAACTCTTCCATATTACAGGTACCACAGATGCTTCTGACCCCTATGTTTTTCCATGTTTTTCATTTGTTTGTTTATGCATATATTGTTCTGCATTTGTTTTTTTTGTTTTTTTTTTTTTGCTTTTTTAGGAGTTCAAGGTGGCTTACCTTTCTTCATTTACTACTATTTCTGCTCCAACCTCAAACGTGATTCAACTTTTATAGAAAGGAAAATATGAAAATAGCCAGTCTAATCATACCACCCCACTTTACTGTTTAATGTGGAGAAAATTGTGGAAGTTAAAAAAAAAGTATTGTATAACTTTGAAGTCAAAAAAGGAGTTTCTAAACCTGACATGCTGAAGCCATAAAGAAAAAAACAATAAGAAATTTAACTACATAAAATTTCAAAACATATGCGTGTTAAAGATACACGGAGTATAGCAAGTCACAAATAAACAACAAAATATCATTTGTAACACATATGATTAAAAAAGAACACATTTTGTTAACATAAAAGAATCTCTTGCAAAGATATTAAAAAAAAAAATAGAAAAACCTGCCAGGCGCCGTGGCTCACACCTGTAATCCCAACACTTTGGGAGGCCAAGACGGGCGGATCATGAGGTCAGGAGTTCAAGACCAGCCTGACCAACCTGGTGAAACCCCGTCTCTACTAAAAATACAAAAATTAGCCAGGTGTGGTGGCAGGCGCCTGTAATCCCAGCTACTCAGGAGGCTGAGGCAGGAGAATCACTTGAACCCAGGAGGCAGAAGTTGAAGTGAGCCAAGATCACATCATTGCACTCCAGCCTGGGCGACAGAGTGAGACTGTGTCTCGAAAAAAAAAAGAAAAGAAAAATAGGTTATCGGGCATAAATGTAAAATTTGCAGAAAAATAGACACAGGATAAATATATAAGATTTTGCTCAACCTCATGAAAATAAAATGAATAAAAATATAAATAGCTTTTCAGATGTTACAGTAGAAAAATCTTTTTTTACATTATTGTTGTGAGTATAAATTAGTGAAAATTATTGACAGTGCCTTGAAAATACCTATAAAAATTTTAAATATGCAGAAGTCTTTGTATAAGCAAATTCAATTTTAGAAATTTGGTCTAGAGACATAAAACACAGAAATATATGAAAAAGTAGCTACAAATATGTTTGTTACAAACTTACTGTAAACATAGAAATTTAAAAATGACCTAATTGTGCATTGATAAGTCAAAAAAAAAAACATGATTCATTGAGATCTTTCCAGGAATGTAATGATTATTGAAAGTGAAATATTCAATCCCACAGTGAACCTCAGCATGAAACAGACATAAAGTGACTCCACCCTTGGCTAACTGATCTCAGACAAACTTCCCCATGAGGGCACTGTAGATGACATGGGAAGATTTAGAGCATGAACTAGCAGCTAACTTATGTTCCATAGGAGGCTTGTGAGTTTTCCCCAATTTTACCTATCAGATAAGTCATTTTTATATAGGGGAGAACTGAGCAGGGGTAAAAGAAAAAGAGAAAGAGAGAGATTGAAAAGTAGTAAGGTTATAATTTTTAAGAATTTCTCTTCATCAAAATCTGAATTCTGAAAGAAATTTCTCTCTGAATAGTAAGCCCTTTTTTTTTAAGAGCTCATTTTTAATGACAGTAAATATAATTTGTTAAAAAGAAAAGGGCAATTTGCTTAATAGAATGGCACTTTCTGGACTTAGAAAAAAAAGAAATCTAGAAAGAAATGTGAAAGTTTTCATGTGATGCATTTATATTTGTATAAGCATAAACATAACCAGAAAGATCCATACAAAAGCAGATGATTATAATTAAGAGAACACAGAGTCATATGGCTTAAGGTGAGAGGAAAAACTTGGAGGATATAAATAATAAAAGAGAATTTAAAGAGAAGATCAAAACCTAAAGTAAATGGAGGATATGTTACTATAGCTTTGAAATAGATGAGTAAAAATTAACCTCCTGATTTGATTTTTCATTCCCTCTCTCTTACCCTCTGTACAGAATAGGTTAATGGCTTTTGTGTCATAACTTATCTTCCTAAAATCCTACTAAAAATTGGATTGGTTTATACTTGGGCTTAATAGACAAAAGACCTTTAGAATGCACTAACTGTTGGATTCTTAAACAAAGAGTTAAGTTTTAGGAATATTTGTTGCAAGGATGAAGATCATACATTCTTCGCATATTCCTGAATGATAGCTACTTTAAGTGGCTGTGACATATTTTTCACCCAATCATGTGACTGTTTAAAAATACTTAGTCTGCCATGTAGTTAACCTAACATATTAAACATATACTATGATAACACAAAGGATCAGATTGTCAAATCTCAATCATATGAATCAGAGATCTAACCAAGTCTGATAGCTTTAGTAATCATTTAGATGCTATAAATAATCACAAGCATAGACAAACAAGGAAAGGTCTGGTATAATATAAGTAACTACATCACTTACACAGAGGAAAGTTGCCTGGGCCAAGAAACATCTCCACTTTCTATTCATATAGTTACATAGCTTCTGAGACATTTCCAGAAAGCTGCCCCATAAATACAAAGATTTCTATTTGTTTACCATGAACCTACTGTAGACAACTTGCTAAAAGCATTCCATAGATATGGACTCTTTCATAAGCAAGTATTCACTAGTTTGTTTGCCAAGAGTTTGATCATTAACATATTTACAATGTTAATTGTAACTTGTTTATTGTAATATTTCATTTGATGTTTGGAGAACAGAGAGTAATACATTTGTTATCCTAATTGGTTGATGGGTCTGTTTTTTAATTATCAGTATCTTAAAATATCTGTATTTACTAATTTGTAAATGTACATCAGCTTTTACCATCCTGGGGTCATAACTAAGAGCAAAGAACCAGAGTGAGTTATATAATAATAGTATAGTGGGGCAGAGTGCAATTTCAGGATTTATGCAAGTTTATAATTGACAAAGGCTATATTTTTTTCTACTGGTATTCCTATTTAGCCTAAGACTAGGGAACTGTCCTAAACAATACAGCATCTTGTGCCTGACTAAAATAATCATTAAATATAGTAAATAAACAAAAGAATATTAATGTTAATGTAGTAAATGTAGGAAGGCATTAATGTAGTCAAGCGTTTATAGTCATTTTATAGGCTATTGTCTATCCAATAAATATGTTATGGCCTGACAGATTCTTCCTACCTGCTGCACAAATGAAATCAGTTCGCTGAGACAGTGGTATTGCAGTAGAGAGAGTTTAATCGACTTGAGATTGGCCATGCAGAAGAACTGGAGTTATCACTGAAATCAGTTTCCTGGAATGCCTGGAGGTTAGGGTTTTTACAGACAATTTGGTGGACAGAGTCTAGGGTATGGGTGCCACTGACTGGTTGGGGCTGAAATCATAGAAGTTGTGAAAAATGGTCCCTGTGCTGCTGAGTCTGCCTCTGGGTGGGGTAACAGATTAGTTGAGTCATGAGTTTGGGTGGGTCAGTCTGAAAACATCTAAAAAAAAAAAAAAACCCAATCCTAGATGTTATCCATAGGAGCAATTGAGAAAGTCACAAATCTTGTGACCTCTGGCCCCATTACCCCTGCCTAGTAAGGGACTGTAGAAACTAAATCTAGCCTGTGACCTCTCATTAGTCTTACAAAGGCAATTTCAATATCCAGTGAGGCAATTAATTGTACAGAGGGACTATTATTATTTTTGTTTTAAAATTAAACTATAAACTAAATTCCTCCCAAAGTAGCATGGCCTACGCTGAGGATGACCAAGGAAAGCTTGGAGGTTAGAAGCAAGATAGGGAGTCAATGGTCAGATTTCTCTTACTGTCATAATTTAGCAAAGGCAGTTTCAGATGTACATTTATGGTATCATACTGCTAACATTTTATATGTCTTCGATGTATCTCTAATATGATAGTAAGAAAACATCTGTCAATAGAATTGTTCAGAAAATATTTGTTAAAAGTCAGCAAAAAGAAATAAATCTTTGAACAATTTTGAAAGTTCAGATGTCAAAACTCATCAGAAATTTTAAAATTGAAATTTAATTTATTTGTCTCTGATCTAGTCCATGCATCTTGGCTACTACTGCACCAGAAGGTATACTAATCAGCTACTCCCAGATGAAAGGCTCATTCATAAAAAGTGTACTTTGGATATTTTAATATATTGTATTTTATGTTCTGTTTTGTTGTTGTTGTTGTTCTTATCAGAGAACTTAGTTTATCTGTCTTGAAAAGCATGATTAGATAATATGTCACTCATCTCTTAACTCAAACCGGGATAAAATTGGACAATACTGAAATGATTAACTCTAGTTTTTTTCTAATAATTTTTCCCATATTTTACACAGACTTGAACTGTCATATGACTCTTTACTAACGTGATATATTAAATTCAAATATAAGCTAATGATTACTATTTCAATTACTTAAATATATGTAGACTTTTTAAAAATTGGACTGAATTGTTATAATTTACACTTAATCCATTAGAAAAATTGCTATTCTAATTAGTGACAAAGTAACAAATTAAGATATAAAATGTGATTGGTACTTTGAAATCCAACTTAATGGATAATTGCTAATCTAATTAGCACATACAATAAACTTTGTGAAATGTTTCATTTGGGAAAGGAGAAAAATGCAACAATACTAACAAAAGCAAGAATAATAAATATGCTTTATTGGCCTACTTGCCACCTAAGACCCAATCTTATAAATAGGAAGCTCCCTTTAAGAGATAATGCAGTCTATGGAGATTCAAAATCTGTCTTGTATCTTATGCTCTATCATGGGGTCAATATTTTGTTATATAAAGAATAAGATGTAGCTATCTGTATTTGATGGTGATAATAATTTTGAAAGTTTATCAATAAAGAAAAAAATAAAAGTATGTATTGGAGAGCAGCTATTCCCTGATAGGTAATGGTTGCTGAAAAACCCTTGAGAATATTTCTAACACAGGTCTTAAAAAATCCTGAAGCCACCATTTTCACAAAACATATAGCACTAATCATCTATATCTATTATGCTAAACAAAATATAACAACTTTGTATGCTCTTTCTATGAGATATGAGACATATCTACAATGTCTACAAATTCTTTGTTAAATGTCTCTTTACTTGAAAATCAGGTTCGATCACCTGCTCTTTAACGCTGTCTTGTTGACAGTAGACAGTCAGTAAAAAGGGCATGAATGACTAAATGTTTTTCTGTTTCAAAACTGTATCTTCTCAGTTTTGTGACCATTAAAACTCAGGCAATTTACTCTCTGATAAATTGAGATTACTTTCTACATCAAAGTTGCTGGGGATGCAACATCAAGCAAGGCAGACAAGACTCCTGGCTCCATCTAACTTACATGGTAGTGGAGGAGGAGTATAATAAACTGATGATGTTTAATATAATGTCAAAAGTGATGAATGCTAGGAGAAAAATAAAGCACAATGAGGGGATTGCTACTTTGATAGGATGGTCATGATAGATTTCTTTGTGCAGGTGACATCTGAGCAGTAACCATAGTGATATGGGGGAAAGAACCACGTGGATTTTGAGGTAAGAATTTTCCAGAAAATAAATATCAATTGTAAAGATCCTATGATGGGATGTTTGATTTGTTCATGTAACAGTAAGTAGATCAGTGTGCTACCATAAATAGTGGTTGAGGATACAGTTAGAAAAGTAGCAAGGAGCTAATCACATAAGTCGGTATGAACCTTACTAAGGATTTCCTCTTTTTTCCTAGGCATGTTTGGGGAACATAGGAGAGTTTTGGCTGGGGAGATTACAACTCATATTTTAAAGGAATCATCTGATTGCTGTAAGAAGGGTCTACTGGGGCTGGGGACAAGAATATAAACAGTTTGGAATCAATTGCAATAATCAAGGTGATAGATTTTGGTGACCTTGCTTCAGAGTTGCAGTTCTGGAGGTAATAAGTGGTAAAATTTGGAGCATATTTTGAAGTAGAGCCAACAAATTTCACTGTTTGGTAGGATTCAAGATTAAAAGTAAAAAGTAATAAGATTTGAATATCATCGTGATATAGTTGTGAAAGAGAGAAGTCAAGGATTTCCCCTTGCTTTTAGCCTCAGCAATAGAAAGAATAAAAATTGTCATTCACTATGATAAGGAAGACTTAGGGAAAATAAGTTATTTCATTGGATGAGTGGGGACAAATTTGATTTCAGACACATTAGTTTTAATTTGCCTAATATGTTAATAATATGTTGAATAGAGGATCAGATATATTGGCCTAAAAGTGGGAAATCAAGGTTGAAGAAATATATTTCAGAGTGTCCTACGTTTGAGCATGGGACAATGTGTAAGCCATAGGATTGGGTGGATTACCTTGGCAGTATATGCAAATAACAAAGGAAGGATATTTGTGTTCTATCTGATTTTGTATATAGGCTCTCTATTTACAAAAATATCTCTTGTTTTCTATGCCCACTAAGACTACATAATGAATAAATAAATAAATAAATAAATAAATAAATAAGCTTCCTCACATAAATTGCATTCCCCCAAAATATATCTCCTGTAACTGTGGGCTTTTATATATAGTGTGAATAACATATTTGATAATAGTGTAAGAAGGATGCACTTGTTATCTATTCCTAGTATACTTTTTCTCAGATATTTGCATGACTTATCTCTTTAGAAAAGTATTTCCCATTGTTTTTCAAGTTATGATGGAATAACTGGAATTAGACTTGCCCTTCTGAAGTAAACAACTAGAAAGCTGTACAACAGTCATAAGTCAACTGTTTTCAAGCATTGGATAAAACAACACTGTGGTCTTTGCGGGAAGAAAAACACATGAGGTAGGCCTTATATTCACATCAACTGTCTGCCTAGGGACACTCCCCACAACACTATGTAGGGAGATAGAATTTAAGCAGAGAACCTTATTCTCACTGAGCTAAGAAGGCAGATATCAATTTCAGTAATAGAAGAGGCTATATTTTTAGGGTAAGGTACCAGAGAGAAGTGAGTTACATACAGGATGTGGTAAGAAAAATTATATAATGGCCCCTGAGACCCTGTACCCTGGTGTACACAACAGTATACATCCCAGGACTTTGAATATGATGAATTTTACTCCCATGATTAGGTTATGTTGTATGGCACAGTTGACTTCGAATAAGATAGATTATTCAGGATGAGCCTAACCTGATTAGGTGCGTCCTTTTGTCTTCTCCAAATAGTTGCAGAGGATATTCTTTCCAGCCATGTTGTTAACTGCCTGTTGAGGTCACATGGCAAGGAATGCAGGTAACTTCTAGGAGCTGAATGTAGCCACTGGCTGACAGCCAGCAAGGAAATAGTGACGTCAGTGCTCTAGTCTCAAGAAGCTGAAGTCTATCAATACCCTGATTAAGCCTGGAAGTATTCTTTCCCCAGAGCTTCCAGAAGGGAACATAGCCCTGTCAAAACTTTGATTTTAGCCTTTTAAGAAGCCGAGGTGAGGACCAGCTACTCTATGCCTTGTCCTCTGAGCTTCAGAGCTGTCACTTAATAAATGGATGTTATTTTAAGCTGCTAAATTTGTGGTAATTGGTTTCACAGCAGTCGAAATGTAACAGAGAAGTGGACATCAAAATCTTTGAGGGTTTCCTACAGGTCATTTGTCAAGAGCTTAGCTGTTCATCTGCAGGAAACATTCTTTGAGGACTAAGTAAGAGCAGCTATTGCTTGAGTGAGAGTTGAACCGAGATAGCATAGGTCATGCAGTGCTGAGAAGCAGCGAAGTTCTGGCCCAGCCAGAGTAGAGAGAATTCCCTGAGCACCTAGCACTTTCAGTGACACCCCAGAGAATTCACAGATCAGTAACGAGAAATGCTTACTACATGAAAGGGCACATTTTAGGACTAAGAACAAAAATGAAACTATCATTTACAAAGAACAGGGCCAAGTCTGGTGATATCAAGGGATCTCCCAGTAATTTAACTGCTTTCTGGAACCATATTCAATACCCATAAAAGAAGACTAGTTAAGCAAAACTCAATAGCATAACATTGACAATATCCATATAATTAAAACATTCACTAAAAGCAAAGAAGCATGAAAATGTAAAACAATCAAGAGAGAAAAAAGTGGCCAAAAGAAATCTATCAGAAAAAGACACAAATATTAGAACTGGTAGACAAAGAGTTTGAACAGTAAGTATAATTATGAGTAAGAATGCAAAGGAAAAGAAAAACATCTAAATAGAGAATCTCAGCAATGATATGAAAAATGTTAAAAGAACCACATGAAAATATTAATATATAAAAAAGAAAGTACTTTATTTGATATGAAAAACTGCATTAGATAGGTTTAACAGCATACTGAAAACTATAAAATGAGTGGTCAGTTAATGTGAAAACAGAACAATAGAAACTATTCCATTATTAAAAGACAGGGAGTAAAAAGATAGGAACAAATAAATAGGTATTTAGTATCTTGTAGGAAAATCTCAATTGATCCAACATACATATAATTTGCATCCCTAAAAAAGTGACTAAAGTACATTGGAAATAAAAACATTATCTGGAGGGGGAAAACATAATTGCCCAAATTTTCTGAAATCTTTTTAAAAAATTTCAAGCTACAGATCTAAAAACCTAATAAGAAGAAAACAACATTTAGGTGTATCATATGCAAACCTATGTTAAAACAGCCAGAAAACAAAAGAAGAAAGGGGAGAAAGACACATTGTATATAATATTTGACTGATGCTTCATCAAAACAATAGAAAGACCTGTTTAAAGTGTGTAAATACAGAATTCTACATCGTATAAAAATGATGCTGAAATTAAAACATCTTGAGATAAACAAAAAATGAAAAAATATGTTACTACTATACCAGAACTAAATGAACTACAATAAATGCTAATGGAAAGTTTTTCAAATGAAACTCAAATCTTATAAAATAATAAATATGTGATTATAAAAATAGTTTTCTTATGTTAATTTCCTTAAAAGACACTGTTTAAAGCAAAACTGATAACATTATCTTATGATGGTTATAATGCATACAAAGGTAAAATGTATGGCAAAAATAACAAAAATTTAGAGATGCACAAATGGAGCTATATAAGGTTCTTACATTTTATGTGAAGTGGTGCAATATTAACTCTAAGGAAACCATAGTATGTTAATGATGCATATTGAAATAACTAGAGCAACCACTAGAAAAAAATTACAGTTATAAAGCTTTCAGAAGAGTTAAAATGGAATACTCAGAAAGAAAGAAAGAAAGAAAGAAAGAAAGAAACAAACAAACAAACAACAGCAGAACTAAAATTGTACAATATGGGACAAATAGAAATCAAATACCAAGATTGTAGATCTAAATCAAACCCTATCAATAATTGCTTTAAGCGTAAATGTACTAAACACTGTAATTATAAGATAGAGATTATCAGACTGGATACAATACTGAGACCCAACTGCATTCTATTCACAATAAATACATTCAAAATTTGAGATAATGATGTGGGAAAACAAAAAATACAGAAAAAGATATACTATCCTAACTGTTTAGATAAATTTATATCAGACATAATGCACTTTAAGACAAGGGAGTATTTACAGAGATACATAAGCATATTTCAAACTATAAAATGACACTATTATAAGGAAAATATAACCTTTTAACTTAATGGGCCTAAATAACAGAACTTCGTGAAACAAAAACTAACAGAACTAAAGAAAGAAATACAAAAATATAAAATCCTATTTGGAGGTATTAATGTCATATTTTAATAATATGTAGAGCAACTAGACTAAAATATCAGTAAAAAATCATCAACCAAATTGATTTAGTTGATATTATGGAATACTTCACCCCACAACTACAGTGTGAACATTTACTCATTTTTTTTTACCTACAAGTGTATTACTCATCAAGATAAACAATATAATGAGTCATAAAATGAGTCTCAATAAATTTCAAAATACTGAGAATATACATAGTATGAACTATGATCATAACCAAAACAAATTCAAAAATCAATATCAATCAAATACCAAAACATTCCCATGTTTTAAAATTAAATAATACACTGCTAAATTATTCATAAGTCAAAGAAGAAATCCCAAGCAAAATTTTTTTTCAAATTGAATGGTACTTAAAACACCACATATAAAAAATGCAGCTATTGAAGTACCAAATGTAAATATACAGCTTTATATACTCCTATTAGAAAAATAAGGTGTAAAATCAATATTCTAATCTTCCAATTTAAAAATTGAAAATAAGAAAATAAACCCAAACCGAATAGAATAATAAAGGTAACAGGAGAAATCAGTTACAGATAAATGAGGAGAAAATTTAAAAATAGTGAAAATGAAAGCCTCGGAAACAGGGAAAGTTATTGATAATAATACAGCTAATATATATACATATGTATTATATCATGTATTGCATACCCAATAACATCCTACTGTATTTTCACTTTCTCAAAATCTTAATATCCAGAATCTTAATTACCATAATATGCCAACAGGTCTTCTTTTCAAATTCCTGCTAAATATTTCCTATGATGCCAACTTAAAAAAAATGGATTCAGAGGGTACAAGCACAGTTTTTGTTGCATTAATATATATCCTAGTGATGAAGTCTAAATTTTTAGTGTACCCATAAGCCAAATCATGAACATTGTACCCAAGAGATAGTTTTTCAGCCCTCACTCCTTCCCACCTTCCCCACTTTTGTTGTCCCCAGTGTCTATTATTCTCCTCTGTATGTCCATGTATACTGGCTTAGGATACTGGCTTCTAGCTCTATCCATGTTGCTACAAAAGACATAATTTCATTGTTTTTTATGGCTGCATAGTATTCCATGTTGTATATATACCGTATTTTCTTTATCCATCATCCATTGATGGGTGCTTAGGTTGATTCCAAAACTTCACTATTGTGAATAGTACTGTGATAAACATACAGGTGCAGGTGTCTTTTTTATATAATAATTTTTTCCTTTTTTTTTTTTCTTGAGACAAGGTCTTGCTCTGTCATCCAGGCTGGAGTGCAGTGGCACAATCATAGGTCACTGAAGACTTGAATTCCTGGGCACAAGCAAGCCTCACACCTGAGCCTCCCAAGTAGCTGGCATCACAGGTGTGCACCACCACACTTGACTAATTTTTTAACTTTTTGAAGAGATGGGGTCCTGCTGTGTTTCTCAGGCTGGTCTCAAAGTCATGGGCTCTGGCAGTCATCCCACCTGGGCCTCCCAAAGTGCTGAGATGACAAGCATGAGCCACTGCACCCAACCTACATAATGATTTCTTTTTCTTTGGGTGAATGTCTAGCAGAGGAATTGCTGGGTTGAATGAAATTGCTATTTTAGTTCTTTGAGAAATCACCATACACTTTCCATAGAGGTTTTACTAGTTTATATTCTATATTTTACTAGTTTATATGTGTCTCCTTTTCTCTGTATCCTCACCAACATCTGTGTTTTTTTGACTTTTAATAATAGCCATTCTGACTGGTGCAAGATGATATCTCATTGTGGTTTTAATTTGCATTTCTCTGATTAGTGGCGATGTTGAGTATTTTTTCGTATATTTGTTGCCTGCTTGTATGTCTTCTTTTGAAAAATGTCTTTACATATCCTTTGCCCACTTTTTTTTTTCTTTTTTTTTTTTTTTTTGAAATGGAGCTTTGCTCTGTCACCCAGGCTGGAGTGCAGTGGCGCGATCTTGACTCACTGCAACCTCCTCCTCCTGGGTTCAAGTGATTTTCCTGCCTCAGCCTCCCCAGTAGCTGGGACTACAGGCATGGGCCACCACGCCCAGCTAATTTTTGTATTTTTATTAGAGACAGAGTTTCACCATTTGGCCAGGCTGGTCTTGAACTCCTGACCTCAGATGATCCACCCGCCTGGGCCTCCCAAAGTGCTGGGATTACAGGCATGAGCCACCGCACCCTGCCTTTTGCCCACTTTTTAATTAGGTTACTTGGTTTTCTTCTTGTTGAGTTGTTTGAGTTCCTTGTAGATTCTGAATATTTGTACTCTGTCAGATGCATAGTTTGCAAATATTTTCTCCCATTCTGTAAGTAATCGTTTATTCTGTTGTTTATTTATTTTGCCGTGTAGAAGCTTTTTAATTTAATTAGGTGCCAAATTTTTTGTATTTGGTCCCTACATTTTTGCAGCCCATTTCTTTCCTGGATCCTGTCACATACCAAGGTTAGAGGGACTATAGTAAACATTCATTGTTTTTGCCATGCAGCACCTTCTGATAACTTTTCAATTTTTTCAGTCCATTTTGTTTATCTCAGAGTTCTGCCCATCTCTCATTCTGCATGACTTAGACTGGGAAATTTAGAGCATTGTATTTGCCTGGCCACTGTGATGGTGAAGAAACAGACATATAAGGAAAACTGAGTTTGGGAGATGAAAGTGGATTTTGCTGTAATTTCTAGAAAAGATATTCCTGCTCCTTCTGTAAGGCCTGAGATTATGTACGAATTGGAGCTCATACAGTCATCTTGTTACCACTTGGAACCCAAAAGATAAAAGCAAACCAAGAAATGACAGAAGATAAAATGAATCCTAATAACATTTAATTCTGAAGCCAGATCTACCATTGCAATTTTTAGTTATGAGACCCAATAAATTTATTTTTTGCTTAACCAAAATTTGATGTGGATTTTGTCATTTACAGCATTAAGGGTCTTGACTGAAACAGAGAAAGGTACTCTTTTAACATTAAAGTGCACAGGGCAAGTGCCAACAAATACATCTGCTTTTGGTTATGTAACAGAAAAAAAAATCTATGCATGTGGATATAGAACCATAAACTCTAATAAGAACATTGGATGTCACAACAGATTTTTAGCTAGCAAGTGCAAGAAGATCTATATTTGATATTAGACCAGTTGGAATTTTTGCCAATAGATAATGTAAAGTCTGAAGCCAGAACCAGGAATGCTAAGGCAGTATACAGAGATATCTTTATAGTTATTCACAAATTGACCCAGAAAAGAATTTATGCCACTTCAGAATTTGGCCATAACTATGGCATGTTCAGCAGACAGTGAGGGGTAGATATTAATATAGAAAACGGTAAGGAAACTAGAAACTCCTGTGAGAGGATTTAGGTACTCTCAAGCATGAATTGAAATGGAATATTTTCTATCCCAACTTGTGACAGGAAAAAGCACTCTTTGGTAGGAAGTATTCAAGGAAGCAGGTAGGAGGCTTTGAATGAAATCAATGCAGCTCAGAGAAGAAATAATTTAAAAAGAGACCATTGTAGAAAGAGGAGTATATTCAAAGGAAGAAATGACCAATTTGTAAAGTCAGGCAGTAAATGACAACTTCCCACGGACAGCCGACCTAAAAGCAGCTATCTGGGTGCACAGGGAAACTAGAAACTCCCTGCTATGTAGCATGCAGTTATTCATGTGAATTCTTTTTTATCTATTGTTGCAGGAAGTCAGGGACCCCAAACGGAGGGACTGGTTGAAGCCATGGCAGAAGAACGTGGATTGTGAAGATTTCATGGACATTTATTAGTTCCCCAAATTAATACTTTTATAATTTCTTATGCCTATCTTTACTGCAGTCTCTAAACATAAATTGTAAAGATTTCATGGACACTTATCACTTCCCCAGTCAATACCCTTGTGATTTCCTATGCCTGTCTTTACTTTAATCTCTTAATCCTGCCAGCTGAGGAGGATGTGTATCACCTCAGGACCCTGTAATAATTGCACAAATTATACAGCTTGTGTGTTTGAACAATATGAAATGTGGGCACCTCGAAAAAAGAACAGGATAACAGCAATTGTTGAGGGAATAAGAGAGATAACCTTAAACTCTGACCGCCAGTAAGCCGGGCAGAACAGAGCCGTATTTCTCTTCTTTCAAAAGCAAATTGGAGAAATATCACTGAATTCTTTTTCTCAGCATGGAACATCCCTGAGAAAGAGAAAGCACACTTTGGGGTAGGTGTCTGAACTGGCCCCCCTGGGCATGGTTGTCTCTTATGGTCAAGACTGCAGAGGTGAAATAGACTCCAGTCTCCCATAGCGCTCCCAGGCTTATTAGGAAGAGGAAATTCCCACCTAATAAATTTTTGTCAGACTGGTTGATCTCAAAACTCTGTCTCCTGATAAGATGTTATCAATGATAATGGTGCCCGAAACTTCATTAGCAATTTTAATTTCACCCCGGTCCTGTGGTCCTGTGATCTCACCCTGCCTCCACTTGCCTTGTGATATTCTATTACCTTGTAAAGTACTTGATGTCTGTGACCCATACCTATTCGCACACTCCCTCCCCTTTTGAAAATCCCTAATAAAACCTCGCTGGCTTTTGTGGCTTTTGGGGCATCATGGAACCTACCGACATGTGATGTCTCCCCCAGATGCCCGGCTTTAAAATTTCTCTCTTTTGTACTCTGTCCCTTTATTTCTCAAGCTGGCTGATGCTTAGGGAAAATAGAAAAGAACCTATGTGAATATCAGGGCAGGTTCCCCAATAATCTACTATTGAGAGAGGGGTTGGTAAAGACTGAAGAGCAAGAGGTGGCAGTTTTTGGTCTACTTTTCTACCCTTTTCCTGGGGCATTAACCATATGACAATGGAAGGATAAAAAAAAAATTTTATCATACCTTAGAAGCAACATGGAAGTAGGTATTTTCTGAGCAACAAGAAAACTCAGAGTGTCTACTGTTTGCTGTACTCTGAGTCCAGACCATGGTGAAAGCCATTTCCAACTGTTACGTCTCCAATCAGCAATGGAAATAGAGGGACCCAAGTGACTGAACACGGAGCATAGTGCTGAGTGTCAGAAGAGGTGAGACCCTCAATGGGACAGAAAATAATTTAAGTGGGCTGAGAGTTAACAGGGGAAAGACAAGAAGGTCCAACAAAGAAAGGGATTTTGCTTACCGGGGAGTGATAGCCAAGTAGATTTTGAAGGTTAAATGAGATAATTTATGTCATAAGCTCTCTGGAGAAAATGAGTCTGATGGGGATGGAGGTGTGGGACTGTTTTATGGTGTGGAAAATTACCCCCAAGTCTCAAACACCCTGTGAATTCTGCAGAGAGAGTACTTTGTCATTTGAACATGAAATAAAGGATTTCTTTTTTCTTTCCCACTCCAAGATTCCTTAAGATTCATTTTCAATTGTTGACTATCTTTATCTAATGAATAATGTATTATTCTTTCTTCTGGGTGTTTTTAATAAATGATTGTCTTCATTTTCTATTGCTTATAACAAAATACCTGAAACTGGCTAACTAATGAAGAAATTTCTTAAAGTTGTGAAAAGGACAAAAGTCAAGAGACCATATATGGTGAGGGCCTTCTTGCTGGTGAGGACACTCTGCTGAGTCTCAACTCAGTGCAGGACATTACATGAAGAGGGGGGTGAGTATGCTAGCTCAGGTATTTTCTCCTTATTTTACAAAGCTACCAGTCCCACTCCAATGATAATCCATTAAACCCTAGCCCATTAAACCATGAATGAATTAATCCATTCATGAAAGCAGAGTCTTCATGACCCAATCATCTCTTAAAGGCCTCCCCTATCAAAACTGCCACATTGGGGATGCCACATGTGTTTCGAAGGGGAAAAATATTCAAACTATGGAAATGATTCTATTGGCATGTATACGTACTATTTAGCTTAAATTATCAGATTCTAGAGCTAGAAATGTTTTCTATATGACTTATATTGTACAGATTATAGGACCATGACATATGTATGTAGATCCTTAATAAATGCTCTTCTTAATTTCTTTTTTTTTGCTGTCAAATGTGCATTCTCTTTATTATTATTATTTCAATAGTTTTAGGGAACAGTTGGTGTTTGGCTACATGGCTAAGTTCTTTAGTGGTGATTTCTGAGATTTTGGTGCACCTGTCACCGGAGCCATGTACACTGTACCCAACGTGTAGCTCTTTATCCCTCAGCCCCTTCCCACCCTTCCCTCCAAGTCCCCAAAATTCATTGTATTATTCTTATACCTTTGCATCCTCATACCTTAGCTCCCACTTATGAGTGAAAACATATGATGTTTGGTTTTCCATTCCTGAGTTACTTGACATAGAATAATGGCCTCTAACTTCATCCAGGTTGCTGTGGATACCATTATTTCATTCCCTTTTATGGCTGAGTAGTATTCCATGGTATAAATATATCACATTTTCTTTATCCATTTGTTGATTGATGGGCATTTGGGCTAGTTCCATATTTTCACAATTGTGAATTGTGCTGCTATTAACATGCATGTGCAAGTGTCTTTTTCAATAAACGGCTTCTTTTCCTCTGGGTAGATAGATATTAGTAGTGGTAGTAGTGGAATTGCTGGATCAAACTGTAGTTCTACTTTTAGTTCTTTATGAAATCTCCATGCTGTTTTCTGTAATGAATGTACTAGTTTACATTCCCACCAGCAGTGTCAAAGTGTTCCCTTTTCACCACACCCACACCAACATCTATTATTTTTTGATTTTTTGATTAAGGCCATCTTGCACAACTAAGGTGGTATCGCATTGTGATTTTGACTTGCATTTCCCCATTAGTGATGTTGAGCATTTTTTCATATGTTTGATGGCCATTTGTATATCTTCTTGTGAGAATTGTCTATCCATGTTCGTAGCCCACTTTTTGATGGGATTTTTTTTTATGCTGATTTGTTTGAATCCCTTATGGATTCTGTATAGTAGTCCTTTGTTGTATGCATAGTTTGTGAATATTTTGTCACAATCTGTGGGTTGTCTGTTGACGATTCTTTTGCTGATTATTTCTTTTGCTGTGCAGAAGTTTTTTAGTTTTTTGAGTCTCTTATAGATTCTGAATATTAGTCCTTTGTTGTATGTATAGTTTGTGAATATTTTGTCACACTCTGTGGGTTGTCTGTTTACTCTGCTGATTATTTCTTTTGCTGTGCAGAAGCTTTTTAGCTTAACTTCCATCTATTTATCTTTGTTTTTGTTGCATTTGCCTCGGTTTTAGGTCACAAACTGCCTAAGCCAATGTCTAGAAGAGTTTTTCCAGTGTTATCTTCTAGAATTTTTATAGTTTCAGGTCTTAGATTTAAGTCTTTGATCCATCTTGAGTTGATTTTTGTGATCCATCTTGAGTTGATTTTTGTAATCGATCTTGAGTTGATTTTTGTAATCACCTATTGAGATTATAATTCTTGTTTTCAGTTATGTTATGTGGTGTATCATATTTATTGACTTGCATATGTTAAATCATCCATGTACGCTTGTTATAGAACCCATCTGATCCATGGTAGGTTCTCTTTTTTATTTGCCTTTGGATTTGGTTTGCTAGTATTTTGTTGAGAATTTTTGCATCTGTGTTCATCATGAATATTGGTCTGTAGTTTTCTTTTTTTGTTATGTCCTTTCCTAGGTTTAGTATTAGGGTGACACTGGCTTCATGGAATGATTTGGGGAGGATTCCCTCTTTATTTTTTGGAATAGTTTCAGTAGGATTGGTAACAATTCTTCTTTGAGTTTCTGATAGAATTCAGCTGTGAATCAGTCTGGTCCCGGACTTCATTTTGTTGGCAACTTTTTAATTATCATTTTAATCTCACTGCTTGTTATGGGTCTGTTACAGTTTGGATTTCTTGCTGGTTTAATGTGGGAGGATATCTTTCCAGGAGTTTATCCATCTCCTCTAGGTTTTCTAGTGTGTGCGTGTAAGGGTGTTCATAATAGCCTTGAATGATCATTTGTATTTCTGTGATATCAGTTGTAATAGCTCCCATTTTGTTTCTAATCGAACTTATTTGGATCTTCTTTCCTTGGTTAATCTCACTAATGGTCTATCAATTTTGTTTATCTTTTCAAAGAACTAGCTTTTGGTTGCATTTATCTTTTTTTTTTTTATTTTTGCTTCAATTTCATTTAGTTCTGCTCTGATCTTGGTTATATCTTTTCTTCTGCAGAGTTTGGGTTTGGTTTGTTCTTGTTTCTCTAGTTCCTTGAAGTGTAACCATAGATTGTGCTCTTTCAGACTTTTTGATGTAGGCATTTAATGCAATGAACTTTCCTCTTAGCACTGTTTTTGCTATATCCCAGAGGTTTTGATAGGTTGTGTCATTACTATCATTCAGTTCAATTTTTTTTTTAATTTTCATCTTGATTTCATTGTTGTCCCAAAGATCATTCAGGTGCAGATTTAATTTCCATGTATTTGCATGGTTTTGAGGAATCCTTTTGGAGTTGATTTCCAATTTTATTTCACTGTGGTCTGAGAAAGTACTTGATATCATCTCAGTTTCTTAAATTTATTGAGACTTGTTTGTATCTTATTATATGGTCTATGTTAAAGAATGTTCCATGTGCTGATAAGTAGAATACATATTCTGCAGTTGTTGGGTAGAATGTTCTGCAAATACCTGTTAAGTGCATTTGTTCTAGGGTATAGATAAATTTTTTTTGGTTTCTTTTTTTTTAGCTTTCTGTCCTGATGACCTGTCTAGTGCTGTCGGTGGACTATTGAAATCCCCCACTATTATTGTGCTGCTGTCTACCTCATTTCTTATGTCCAGTAGTAATTGCTTTACAAATTTGGGAGCTCTAGTATTAGGTGCACATATATTTAGAATTGCAATATTTTCCTGTTGGACTAGTCCTTTTATCATTATGTAACGTCTCTCTTTGTATTTTTTAACTGTAGTTGCTTTAAAGTCTGCTTTGTCTGATAGAAGAATAGCTAAGCTTGCTTGCTTTTGGTGTCCATTTGCATGGAATGTCTTTTTTCACCTTTATCTTAAGTTTTTTATGTGTTGTGAGTCCTTATGTGATGTGAGTCCTTTTTGTTGTGAGTCCTTATGTGTTATGTGAGTCTCTTTGGTTTGTGAGTCTTTTTTATGTGATGTGAGTCCTTACACATTAGGTGATGTGAGTTTATGTGATGTGAGTCCTTATGTGTTAGGTGAGTCTCTTGAAGGCAGCGGATACTTGGTTGCTGAATTCTTATCCATTCTGTCATTCTGCATCTTTTAAGTGAAGCATTAAGGCCATTTACATTTCATGTTAGTACTGAGACGTGAGGTACTCTTCTATTCATCATGCTAGTTTTTCCCTGAATAACTTGTTTTTTTTTTTTTCATCATGTTACTGTTTAGTAGTCCCTGTGAGATTTATGCTTAAGGAGGTTCTATTTTGGTGTATTTCAAGGTTTTGTTTCAAGATTTAGAACTCCTTTTAGCAGTTCTTGTAGTGTTCGCTTGGTAGTGGCAAATTCTCTCAGCATGTGTTTTTCTAAAAAATACTTTATTTTTCCTTCATTTATGAAGCTTAGTTTCACTGGATACAAAATTCTTGGCTGATAATTATTTTGTTTGAGGAGGCTAAAGATAGAATCCCAATCCATTCTAGCTTGTAGGGCTTCTGCTGAGAAATCTTCTGTTAATCTGGTAAGTTTTCCTTTATAGGTTACCTGATGCTTTTGCCTCACGGCTTTTAAGATTCTTTCCTTCATCTTGACTTTAGACAACCTGATGACTATGTGCCTAGATGATGATCTTGTTGTGATGAATTTCCTGGGTGTTCTTTGAACTTCTTGTATTTGAATGTCTAGATCTCTAGCAAGGCCAGGGAATTATTCCTCTGTTATTGCCTCAAATAAGATTTTCAAACTTATAGATTTCTCTTCTTACTCAGGAACACCAATTATTCTTATGTTTGGTCATTTAACATAATCCTAAACTTGTTGAAGTCTTTGTTCATTTTTTAAATTCTTTCTCTTACTCTTTTTTCAGATTGGGCTAATTTGAAAGCCTTGTCTTCAAGCTCTGAAGTTCATTCTTCTACTCCTTCTATTCTATTGTTGAAACTTTCAGGTGTATTGCATATCTCTAAGTTTGTCTTTCATTTTCAGAAGTTGTGATTGTTTTTTATTTATAATATCTATTTATCTGGAGAAATTATTTTTTAATTTTTTTAAGTTGGTTTTCACCTTTCTCTGGTGCCTCCTTGAGTATCTTAATAATTGACCTTTTGAATTCTTTTTCTGGCAATACAGAGATTGTTTCTTGGTGTGGATCCATTGCTGATGAGCTAGTGTGATCTTTTGCGGGTGTTATAGAACCTTGTTTGTCATATTACCAGAAATATTTTCCTGGTTTCTTCTCATTTGGATAGACTATGTCAGAGGAAAGATCTGTGGCTCAATGGCTTCTGTTCAGATTTTTTTGTCCCATGGGGTGCTCCCTTGATGTGGTGCTCTCCCCCTTTTTGTAGGGACGGAGCTTCCTAAGAGCTGGATTGCAGTGATTATTATTGCTCTTCTGGGTCTAGCCACCTAATGGAGCTACTGGGCTCCAGGCTGGTACTGGGGAGTGTCTGCAAAGTGTCCTGTGATGTGATCCGTCTTAAGGTCTGTCAGCCATGAATGCCAGCACCTGCTCCACTGGAGGTACCAGGGAGTGAAGTGCACCCCGTGAGTGTCCTTGGCTGTAGTTTTGTTTAGTGCACTGGTTTTCTTGAATGCTGGTTATGCTGGCGGTGAAGTTATCATGTGGACACACTTGGGACATCTGGTTAGCCTGGTTGTTACAGGCAGTGGAATTAGCTGTTGCTTTCTCCTTTCTTGGAGCATGGTTGTTCTGTTATGAGTTGCTGTAATGGCTTAAGTTGGTTGGCCTCCAGCCAGTAGATGGTACTTTCAAGAAAACATCATCTGTGGTAGTATAGGGGGAACACAAGCTTGCCCTAAGTTTGCCTAGATAAGTATTCAGGTTTCTCAGTGATAAGCAGGGCCATGGAGCTCCTACAAGCCTCCCTGCTAAGAAAGCAAGCAGAACTTTCAGGCCTTGATCTTCCCTGCCTGCTGCAGCTTCTGTGGTCATACCTGCATTTCCCATTCACTCACCCAGATTCTGCCCAAGAAAATTCATGCTTGATTGGAATTATTACAAAGTTTAGCTGGAAGTCTCCTCCCTGTGGCCCTTCCCTAATTCCACTGGCTGCCCTCCCCAAGGACTACTGTGAAATAAAGTCAGAAATGGCTTCCCTGGGCTTCCCTGGGGACCAGGAGTGCCTACAGCACTCTACCCACTGCTTCTTCTACTTTTCTATTTTGCTCAGCTCTCTAAATTTGTTTCAGCTCTAGGTATGATTAAATCCTTCTCACATGATCTGGATTTTCAGGTTCCCCAGTGAGGACATGTGTTTAGAAGTGGATTTTGGTGCTCACAGTTTTTTGGCTGTCCCACAAAGTTTGCAGTGGCAAGCCTTAGTGTTAATTTTTATAAAAGTTTATGCACAAGGTAAATTTTTGTTTTAACTTCAGGAAAATAATGTTGCTCAGTCTCTAAAAGAAGAACCAATGAATAAAAGTGAGTCAGATAAGCGCTGGGCATGGTGGCTCATGCCTGTAATCCCAGCAGTTTGGGAGGCCAAGTGGAGTGGATCATGTAAGGTCAGGAGTTTAAGACCAACCTCACCAACATGGTGAAACCCCATCTGTATTAAAAGTACAAAAATTAGCCGGGCATGGTAGCACATGCCTGTTACCTCAGCTACTTGAGAGGCTGAGGCACAAGAATCACTTGAACCTGGGAGGCAGAGCTTGCAGTGAGCAGAGATCGCACCACTGCACTCCAGTCTGGGCGACAGAGTGAAACTCCATCTCAAAAAAGAAAAGAAAAAATTAGTCAGATAAAGGTATAATAAAATATGATTTCCTTTTTATTTCACCATTTTAAAAGTTTGTTGTCAGATATATTCTAGTATAAATCATGTCTGCTTAGGATTTGGGTGATTTTTAGGCTGGAGTGCAGTGGCGCAATCTCAGCTCACTGTAATCTCTGCCTCCCGGGTTCAAGTGATTCTTCTGCCTCAGCCTCCTGAGTAGCTGGGATTACAGGTGTTCACCACCACGCCTGGCTAATTTTTGTAGTTTTAGTAGAGACAGGTTTTCGCCATGTTGGTCAGGCTGGTCTTGAACTCCTGACCTGAAGTGATCTGCCCACCTCAGCCTCCTAAAGCTCTGGGATTACAGACATAAGCCACCACACCTGGCAGGATTTGGGTGATTTAATGAGTCAAGCTGTCATAAATAAATTCTGTTTTATTTTTATTTCTGATGTATTATTGAATAAAACAACAAGATATAGGATTTTATATCATCATACCCTAGGGAGCAACTTTTTTTTAGGATTCACTGAACTGTACTAAATAATTTAGACTTGATTCTTTCACAAAAAATTATAGCATTATATTTGTATTGTGTTTTATAGTCTACAAAGGCACTTATATATGCTAAGTAATAAGCTTACTACTAATGAGTTTTTACTCCAAGATTATTAAATCTTTGATGAAATGAGACAAAAAAGAAACTAGACTATATTTTATCAGCCCACAGGATAAGGCTGTTCCTATTCTTTATATGGTACTGTTTAAAACCAAATAACATTGAGTCTGAGAAATAAACTGATGTTTTACCATTATGTCATGTTGTTTTGATGGGGCCATGAAAATAGATTATAAAACTGTGAATAGGGATGAGCTTTCTCCTGAAAGAACATGCTCACTATGACTCAGGCTCCATAAAGAAGTCAAGACTTAGGGTTCAAGCCTTAGTTTGGGTGAGAAGTAAACTTCCTTTTTTATCTAGAGTTGAAAAGAGATTTAGTCTGATTCCAGTGTGTGAATATCCTGGAGAATTTCAGTGTGGGGGTTCAGATACTTCCAACCACATGAAGGACAGTGGGCAATGAAGCCAGGTAAAGAGTCCTAGTATGAGGCTGGGCATGGTAGCTCACATATGTAATTCCAGCACTTTGGGAGGCCATAGCTGGAGGATTGCTTGAGCCCAGGGGTTCAAGACCAGGCTGGGCAATATAGTGAGACCCCATCTCTACAGAAATTTTACAAATTAGCTGTATGTGGTGCTCGCTTGGGCCCAGGAGTTCAAGGTTAAAGTGAACCATAGTCATGCCACTGAACTCCAGCCTGGGCAACAGAGCAAGACCCTATCTCAAAAACATAAATATAAAAAAATGGGTTATAGTATGAGATGGGGTCCACACATTGATGAATATCAATTTCTATGTTATCTTTCCCTGGATCCTTTGGTTCCCTAGTCCTTCTGGAATGTATTCTTAAAAGCTATGGCCTGGCTGGAGTTGTGCCTTATAGAATTAGTGTCCCCAAATCAGACATTCCATGCATCTGATACAGCAACAGAGGTCTAAATAATAGAGCAGAAGGCTTTCTGTGTGGTCAGAATGGGGATTGCAACCACCAATCCAGCAGAGGAACTCTCTACCCTAAAATGAAGATTTTAAGATTGTCCATAAAACAGTCCACCATAGGGTGGCATGACAGAGGGACAGAGCAGAAGAACTTTAGGAAGTTGACCTTGAGTACATAAGAGAATGCTCCCTGAGAAAATCCTCTGAGATGATGGAAACTTGGAGGAAGATGGATTGCCAACAATTAGAACAGTCAGAGCTCAATCGATCATAATCTGAGTATTTAAAAATTTTTGTAACCATAGGCTAACAAGGTCTGGGAAATTAATGTTAATTTTTTTTCAGTCAAATCCTATTGTCTTCCAAATGACATTGAGATTATATCCTTTACACCTCAAATATCTCTACTTCTTGCCATCTTCATTGCCATTGTTTTAGTTGAGTGCATTATTATCCGTTGGCTACATTATCACAGCAGTCACCTAAATGGAATCCTTACCCATCTTACGTAATGCAGGCAAATGATCTCTACCAAATGTGGATCTAATTGTGCTAAAGTCTTTTTAAAATTCCTCACTACTGACTCCACATTACACAAGTTATGATGCATAAATCCCTACTTGCATTTACATATTCACATCTCTGAGGACTCCACTTTTACCTCCATTAGCACATCAAACTATATCACTTGCAGCCATTAATGGTCAATGCTCTTTCTTGGTTCCAAAGTTTTTGCCAATGTTATCTCTTCTACCCAGAATGCTCCACCCACCATCCATTTCCATCATTTTTTTTTTCTACTTTAGTTGTATCTTTCTCCCGACAGAACATCTCTCTGAGAAGTTATGTCTGATTCTTTCCAAATACTATGTACACTAAAATGGATATGTCCACAGCTTCCCACCCAGGAGTACTTATACATATTGGAATACTCTACAATTTCTTAAGAAAAAAGACTATGTCTTGTTTACTGCTGTATTCCTGGCTTCTATCACCATACCAGACACATACCATAGCAGCTCAAAAAAAAAAATAGTTGAATACATTATAACATTCTCATAAGTTTCATAATCACCTTGTGAGTTAGATGCAATTATTATCTCACTTTATATCTCGAAAACCTGAGTACAGGAATACCTTGGAAACATTTTGAGTTCTGCTCCAGACCACTTCTGTAAATAAATAGCAATAGTAAAGCAAATAGCAAAAAAGTGAGTCACACAAAATTTTGTTCCTCAGTGCATAAAAAATTAATTTACCATATACTGAAGTCCTTTATGTAAGCAATAGCATTATATCATTAATAACACTGTATATACCCTAATTTAAAAATATATTTTGCTAAAAATTCTAATGATTATATAAGCCTTCAGTAAATTTTAGTATGTATACTTATAGAGGATCTTGTCTTGATATTGATGGATGCTGACTAATCAGGGTTGTGGCTTCTGAAAGTTGCACTGGGTGTGGCAACTTTTAAACATAAGACCACAGTGAAATTTGCTGCATTGATTGACTATTCCTTTCAAGAAAGATTTGTCTTTAATATGGGATGCTGTTTGATAGCATTTTACCCACAGTAGAACTTTTTTCAAATTGAAATAAATCCTCTCAAACCCTGCTGCTCCTTTATCAACTAAGTTTATGTAATACTCTAAATCCTTTGTTGTCATTTCAACCATGTTTAACACATCTTCACCAAGAGTAGATCCCATCTGAAGAATCCATGTTCTTTGTTTATTCATAAGAAACAACCCGTCATCTATTTGAGTCTGATCATGAGATTGCAGCAACTTAGTCATAACTTCGGGCTCCACTTTTAATTCTAATAAATGATCTTAATGGCATCTAGATTGGCGAATTTTTTCTCGAAGGTTTGCAATTTACTTTGCCCAGATCAACCAGAAGGATCACTATTTATAGCAGCTAGAGCCTTAAAGATTATATTTTATATAAGTAAATATATTATTTTATATAAAATAAAACTCAAAAGTCAAAATTACTTTTTGATCTATGGACTTCGGAATAAATGCTATGTTAGCAGACATGAAAACATTTATCTTCTTGTACATCTCTATCACAGCTCTTGGGTGACTAGATGCATCATAAATGAGTAGTACTATTTCGAAAGGCATCTTTTTTTCTCAGCAGTAGGTCTCAACAGTGGGCTTACAATATTCAGTAAACCTTGTTGTAAATAGATGCGCTTTCATCCAGGCTTTGTTATTCCATTTATAGAGCACAGGCAGAGTAGATTTAGCATAATTCTTTAGGGACCTAGAATTTTTGAAATGGTAAATGATCATTGGCTTTCAACTTAAAGTCACCAGCTGCATTAGCCCCTACCAAAAGAGTAACTTGTCCTTTAAAGCACTGGAGCCAGGCATCGACTTTTCCTCTCTAGTTACGAAAGTCCTAGATAACATCTTCTTCAAATATAAGGCTGTTTCATCTATATTGGAAATCTTTTCTTTGGTGTAGCCACCTTCATCAGTTATCTTAGTTAGATCTTCTGGATAACTTACTGCAGCTTCTACATCACTTGCTGCTTCACCTTGCACTTTTATGCTATGGAGACAGCTTTCTTTCCTTAAATCTTATGAGCCAACTTCTGGTAGCTTCAAATCTTCCTTCTGAAGCTTCCTCACCTCTTTCAGCCTTCATAGAATTGAAAAGAGTTAGGGCCTTTCTCTGTATTTGGCTTTGGCTTAAGGTAATGTTGTATCTGGTATGATATTCTATACAGACCACTAACACTCTCCATATCAGGAATAAGCCTGTTTTGCTTTCTTATTATTTGTGTGTTCACTGGAGTAGTGATCTTAATTTCCTTCAAGAATGTTTCCTTTCCATTCACAACTTGGCTAACTGCTTGCCACAAGAGCCCTAGCTTTCAGTCTTTTTCACCATTTGACATGTCTTTCTCACTAAGAGTAATCATTTCTACTTTTTGATTTAAAGTGAAAGACATGCAACTTTTACCTAAACATTTAGAGGCCATTGCAGGGTAATTAATTGACCTGTTTTAATATTGTCATGTCTTTTGGAATATGGAGCAGTAAAGAGAAGGAAAGAGATGGAGAAACAGCTGGCCAGTGGTTCAGTCAGAACACAAACATTATTCCATTAAGTTTGTCATCTTTTTTGTTTGTTTGTTTGTTTTGTTTTTGTTTTGTTTTTGAGACAGAGTCTCACTCTGTCACCTAGGCTGGAGTGCAGTGGTATGATCTCGGCTCACTGCAACCTCCACCTCCCAGGTTCAAGTGATTCTCCTGCCTCAGCCTCCAGAGTAGCTGGGACTACAGGTGTGCACCACCACACCCAGCTAATTTTTGTCTTTTTAGTAGAGATGGGTTTCACCATGTTAGCCAGACTGGTCTTGAACTCCTGACCTCAGGTGATCCACCCACATTGGCCTCCCAAAGTGCTGAGATTATAGGCATGAGCCACCACACCCAGCCAAGTTTGTCATCTTATATGGCCATGGTTCATAATATCCCCAAACAATTACAATAGTAACATTAAAGATCATGGACTGCAAATCGCCATAACAGATGTAATAATAACGAAAACGCCTGAAATATTTCAAGAATTGCCAGAATGTGATACAGAGAAACAAAGTCTCTGTAACAAAGTCTCAAAAACAAAGATTCTAATGGAAAAACTGAGCCAATAGATTTGCTCAATGCAGTGTTGCCACAAACTTTTATTTTGTAATAAACCCAGCTATCTTCAAAGTGCAATAAAGATAAGTGCAATGAAATTAGGTGTGCCTAGATAAGACATATTAAGTGTCTGTTCCAATGCAGAAAAGACAGTCAATGACCAAGCAGGATTCAAAATTCAAAATTCAAATACAATATTGCACTGCCATATAGTATTCATGTATGGTACAGTATAGCATTTCTCTATAAAAATATTATTTTGTGGCCAGGTGTGGTGGCTCACACCTGTAATCCCAGCACTTTGGGAGGCCAAGGCGGGCAGATCACAAGGTCAAGAGATCAAGACCATCCTGGCCAACATGGTGAAACCCCATCTCTAAATATATATATATATACATATATATATATGTATATATATGTATATATATATGTGTGTATATATATGTATATATGTATATATATATTTATATAGATATATATAAATATATATTATATATACATATAATATATATATAATATATACATATTTTATATATATTATATATATATATAAAAAAATTAGCTGGGCATGGTGGCACGTGCCTGTAGTCCCAGCTACTTGGGAGGCTGAGGCAGGAGAATCAGTTGAACCCTGGAGGCAGAGGTTGCAGTGAGCCAAGATTGCACCACTGCACTGCACTGCATTGCACTCCAGTCTGGCGACAGAACGAGACTGCATCTCAAAAAAAAAAAAAGTTATTTTGCTAGAGGGCTGTAATCTAGATGTGAAAAGTCAGTATTGCAGAGATGCTATTACAAAAGAAGGAGTATGCATTTAAATAGGGGATATCTGTCTGAGTGTTTCTCATACTTCAGTGTACTTCAAAATTACCTAGAAGACTTGTTAATACACAGATTGCCAAAGACAGTAAAGGATATTAAAATGAGCCTATTCAAATCTGTAATTCTTTAGCTCTACTATGAAAAGCCTTCCAAATATATCCTTTTTAAAAACCTTTTTTAAAAACTTTAAGTTATTCCCATATCTTCCTTTATACAGTACACTAGAAATAAGGAAATTCTGAAGCAACCAGATACTCAGAAAATTGGTCCAAACAATGCTCAAACCTATTACTGGCAGGAACTCATCTAGCTACTGCCAAATTTATTCTGGCAGTCCAAAGATTCTGGGAGTGTGGGAACCACAAACATGACCACAGTGGCCACATGCCAGGCTTTGCTTTGTTCAATGGACATCTTGAACACTAAATATCCAGAAACCTTGGATGGGTGGCAATGCTCCTCCCGCATCTAGGCATGGATGAGACCTAAATTGAGGAGAAACATGGAGCTGGAAAGCACTGTGCTAATCACAGATGCCTAAAAAATGAGATTTGCCAAAGGAAGGAATGGACAACACTTTACCACACCAGATATCTCAATTTAGGACCACAGTTCCCTTTTGCTTCATTTCTTAATTTAAAAATTCTTATTCCAAATGTTTGTTTGTTTTGCTGGTTTTGTTGTCTTCCATGCATCTGTTCATTTGTTTAAGTAAGATCATCTAATTTTTGCTTCTGTTTCCTCTAGTTATAATGTCACATCTGCTTACCATATTTATTTTTAATTGGTTTGTGATAAATGGCAACTTTATGCCTAACCCTTTAGCTTACAGCTTAGAGTTTGTTTGCATAATCAAAATTTTAGTTTGCATAGGACAAAATTTTGCCCTTCTGCTTTGTCAAAGATTCTAGGACAATGAGAAACTTAGATTTTCAAAAGTGTGTCATTTTTATTTTAGCTTGGATCCCCGACAAGTAAATTAATATTGTTTATCTACTGCCCAACCTTGTCTAGACTTTCAATATGTGTATTTCAAGTGGTGGTGTTAGCGTATGAGGCTACTATCTATAATCCAACATGCAAGATAGTGATCTTAGTGGTTTATAAGAAAATTCTACTAAAAGATAATAGAAGAAAGAAACAAATACTATGTATTTTGAATCAGGCAAATCACAGCTATCACAGTGTCCTCATACCAAATATTTTTCAAAGTAGTCTCTGAAGAATCCTTTCCTAATGGGCTTTAGAATCAACAATTCCCAGAAAATCAGCTACAGTCCCCTTGTGAGTGATCTTCTCACTGAACCATTTCAGTGAACCCCACTGGCATGATCCAACTTTCCCTCCACAAATGTCCTCCTCTGCTGGGAGCCCTATTTGGATGGCTTCTCTTAGTCTCAGTCCTCCAGTGGTTTCATAGATTTTATCAAAGGAAGTCCCCTAGTTTTATTCTTGATTTAGCCTGATTATGATACTTTCAGAGAGATTTCATCAGAACTGTAATTGCTGAGTTGGAACTGTCTACTCTTAAGAGTTACTTTCTTCTCTAAATTCTCTACATTTCAGATGCTCCAGGGAAAAAATATATTGCAAGGGGTCTTTCTCTTTAGCCTGCGTCAAAATCTCCCAGAGGATTTGTTAATACACCGATTGCTAACCCCAATTCCGGAGATTCTGACTTTGTAGATCTGGATAGAGGCCTGAAAATTTGCATTTCTTACAAATGATATTGATACCGCTAAGTCAAGGGCTATAGTTTGACAGCCATTGGTACAGTGGAAAGAATGCCAATTTCTGAAGCAGACAAACTTAAGTCTAAATTGTAACTGTATTACTTACTATTTGTGTGACATTGAACAAAAGACCTAATGTCTCAAACACTCAGTTTCCTCAGTTTCCTCACTAATATATGCTAAAGATGGCAATCAATACCACTTAGGGTCATTGTGGAGACTCAATAAAAGTAGAAACACACACACACACACACACACACACACACAGACACACACACGATGTTAGCTCAGTGTCTGACAAAATGAAGTATTCTGTAAGTGTTTTCCTTTCTCTTTTTCTCTGGATAAAGAAGAATTTATCCTGAAGCCAGTCCAATTGTTCTTTTGACAAAGAAACAGCTCCCTTTCCACCCTGGGCAACATTAAAGCCAATATCACTGACTCAACCCCAATATGGGTGCTCTTTCTCTTTAATAGAGTGCTAGTAATCCTTTCCCAAAGAAATACTGTTTGTTTCTCTAAGATCTGTCAAAGGGCTCCAGATGCCTCCCAATTACTCTTATTAAGTTCTCTGTGAAAATACCCAAACAACAAAGGTTTCTAAATGACAAACGCTGATCACTGGCTATAAACTCACTTGAAAATAAGTTGTTCAAAAGATTCTAAACCCTACCCATCGTTGAAAGCCTTCCTAAGTAAGAATGCAAAATTAGCTTGGATAGAAGGAAACTCAGATCTGTTTATTCTCAGCAAAGGATGGCTGTAGGCAAGTCTTTCTGCTATTTTTTTTTTCGTTTTGTAAATTGAGTCGAGTAAGTATGTGTTAACCAACAGAACTGTGCCTTCTCCAAACTTTTCTTCAGATTTTCAAATTTCCATTCTCAATCATAATTTGATTTTATATTGGGTGTGAGCATGTAATAAATGAACAACAGGAACAAGAAGCAGTGAGACAAACGTGGGGACAAACATCAAGTACATAAGAAAACTCCACTCTTTACTGAGGATTCACCTACAAGGCATTAGGCTAAAGCATTTTGCGTACACTCTCTTCTTTCATCTTACAGTAATCCTGTTATATGGAAAAATATCTCATCACTATTGTATATATGATGAAACTGAGGTTTTAAGAAGTAAAGAGGTAAATCTCACTTAGGTAGTAAGTGGCAGGTTTGGGATTCAAACTCAGCTCTCTCAATGCTTTTGCTCTTAATCATTACACCACATTCTCTTTCTTGTCATTAACAATGAAAAAGAACTCCTAAAGAATCCCTTATTTCTAAAGATGAATGCTGGAATATTCAAGGATGAATTAAAGTACACACACACACACACACACACACACACACAAGCAAATATGACAAACTAACAATTGCTAAAACTAGACAAAGAAGATCAGGTGTTTGCTCTACATTTTTTTTCTGTATGCTTTAAAATTTTAATAATCAAAAGGCTGAAGGAAATGAGGCACTCACCAAATGTCCTAAGGTGATAATGTGGAGTTAAGTTCAGAATATAAATGTAAAAATAACAGAAGAAAGAATACAAACAAACATTTCAGAGAATAGTTCACTGAAAGAATTGAAATTCTTTAAGTGTGCAAGTCTTCCCTTAATTGCCTTATACCTTTCACTATTAGCTTCTATACCTCTATAGCTTTGATTGCCTTAATATCTTCCTATACTCTATTCAGGCACCTCATAAAAGTTTACTTATTTCAAAAATAAAAATCTTCTAGTGGCCTAAGAAAAACCCCAGATATTTCTCTCTTTCTCTCCCTCTGTCTCTCTCTCTCTCCCTCTCTTAGATACATAGTGTCGTAATTTTCATGTTCTGCCAAATTGATAATTATTTCAGAAAATATAATGAACTTTTATGTTAATCCAAGCTAGTTGCAATTTGCAGAATATTATTTCTAAAAAGTAAAGCAAAGTTAAAACAAATAAAAGTAAAAGATATTATATGACACTATTTGGGTTACAATTTTTCAGTATTGTATTCAAGTTAAAACAATTGAAAAATCACAGACTATCCTTATGCTATGCAACCTCTTATTCCTGAAGATCCTGGATTTAAACAGTCAATATTATAATCTACTTAAATGAATGCAAGAAACATCACCCAGGCTTGTACCATAATGATTAATTTTAACACTAAAAACCAGACCTGTCTGTTTCCATATCTATCAACATATCTTACATGTAACTGATTTACAAAATATAATAATTCACCAGAAAATTTTAAATGCCTGTAATTATCCTCTAGGCTGTAGGCCCAGTCATATAATTAGAACCATAATTGTCTGGTTACAGAAATGTTTAGGGCAACCAAAAGAAATTCAAAAGCTCTGAAGACAATGCCCGGCTTGTGTTTGCGCACGTGTGCGCGTGTGTGTGCGTGTGTGTGTGTACACACATGCCCGTGTGTGTGTATAAGCTGGTCCTAGGAGAACAGTATGGAATCAAGGTAAGAAGTTTGAGCTTCTGAAACAGACTGCTTATATTTACAATATTACCTCAAAAGTGATCTATGCTGTTTGGGCAAGTTATTTGACCTCTGTAATCCTCAGACTATCCATTGTAAAGTACAAACAATGATTGAAACTATTAGATAATGTTGTCATGAGGATAACATTTAAAAACCCATGTAGAATGCATCAAACAGAACCTGTTGATAATTAAGCATTTAATGTATGCTATGTATTATTATTTTCATTATTCTTATTTCTACACAGCTATATCACAGTATCCCAAACTCAGAATGCTCAAAACTAAACTCATCTTCATCCTCTCCATATTTGCTTCTTTTTCTCTAGTATTTATTCTTGTTAACAAGACCATGATCCACTTATTCCCTAAAGATTAGAATCCAAAAGAAATCTAATTATTTAATAAAAATACTCAATAATTACGTTGCATCAATGATTCCTCCTTAATAGCTCTCAAATTTGCCTTCTTTCCTCTATGTCCTCTGATACTGACTTAATTCATGCTCTCATCAATACTCATTTGTTTGCTGCAGTAGCTCCTTTATTCCAGTCTTGCTCCCTGTAGTATATTCCCCACAAGGTTTCCAAATAATAACTCTTTAAAATAATTATCATTTGACTTTTATTTTAAAGATATATGTATAGTGACTTCTTAGGAAGAGCCTTCAAGTTTCTGTTCAAATATGGCAAATTAAACACAGTCAATAATCTTTATTCCTTCCTAAAAATTATACTAGTTATTATGGTTCTGAAATAAATAACCCCAACTTAGAAGCCGGAAAAGCTATAAACATTTATTATCTCACAGTGTCTATGGGTCGGAAACTTGGGAATGTCTTATCTGGGTTGCTGTACCTCATGGTTTCTCATAAGCCTACAATCAAGGTGTCAGTAGGGACTGCAGTCTTATCTGAAGACTTGAATGAGGGATGTAATGTGCTACCAAGCTCACTGATATGGCAGAATTCAGTTCCTTTCAGCCTGGTGGACTGAGTGCCTACATTCCTCCAAGGGCTATTGGCCAGAGGCCTCCTTTGCTCCTTGCCATGTGGGCTCCTCTGTAGGGCAGCTCACAGTATGGAAGCTTGCTACTCTCAGCGCTATCAGCAGAACAAGAATGAGAGTAAGAGCAAGAGAAAAAGACCAAATCATGATTTTTTTGTAACCTAATCACAGAGGTGAAGTTGCATGACAATAGTCCACACTATTCATTAAAAGTGAGTCACTAAGTCCAACCCACACTCAAGGATGGGAGAGGGCATTATACAAGGACATGAATACCAGGAGTCAGGAATCATTGGGAACTATTTCAGATACTGTCTACCAAACCCTTTAAATTGACAGTAAAAATACAAAACAGGCATTTATCCACAAGGAAAAATGAATGAAGAGCAGAAGACAGGAAATTGAGAAGTAAATGAACTAATGATATATGATTTAATAGCTTAGAGAAAACCTAAAACTTTAAGAGATAAAGCCAAACAGAAGCTAACCAATTCATAAATTCAGAACTTTCTTCAGAAAGCTGGTGGTGAATGTACATCACCAAAATGGGGGAGTAAACCAACAAGGAGAAAACATAAACTCAAAAAACAACAACAGACATAATACAAGTCAAAGAAAAGGATTTAAACACTATAGACAGTTCATGAAACAAGCTGGAGAGCAAACAATGGAGGCTGGAGCAGGAGAATCATGTCCTAAGAGCACTGGGTTAGCTAGAAGAAAATTAAACAGATAGAATATTTGATATGTTTCAGCATATCCAGGAGCTGTTTTCAATTCTACCATAGATGTTAGGTATAAATTATTGATAGGGTGAACAGAAAGCTAAGCAAATCTAAAAACACAGTTTATTTACTATGCTTACAAAGTGAAATGTAAAATAAAGGGCAAATAATCATAGTACTTAGCTCACCTATAAAAAAATCAACAGTTTTTAAAATAAATATTTAATCAAAAGTTGTGGAGTATTTATATTAGAACAATAAAAGGAAGTAAAGTTGTACATGTAAAGAAAGGATATTGGAAGAAAGATACATCTTTATCTTGCATTATAGAACAGCAATGTCTAAAACGTTTTTATCCTTAAATAAAACTTCAGCAAATATTGCAATCCATATAAACACGTTGTGCAAATCCTCCTGAAATTCATTTGAAACTTAATTCCAAAGACTATATACTGAAGGTAAAGCCACAAAAGCAAAGTTAATTTCAGGTAAACCTCAACACAGAATAAATGTCTTTAGATAGTTTTTCCTTCATTTAAGAAATTCATTATTAGATGCAACATACTATACTTACAAATTTATATAGGATTTTAATAAAAATACAAATTGCATTATTATCCTGCAGCAAAAATCACCACAATGACAATATAGTTTTAGTTCTTCTACTGGTTTCCACTTGCTTTGGGTAGAAAAATTGCTAAGATTTACCTTTTAAAAAATGTGTCATGGACTCAGCCAAATTATATGGACTCATTATGTTTTTATTTCTGAAAGAGTGGGATACTACCTCAAAGTTGGGAACATATTTTTGAAATATGACCAAAATATTAAAGGTATGAAATTTTAAAAGAAAGAAATTTTCTGACTTGCACAATTTCTGCTAAAAACTGTTGATAGTATTACAGTGATTCTCCTCTATGTGACAATTCACTTCTCCCTTGCTGCTTTTAATACCATTTCTTTGTCTCTAACTTCTGACAATTTGACTATCATGTGTTTTGGTGTGGGACTCTTCAGAGTCATCTTATTTGGTGTCCTGTGGGCTTCCTAGATCTGGTTATCTAACTTCTTTCTCAAATTTGGAAGTTTTCTGCCATTACTTCTTTGAATATATTTTCTGTCCCTTTCTCTCTTTCTATTACTTCTGGCATGCCAATTATGTATGTTGTTCTCCTTTATTATGCCCCATAAGCTTTTAAGCTATCTTCACTCTTTAATTCTTTTTTGCTCCTCAGATTGAATGACCTGTCTTCAAATTCACTGATCCTCCCTACCACCTTAAACTAGTATGTTGTTGAGTGCTCCTATTGAATTTTCAGTGCAGCTATAGCATTCTTCATATCTAGTATTTCTCTTTGGTACTACCTTATACTTTCTATCTCCTTGTCGAAGTTCTCAGCTTGTTCTTACATTGCTGCCTTGACCTCTGTGAGCCTCTTTATAACCATAATTTTGAATTTCCTTGGGTAAATCACAAAAGTTTACTACATTTGTATTGGCTTCTGGAAATTTACCTTGTTTTGTTGTTTGGAATATATCTCTGTTTCTTCATTTTCCTTGATCTCTGTGTTGGTATCTGTCATTAGATAAGATACGGCCTAGTTAGACTGGACTTACGTAAGAGAAGATTTTCATGAATCCAACCAGCAAGAGATTTTAAGATGCCTATCTGATCTAATCTTTCTGTTTGTCCAGATTGCTCTCTCTTGTTTTGGTAGAACCTGGAGCTTAAGATGTGCCACAGCTTTTCAGTACCCAAAGACCAGTAAAGTAAGAGACAGGCTCTTTATAGCTGAAGAGTTTGGGGTGTTGAATGTGAGTACCAGGTCTTTCTATCTTCACGGTGAGTCTGGGTCTATCTCCCAATCTCTCTGGACTAAGCCAAGGAGAGGATCTGTGGCAAATATCTACACTCATGATCAGGCTGCACATTCTGATCCTGGAGGGATAGCTACTGAGAGTAGGCCCAATATACATCCACCTGTTTGTTTTCTGTGGTCTTGAGCCAGTCGGGATCACAAAGACCCTTCCTTAATTTCCAGAGCTGGGTTGTTAAAGGGACAGTCCTTTTAGATGGGAGCTATGGAAGTTGTGGTGCTTGGGGCATGGCCAAATACCTTCCAGGCTAAATAGGCATGAATTTATCTCTAAAGTGATCCAGAGGGAGATCTTATGACGTGCTGAGCTCTGTCTCAGCTATGGAAGGGCTACTGGGTTTTTGTTGCTGGTTTCTTTGTTTTGCTCTGTTAGATCCCCAATGCCAGTTTATTAGCGTCCATGCCATTGAATCCCTTCTGGAGAGAAAATGAGAGCTGCACATTCCTGCCCCTTTTCTGCACTGCTTTAAGGGGACATAACCCCTGGAAGTTTTAGGACAACAATTTAAAACCACCTCTGGGATCAAGGGATACACACATATACCTAGTCGCATCTGATCCCAGAGCTACTAGGTGTAGGATGGAGTCCTTCAAGAGGTAACTTTAAAAATTGGGGCACTCAGTGAGCATCCTAAATCCTTTCTGGGAAAAAAAAAAAAGCAGGGAATTGTGGGGGAGGTGGGTGTTTGTTTTTAGGCCCTTTGCACTGTTTCAGAAGGATGAAGTTCCAGGAGGAGGAAATCCCGGAGAAGCTTGCATACACATTTAAAGACAGTGCTTTTTTTCTGCCATCTAGACAGACATGTGTATGACAGTCCCTTCCACTCCCAGAGCTAGAAGATTTGTGAATGAGTCCCTCAGGGGGATGTTGTAATAGTTGAGGCACAGGGTGTGGGTGCAAACTCCTCCCAGACTGGTGGCAGGTTAATAATTCACTCTCTCTTTAACTTGCCATTGCAAGTTAGTTAAAAGCCAGGCCACCCAGCAGGCACTGGAGGGATGTATTGTAAACTCCTTCCAGGAGGAAACAGAGATCTGCAGTTTTTTTAAGCCCCCCCTTTTTGTGCACTGCTCCTAGAGGGTGAAATTCCTGCAAGTACTTGCATGCCCATAGAAAATGGCTGATTTATTTCCTATGATCTGGAAGGAAAGGCGTGTATCTAATCCCCTCCATTCCCAGAGTATGTGAATTAACAGTCAAACCACAGGGAAGCTTGGGATTAAAGCCCTGTATGTGAGATCTAGACCCTCCTCACCACAGGGAGAAACTGAATGTTGGGAACTTCTTTCCTAGTTTTATGGCACAATGCATACCTGGGGTGATGTTTGTGCCTGCGTGTGCATCAGTTTCTCCTACCCACTCAATGTGGATGTTCTCTCCAATGCCCAGTGAGTAGGAGCCTCCTGACTGGTCTCTGACTTTCCCCCAGAGAGAACTGATCCATGAATAGATGGTTGTTAGCTGCAAAAGTGTAAAGGGAGCGTGACAAGCTTCTTACTCCGCCACATTGGTAATGTCACCTCTTGTAATGGCTAGCTTCTTGAGAGATTTAATTTATTATCAAACTGCATTTTTTTTTATTATACTTTAAGTTCTAGGGTACACGTACACAATGTGCAGGTTTGTTACATATGTAAACATGCGCCATGTTGGTGTGCTGCACCCATTAACTAGTCATTTACATTAGGTATGTCTCCTAATGCTATCCCTCCCCCTCCCCCCACCCCATGACAGGCCCATGTGTGATGTTCCACTTCCTGTGTCCAAGTGTTGTCATTGTTCAATTCCCACCTATGAGTGAGAACATGTGGTGTTTGGCTTCTTGTCCTTGCAATAGTTTGCTGAGAATGATGGTTTCCAGCTTCATCCATGTCCCTACAAAGGACATGAACTCATCATTTTTTGTGGCTGCATAGTATTCCATGGTGTATATGTGCCACATTTTCTTAATCCAGTCTGTCATTGTTGGACATTTGGGTGGGTTCCAAGTCTTTGCTATTGTGAATAGTGCCACAATAAACATACGTGCGCATGTGTCTTTATAGCAGCATGATTTATAATCCTTTGGGTATATACCTGGTAATGGGATGGCTGGGTCAAATGGTATTTCTAGTTCTAGATCCCTGAGGAATCGCCACACTGACTTCCACAATGGTTGAACTAGTTTACAGTCCCACCAACAGTGTAAAATGTTCCTATTTCTCCACATCCTCTCCAGCACCTCTTGTTTCCTGACTTTTTAATGATTGCCATTCTAACTGGTGTGAGATGGTATCTCATTGTGGTTTTGATTCGCATTTGTCTGATGGCCAGTGATGGTGAGCATTTTTTCATGTGTCTTTTGGCTGCATAAGTGTCTTCTTTTGAGAAGTGTCTGTTCATATCCTTTGCCCACTTTTTGATGGAGTTGTTTATTTTTTTCTTGTAAATTTGTTTGTGTTCATTGTAGATTCTGGATATTAGCCCTTTGTCAGATGAGTGGGTTGCAAAAATTTTCTCCCATTCTGTAGGTTGCCTGTTCACTCTGATGGTAGTTTCTTTTGCTGTGCAGAAGCTCTAGTTTAATTAGATCGCATTTGTCAATTTTGGCTTTTGTTGCCATTGCTTTTGGTGTTTTAGACATGAAGTCCTTGCCCACGCCTATGTCCTGAATGGTATTGCCTAGGTTTTCTTCTAGGGTTTCTATGGTTTTAAGTCTTTAATCCATCCTGAATGAATTTTTCTATAAGGTGTAAGGAAGGGATCCAGTTTCAGCTTTGTACATATGGCTAGCCAGTTTTCCCAGCAACATTTATTAAATAGGGAATCCTTTCCCCATTGCTTGTTTTTGTCAGGTTTGTCAAAGATCACATGGTTGTAGATGTGTGGTATTATTTCTGAGGGCTCTGTTCTATTCCATTGGTCTACATCTCTGTTTTGGTACCAATACCATGCTGTTTTGGTTACTGTAGCCTTGTAGTATAGTTTGAAGTCAGGTAGCATGAGGCCTCCAGCTTTGTTCTTTTGGCTTAGAATTGTCTTGGCAATGTGGGCACTTTTTTGGTTCTGTATGAACTTTAAAGTAGTTTTTTCCAATTCTGTGAAGAAAGTCATTGGTAGCTTGATGGGGATGGCATTGAATCTGTAAATTACCTTGGGCAGTATGGCCATTTTCACGATATTGATTCTTCCTACCCATGAGCATGGAATGTTCTTCCAATTGTTTGTGTCTTCTTTTATTTCATTGAGCAGTGGTTTGTAGTTCTCCTTGAAGAGGTCCTTCACATCCCTTGTAAGTTGGATTCCTAGGTATTTTATTCTCTTTGAAGCAATTGTGAATGGGAGGTCATTCATGATTTGGCTCTCTGTTTGTCTGTTATTGGTGTATAAGAATGCTTGTGACTTTTGTACATTGATTTTGCATCCTGAGACTTTGCTGAAGTTGCTTATCAGCTTAAGATTTTGTGCTGAGACAATGAGGTTTTCTAAATATACAATCATGTCATCTGCAAACAGGGACAATTTGACTTCCTTGTTCCTAATTGAATACCCTTTATTTATTTCTCCTGCCTGATTGCCCTGGCCAGAACTTCCAACACTATGTTGAATAGGAGTGATGAGAAAGGGCATCCCTGTCTTGTGCCAGTTTTCAAAGGGAATGCTTCCAGTTTTTGCCCATTCAGTATGATATTGGCTGTGAGTTTGTCACAATAGTTCTATTATTTTGAGATATGTCCCATCAATACGTAATTTATTGAGAGTTTTTAGCATGAAGGGCTGCTGAATTTTGTCAAAGGCCTTTTCTGCATCTATTGAGATAATCATGTGGTTTTTGTCTTTGGTTCTGTTTATATGCTGGATTACATTTATTGATTTGTGTATGTTGAACCAGCCTTGCATCCCAGGAATGAAGCCCACTTGATCATGGTGGATAAGCTTTTTGATGTGCTGCTGGATTTGGTTTGCCAGTACTTTACTGAGGATTTTTGCATCGATGTTCATCAGGGATATTGGTCTAAAATTCTCTCTTTTTGTTGTGTCTCTGCCAGGCTTTGGTATCACGATGATTCTGGCCTCATAAAATGAGTTAGGGAGGGTTCCCTCTTTTTCTGTTGATTGGAATAGTTTCAGAAGGAATGGTACCAGCTCCTCCTTGTACCTCTAGTAGAATTTGGCTGTGAATCCATCTGGTCCTGGACTTTTTTTGATTGGTAGGCTATTAATTATTGCCTCAATTTCAGAGTCTGTTATTGGTCTATCCAGGGATTCAACTTCTTCCTGGTTTAGTCTCAGGAGGGTGTATGTGCCAAGGAATTTATCCATTTCTTCTAGACTTTCTAGTTTGTTTGTGTAGAGGTGTTTATAGTACTCTCTGATGGTAGTTTGTATTTCTGTGGGATTGGTGGTGATATCACATTTATCGTTTTTTATTGCATCTATTTGATTCTTCTCTCTTTTCTTCTTTATTAGTCTTGCTAGTGGTCTATCAATTTTGTTGATCTTTTCAAAAAACCAGCTCCTGGATTCATTGATTTTTTGAAGGATTTTCTGTGTCTCTATTTCCTTCAGTTCTGCTCTGATCTTAGTTATTTCTTGCCTTCTGCTAGCTTTTGAATGTGTTTGCTCTTGCTTCTCTAGTTCTTTTAATTGTGATGTTAGGGTGCCAATTTTAGATCTTTCCTGCTTTCTCTTGTGGGCATTTAGTGCTATAAATTTCCCTCTACTCACTGTTTTAAATGTGTCCCAGAGATTCTGGTATGTTGTGTCTTTTTTCTCACTGGTTTCAAAAAACATCTTTATTTCTGCCTTAATTTTATTATGTACCCAGTAGTCATTCAGTAGCAGGTTGTTCAGTTTCCATGTAGTTGAGCGGTTTTGAGTGAGTTTCTTCATCCTGAGTTCTAGTTTGATTGCACTGTGGCCTGAGAGACAGTTTGTTATAATTTCTGTTGTTTTACATTTGCTGAGAAGTGCTTTACTTCCAACTATGTGGTCAATTTTGGAATAAGTGTGATGTGGTGCTGAGAAGAATGTATATTCTGTTGATTTGGGGTGGAGAGTTCTGTAGATGTCTATTAGGTCCACTGGGTGCAGAGCTGAGTTCAATTCCTGGGTATCCTTGTTAACTTTCTGTCTCGTTGATCTGTCTAATGTTGACAGTGGGGTGTTAAAGTCTCCCATTATTATTGTGTGGGAGTCTAAGTCTCTTTGTAGGTCTCTAAGGACTGGCTTTATGAATCTGGGTGCTCCTGTGTTGGGTGCATATATATTTAGGATAGTTAGCTCTTCTTGTTGAATTGATTCCTTTACCATTATGTAACGGACTTCTTTGTCTCTTTTGATCTTTGCTGGTTTAAATTCTGTTTTATCAGAGATTAGGATTGCAACCCCTGCCTTTTTTTTTTTGTTTTTCATTTGCTTGGTAGATCTTCCTCCATCCCTTTATTTTGAGCCTATGTGTCTCTCTGCACGTGAGATGCGTTTCTTGAATACAGCACACTGATGAGTTTTGACTCTTTATCCAATTTGCCAGTCTGTGTCTTTTAATTGGAGCACTTAGCCCATTTACATTTAAGGTTAATATTGTTATGTGTGAGTTTGATCCTGTCATTATGATGTTAACTGGTTATTTTGTTCGTTAGTTGATGCAGTTTCTTCCTAGCATCGATGGTCTTTACAATTTGGCATGTTTTTACAGTGGCTGGTACTGGTTGTTCCTTTCCATGTTTAGTGCTTCCTTCAGGAGCTCTTTTAGGGCAGGCCTGGTGGTGACAAAATCTCTCAGCATTTGCTTGTCTGTAAAGGATTTTATTTCTCCTTCACTTATAAAGCTTAGTTTGGCTGGATATGAAGTTCTGGGTTGAAAATTCTTTTCTTTAAGAATGTTGAATGTTGGCCCCCACTCTCTTCTGGCTTGTAGAGTTTCTGCCAAGAGATCAGCTGTTAGTCTGATGGGCTTCCCTCTGTGGGTAACCCAACCTTTCTCTCTGGCTGCCCTTAACATTTTTTCCTTCATTTCAACTTTGGTGAATCTGACAATTATGTGTCTTGGAGTTGCTCTTCTCAAGGAGTATCTTTGTGGCATTCTCTGTATTTCCTGAATTTGAATGTTGGCCTGACTTTCTAGGTTGGGGAAGTTCTCCTGAATAATATCCTTCAGAGTGTTTTCCAACTTGGTTCCATTCTCCCCATCACTTTCAGGTACACCAATCAGACATAGATTTGGTCTTTTCACATAGTCCCATATTTCTCGGAGGCTTTGTTTTTTCTTTTACTCTTTTTTCTCTAAGCTTCTCTTCTCGCTCCATTTCATTCATTTGATCTTCAATCACTGATACCCTTTCTTCCAGTTGATGAAATCAGCTGCTGAAGCTTGGGCATTCATCACGTAGTTCTCGTGCCATGTTTTTCAGCTCCATCAGGTCATTTAAGGACTTCTCTACATTGGTTATTCTAGTTAGCCATTCATCTAATCTTTTTTCAAGATTTTTAGCTTCTTTGCGATGGGTTCGAACTTCCGCCTTTAGCTCAGAGAAGTTTGATCATCTGAAGCCTTCTTCTCTCAACTCATCAAAGTCATTCTCCATCCAGCTATGTTCGTTGCTGGCAAGGAGCTGCGTTCCTTTAGAGGGGGAGAGGTGCTCTGATTTTTAGAATTTTCAACTTTTCTGCTCTGTTTCTTCCCCATCTTTGTGGTTTTATCTACGTTTGGTCTTTGATGATGGTGACGTACAGATGGGGTTTTGGTGTGGAAGTCCTTCCTCTTTGTTAGTTTTCCTTCTAATAGTCAGGACCCTCAGCTTCAGGTCAGTTGGAGTTTGCTGGAGGTCCATTCCAGACCCTGTTTGCCTGGGTATCAGCAGCAGAGGCTGCTGAACAGTGAATATTGCTGAACAGCAAATATTGCTGCCTGATCATTCCTCTGGAAGCTTTGTCTCAAAGGGGTACCTGGCTGTGTGAGGTGTCAGTCTGCCCCTACTGGAGGATGCCTCCCAGTTAGGCTACCGCGGGGTCAGGGACCCACTTGAGGGGACCGTCTGTCCGTTCTTAGATCTCAAATTCTGTGCTGGGAGAACCACTACTCTCTTCAAAGCTGTCAGACAGGGACATTTGAGTCTGCAGAGGTTTCTGCTGCCTTTTGTTTGGCTATGCCCTGCCCCAGAGGTGGAGTCTACAAAGGCAGGCAGGCCTCCTTGAGCTGCAGTGGGCTCCACCCAGTTCGAGCTTCCTGGCCACTTTGTTTATCTACTCAAGCCTCAGCAATGGTGGGTGCCCCTCCCCCAGCCTCACTGCTGCCTTGCAGATTGATGTCAGACTGCTGTGCTAGCAATGAGCAGGCTCTGTGGGCCTGGGACCCTCTGAGCCACGTGCGGGATATTATCTCCTGGTGTGCCATTTGCTAGGACCTTTTGAAAAGCTCAGTATTAGGGTGGGAGTGAGCCGATTTTCCAGGTGCCATCCATCACGACTTCCCTTGGCTAGGAAAGGGAATTCCCTGACCCCTTGCACTTCCTGGGTGAGGCAATGTCTCACCCTGCTTCAGCTCACACTCAGTGGGCTGCACCCACTGTCCTGCCCCCACTGTCCCACAAACCCCAGTGAGGTGAACCTGGTACCTCAGTTGGAAATGTAGAAATCACCTGTCTTCTGCATCACTCATGCTGGGAGCTGTAGACTGCATCTGTTCCTATTAAGCCATCTTGGAACCATCCCCACAAACTGCGTCATTTATAAATATGAATGACCAATTTTTTTCAACTTAATATTTTCAATGTCAGATTTTACATTTTCTCTTAAGAGTATACTGACACTTGTTTTTTAAGTTTTTTTTTCATTTTGGATTCACTTTATATATCCTTTGCATTCTAGCTTTCTATATTATTTTACTATGTTTTAATTATTTTTAAATTTTTCTGGGTACATAGTAGCAGTATATATTTATGGGATACATGAGATATTGTGATACAGGCATGCAATGCATAATAATGACATCAGAGTAAATGAAGTATCCATCACATCAATAGTTTATTTTTTGTGTTACAAACAATCCAATTATAGTCTTTTACTTATTTTTAAATGTACAATTAAATTATTATTTAGAATATAGTCACCCTGCTGTGCTATCAAAATGTAGGTTGTTTTCCTTCTTTTAAATTATTTTTGAAATAGACTGTTTTGCCTTCCACTACCTTTCACAGCCTCTGGTAACCATCCCTCTACTCTTGATCTCCATGAGTTAAATTGTTTTAATTTTTAACTCCTGTAAATAAGATCATGTGAAGTTTGTCTTTCTGTGCCTGGCTTATTTCACTTAATATAATGACCTCTATGTTGCTGCAAATGACTGGATCTTACTCATTTTTAGGGCTGAATAGTACTCCATTGTGTATATGAACCACATTTTCTTCATTCATCTGTTGATGAACACTTAGGTTGCTTTCAAATCTTGGCTATTGTGAATAGTGCTGCAATAAACATAGGAGTGTAAATATCTCTTCGATATACTAATTTCCTTTCTCTTGGGTATATACCTAGCAGTGGGATTGCAGGATCATATGGTAGCTCTATTTTAGTTTTTTGAGGAACTTCCAAACTGTGCTCCATCCATGTGGTTGCACTAATCTGTTGCACAACTGTTCTTCCCACCAACAGTGTACAAGGGTTCCCTTTTCTCCATATCGTCACCAGCATTTGTTATCGCCTATCTTTTAGATAAAAGACATTTTAATTCTGGGGAGATGAATATCATTGTAGTTTTGATTTTCATTTCTCTGATGATCAATGATATTGAGCACCTTTTATAAACTTGTCATGTATTTGTTTACCATTTATGTGTTTTCTTTTGAGAAATTGCTATGCAGATGTTTTGCTCATTTTTAAATCAAATTATTAGATTTTTTCCTACAGAGTTATTTGAGCTCCTTATATATTCTGATCATTAATCCCTTGTCAGATGAGCAGTTTGCAAATATTTTCTGTCATTCTGTGGGTTGTTGCTTCAGTTTGCTGATTGTTTCCTTTGCTGTGCAGAAGATTTTTAACTTGTGATTCCATTTGTCAATTTTTGCTTTGGTTAACTGGGCTCGTGGTGTATTATTCAAGAAATCTTGGTCCAGGCCAATGTTCTGGAGACTTCTCCAATATTTACTAGTATTAGTTTCATAGTTTGAGGTCTTAGATTTAAGTCTTTAATCCATTTTGCTTCGATTTTTGTATATAGTAAGAGATAGGAGCATAGTTTCATCCTTCTGCCTGTGGTTATCCAGTTTTACCAGCACCATTTATTGAAGAGACTATCTTTCCCCAATGTATGTTCTTGGCAAATTTGTCAAAAATCAGTCCACTGTAAATATGTGGATTTGTTTCTGGTTCTCTATTCTGTTCCACTGGTCTATGTGTCTTTTTTTTTTTTTTTTTTTTTTGGAATGCCAGTACCATACTGTTTTGGTTACTATAGCTTTGTAGTATAGCTTGAAGTCAAGTAATGTGATTCTTCTAAGATTTTTTTTCTTATTGCTCAGGATAGCTCTGGCTATTCTGGGACTTTTGTGGCTTCACATAAATTTTAGGATTTTTTTTTCTTTTTCTGTGAAGAATGCCATTGGTATTTTGATAGAGACTACACTGAATCTGTAGATTGCTTTAGGTAGTATGGATATTTTAATAACATCGGTTCTTCCAGTCCATGAACATGAAATATCTTTTCATTTCTTTGTGTCTACTTCAATTTTTGCATCGATTTTTCACAGTTTTTCTAGTTTTTCTTACAGAGAACTTTCATTTCTTAGTTTAAGTTAACGCTTAGGTATTTTATTTGTAGCTATTGTAAATGGTATTACATCCTTGATTTCTTTTTCAGATTATTTGCTGTTAGCATTTAGAAATGCTACTGATTTTTATATGTTTATTTTGTATGCTGCTACTTTACTGAATTTGTTTATCAGTTCAAATAGTTTTTTGTGGAGTCTTTAGGTTTTATCAAATATAAGATTATATCATCTGCAAACAAGGATAATTTGTTATCTTTTTTTCTATTTGGATGCCTTTTATTTCTTTCTTTTGTCTGATTGCTGTAGCTAGGACTTCCAGTACTATGTTGAATAACAGTGGTGAAAGTGACCATCCTTCTCATGTTGTCAATCTTACAGGAAATGCCTTCAGTTTTCCCCCATTCAGTATAATACTAGCTATGTGTCTACTGTATATGGCTTTTATTATGTTGAGGTATGTTCTTTCTATACTCAGGTTTTTTAGGATTTTTATCATGAAGAGATGTTAAACTTTATCAAATGCATTTTCAGCATTAATTGAAATAATCATATGTTTTTGTCCTTCATTTGGTTGATATGCTGTATCTCATTAGTTGATTTGCGTATGTTGAGCCATCCTTAAACTCCTGGGATAAACCCCATTTGTTCATAATGAATAATCTTTTCAATGTGTTGTTGAATTTGGTTTGCAAGTATTTTGTTGATGAATTTGCATCAATATTGGTTAATATTGACCTATAGTTTTCTTTTTTTGATATGTAATTGTCTGTTTTTGGTATCAAGGCAATACTGGCCTCGAAGAATGAGTTTTGAAGTATTCTTTCCTCCTCTATTTTTCACAATAGTTTGAGTATGATTGGTAACAATTCTTCTTTGAATGTTGGAATTCAGCAATGAATCCACTGGGGTCTGGGCTCCTTTTGCTGGAAGGCTTTTTATTATGGCTTCATTCTTTTTACTTGTTATTGGTCTGTTCAGGTTTTTTTATTGGTCTATCAGATTTTGTCATTGTTCAGTCTTGGTAGGTTGTATGTATAGATACAACATGGAATTTATCCGTGTATTCTAGATTTTCATCCTAATTGACATATAGTTGCACATAGTAGCCACTAAAGATCCTTTGAATTTCTATGGTGTCAGTTGTAATATCTCTTTTTTGATCTCTAATTTTATTTGGATTTTCTCACTCTTTTTCTTAGTCTTGCTAGAGGTTTGTCAATTTTGTTTATCTTTTCAAAAAATAACTTTTCATTTTGTTGAGCTTATATACTGTTTTCAATGTAATTTATTTCTGCTGTGATCTTTATTTCTTTCACTAAGTTTTGGTTTGATTTGCTCTTTATTTACAAGTCCATTAAGATGCATCATTAAGTTATTTATGTAAAATTTTTCTTCATTTTTGATACAGGCATTTATAGCTATAAACATCCCTCTTAGTACTGCTTTCCCTGCACCCCATTGGTCTTGGTGTTTTGTGTTTGCATTGTTGCTTATTTGAAGAAATTTTTCAGTTTTCCTCTTAATTTCTTTCTTGACCCTCTGGTCATTCAGGAGCATATTGTTTACTTTCCAAGTGTTTATATAGTTTCCAAATTCCTCTTGTTATGGATATTGAGTTTTATTTCATTGTGGTCAGAGAAGATTCTTGATATTGTTCTCATGTTCTTGAATGATTTAAGACTTGTTTTGTGACCTAACATATGCTCTATCCTTGAGAACGATCCATGTGCTGAGGAGAAGAATGTGTATTCTGCATCCATTGTATGAAATGTTCTGTAAGTATCTCCTAGGTCCATTTGGTCTGTAGTGCAGATTAAGTCCCAAGTTTTTCTCTTGATTTTCTCTCTGGAAGATCTGCCCAAGGAGTACATGGGGTGTTGAAGCCTCCAGCTATTATTGTATTGTGGTATATATATATATATATATCTAGCTCTATTAGTATTTGTTTTATATATCTGGGTGCTCCAGTGTTTGGTGCACATATATTTACAACTGTTATTTCCTCTTGCTGAATTGACCCCTTTATCATTATATAATGACCTTTTTGTTTCTTCTTATGGATTTTGTCTTGAAATCTGTTTTGTCTGATATAAGTATAGATACTCCTGCTTTGTTTTTGTTTTGTTTTGTTTTGTTTGTTTTTGGCTTCCATTGGCATGGAAAATTTTTTTTATCACTTTATTTTCAATCTATGTGTGTCTTTATAGGTGAAGTGTGTTTCTTGTAGACAACAGATCATTGGGTCTCATTTTGTAATCCATTCAGCCACTGAGTTTTTTGATTGCAGAGTTTTGTCTATTTACATTCAGTGTTATTATCAATAAGTAAGGACTTACTCCTGCCATTCTGTTATTTCTTTTCAGTTGCCTTGTGGTCTTTTCCTCCTTCTTTCCTTCCCTCCTATCTTCCTTTTAGTGAAGGTGATTTTCTCTGTTAGTATAATTTAATTTCTTGCTTTTTATATTTTGTGTATCAATTGTATTTTTTATTTGAGGTTACTAGGAGTTTTGCAATTACTCTCTTAATAACTTATTTTAAACTGATTGCATAAACAAGCAAAAAGAAAACTAATAAAAACTCTACTCTTCACTGCTTTTTAACTTTTCGCTATTTCTCTTTATGTCTTATTGTAATGTATATGTCTTCAAAAGTTGTTGTAGCAATTATTTTGAATTGGTTCATCTTTTAGTTTTTCTACTTAGATCAGAGTAGTTTACACACCACAATTGCAGTTATAATATTTTGTGTTTTTCTTTGTACTTACTATTACCAGTGAGTTTTGTACCTTCAGATAATTTCTTATTGCTCACTAACATCTCCTTTTTTGTGACTGAAGAACTCCCTTTAGCATTTCTCGTGGGACAGGTCTGGTGTTGGCAAAATATCTCAGCTTCTGTTTGTCTGGTAAAGTCCTTATTTCTCCTTCATGTTTGAAGGATATTTTCACCAGATATACTATTCTAGGGTAAAAGTCTTTTTCCTTCAGCACTTTAAATGTGTCATGCCACTCTCTCCTGGCTTGTAAGTTTTTTGCTGGAAAGTCTGCCAGATGTACTGGCACTCCGTTGTATGTTATTTGTTTATTTTCTGTTGCTGCTTTTAGGATTCTTTCTTTATCCTTGCCTTTTTGGAGTTTGACTATTAAATGTCTTAAGGTAGTCTTCTTTGGGTTATATCTGACTGGTGTTTCATATACTTCTTACACTTGAATATAGATATATTATTTGGGTTAAATCAGATTTATGTTCTATAACCTTCTTATACTTGAATATTGAAGTTTGGGAAGTTTGTTGTTATTATTGCTTTGAATAAACTGTCTACCCCTCTTTCTCTGCCTCCTTTTTAAGGCCAATAGCTCTTAGATTTGCCCTTTTGAGGTAATTTGCTAGATCCTGTATGCATGCTTCATTGTTTTTTATGTTTATTTTTTTGTCTCCTCTGACTATGTATTTTTACATAGCCTGTCAGCAGGCCCACTAATTCTTTTTTTTTGCTTAATTCTGCTATTAAGAGACTGATGCATTCTTCAGTATGTCAATTGCATTTTTCAACTCCAGAATTTCTGCTTCTTTTTAATAGTTCAATCTGTTTGTTAAATTTATCTGATAGAATTCTAAATTCTTTTTCTGTGTTGTCTTGAATTTCTTTAAGTTTCCTCAAAATAGCTATTTTGAATTCTCTGTCTGAAAGGTTACAGATCTCTGTTTCTCCAGGATTGCTCCCTGGTGCCTTATTCAGTTCACCTGGTGAGGTCTTAATTTCCTGGATGGTCTTCATGCTTGTGGGTGTTCATCAGTTTCTGGGCACCCACAGAAGAGTTAGGTATTTATTATAGTCTTTTCAGTCTGGGCTTTGTTTGTACCTGTCCTTCTTGTGAAGGCTTTCCAGGAATTTCAAGTGACTTGGGTGTTATGATTTTAACCATATCTGCATTAGGTGACACCCTAAGCCTAGTAATGTTGTGGTTCTTGCACACTGGCCCAGGTACTTCCTTGGTGGTCTTGGATAAGATCTGGAAGACTTCTCCAGATTATCAAGCAGAAATTTGTTTTCTTCCCTTACTTTCTCAAAAACAAACAAAGTCTCTCTCTCTCTCTCTCTCTCTCTCTCTCTCTCTCTCTCTGTCTCTCTATCTCTTGACCTGCCTGGAGCCAGAGGTGGAGTGACACAAGCCCCCCTGTGGCCACCAGCACTGGGACTCTGCTGTGTTAGATCTAAAGCCAGCACAGCACTAGGTCTCACCCAAGGCCTGCTGGAACCACTACTTGTCTACCACCGATGTTCACTCAAGGTCCTAGGGCTCTATAACCAGCAGGTGGTGAAGCCAGCTAAGCTTGTGTTTTTTCCTTCAGGTCAGCAGGTTCCCCCAGGCTCCAGCTGGGTTCAGAGCTGTCAAGGAGCCATGGAGTGAAATCAAATACCTTGGAAATCTACCTGGTGCTCTATCCTTCTGCAGCTCAGTTGGCAATCAAAGTACAAGATAAAGTTCTTCCCATCTACCCTCCCCTTTCCAGCGGCAGACAAATCTCTTCTTATGGCTACCGCCAGCACCACAGGCCCACAGGAGTACTGCCATGCTACTGCTGATGCTCATTTAAGGCCCAAGGGCTCTATAGTCAGCTTGTGGTGAATGCTGCCAGGTTTGGGAATCACCCTTCCTGGCAGTGAGTTCCCCTCTTGCCCAGAGAAGATCCAGAAGTGCTGTGTAAGAAACAAGGCTAGAATCAGGGACCCCAAGAGCCTGCTTGGTACTCTACCCCAGTGTGTCCAAGCTGGTATCTAAGATGCAAGACGAAGATCCCTTTACTTTACCCTCTGCTTTTCTCAAGCTGAAGGAGTCTCTCATTGTAGCCACCACAGGTGGGAGTGTGCTGGGTCTCATTTGAAGCGAGCACATCTCAGACTTACCTATGGCTCATGGTGTACTACGTGGGTACTGCTGCTTGTTCTTCAGGGCCCAAGGGCTCTTTAGTCAACAGGAGATAAATCCTGCCAGGACTAGGTCCGTCAGTTCAAGGCAGTGAGTCCCCTTCTGTCCCAGGGTGTGTCTAGAAATGCTTTCCAGAAGATAGGGCCTGGAATGGGCCCCCCCACCCAGTTCTAACCAGTGCCCTATCCTACTGTGGCTGAGCTGATATCCAGGATGCAAAACAAAGTCCTCTATATTCTTCCCTCTCATCTCCTCAAGCAGAAGGATAGAGGCACTTTTGTTCCTGTGAGCTGTGCTGCCTGGGGTTTGGGGACGGGTGGTGCAAGAACACCCTTAGCCACCACAGCTGGTGTCTCACTAGACCATGTGCCCTGCAAGTCTACTGGCTCCAAGCCTAAAACAGCACTAGGACTTGCTGAAGAATTGCCATCCTTGTGGCCTAGAGTACGTTTCAAGTTGACTTAGAACCCCAGAGCACTTCAGCCCATGAGGCAAGTCTTGCCAGAACTCACGTTCCAACCACTAGGATGGGGAATTCACCTCTGGCTGGGGCCTGTCTAAATGCTTTCTCTGTGAGCAGGCGTCAGCTGAGTTCATCTTGGTTTTGCTTTCCACTGTGACAAGGCAGCACTGAGTTTAATGCAAAGTCTCACAACCACTTGTGCTGTCCCTCCCCAAAGTGCAAATTTTCTCTTTACACCATGTGGCTGCAGTCAGAGGATGAGAGAAGGGGTGGCATCAGAGATTCAAGACTTTCTTTTCTACCCTTTTCAGTCCTATCTTTTTATGCCTTTATAAGTCAAATAAAAAAGATAATTTATGTTTCAAAATACTTAATTGTTTTTTAAAAGTCAAAATATAGGCTATTTTGAGCCCCTCTGATCTGATGTCCCTTTATTCAGCTTGAAGTGCCCTTAAAAATTACATAAAGTTAAAATTTTTCCTCTTTAAAGAAAAAGATGAAAAAATATAAATTGTAAATATTAACAAAAGTTTTCAAGTCAGTTCCACTTACATCATTTACACATTTAAATTTCACATTATTGCAAAAAAATGCAAAGTATACACATTTTTTAATGAAATTTTGTGCAAATATTGTTATATAAATTAATGACAATTATTGAATATAGCTCAGTGTGTAATGCTGCAAATGATGACTAAAGACAGGCCTGCCCATTAAATTTGCCCTAAATGAAGTTATAGAATTATAACTGAATATGATTGCTGCTATCGTTTCCAAAGATATGTTAAAACAGTTTCCTCAATTTGAAAAGCACAATAATAAACAAAAACCCATTTTGTTTACGTTTCATAAAGGTTGGAGCTCTAAATTCGCTCAAATATATAAAAGAAGAAAATAGAAAAAGAAAAATGTTCACAGAGGACTGAACCAAATGTAATGTTTCAATGCTTTTTAATACAGTTTCATAGTGGAGTACATTACTTAATAAAACAATGTTTATTATTTCATAATTGCAATTTGTGAAAATAGTTTACGTTGAGGTGTTCAACATATGAATAAATTCATTATTTAATTTTCAGGGTTCTTGTAGGTTATTTCTTGTTGTATTTTATTATTTGCATAGAAGACTCAGGAAGTTAGATATTTATGCTAATTTCAGTGTCTTAAAAGGAAATATAACAGCATTTTTTATTTAAAATTTTATATCTATTTTGAAGTTTTCTTAAGAAAAAGTGACAAGTATTCAATAAAAAGTGGCATGATCTTTCATTCTTTCTCACCATCACTAAATTTTAATTGAAGCCTAAATGTGCACACAAGTACCTGAAAAAATGATTTTTCTTTGATAATCTATTTTAATGTGTGATGTTTTGAATTTGGCTAATTGTTAAAATCTCAGCTTTTAAATGACTATGACAAATTGGTTTTTTAAAGTGCTCTTTAAATGTCTCTATGAAGGCATATGATGTTGTTTCTTGAGGGGATATTATTTCATATAAAAGAGATTGTTCTAGCAAATAACTTATTACTCAAAAAATCATTAATATGTCAAATATTTGAATTACAGATGCTGTTGGCTGCAGATAATGAAATAACCTATTGACAATTAATTTAATAATGAAATAAATATTTATTGTAAATAACAAGAAGTCTAAAGGTAGATACTTTCAAGGTGGATTCAATGTCTCAATGTCACTAAAATGCCAATGCCTTTCCACTCATTATCCTAAGCAAGCTGGCTGCTTATTTTCAGTTTGTGGCTTCATGGTTTTAAGATTAATGTTGCATCTCTTTCTATCATATCCTTGCACAATAACATTCAAAGGAAAAAGAAAGTTAAGGTTCTGTCATCACAGCACTATCTTTTTAACAAGGAAGATGTCAGATGCTCTCATATACAACAGATTTCTCACTCTCTCTTTCAGACACACACATATATACACACACAAACACACATATACAGTTTTTCTTTCATCTTTTCGGCCAGCGCTATGACCTAGCTTTACTGCAAGAGAGCCTGACAAATGGGAATCTGACATTTTCAGCCTTTATAATGCGAAGTGACCTTTGGCAGGAAGTAAAAGGGGAAAAGTAAATGGTATTAGGCACAGTGTCTGCCACTGCTTCACTACAGTATCAAATTTCAGCACTGAATAAAATTTTTAGGTGAATCAATAAAATAATTTAATGATTATGTGTTAAATCACCAAAATTTAAATTCAGTGATTTTCTTGGGCTTTTTTTAAACTTTTAAAAAATAATTATGGATTCACAAGAACTTGCAGAGAAATGTGCAAGGCGGTCCAGTGCACCCTTCATCCAACCTCCTTCAATGTCAGTACTATCCACAGCTTCAGTACAATGTCAAAACCAGGAAATCAATGTTGGTATAATTCATAGAGTTTATTCAGATGTCACCAGTCATACTTGTACTTAGAATGTGTACATGTGTGCATGTGTGTATGTGTGTATGTGCTATCACATGTGTTGCTCTATACAATGCTATCACATGTGTTGCTTTCTGTAATTACCACCACAATCATGATACATTACTGTACCATTACCAGAGGCTCCCTTATGTAACTTCTTAGTAGCTATACACACACCTTCCCCTAATTCCTAACCACTGGTAACCACTAATCTATTTTTAGCCTCTATAATTATGTTATTTATTATTATAACATATTATTATCACAGATACTAGGTTATTCTATGTGTTTTTAACTTAGTTTGAATTTATGTGAAAGATAAAATTTAACACTGAGGAAATAAGACTAAAATTCTCAAAATTATATGTAAATATAGCAAACCAATTATTCTTAATAACTTTAACATGTTACTTACAGTTTAGGTGTAAAATATATCAACTGTTATATCCCCAAGAAGATTATTTTAAAAGTCTTTTAATCAAACAATGGTAAGTTGATCAGATTTTCTACTGTAAGAAAAAACACCACTTGGACAGAGTCCTCATTATATCTCAAAAAAAGGAAGATAAAGTAAGAATACTCAGTCTAAATCATTGTTTAGAATGGTGAGCATTATGAAGGGAGGGTTTGAATTAGTAAAATCTCATATATTATGTTAGCTGTTTGCACCAGTGAGCATTCTATTTTCCAGATAAGAGAGCTGTTTGTCCAAAGGAGCAAACTGTTTGCCCTGATAAATTGGGTCACAGCAATTTCATGAAGTAAATAGTGGTTATTTTTTGGTTTATACTCCTACCTTCCTGGTGAAGAGTTTCCTGGGACAAAATAAATATGGTATCATGTTATTGCAAGAAGACACAGCTCTCTGTATTTTCTTGTTTGTATGCCTGTGCTGGACAATAAATCAATATAATCTGGGGGTATGATCAATCCAAATCTGGATCACTCTTTGTGGAGTCATGTTCACATAATAAGTTTTTTTCTTGTGATAAATTCAACATTTATAAAGTTTAGTTTCTATTATTTTGGTGAATTATTATTTGGGAGACAGTGGCTTTGTAACAGCATTTAAGATTCTGGAAATCATATATTTCAGTATTGCAACATAGCAAATACTAAGAAAATAGTTTTTAGTTTTCTTCTAGACCAGGAATTAAGAATGCTCAAATTAAACCAAGACAACAGATCCTTTTGCCAATCTAAAAAGTTCATCGGATGAGATATTGGAGTATTAACCAAACCATATTGATATGATTTGGCTGTGCCCCACCCAAGTCTCGTCTTGAATTGTAATCCCCACATGTTGAGGGAGGGACCTGGTGGGAGGTGACTGGATCATGGGAGTGGTAATTTCCATGCTGTTCCCATGATATTAAGTGAGTTCTCACAAAATCCAATGGTTTAAAAGTGTTTTGCAGTTCCCCCCTCACTCTCTCTCTCCTGCCACTATCTGAGATGTGCCTTGCTTTCTTTTCAACTTCTGCCATGATTGTAAGAATCCTGAGGCCTCCCCAGTGATGTGAATCTGTGAGTCAATTAAAACTCTTTTCTTTATAAATTACAGTCTCAGGATTTCTCTATAGCAGTGTGAGAATGGACTAATACAGAAAATTGGTACCAGAAATTTGGGGCACTTCTATAAAGATACCTGAAAATGTGAAAGCAACTTTGACAGGCACAGGTTGGAAGAGTTTGGAGGGCTCAGAAGAAGACAGGAAGTTGTGGGGAGGTTTGGAACTTCCTAGAGTCTTGTTGAATGGTTTTGACCAAAATGCTGATAGTAATATGGACAATGAAGTCCAGGCTGAGGGGGTCTCAAACGGAGATGAGAAACTTATTGGGAACTGGAGTAAAGGTCACTCTTGCTATGCCTTAGAAAAGAGACTGGCAATCTTTTACCTCTGCCCTAGAGATATGTAGCACTTCAAACTTGAGAGAGATGAAATCAAGCAGAAGAAATTTCTAAGCAGCAAAGCATTCAAGAAGTGATCTGTTTTTTCTTGACAGTGTACAGTTATATGCATTCACAAAGAGATAGTCTGAAATTGGAACTTATGTTTAAAGGGAAGCAGAGCATAAATGTTTGGAAAATTTGCAGCCTGATTGTGCAGTAGAAAAAAAACCCTATTTTCTGAAGAGAAATTCAAGCTGGCTGCAGGAATTTGCATAAGTAACAAGGAGCTGAACGTTAATAGCCAGGACAATGAAGAAAATGTCTCCTGGGCAGTTCAGAAATATTTACAGCAGCCCTTCCCATCTCAGGTCCAAAGGCCTAGGAGGGAAAAAATGATTTTGTGGGCCAGGTCAAGGCCCCACTGCTCTGTACAGCCTTAGGACATGGCACCCTGCGTCCCAGCCACTCCAGCTTCAGCCATGTCTAAAAGGGGCCAAGGTATAGCTCCAGTGATGGATTTAGAGAGTGCAAGCCCCAAGCCTTGGCAGTTTCCATGTGGTGTTGGGCCTGCAAGGGCAAAAAAGACAAGAGTTGAGCTTTGGGAGCCTCTGCCTAGATTTCAGAGGATTAGAGAAATAACCTGAATGTCCCGAAATAAGTTTGCTGCAGGAGTGGAGCCCTCATGGAGAACCTCTACTAGGGCAATGCAGAGGGGAAATGTAGGGTGGGAGCCTCCACACAGAGTCCCCACTAGGGCACTGCCTAGTGAAACTGTGAGAAGAGGGTGCATCCTCCAGACCCCAGAATAGTAGATACACTGACAGCTTGCATTGTGCACCTGGAAAAACTTCAGGCACTCAATATCAGCTCATGAAAGCAGCCACAAGGGCTGTACCCTGCAGAGCCACAGGGGTGGAGCTGCCCAAGACCTTGGGAGCCCACGTTGCATCAGCATGCCCTAGATGTGAGACATGGAGTCAAAGGAAATTATTTCAGAGCTTTAAGATTTAATGATGGCCTTGTAGGGTTTCACACTTGTGTGGAGCCTGTAACCCCTTTGTTTTGGCCAATTTATCCCATTTGGAATGGAAGCATTTACCCAATGCCTGTACCCCCATTGTATCTTGTAAGTAACTAACTTGCTTTTGATTTTACAGGCCCATAGGCAGAAAGGACTTGTCTTGTCTCAGATGATACTTTGGATCTGTACTTTTAGGTTAGTGCTGGAATGAATTTAGACTTTGAGGGACTATTGGGAAGGCATGATTGTGTTTTGAAATATGCAAAGGACATGAGATTTGGGAGGAGCCAGGAGTGGAATGATATGGTTCGACTCTGTGTCCCCACCCAAATATCATCTCAAATTGTAATCCCCACAAATTGAGAGAGGGACCTAGTAGGAGGTGACTGGACCATGGGGGAAGTTTCCCCCATGCTGTTCTCATGGGAGTAGTGAGTTCTCATGAAATCTGATGGTTTAAAAGTGTTTGACTGTCCCACCCTTGCTCTTGCACTCTCCTGCTGCCATGTAAGACATGCCTTGCTTCCCCTTCACCTTCTACCATGTGAGTAAGTTTCCTGAGGCCTCCCTCAGCACACAGAACTGTGAGTCAATTAAACCTCTTTTCTGTATAAATTACTCAGTCTCAAGTAGTTCTTTACAGCAGTGTGAGAACAGACTAATACACATATTTATCATATATAAGTATATATATATATATTATAGGCGGAATTATATCTCCCCAAAATTGATGTTTTGAAGCCCTAAACCTTGGTATGCTAGAATGTGACTATATTTGGAGAAAGGTCTCTTAAAGAGGAAATTAAGTTAAAATAAGGTCGTAAAGATAGGCACTAATCCAATGTGATTGGTCTTATAGGAGGAGATTAAAATACATATAAGCACAGAAGAGGAGCAAGTAGAAGATAAAGGAATAAGATGGCCACCTACAAGTCAAGGAGAGAGTCCTCAAAAAAAAAAAAAAAAAAAAACCCTGAGGATACCTTGATCTTGAGCTTCTAGCCTCCAGAAATGTGAGAAAAATTAATTTATGTTGATTAAGTCACCCAGTCTCTGGTACTTCATTATGGCTGCCCTAGCAAAACTAGTACAATACATATTTATATTTTTCTGTAACCTCTAAACCAAGTATTATCTTGTGGTTTATGTTACCATCTGGTCTTAGTCTGTCAATACCTAAGACTGAGTAATTTATAAAGAACAGAAATTTATTTCTCACATTTCTGGAGGCTGGGAGGTCTAAGATCAAGGCACAAGCATCTGGTGTTGGGTGAGGGCCTTCTTGCTCTATCTTCCCATGGTGGAAGGTGGAAGAGCAAAAACAGACAAACTGTGTCCAAATATGGCAGAAGAGCAGAAGTGTGAACACACTCCCAGAAGCCCATTTTTAGCAGCATTAATACATTCATGAGAATGAAGCACTCATGACCTAAACATCTCTCATTAGGCCCCACCTTCCAATACTATTGCATTGGGATTAAGTTTTCAACACATGAATTTTGGAAGGAACATTCTGATTATAGCACTATCTTTATCCAAACTAACCAAATTTTGTTTTCCAAATTAAAAATAAAAAGAACTCAGAAAGCCAAAATAATAATTTTTCATAAGCCCAAATCTACCAGATTAATAACTTTTGAGTTTTATTGACCATTTAAAGAAAATTGCATATATTTTTACTCTACAACCATAGTATAATACATAAAAATAGTGAAAAGGGTAGACATAACAATGATTAGTGACCAATGTTTTGCCTCTTTTTTCCTTAGAAATTGTCCAAGTACCCAAAGATTAAATTATTACCTCAATAAAAGATTAGCTTCAGCCTTTAAAGTTAAATAAAGTTCTAGAAATTAAAATTAAACAAGCAAATTAAGTATATATAGTTGGTTATATTGTAAGAATTCACAGGCTTAAACATTTTAGAAGTTATTCATTGTTATGAGTTCTTTTAGTTAAATACAACTGTATAGTTTTGCAATCTTAAGACAATTTATAGAAACACTAATGACTCAACCCATAGAACTAATGTAAAAATTTTTGAAAGTTTAACATAGATTAAACTCAAAGCATGTACTAACTAAAATACTGCACTAACATTTTTACATAGTGGCAAAATTAGGGAGAAAACAAAAAGTATTCAAAGCTAAAATTAAAATATCTTAATCTTAAGAGTTATCTCTTGTTCTGGAATATCACATGAACTTTAAGAAAATATTATTTATAAACCTTTATATTCTTTTCCAAATTTTAAAGACTCTTCAAATCTTGACAAAATCCCTAACTTTCTAACTTTTGCTAAGAACCAAAGCCATTTCTCAAACTCACATTATACTTTTTAAAATCTGAATTTGTTTCTGCATTTATTTTGTGTGTAACATCTGTGTTTTTCATATACTGTCAGTTCAGTAGTTTAATAAAATATGGTGAATTTAGATTTCTTTGGGAGATATTCCAGGGTATCTCATTTGAAAATTGCCCAAGATGATGCAATTCAGTACATGTACACCAGAATTTTAAATTTTTAAATAATTTTTCTGTTTAAATTTTATGGCATTTAATATTAATAGCTTTGAGGAGATTCAGTGCTTTTTTCTAAGCTTAAACAATGAAGTCAATTATTAGATCATTTAGTAATTTACTAGATATAAGTCATTCCAAGTTTAGTTAACTTAGTGATCCAAAGATGGCATCAGAAGCCAAGCGTCTTCCATGTTTCCAATTAGACCATATTCAGCATATTGGCTTTTTCCTGTTTGTCTCCTTGCGCCACTTTACTGCTGTAATTGTGTGTGTGTGTGTGTGTCTGTGTGTGTGTGTGTGTGTGTGTTGTTTTTAATTCTAAGATCAATTTTTATTTCTTCCAAAAATAAAAGAGGCAGTCAAAACAATTTAAGACATGTTTTAAAGGATATTATTGAGTGAGCTTCAAGGGGAGCTTGACTCTGCAAAGGCTGTGAGTCCAAAGGAAGAAGGATGTCTGTCTTGTTCCTTGGCTGGCTGGCTGCTCCGAGGACAAAGGCGCCAGCAGAGGCCCCGGAGACCCCAGACTGGTGCCCTAAATAGCCGAGTCCTGCCGATTCCAATTCCAATCTCGCACAGGATCAGACTGTGCTGAGGGAGGGCTGTGGTGGGGCCACGCATCCAGAAAGTGGAGATTGAGCCCCGTGGCGCATTCCGATGGAACTCGGTGACAAATGAACTTGAAATTTCAAATGGACATTATGGCTTTAACGTTGCTTGCAAGGACCAGAAGATCTAACTGGCTGCAGGAGTGCCACCCTTTGTCTCTGGAGTCTTTCTGGCGAGAGATTCACCACGTGCAGTGTGCACAGCACCCTCTTGGCTGGCCGACCTGTTATTATAGGGTTTCCCTATGCAGGCCAGGTCCGCCCGGAGATCAGTCGTGCACCCCGACATCGAGGTTTGCCCAAGTCATTGACTATATTGTAGTAACATTAGCTGGATATTTACAGGACAGCTGGCTCTCCCTTTCCACGGATTTTTAGGGAGAGGGCTGGAGGGGAGGGCTGTGGCTCTTTGCTTGTTTTTAAATTTTTAAAATGATATTATAAACTGGGAGTCAGGAGAATTTTAAACCAACTCCTACATAGAGCAGTCCAAATAAGTGAGAGGAAAAGCCACCAGAAACACCTGGGTCCTCTCCTCTCCCATGCAGAGGAGGCAGGGCCTAGGTATGGGGAAGTCAATAAATGAAAAAGAAACTGAGTGCAAGAAGTGGGAGTTGCAAGGGCAGAAGGAAGAAGGGGAACAACGTATTTTTTTTTCTTTTTTTTTCTTTTTTAATCTTAAGAGCTAAGTGTAGCTTGAAGATTTTCGATAACTTTGGACAAGAAAAGGAAAATCGTTCTTTTGAAGTAGGTTGAAGCAGTGATTTTTTTAAAACAAAAAGCAGAATGAAAACACCTTAAATGTTTCATCTTTTCTTTACAAGTTACCTAGATCACTTTTGATTGAGAAAACTGTGGAAAGCTAGTAACTGCCACAAGGAAACCCAGGGGATGGCATGTGTCAATTTTCCACAGAGCCTTGCTTTCTGGGTGTCTGAATGCACTGCTCCCAGGGGCAAGGGCTCTGCTCACATTTGCTGGAATCAATCGCAGCAGATTTTAGTCTGCAAGTCGCTTTTGACTGTATTGCTTTGTAAACTCTCCAGCATTCTTACAGAATTTTTTATGATCCTTAGAGTATTCTTCAGGTAAGTCAGGCCAAAGGGGATGCTTGGGCTGAGGATAGATCATCAGTGCTATGAAAGACTGACTGGATTACTTAGTTGGTTTTGGTTGCCAGCTTCTAGTTTTCAGCACTAATTACTGGCAAACAGACCTTCCCCTTTTCATCAATGTTCAGGTGATAGGTCTTTGTTTTAAATGTGATCTTTGGTGGTTTGAATGAGTACTCTGTGGGAAAGTTGGTTTTGATCCTGAAGGCCCTGTATTAGCCCATTTTTGCATTGCTATAAAGAAATACCTGAGACCGGGTAAATTATAAAGGAAAGAGGGTTAACTGGCTCATGATTCTGCAGGCTCTACAGAAGCATAGCTGCATTTGCTTCTGGGAGGTCTCAGGAAGCTTCTGATTATGGCAAAAGGCAAAGGGGAGCAAGCACATCACATGGTGAGAACTGGAAGGGTGAGGGGAAGCACCACACACTTCTAAACGATCAGATCTCAGAACACTCCTCCAAGAACTCACTCACTATCTGGAGGACAGCACCAAAGGGATGGTGCTTAACCATTCATGAGGATTCTGCCTCCATATTCCAGTCACCACCTGCCAGGCCCTACCTACAATATTAGGGATTACATTTGAACATGAGATTTGAGTGGGGACAAATATCCAAACTATGTCAAGCCCCCTTATCATGTGGAGGCTTGTCCATCACCCTTCTGCTGACAACCCTCTTGGACATCAACTGCTACAGTTCGACACCTCACATCCACATGCAACAAAACCCAGTTAGAAAGGGCTGTTTATCACTTCCTATGTTTGTATTTTTTTAAACTTTTTCTTTCTTTCCTTATTTTGAGACGGAGTCTTGCTCTGTCACCCAGGCTGGAGTGCAGTGGCGCAATCTCGGCTCAGTGCAACCTCCACCTCCCAGATTAAAGCAGTTCTCCTGCCTCAACAACCCAAGTAGCTGGAATTACAGGCGTGCACCACCACACTAGCTAATTGTTTTGTATTTTTAGTAGAGATGGGGTTTCACCATGTTGGCAAGGTTGGTTTGGAACTTCTGACCTCAAGTGATCTGCCCACCTTGACCTCCCGAAGTGCTGGGATTACAGGCGTGAGCCACCGTGCCTGGCCTAAACTTTTTTATTTTGAAATAACTGTAGATACAGGAAGTTGCAAAAAATTGTACAAAGAGGACCGGTGCCAGTGTAGTACTCCCTTAGTTTTCCTCAATAGTTACATCTTATATAATTGCAGTACAATATTAAAACCAAGAAATTGACATTCAATACAATGTGTATGCATACTTTTATGTTATTTTATCAGTTGCGTAGATGTGTAAATGAATAACTTGGCTTTTTTTTTTTTTTCACTCAGCATGATACCCTTGAGATCTGTCCAAGACATCCAAGTTGAGTCTTTTTTATTGCTGAGTAGTATTCAATGGTATATATGGATCACAGTTCGTTTAACCATTCACTTGTTGAAAGACATTTTGGTTGTTTTCAGTTTCTGGCCATTTCTTACAAAGCTGCTTTCAACAATCATGTACAGGTTTCTATGAGGACGTATTTCCCTACCTCCCACTCTACCCCCAGAATAAATTCTCAGGAGTCCAAGTGCTCGATTGTCTAGTGGTAAGTATGTGTTTAGTATTTTTAAGAAACTGCCAAACTATTTTCCAGATTTTACAGTCCTACGAGCATTTGGTATTGTCACTATTTTGGTTCTTCCAAAAGGTATATAGTGATATCCCATTTTGGATTACATGGATGCAGAGGAACTGGATCTGTCACACATTGCTGGTAGGACTGTGAAATCTGGAAATACAAATGTAATCCAAATGAGATATCACTACATTCCTTTTGGAAGAACTAAAATAGTGACAATACCAAATGGTATTTTGGATTACATTCGTATTTTAACAGCTAGTGATGGTGAACATTTTTTTCATGTGCTTATTTGTCATCTTTATATCCTCTTCAGTGACATGTTTCTTCATGTCTTCGACCATTTTCTAATTTTATTGGTTATTTTGGGGGTTTTTGTCTGTTAGTTTTACTGCTGAGTTTTGAGAGGTTCTTATATATTCTAATAGAAGTCTTTGTCAGATATGTAGTTTACAATTCTTTTCTCTCATTCCATAGCTTGTCTTTTAATTTTCTTATAAGGGTCTTTCTCAGAACAAGTGTTTTTAATTTTGATGAAGTCCAACTTATTGATTTTTCTTTTTATGGGTGGTGCTTTTGGTATCATGTCTAAGGACATGTGACTGAGCCCTAGGTTCCAGAGTTTTCTCCTATGTTACCTTTTAAAAATATTATGGTTTTGAGTTATCTGTTTTGAGTTGGTTTTAGGCAAAGTGTGCGATGTGGATCAAGGTTTATTATTTTTGTCTATGGATATTTAATTGCTTTACTACCATTTGTTGAAAAGAATACCCTTTCTCCTTTGAATTTCTTTTACACCTTTGTCAAAAATCAGATGTTTGCATTTGTGTGGGTCTATTTCTGGGTCTTAAGTGCTCTTAAGTAAATTACTAGAGTTGGTCATATTAATTTTTTCACTGGTTTTGCTACCCTGGTATCAGTTTTTAATGTCTGTATTTCATTCAGACAACCCTTAGAGATTAGTAAAATTACAAAATATAAAATTATTTTTTGATGTAACCTGTTTTACATCAATAAAAAGCACATATGAGCATTTGAACTTATGTTAAATGTTTATTCAAACATTTCTTCTCTGATCACTCTCCCATCCTCTTCATCCAAAAACATAAAATACAGATTATATCCTACAACATTAGATTATGCTTACAACATAAAAGTTCTGTTCTCTAATTAGATGAAATATTCAAAACAGTGATTGGGAAAGCTCCCCTATTCTACTGGAATGATATGATATCATTTGGAACATCATGTAATTAAATACTAGAAATGAGCTATTGTTGAAATGAGAACACTGTCTAAATGAATAATCTTTACTTACACAATTCTTTGCAATGTTCAAATATTGGCCAGAAAATTTTGGTCTTGCAAAAAAGATCTGAAACGTAATTTTTTTTCCTATTTAATCCTCTATACAGAAAGAACCTACGAAGAAAGAGAAATTGTTTCACTGATGTTCAACATAGGTCAACTTTAACTGAATTACTCTAGGGAAACAACAGCAATTTCCATTAAAATCATCAAGTTTTATCTCCATTCTCCAGCAATTTATAAAGTATACTATCTAAGTCTCTACAGAGAACAAGGCAGATAGAAGCCAGATGACTAAGCACTGGCCTTCTGTTTTTCAAACACGTTCCCTGAACCTATTGTGTAACTAACTGATGCTTAAGCTTAGGACTGGCCTTTTTCAGCCTTTTTCATCTCACTCTCATTAAAAAGAGTTCAAATTAAACACACACCCATGAAACTCAGCAAATGGAAAGAAAGCATTTGACTCTCTTTCAGTTTTAGTCAGTACAGCTACATTAGTAACATATAAAACTTAAGTGATTTTACATGAATCCTTCATCTTATATGTCAAGATTAGAAAAATAAATCGAGCAGTTTTTCCAATTATTGCCATATTCACTCCTCCCAAATCACCTTGAATTCCTGCAAGCTCCAAGCTAACTCCTGTAAGCTACTTTTTGTATTATAAATGCATAAAATAAAAATTAAAGTGTTTATTTCATTGAGAGCTCATTTTCTTCAGTATTGTATGGCTAAAGAAGCCCTTAGCATCTTCTCTTAAACAGATATTACTACTGTTTCATAAAATTCTAAAGCTCAAAGGGATCTCAGGTTTCTTATCACAATTATGACCTTATTTGCTGTGTGAGGCATTGTCCTACACCTCTTAGATATACTTGACAGATGAAGAAACAGAGTGCCCAGGGTCACACAGTTAAATAGCAAAATCAGTTTAGCTCAGGCAGCCCATATCAAAAGATAATATCCTCAAACCATGCACCATAGAGATTCTCATGGAAACTTCTTATTTTAAAGATATGAACCAATCCCTAATAGGCATTTTGAACTTTTAATTTTTTTGCAGCAGAGTTTGCTAGTATCATTGTCAAATGTTCTATATGTTTTTACTTAAGTTTACCATGCTAGAAACTATTTAACATAATTGTGATGGTTTTTAAATAAATAATTATAAAGTGTTAACGTTCAAAATCTTTATATTATAAGGCTTAAATATCACTTAAGGTTAGAATAACAATCTACAAGTAACTGTAAATCAGAAATCGGCAATGACTTGAAATCATTCCAGTGTTTTAAGTAAAGTATGAATTGTATACACACCCATACATCTTTGCCATCATTATATCTAACCCTGAATGTATACTATGTATGTGTATATATATGTGGGTGTGTATACATATGTACATATACATATATACATATACATACACACATATACACTTACGTACACAGAGTGGTAGTATCAATGATAGTATATTTTCTAATATATTGATAGATGTACAAAATACAATACCCCTTTTATTACTTTTGATATTTATGTACAAATTATTTTACCTCACTATATACTCAGATGTATTAAATAAATAAAACAGATTTGAACAGTTCCCTTTCCCGTTCTAGACAAAGTTACCTGATTGACTGGAAGTGATTGGTAGGTGTGGAAAATCCGATCAGTATTTTTTCTAAGAATTGCTAGTTCTGTAAATATAGCAATTAATCTTAAATACTGTGTGATTAACTATAATCACAGTGAACTATAAATTCTAGATTTAAAATTGCCTCCAAGCCCAAGGATTAGCTGTAACACATTGCAAGATTTTCACCAGGTAGAGTGTACTTGGCTATACCTGAAAGTATTTATAATTTCTCATACGGCTGCTTAACAATGAAGTATACTTTTTGTGTCAAGGCTACTCATTAATAATGATGTTTTACAGGTATGATGAATTTTAAAGATAACATTTCACATTATATAAATGAATAAGCTAAGATTTCCAGATAATAAATCATTCATTCTATATGCACAGTGATTTAATTGCAAAGGAAAGATTGCATGGCTGGGAAAGTGCTTATTCCACTAAGTACTTCTTCATCCACAAAGAAATATAAGAGTGTATATTTCCCTGGAACCTTAGCAGAATAGTCAGGGAGGATTTTCTGTCCTTGGCCATAGGCATGAACTGAGTATGTTGGAAAAATGAATAGCAGATATTTATTACAGGCAAATCAAAGATAGGGTTTGTTTTAAATAACTGTAATCATAACAAAAATTAACAGTTTACTATGTATCAGTTGATGTTTTAAGCACCTTACAGTTAATATTGATAATTTTAAATGAAGTAACTAAGTTGCAATGAGCTTAAATAACTTGCTCAAAATTATCCAGCTTTACAGGCCTGGCTCCAGAATTCATGCATCTAAGCCCCGCATTCCAGTACCTTTTTAAGAAGGTTACAACCTTCTTCAGCACAGTGCTGTGTATTTTTAACTCCTCAGAAGCTGGTTTATAGCCTATCAGGTGATAGGCACATGGAAGAACTTAATTTTGTTTCCACTGAAAAACAATGACGGGGAAACATAAAGGCTAAGACAGTGGCCTGATACATTTTCAAGTCCTCAAGGGAGCTACATCTTTGGCCTCAGAGTGGCATATACTCTTCCAGCCTTGTGATCCTCAAGGATTATTTTTGACCCACTGCCTTGTCTAAATTAAAGCAGGTCAAGCCATACCTTTGACTCTTTTCTGCTAGACCCAGACCTAGGCTTGGGTTCTACTACTCTTAAAGTAATAAAAAACTGAATATTTCTTGTCAAATGAAACCAAATTTTCCTAAATTGCCCATTCTGTACTTGCTTTCCTTTTGACCTTATCCTGGCTCCTTCAGGCCTCCTCAGACCTCCTGAATGGAAGGAAAGTCCAGCTTAATTTAGTAAACATGAAAAGGGGAAGAAAAGGAAGAAAAGTTCAATCCAAAGTGGGTAACACTACAAAACAAAAAGTCTTTCAAACACAAAAAACACCAAAAAGGCGTTGCTTTTGGAAGAGACAAGTTTTTTTTTTTATTTTTTTTTTGAGACATTGAGACAGAGTCTGGCTCTTTCGCCCCGGCTGGAGTGCAATGGCACGATCTCCGCTCACTGCAAGCTCCGCCTCCCAGGTTCACGCCATTCTCCTGCCTCAGCCTCCCGAGTAGCTGGGACTACAGGCGCCCGCCACCGCGCCCGGCTAATTTTTTGTATTTATAGTAGAGACGGGGTTTCACCGTGTTAGCCAGGATGGTCTCGATCTTCTGACCTCGTGATCCGCCTGCCTCGGCCTCCCAAAGTGCCGGGATTACAGGAGTGAGCCGACGCGCCTGGCCGGAAGAGACTTTTAACCTCTCATCTTCCCCCTTATACCTCTGCCCACTTAACTCTCAGGCCCACTGCGTATAGTAGGTATTACATTTTGCCTTTAGCCTTTCGTCCTTGAGCCTGGAGAAAAGGGAGAAATGCCGTCTTTGCTTTGTCCCATTCTAAATTTTAAAGCAATCCACTATTATAAGATAATTAGTGGGTTTTCTAATCGGAATTAAAGAGGCCTCTGGCCATATTAAAATATCAGGAACAAAAAGAAAAATTCTAAACTCTATATTTCCAAAACATGAAAATATTTAACACACTCTGTAAGAGCACCTTTTACCAATTTTACCACTTATGGTTGTCAGCTACAAGTCATTCTACAAAATATTTTCAGATACACTACAATTGATTAAATTAAAATGCTTACATTAAAATAGTGATATTTTAATAATATTTTATTTATCAAAGTCTTTTTAACATTTACCATCCCTACAAACTATAAGCTATAAAGATAGTTCTCCAGGCTAGCTGCTGCTTATTTATATACGTAAAAAATTGTTATTAAAAAAATCATTGCTTCATGTACAGACAGCTTAAGTTATCTGTATGCTCAACTCAGCTCACAAAAAAAAAAAAAATGCAAATAAAAGCTATACTGAGATGGCTTTTTTTAACTATTAGGCAAAATTCCAAAAGTTTCCAAGCTATTCTGTTAGCAAAACTGTGGGGAAATGAATGCTAAAACTTTGCTGGTAGAAATGCAAGTAGAACAACCCTAATGGAAGAGAATTTGGCAGTATCTAGCAAAATTTAATATGCATTACCCTTTGGTACTACAATTCGATGTCTAGGGATCTGTCCAAAACACAAACAGACAAAAATACAAACACAAGTATCCACAAAGCTATTCATTGCAGTACTATTATAATAGCAAAGACTGCAAACCACTCAAAATTCTATCTATAGATGATTTGTTGAGTAAAATATAGCTGTGTTACTCAATCCATAGTCCATGCACTGAAAGCAAAATTCAGTCTGGGGGAACGCAACAAGATAAATGGCCTGGTTTCTTCAACAGAAAAGTTCTAAGAAAAAAAATAAAATATGTAAATTATTTCTGATACGTTGACCAAAAAGAATATCAACCATTCATCCATGTGCATGAAGCTTATCTCACTCTGTTGACATGGCCTTGCTTTTGCCCAGGCTGTAGTGCAGTGGTGTGATCATAGTTCATTGCATCCTCAAAGTCCTGGGCTCAAGCAATCCTTTCCCCTCAGTCCCCCTAATTGCTAGAACTACAGACCTGACTAATTTTTACATTTTTTTTGTAGAGACGGGGGTCTCACTATGTTGCCCAGGCTGGTCTTGAACTCCTGGCCTCAAGCAATCCTCCTCTCTTGGCCTCCCAAAGGGCTAGGATTACAGGTGTGAGCTTCCATGCCTGACTTTATGATTTTCAAAGACATAATCTTTTAAAGATCATACTGAAATATTTACAGATGTGCTGATATACTGTCTGGGATTTGCTTCAAATTATGTGGGAGACAATGGGCAGGGCTATACATGAAACAAGATTTGATTCATCTTGATAATTATTGAAACTGGATTATGGATATTTTATGTTTTTTACACTACTATTTTTAATAATACAAAACACTATAGGACTTGCAAGTTTGCTTCATTCTTGAAACTCTCCTAAAAGGTATTATGATGTGCTCAATTTGACTAATAATATCCTGCTTTGCCAGACCTCACTCAGAGAGTAACGGCCAATTGAGCAAATAGTGTATCTGTTCCTTTTTCTTTTTAACATTCTTAGCATTTTATTTGTGACTGTTTGGAATACTTTATACATTTAACTTTCATATAAATGTGTGAGTTCTCATTTAACAGATATATTTGTTAAAAACAAAAGATGGTGAAGTCCTTGAATCCCTTCTACTGCTCTCTTTTTCATTTCAGCTCATGAATTTTCTCATTCCAAAAATTAATGAAGTCATAGCCAATGGCTCCTTCTTCTCTTGCAGACTTTTCCTTTAGTAAAATATTGTCAACAATATACATCCTGAATTACACCATCTCACACCAAAATCACACTGATTCAAGCCAAAATAATCTCCTTTTAAAATCTGCTTTTTAAATGAGTTGTCACCGTAAAGTACACAGCACAGCATGGTGACTTTCTACATATATATAGAACTGTGCAACTTCCAACCAATCAAGATATAGAACATTTCTGGCACCTTGAAAGACTTCCTCATGCGTCACCCAGTCTATATGCCTTTAAAGGTAATGTCTATTTTATACTCATAATATGTTCCTTGATCTTGAGCTTCATAGAACTAGAATCATACAACATAGATCCTTGTAACTAGCTCCTTTCATGTCACATTATGTCTTTCAGACAATGAATGGTTTTTTTTTTTTAACGTTTTAATTTTTCTTTTTTTTTTTTTTTTAATTTGAGACAGAGTCTCACTCAGGCATAAGGGTACTCCCATCTCAGCCTTCCAAGGAGCTGGGACTGCAGGCATGTGCCTCCATGCCCAGATAATTTTTATATTTTTTGTAGAGGTAGGGTCTCACCATGTTGTCTAGGCTTTTTGTGAACTCCTGGGCTCAGGCAAACTGCACACCTCAGCATCCCAAAGTGCTGAGACTACAGTCATCAGCCACTGTGCCTAGCCCTCAATGTTTTTTATATCATTGTATTTCATTTTTTCCATTTCTGTGGAGGAGTCCATTACATAAATATATCAATTTAGTTATTCTTTCTGTTGATAGGCTGTGTCTATGTGCAGTTCCCTGTTCAGCAGCTGTTATGAATAAATCTCCTAATAACATTCTTGTACATATATTTCAGTGGTCAAATATATTCATTTTTCTTGAACAGGTACCTAGAATTGGGTCATATGATATGCAGATATTTAACTTTAGTTGTTCAACATGGTCATGCCGATTTATGCTCACTATCAGTATATGTACATGTTTATATTAAGCAGCCACAATAACCTGCCTAAACTATGTATAATGGTCTTTTGCCTGCTTTCCCTTCCTCAACACTTGTCCTTCTGATATTAATTATCTATGCGGCACCCAGAAACATGACAGCCTTTCTGAGGAATATTTAAGTAGACATATGAAGAGAGAGTGAATCATGCAGATAACAGGTAGAAGGAAAGGCAATTGTGAGAGACCCGATGCCACCTCATGATTGATGTATTTGAGGAAAACAAGGAGGCTTTCGCTGGTGGGAAGTAGGTAAGGCAGGGGAGTTGTGGGAGTTACTTTCAGAGTGGTAGCCAGGGTCCAGACGATGCAGGCCATATTCAGAAATTTTGATTTTGTTCTAAACATGATGAGAAGCCGTTGAACAGTTTTGATTTTGGGAGTTACTTTACACAATTTCCATCCCTTTTAACCACAAAGATCATGGTTTTTAAAAATGACTTCACATTTTCTGTGGTTTCTTCGACCTTGCAGTAAAATAATGTTTTCCAGTTAACATGATAAATCAATAGTACTTCAAAAGTTGAAGAAATAAAAGTAAAAAAATACATTGTGGTTATAAAAAAGATAACCTGAATAGATTACTTAAAAGGAAACTTTGTATTTTCCCCTTATATCAAGCTGGGCAATTACTACAGTGATGGCTGCTCAATTTCAATATATATTATTCAAATTTTAAAATTTTAAAGCAATAGTTCTCGAGTAGATTTTAGAAACAATTATAATCATGTGGATTACAAATCATTATTTACAGATATTTTCAATTTGTAACTGCAAATTGAAATCCAGATATAGGCTACATTTCTCTAAACAGTCAGAATGGACCCACCCTTTAAATTTCTGTCTGTGCTTTTAACCATTTAATCAACACTTCTCAAACCTTTTCGATTTCCCAAGTCAGTTGGGGAATTCTTAAAAACAATTTCCAATTCCCCTTATAGATCTACCAAATATTACTCTCTGAAGGTGGGAACTCGGAATCTACAATCTTTAAAACTCCTAAACCACCAGCTTAAAATGTCAATCCTTACATAGATGTGTTAGTTCCCTGTTGCCATTGTGACAAATTACCACAAACTTAGTGTCTGAAAACAACACAAATTTATTATCATACAGTTTTGGTGGTCAGAAGTCTAGTTTTGTAGTGGTCAGAAGTCTAGTGGTCTAATGAAGCAAATTAAAGATGGCGTTCTTTCTGAAGAATTTAGAGCAGTACACATTCCTTGCCTTTTCCAGCTTCTAGAGGGTCCCCACAGTCCTTGGTTTTCAGGAAAATCACTGATTCCATCCTTACGTCTTCTCTGACTCTGGCCTTCCTGCCTCCCTCTTATAAGGACACCTGCGATTACACTGGGGCCTCTAGAATAATCTCCCATCTCAAGATTTTTAAATCAATCACATCTGCAAGGCTTTTAGCCACAAAAGGTAATGTCTTCACAGGTTTGGGGGATTAAGAGATGAACAGCTAGTGAACATTAAGTTTGTTGTAACTTTTTGTTTGTTTGTTGAAGTACATGCAGAAAAAGTGCTTGTGAAGTACATGTGAAGTACTTGTCTCACACAAATATGTAGTTAAAGAAGGACGACCCCCAGAAATTCTCAGACTACACTTTTGAATCCAATGATGTGAAAAAAACTAAGCAGAATTGAAGTGAGGAATTAAAAGATGATATTCATTTAGAAGAGAAAAGAACTAAAGCATAAGGAAAAGAAAAAGAAAAAAAGAAAGAGCAAAGGGAAAAAAATTAAAAAAAAGAGAAAATAAAAATGGTAAAATAGAAGACAAAAAAGAATGAAGCAAACAGCAGGTAAAAAAGATAAAAGATGAAATAAGGAGAAAGAAATATGAAAGTGGTGAATACAGCAGAAGAAGTAATTGAGTAGGATATGGAAAAGATATTGAAGAATAAATATGATATTTTAGGACTACTTTAAAGTAATGGAGAGAGTTACAAGATATCAACAGTGTTAAAATCTGGAAAAAGTGTTTTCAGAAAACACCAATTGATCTGATGACAAATATTATAATGATTGCTATTGCAAACAATTTTTTTATTGGTGACTGTGTTAGTTTGTTTTCTGTTGCTTATAACAGAACACCTGAAACTAGGTAATTTATAGAGAAAATAAATTTATTTCTTACAGTTGTGGAGGCTAAGAAGTCCAAGGTCAAGGGGCTGTATTTGGTGAGTGCCTTCTTGCTGGTGGGGACCACAAAGTCCCAAGGTGACACAGAGCATCACATGGCAAGAGGCTGAATATGCCAGCTTAGATCTCTCTACCTCTTACAGAGTTACAAGTCTCATTCCTATGACAACCCATTAATCCATTCATGAAAGCAGAGCTTTCATGACCCAATCACCTCTTAAAGGCCTTACCTCTCAATGTTGCCACAATGGTGATTAAATTTCAACATGAATTTTGGAGAAAACAAATACTGAAACCATAGCAGTGGCCCAGAGACATAAGGTTCTAAAATTCAATTGAAATAACAAAAAGGTAAAATTGTATTCTTCAGAGGTAAGATATAAGCACACACATATTTTAAGCTACATTTAATTATATTTCAATTTTAAGATTTTAGTTTTATTTAAAGAGTTAACACACATTGCAATTGCCCAGCATGTTAACTGAAAATAATTTGGCACAACTTCAATATTCAATAATATGTGTTTAATTGGTGAGCAAAATTAAATATCTGACAAGAGGGAATTAATTGGTACCAACTAAATGTTTTTCACACCTGAGCATAAAATTAAAATACAGTCAAACAAGCAGAGCAAGAATAATTAGTTTATAAAATGAATTATCACTTTTAAGTATAAATCACTAAGATCCTCCAAACCTACTTATTTTCCTTTTGTAATTAATTTTATTTTAAAATTAATTCTGTGTTTTCCTTATCACAAAAGCAATTATTGATACAGAATAATTAGGATATAAATAAGTAAAAATACATCTATCCAGAAACTACCAGTGGTAAAACCTTAATTTGTACTTCCAAATCTCATTCTATGCTCAAGTAACTTTTATTCATTTTTGCAAGCTGTCATATTTTACTTAAGCATTTCATCAATGGTAGAAACTTTATTCAGTGTTCCAACTAATACACTGTTGTTGAAGGTATAAGTTGCTCCAACCTATATACTTATGTTAGATATTTTGGGTTTTCCAACTAGTGTCCTACTCTTTGATATTAAAATTAACCCAAGTTTTCAATATTAAAAATAGTGATGTGCATGTGTAGTTGATTTCAAAATGGTTAGAAAAAAATACAAAATTGAGAAGAGTCTAAAACTAAACCAAAATAAGTAGAGATTAATAAAAATTTACAAAAACAACATGATGTACTAAAATTACCCATGCTCAAAATATCAGTAACTGAGACTCAATTCTCAAGAATTATTATGTGGATCAATTTGTTTTCTCCTGAACCGCTTTAGGCAATTATCAAGGGAAAGAGTTGGGAAATAGGAAGAGATGCAAAAGTTAACTTCACAATACTATTCTCTCTCGGGGAATGGAATAAATGCTTTCTCAAGGAAATAGATTTATAGGGAAATAAACAGCACTGTATCACTCCCCAGATCTTATTCTCTTAACCTATGGGTCTTAACAATTAACCATTAATAATTAAAAGCTCTGCCCTGGGTGGAGAAGACTACAATTCTCTCAGGCTAGTCCTACTCCCACTTCCTAAGACAACTGCCCTATTCCAAATACAGCTTTTTTTTAGTATTATCCTGGGACCACTGGATGTGGATTTAGCTTTTGCCTCAAGAAAATATAAGATTAAATCAAAATATTACATAAAATTAATTCAAGTTCACACTGCCCCACAGGCTAATAAAGTAAAATAAAATAAATGGCTTCCTAGAGTAATTTCCATCCTAAACATCATATCTTGCTGCAAGGATTGATATAGCTTACTAGAAATTTGATAATTAGTTTGATGATCGAAGAAATACGCCTTAAAGAATACAAATATTTAAATGTCCAACATTTGAATGTTTTTAATTCCTCTCCCCTTTAGGTAAGTTCAGGAAAATGGTAAAGTTCAAAATTTAATTTCACTCCAAAATTAATCAAATCTCAAGGAAGTCCACAATCATCATTCTCAATTTCTTACTCTGCTCGCTCTCAGCCAGAGGGTTCTCTTGGAATCCCAGGATATTATTCTCTTGACTGGTTTTCCCTCAAAAGAGCAAATTTCTTTTAGGTTTTAAAGTTGAATTAATCGAACCCTAAATCTATTTATATTTTTAATTACAAATGAAGACCTTACAATAACAGTGCCTGGTACACACTGAGAATGAAAAATAAAATTATTGTTATTATTGTATGTATTATTGTATTAAAAGAGCCTTTAACAATTGCTAGGACATGTATTGTCATTGCAATACCAGCCCTGTACTCTGTTAAAGGAAAAACTTAAGCTGAATTAAAGTTAAAGGAGTTTAATTGAGCAACAAATGATTCACGAATCAGGCAGCCCCCAGAATCACGGCAGATTTAGAGAGACTTAAGCCTAGGCACGTGGTAGGAGAAGATTTATAGACAAAATAAGGAAAGTGAGGTACAGAAATCGGAAATGAGGTACAGAAACAAGTGGATTGGTTACAGCTCAGCCTTGGCCTTATTTGAACAGTTTGAACACTCAACAGTGTATGAGTGGTTGAAGTATGGCTGCTGGGATTGGCCAAGACCCAGGTACTGTTACAGGCACACATTGCCATGTTATGTTCTCAGTCTTGTCTACCCATTAAGTTAGGTTGCAGTTTGTCCACAAGGACTCAAATATAGAAGTACAGAGTCCTTCTCAGGCTATATTTAGTTCACTTTAACAACTCATAAAATTTAGAAAACACAAGAAATTCCCAGGTGTCCATAGTTAATATTGTATTTGTATTGTTATCCATTCCCCTTACTAATGTTCCCCAAAATTCCTGTTATCTGACAAAAGGCTTAGACCACCAAGATACCATGATAAGCAAGGAAAAATCCTTTTGGTTTCACCTCCAGTGGGTGCCAATTAGCCTGTGAAGACTGATGGAGTTCACAACCTGTGAGTTTCCTGTCAATGGATAGAACAGGTGGGTATGTCACGTTTATCATATCTCAGGATTGGGGAAGTGAGATGGGGCGGGATCAACCTCTTCTTTCTGCCTTCTTTCCCAGCAAGTGACATTTGTGATTACCTGTTTTCATGTAAAATGTGCAAGTCTGCAGCAATGACACCCACAGTCCTTGGGTCTAACGTGACGTTCCTTGTTTCCTCATCGGGCATTTTAAGCCACTTACTATTGCCGCTTGCTCTGTCCATTGCTTAACTCTGTTTAATCTTCCTACTAAGGAGAAGTTTCTCCTGACAATTTTTTTTTCCTTAGCTGAAAAATTATCCAAGGCAGAATCTTGAATCAAAATTACATCTGTTCCTTCTGACACATACTTAAAAGGAGGCATTTTTTTGAAATTTCTTTGAAATTCAAAGAAGACCATAAATGCACCTTAAAAATTGTCCTTTTAACAGCTTTTTCGCTTTTTGTATCTTGGGTAACTTCTACTACTTCAATAGCAACAGAAACTTTTTTCAACAATTTTTTTTTCTGCTTTAATGAGATACCCCCTAGTGTTCTATCTTCCACTGTGGTTTCTCTATTTCTTTGAGGCAGGCTCATCAGAGTTTTTAAGATTTTAATTTTTTAAGCTATCCCTTTGCTTCTCTTCCAATTGCACTTTCTTTTCTTTTTTTATTTGCTTTTGGATGAAGATATTAGATTTTGGTTTTTTGTTTGTTTGTTTGTTTTGTTTTTCATATTGTTAGTATTAAATGTTCAACTAGCCCAGGATTAGACTCCATCTGTTAATGTCCTGCCTGGTTCCCCTTTAGTATATTTCACATTTTGTGGGCCTTCCCTTAGAGTCCTAACTATATATTTTCCTGGTATGCTATCCAAGGATATATGTCACACTGAAAGTAGTCTAAAAACGGTAAGACATGTCAAGATTATCTTCTGAGGCTTCTCTCAAATTTATTCAAATTCTTATTTTTTTACCCATTTTACTGTGTTCCATTCCTCGATGAATGATTAGCATAAGTGCTTTTATTACTGACTTGTATCTGAAGTTTAATGAGGTACCTCTCAATATGTCCTGGGATCCAGGCTTTCTCTGGGTTATCACTCCGGTTCACTTCATGAACTCTTCTTTTCTGTTAGCCTTCTCTGATCCAAGTCAACCAAGTAATAACTCACATATCACTGCCCATATTATTAATACCATTCAAAAAACAATAAGTTCTGAGTATATCTGTGGAAGATGAGCCATACAAAAGGCAGACATTTTTGCCTTACTTTTTTTTTTTACTCTGAGGTATTGCAAGTGCCTAAGAAAGTATTTTTTAAATGAATAAATAAATCTATATTTTTAGCCTGTCATCTAAATCTAGTTTGGCTTCAATGACCTTGCCTCCTTTTAAGTATGCCCCTCCTGTATGCCTTGATACTTCCACAGTGCGCTTGCTATTTCCAGAGCTAAAATCACTTCCTGAGCTTCATTCATCTAACATCTTGAAATTTCTCTGATGTCCCAATTTCTTATAGTCTTTCAGTTCTAACAAATTCTCTACAGTAAAATACCCTAAGTACAAGCTTTCTGTACCAACTTTGACGTTGGGATGTATGGCAATCTCATCCAAAATTTTTTTGACCCCTTCCCAATGAAACGAATATTTTCATGGAAATAGGGTCCCCTCACCCTTTTCTGATTTATCTACTCATTTATAAATATTCACCACTTTTCTGTGGTTGAGAACCCTGACTGGCTCTTGAAGCAACATCCACAGTCAGAGCTTATATAATTAATAAATCAGACATGCTTAGAAGCTGCGTGTTAGAGAAGTGACAGTTGTCCTCGAAACTATTGGACAGGCCACATAAATACAGGAAATTATCTACAATGTTGTTTCTTTGATCCTGAATACAGCTAATAAAAAGAAAAAGTAGAACGATTATTTGTCTATTGATTTAATATGTCAACTAAGACTGAACACTAAAATTACAATGCTAAAACTTCATGTTCTAATGCTTGTACCCCATGTGACACATAGCTTCTCTTTGAAGCTTGAAGTCACAGCCTGTAGGCTTTATTGAGAAAATACAAGGAGGAAAAGGTCTCTCAGTGACCAGTGTATACAAAGCCTGTACACTGCTCTCTTTGAGGTAAAATACCCTATTTTGAGACTAAAAGACTCTCTTTTCTTGGTTCTCTAATCCCTGGCTCAGCAGTACTTACTTGGGTTTCCTCTGTAATTCAAGGTCAACCACAGAGGCATGGATAATCACATTGGCTAAAAACAGCCACCATTTTTCCTTCCTTTGAAAAAAGTATCTTGAATCTTATCACTAAGTACTAAGAAACATTTAACTTATTTATTTCTCCAATTGATATATATTGAACACATCCTAAATGCCTGACAGTCCGGTAAGTGGTAGGACTCAGATGGTCTGCACAAGCCACATGGCTTTCAGACTAGAGGCAGACATTAAATAAATAATAACACAAACACAGTTATATATAAGGTTTCATCAGTTTTAAAACACTTTTTTTTCACATTTTATTGTACTTTACCATTGCATGGTATCTTACAACCAATGGGCTTTCATAATCTCTAAAGGCCAGGCAAGAGTCACCATGCCATAGTCACTGTCAGCATATGACTGAGCTATCCATTGTTGTCACTTAGCTTGAATTGTGTGTATTGTTGAATACACACTGGTAAATTTCAGTGACAATTTAATGTCTCAGAAAGATAACAGTATGATTGGACCTGAAATTTTAAAGGTTGTTTTGTGTGCAAAAACAGACAAACGGGGAAGGGCAGTGTCAATGTAATATGAAGGAAGGAGTAGTCAGTAGCCAGATCTCAATGGTAGCCTGGAGGCTATCATAATAAATTTTAATTTTTATCTTAAGTGCAGTGGTGAGTCATTGAAATATTTTAATTGGGTAAGTAACATGTTCCAATTTGTATTCTAAGAGATCAGTGTACCTATAGGTTAAGATAACTGAGAAACAATAACAGAAGGGGAACCACTTAAGATATTGATTATTGTGTGTTATTGATAAAGTAGGATGGTGGACTAGCAGAAATTGGGAGAAGTATACAGATTTGGGATATACTGGGAAGTAGAACTTAACAGAACTTGGTGTTAAACTGAAACTAAATTTGGGGGAAGAGGCTGGGCGCATTGGCTCATGCCTGTAATCCTAGCAGTTTGGGAGGTCGAGGTGAGTGAATCACCTGAGGTCAGGAGTTTGAGAGCAGCCTGGCCAACATGGTGAAATCCCATCTCTACCAAAAAAATACAAAAATTAGCCAGGTGTGGTGGTACACATCTGTAATTCCAGCTACTTGAGAGGCTGAAGCAGGAGAATTCCTTGAACCCGGGAGGCGGAGGTTGCAGTGAGCCAAGATTGCACCACTGTACTCCAGCCTGGACAACAGAGCAAGACTCCCTTTCAAAAGAAAATAAATAAATATATAAAATAAATTTAGGAGGAGAGAAAAGAGAAAGTGTCAAGAGTGACTCCCAGATTTCTAGACTGAAAAGTTGGGGGTATAACTTTTGAGTATGTTTTACTGAAGAAAGATTAAGGCTAGGCTGGGCATGGTGGCTCACGCCTGTAATCCCATCATTTTGGGAGGCTGAGGCAGGTGGATTACTTGAGGTCAGGAGTTCGAGACCAGCCTGGCCAACATGGTGAAACCCCGAATCTACTACAAATACAAAAGTTAACTGGGTATTGTTGCACATGCCTGTGGTCCCAGCTACTCAGGAGGCTGAGGTGGAGGATAGTTTGAGCTCAGGAGGTGGAGGTTGTAGTGAGCCGAGATTGCGCCACTGCACTCCAGCCTGGGTGACAAAGTGAGACACTGTCGCGAAAAAAATAAATAAATAAAAATAAAAGGTTCTGCCTAGAATCTATTAATATTGAAAATTGAGGACAAGAGAGCTTGTAGAAAATTTTATTCCTCACTCATTACATCAGAGAAAGAAGTTAGTTAGGAGACAGAAATGACTCTGTTTATTTGAAAAGAAAAATTTCAAAATAAAAAATTGTTCAACACTAAAAAGTGGTTAAATACTAAAAGAAGTAAAAGTTGATTTAAGAGATCTAGAAGTAGGGTCAAACAGATAGCTCTTACCTCTAGACTGAGGAAAAGAAACAATAAAGGAACTAAGAAGTAGGTGAGACCACCACTTAGAAATGCTGTGATTCAGACTTCTACAAAGACAGTATGGCTACCAAAGGAACACGTAGCCTGTCAGTGACAAAACTTGTCAAAGGTGTTGGACTAACAGTAGTTTTAGAAGCAACCAGCTGTTGGAATATGGACAGGCTGGAGCCTTCAGGAGGGCAGAAGAGCTGCTGGTGGGAGAACTTGGCCTGAGGGCACAAGTGGGGCATGTCTGCACAGACCCCTGGAGTCATAGGCTGAGAAGTCAATATGGAGAACCTGAATCTGGAAGGGTAGTATTTTTCTACTATCTCTTTGCAGGATGACTGGTAAAGGAGTTCACAGAGCCCAGCTCCAATATCACAAAGCAAGGTAAACAGGTTAGATTTGGAGCTGAAAGGCAATACATTGATCATTGGCACAGTAATTTATGTATTAATTGTTTTAATAATAATTTACTGTCTATGTATTAGTCAGCTTAATTTAATCTACCATATTTAAGGCATTTGCTGAATATAAGGCTATCACTAGCTAACAAATTTCTACAGATGTCAAATAAAAACAACTCCAGACATTGATATGGAAAGAGTTTATCAGAAAAGACAGTTGCACGAGTGGGAAAGGGACTACTGTAATGGAGTGGGGCGACTATTGAAATAGGGAGAAGGCTCGGACCATGAGATCTGCAAGTATCTCAGAGATCAGACAGAAAAGGGCTTTTCTTTTATAAGGAGGAGTAAATAAGACAAAAATGGATGAGAAGTGGGAGGAAGGTAGTAGATCAGAAAATGTTTTACCCTCAGGTCAGCCTATTCTTAGGAGAGGCTATTAAGTAGGGGTTGTTTGCTGGTTCAGGATGTGGTTATGTCTGTGTTCTGGGCCTGGGGAAGGAGAAGATCTTAACCAAAGTTTGGTTAACAAGCATTTTGTTCCTGTTGATCAGCAGGGACAAACAGTTCAGCTGATCATTTATGAGGCAAAAAATGAGAATTTGAAGGGTCTGTGTCTGGCCTTGTCTTAGGTTAAAAAAAAAAAGAGGCATCCATGAGTTTTATCTCAGCCATGCAAGGAGGGAAGATTTTTTGCACTAACCTCTTTTCTGGAACTTTAAAAAGCTGGGAGAATTTATCTAATCATCACTGTTCCAGAATCACATGGCTCTGGTAAAGATCAGCATTGTCACTACTGATCTATTTGGAAAATAAACATTGTCCTTTTCAGGATTGTTTCAGTAATAAACAAACCAAGTATACAATTTGTCCTCCAATTCTTTCTAGTACACATATACACAATTCTTAAAGTTAGAACATGCAAAAGAGTCTGTAAGGACCATTGGACAAGTTCTCCTTGGCCTTCTGATGGTTCTGAAAAAATCAACTGACAAAAGACAAATTAATTCTAGAAAACACATACAAATTTGTTTAACATGTATGTAGGGCAGTGTTCAAAATGGAGACCCAAAGACACAGGGGAAATTGTCCATTTTTATGCTTAAGTTCAACGGAGGATGGACAGTCATGTAGAAATATGATTGATCAAAAGGTTATGTTCTAATCCCCACTGAATGGGGAAACCCAGCAAGGCCTCTTTGTCTAGATTCTTCTTGGCCTCTCTGTCTGTGTGGCATTTCTTTCTTCTGGGTGTGAGGTAAGGCCCTCTCTGGAAAGGGGACCTTATGACTTACACTCAAACAAGGTAGTCGTCAGATCATTTCTTTATGGCCAGTTTTTACACAGAAGGGTGGAGGGAAAATTAGAGTAATGTTTTTTATGTTTTATGGCTGACTCTGGGGAAAAGAGCTTCTGGTTTCTATGACCTGCCTTGGAGAGAGGGATTCCATTTCTATGGCTAACCCCAGGGGAGAATGGGACTGAGAGACAGGAGGACAGGAAGAGGGCAGAGAAAAACTTTTGCTTCAAGGGCTGCTTCTGAGGCCTTCCTTTTGGGGTATTGTTTTCTCAGCCTCAACAGGACCCTTTCAAATTATTCAAAACGTATAGTTCAGAAAATATAAGAGAAAGGAAAAAGTTAGAACAATAAACTTATAACATAAACTGTATTAGGATTCTCTAGAGGGACAGAACTAATAGTGTGTGTGTATATATATATATATATATTTATATATATATATTTATATATATATATATTTATATATATATATTTATATATATATATTTATATATATATATTTATATATATATATATTTATATATATATATTTCTTTATATATATATATGAAAGGGAGTTTATTAAACAGAATTGACTCACACACGACTATCACAAGGTAAAGTCCCAAGATAGACTGTCTGCAAGTAGAGGAGCAAGGAAGCCAGTTGTGGATCAGTCCAAGTCCCAAAACCTCAAAAGTAGGGAAGCCAACAATGCAGCCTTCGGCCTGTGGCCAAAGGCCCAGGAAGCCCTGACAAACCCAGAGCTGGTGTAAGTCCAAGAGTCCAACAGCTGAAGAACTTGGAGTCTGATATTCAAGGGCAGGAAGCATCCAGCACGGGAGAAAGATGAAGGCCGGAAGACTCAGCAAGTCTCTCTCAAGTTCAAAGTTCCACAGATCTCTAGGGCAGGGGCAAAATGGCACGATTCTTTTTGCATAGCAAGAGTGACCTTTACTTCAGTTGCTATTAAGTTCCTCATCTCCATCTGAGACCTCCTCAGCCTGGACTTCATTGTCCATATCACTATCAGCATTTTGGTGAAAGCCACTCAACAAGTCTCTAGGAAGTTCCAAACTTTCCCACATTTTCCTGTCTTCTTCTGAGCCCTCCAAATTGTTCCAACCTCTGCCTCTTACCCAGTTCCAAAACCGCTTCCACATTTTCGAGTGTCTTTACAGCAGTACCCTACTACCCAGCGCCAATTTACTGTATTAGTCCATTCTCATTCTGCTAAGAGATACACCTGAGACTGGGTAATTTATAAAGGAAAGAGGTTTAATTGACTCACAGTTCAGCATGGCTGGAAAGGCCTCAGGAAACTTACAATTATGGCAGAAAGGGAAGCAAACACATCCTTCTTCACATGGTGACAGCAAAGGGAAGTGCAGAGCAAAGCTAGGGGGAAAGTTCCTTACAAAACCATCAGATCTTGTGAGAACTCACTATCACAAGAACAGCATGGAGGTAACCACCCCCATGATTCAATTTCCTCCCATTGAGTCCCTCCCACAACACGTGGGGATTATGGGAGCTGTGGTTCTAGATGAGACTTGGCGGGGGGACACAGGCACACTGTATCATAAGGCTTCTATATAAAAACACCTTTAACTAAAAGGACTATAAGTTAAAGCATTTTATAATGTTTGCAACTCAGAACAAATCCTAACATGGCTTATGCAAAACAATATAGGAAAATAAATCCATGATTGAGCCAAGAAAAAATAAAAAGGGAAGAAAATAAAGTGCAGAGTTCAACAAGGAGCTATGTTATTTAATACGTTGCCAGATAAAGTTCTTAAATAGATCTCACAGGTATGGCTGTCCTTTTGCTTTCTACTCATCTCTTTTTGCTATCTGTTTTCACACATAGACCAGAAGAGAGAAAGCCTTAACTGCAACTATTTAGAAGCAGCCCATCTATCATATCCTGTCACTATCTGGAGAGTGTTAAGAAGAATATTTCAGCATGAAATGCTAATGTAACTAGTGTTGTAATCACACTGAAAATGTTAATGATGCGGTTAACAATGATGATGATGATGGTGATGCTACGAAAGATACATGCCCTAAGAAAGCCATAACTCTGAAGGCTTTTACCGTTAACAGGGAAGAAGAGATTTTTAAATCAGGCCACAAGCCTAATATAAAGTTAATAATCTTGACTTTTTTCCTACGTTAACCAATTTATTTTAACTACATCTCAATTTTAACTGCCATTTTTAGGAGGACAATATTTTTCTACCTTGGAAAGCTATTGCAAGGGAGAATTAACTTAATTTCTGAAGGCCTTTGTAATTTAAAGTCATCCTTAAATCATTCCTTTCAACCACTCTGGTAAGGAGATACATCCAATGCCATGCTTTAAGAGCCAATTAATTTTTAAAGTCAGAAAGATATAAAATAGGCATGTACCTGCCCTGAGAGAATTTTGTTTATTATTCTGCCTCATAGAAGTTCCCAAGGTTAGAATTAAAGGTATATGTGCCTTACTATCACAATATATTTAAAGTCACAAACTATAAATTAGTCTGAAAGATGATGACATACTATTTACTTCTCCTTGTCTAATCCTCAGTAATAGGCTTTTATTCTGTTTGACCACAAACCATGAATAACTTTTTTTTTCCTTTTTCTTTATTATTGCACTTATCCATATAAACTCTGACAAAGACTCTTTCTTTTGGCCAAAATTTTAGTGAGGCACCTCTGAGTTTTCTATTTTGACTAGTCTTGACCTTGAGCTTTCCCTCTCTGTCTGTAAAATGCATTTTGAGTAAGAATCCTGCTAAGTCTCTTGTTACCTGAACACCCTGGGTATCTTATTACCCTGACCTGCCTTTAGCAATATTCCTCTCAAATCAGTTTAGCCAGAAATCCCTTATCCTCGATGTTTCCTCTTAGTAATTTTCCATCCACTCACCCTCATTCTTCTTTTTGGTTTTAAGTCTCCACTTGTCCTTGTCAGAGTTAGACTTGAGTCCAGTCTCTCTCCTCTACTGCAAGATCCCATTGAAGTCATCCCTAAAGCTATCTCCATGGTCCCACCTCAGTAAAGCTTGCCTTACCATCTTTAACAAATATCATGAATTTTTTTTTCTTTATCTCAAATGCACCAATTACTGAAAAGCAAATGTTGCTGTGCCCTGTTTCCTTTTGTATTCACAGGGCCTAGATCATGCATGGTCAGTCCTCAAGGACTGGGCCTCAACACTCTTATCCTAATGCTACTTAACTGGGAATTCTCCTAAGGTTCAAATTTTGAGAATCAATAGCTAGCCTCCACATTTCATTTACTGGCTATTCCAGAGTACATCTCAATAACTTAATATTTTTTTTCAAATAGGGAAATCTTATTCCTTAATGCTTTCTTCTATTGTCTAAAACAAATTGTCCTTCACTAAGTCACATACATCTTTCAGGTATTTTCAGCTTATTTTCTTAATTGCTTTTGCAACCAATCCATGTGCATACAGCAACAGCATACTTTGACATTATTTTTAAATGCAAACTCATCTTGGTTTGAATACACAACCACTATGCAAATTTCTATATTTGACACATAAAGAAATACATGATTTTATTAAAAGAAATGAGTAAAAGAAAGAGGATGCTACTCGTAGGGATGGAGAACCAAAGATGGATCTTTAAAGAGTTGAATTTTATAAAATATAGGAAGAAGAACCCAAAAATGTAAGTAGACACAACTGCAGTTTGGTGAGAAGAAAGTTACAACAACCATACGGAATGGAAGTTCTCATACTTCTGATTGAGAATGGCTGAACAAGAGAATTTTGCATGAGGTGAAGAAAAGATGAGGTAGTTGTGGTGGGTAAATTTGACAATTAATGATTACAAGAGAGGTGATGCAAGCCAAGGGAAAGGAGGTATTTTTTTCCACTGGTCCTAATTATAACCTCCACAGATCTCAATGTTTTGGAGATGTGCTCTTTAATGAACTCCTCTGATGTAATTTAATTGTTTCAAATTGATTATTCATTCTTTCATGTTTCTTGCTTAACTAATCCATACCAAAGTTTTTATTAAGCAGAGTTAACATTTCATCATGAAAACAACTGCAGAAAAAGAAAAGAATACACTGCATTCATGAGTATAATAGTCACATTTGTTAAGTGTCTATTTGGATGAAAGCTGCTATACAATGTATGCCCGTCATTTGCATACATAGATTACATCCACAATTGGTGTGCAGAAGTTTCTTAAGAGATTTCCACCTCTTAATTATTTTCTCTGAGCCCCTTCTTGCAATAAGCATTCATTATTGACAGCATTGTAACGCAATTCTTCTTTCAATAAAGGGCTTTATTGATTTAACTAACAAAACACAGTAACCAGAGATCCATGAAGGAACTTCCCTAATGATAAAGAAAGATAAATAAAGCAAGAATAAAAATTCCTAAAGATGATTTCAATGCAGGTATCAGCCAAAATATGTTTCTCATGTATTCAAAATATAAAGAGGGGTTTCCATATGCAGATGAATTGAAAAGGAAATGATGCTCACTTCAGTTCCTATTATTTACTTTTATTTCACACTGTGTTGTGCCTTCAGAGTCTACAGACACTACTAGTAGGAGAGGTGATTATAAATGAAATCTCTCGGTACATGTTTGAGGTTGTTGAGTCAAAAAGCTCTCCAAGAGTGTTATTGGGAAAATTACACTCTTCTTCAACAGATCCCATTAATGAAAAAGCATCGAGCCCAGCAGGTACTTCTAGTAAGAGTGACAGACTCAGGAAAAAAGATAGTAGGTCATATTAACAAAACTAGTTATTTTTTGTTTTAAGATTGGCTATAGAGAACAAACAATTATATGCTGATATTTCAAACCTTTCTACCAGTTTCTTTGTCTCCTAGAGTAAAATTTTTTGTTTCTCTTGCTATGAATTTGTAATGTAAGTCAAGTGAAGTTAGGGGAAAAGAGAGTGTTCTCTGAGAGGTTAAGACTGAAAGAAGTGTATTTTTCACTAAAGAGATAGTTTCTGAAAGCTGTCTTTTTGATTGTTTATTTTTTGTCTTTTTTTTTAAGAATATATAGGTAGAAACTGACAGAAAAGACTTAAAGGAGGGCAAACATTTAAATTCATCATTATGTTTAGTATAATTTATCTCAGTCTCAATTATTCTGAGATATTATATTGAATGTACCCTGATTATACAATTTCACTTCAGAATTTTCACTTCTGATAACTTATGATGATTTGATGTTAATTATCTTTTATCTGCATTTGTTGTTAATATGCTTAATTTGCAAACAATTTGAACATATTGATGTTTAATGTTGCCTATGTAGTCTTTGCTTAGAAAAGACCCAAAATAGTGAAACCCGATCTCTACTAAAAATACAAAAAAAAAAAAATTAGCCGGGCATGGTGGCAGGTGACTGTAGTCCCAGCTACTAGGGAGTCTGAGGCAGGAGAATGGCATGAATCAGGGAGGCAGAGCTTGCAGTGAGCCAAGATCACACCACTGCACTCCAGCCTGGGCAACAGAGCGAGACTCCATCTCAAAAAAAAAAAAAAAGACCAAAAACATAGGGTATCTCCTACAAAGACTATTTTATTTTGAGGTTAACAAAGTATAAGGAAATGTCTGCAGTTCTTGCTTGAAAGATTAATATCAAAAATAACTTCGATGTAAGCACTTAAGTTTTCCTTGGGAATTTAAATTGATATGCTCTACAACATAAGAACGACCTATATGGCTTAATTGAGTTTTACAACATGCAAACAAATTTGAATGAAAGTCAGTATTAAAAATCCTGTAGCAGTTAAGAAGCATAGGTTTAGATAATGATAAGAACACACTTATTTAATATTCTATGCAATTTAACTGAATTTAGAAATCTTGGCAGGGCACTATGGCTCACACCTGTAATCTGAGCACTTAGGGAGGCAGAAGCTAGAGGACAGGTTGATCCCAGAATTTCAAGGCCAGCCTGGGCAACACAGTGAGACCCCATTCTCCACACACACACACACACACACACACACACAAAAGTTTCAATTTAGAAATCTTTTTTCCCTCGAAGAACCCCATGATTGGACTTCAAAGGACATTCCATCTAATATAACTTCATGTAAATTAGTCTTCAATTTAAATAATCTCTTTGTATTCCCTAAATTTAGGAACTACAATATGTTGTTCAAATTCAGGGGATAATAGGACTTATTTTGTCATAGTAATAAATAATGATAAATTTTTTAAATTAAAAGGAATTTAATTCTAGAAGCTAATCTTCAAATGCAACCAAACTCGAAGTTACCACAAAAAATATCTATATCCAATTTGTTTATCTTTGGAGATGATGTGTTCATATGGTCTAGAAAAGAACTCATACACATATTAATGTTCCATATTTGAAAATATTTTTCTTACTTCAATCCATGACCTAATTCAAGAAATAAAGCCTGCAACCTAGCTATCATATTTTGATTTACTAAGGATTTTTTTATAATAAAAGCTAACAGAAGTCCTAGAATAAGCCAAAGGGCACCAGAAAGCCAACATGATCCCCCTATTGCAGTTATAATTTTCTTGAGGGCAGGAATTCTAGAGGATTTCTATTTTTGTGCTTTATATGGCCTTTAGCACAGTACCTTGCATATAAAAAACACTTCACAAATATTTACTAAATGAATAGTTTTTGAGTTTATACTGGTTTTCTGTTTTTGGGTTTTTTTGTTGTTGCATGACAAGTTAGTACAAACTTAGCAATTTAAAACAACACACACTTATTACCTCACAATTTATGTGGATCAGGAATCTGACCATAGGTTAGCTGGGTCTTTTATTCAGCATCTCATGCAGCAGCAATCATCGTCTCAACTAGGCTGTGTTTTCCTCTGGAGGCTTGACTGGGGAAGAATCTACTTTCAAGCTGTTTTAAGTTATGGGCAGAGTTTATAGCCTTGCAGCTGTATGAAGTCATGTAGGCTTCTCTAGCATGGCTGCTTACTTCAGCAAGCCCACGATGGAGGCCCTAATTCCTATTTTACAGGCTTCTGCATGATTATGTCAGGTCCACTCAAGTTAATCTCTTTCTTGCTTAATTCAAAATCAGCTCATTTAGGACCTTCATTGCAGCTTCAAAATCCTTAACCATTTCCATATTCTGTTAGCTAGAAGCAATGCATCCTCCTACCTCCACTCAAAGAGTATGACCATCAAGGGTAGGAATCATGAGGGCCACCCCAGGGTCTGTCTGCTACAGAGATGATCTGACTCACATAAACAATATGAGCCAACAGTTACACAGACATACCCATACTCTCTTTATCTATATGACCTAGGACAAATCATTTAACCTGTGTAACTCTCAATTTCCTTAACTGTAAAAAGGAAGTGATAACAACTTTTTACAATTGTTATCATTATGAATAAAGTATTATGAATATGTAGGAATTTGTATATTGGTAATCATTTTTATAATTTAGCCACTGTGTGAGAAATCAAAAAGACTAGACCTGACTTTGTCTTAAGTAAATTTATTGAATTTGTCAGACGTAAAATAAAGCAAAAGTATCTGTCGCTGATGCATTCTCACCTCTTGCACTCTGATTTTAGTTGAATATTACAGTAGGCCAATTGCACAAGTGAAGAGAAGATAAGCTCCTGTTTATCACTGGTTAACTTGTTAGATCAATAGATGGAGATAGAGATGATAGACATAGAGATAAATGTGTGTAAAATATATGTCCATATATGTACATATATGTGTGTGTTTGAATATATTAATAACATTCAAACGTGGGGAGAGGGAAATATTGTTATCCTATTTTATCTCAGAAAACTGAAGCTATGATTCTAAGATAAACCAAATGGCCTGCCCTTGTCACATGTAGTGAGAACAAGAGAATTTAAGTCAAAAAACTACTTTGAAATGATAACTCCACCATTAAACAAATTATTTCATTTCTCTGTATGGTTAATAATATCTCCATAGCGTTGTACAAGTATTAATAGAAATAACATATGTAAAGCATTTGCATTAGCCTAAAACCCAATTACTATTAGCTATTATTATTATCATGATTATCATTCTTAGTAGTAATAGTAGTATCATAACTGTTTGGAATTGGGATTTCATTCCAAGGTCTAACCTGTAATGATTATCTTGCCACTGTGACATTACATAATGCTAATTCTTCTTGAAACTAAAGGTGCACACTGTAGAGTGGCCAGCCCAGAGCTGCACCTGCTTAAGAAACTCTCTAAGGTAGCTGTAAACTGTTGAGCATACATTTTCCCAAGTATAGCTCCAGGTTGCAGAGTCTAACATAGAACAGGTGGAGTTTACCAAGACCTATAGCCTGGAAAAGTGCATTCCTGCTTAGACAATACAAGAGGGAATTACAAATAGCCTAGTCTGCTCTTTGTTTTAGCAACTGTTACAGACAAAGGCTAGGACTCTTCAGTGGCCTGGCAGCTATTCAGTAGTTCTTTCCCTCTATGTAATTATATTATATTTTCTAATACTTCAACAATTTCACTGTTTTTCCCTGCAATCCACCTCTCTCTTTCTCTCTCCTCTCAGTTCCCACTTTCTCTCTCTCTTTCTTTCTCTTCCTCCCTACTTAAACCAGTTAATATGTCTCCTAATAAAATCTAAATAATAAAGTATTACCTCAACACCCACCCATCTCAGTAACACAGTTCTTTGGAGGAAAAAAACAAACCAACCTATATTAACTAAATATTGATCAGCCGTCTTCATGTATGTTAAATAGTTCATCACTCTAGTACATTGATGGTAAATTTTACCATTATCTAGTACAAGAGTACATTTTCTCTCTACAATTTGCCCTAGAGATCAATTGTATTATCTTAACTTTCAGCTTTAACTGTAAATGGAGAATAGTATAGAACAGGTACAATCCAGAGGTCATATCTGTTGACTAGATATATCCATTGACTAGAAACACAATGGACTATGTCCATTTTTATTTCATTTATAATTTCTATAAATTAAAAAGAAAGATAACTTTATTCTCATCTGAAGATTGTAAACCCAGAATTTGAATTTTCTTGTCTTCTTTCTAACAATTGTAAATCACCAATATATCATCAGATTGTAGCTTTGGAAGGAATCTTGGAAATCATCCAGGCTGCCTCTTCATTTTCCAAATGTGTCAAGCAAAGCCTGGGGAGACTTAACAATTTGCCCACATTTCCTAGTTATTAGCTCCTAGTGAAGGATGAAAAGTCAGGTTTTTCTGATTCCTAAATTCTATCTTGTTCCCACCAAGTTTCTTGCCTTTTTAACAGAATTATTTTTCTTACTTCAATCCAGCTCACCCCCCACCTTTTTTTTTTTGCCTTTGACGGTTTTATGCCTTTTACCTTTCACAGCACATCTTCATTGATGCATTTATTGCCACACATCTTGATGTTTTATAGTTGGCCTCAAATATTTAAGGCAGATGCATTTTGTAATGCTTTGTCAGTTTTTCAATAAAGGAAAAGATGGCAACTGAGGTATGTACCTGTTCTATTAAAAGCAGGGCAGAAGGACTAACAAGTTTTAAACTACTTTTGATGGCTTATATTAAGAATCCTTGTCAGAATAAAGGGAAGTCAAATTCTGATTGATTAGAGTTGTCTGTTACATCGCTGTTCGCTGCCATAGACCAAGGGTCTTGCGTTAATGCTATTTGTGTGCTACTGAAGCCTGTCAAAATGTGATCACGCGACTGCTGTTCTGCTGCCGCCTTCGCAAAAATAACTTGATGCGTTTTATAAGAGCTTCTCAGGGTGCAAAAATTTTTCAATAAAGAAAAAAATGTGTCAGTGCCATGCAGTATTTCAAGAATACTGTTTTGTTTGCCTACTTATTTTTTTAGATACTGTCTTCAAATGTGTCTCTACTTTACCTGTGTATCATTTTCTCTAACTTAGTATCTTAACTGTGAGGAATGTTGGATCTGGGAAATGTATTCTATTGTTTGGTTATTATTTTGTTTCTGGAAAATATTTCTTAATGTGGAGAATAGAACATTATACAATGTTTTCCTATGTTTTTCTTTCTCTAAACTTTAATATTTTGTTTTCTTTTTAAAGTCTGTAAAAACTCTCATAAATAAGGAAAATCCTATTTTATGCATAGTATTTAAGATGTAGTTCAGGTACTCCAACTCAATAGTTACTGTTTAAATTGCTTACACTGTCTTTGCTTAATTAGTTCCTGTTTACTTGTAGTTTTTGTGTTGAGTTTATAATACAGCAAATATCAAAGGGGCTGAAAGCTGCTAATAGTTGCTCAAAGATGTTACTTGCTAGAGTATTTTATGTATTGGTACTGATCTTAACTCCTAAAATCAACTTTATCGGTGGCAAATATTTTTATGTGTTCAATTTAGGTTAATTAGATCTGAGTGTTGATTTATCTCACCCTTTCAAAAAGTGTTTAATATTCATCAAATGAGATGCAAATTTAGATAGCCATCTACCTACCCCAGCACTTTTAATATTTTTACAAACATACTTGCTTCCGGGAAAAAAGTTATCTGCCAGTTGTAACTAAGCTATCTAGTTTAAAATATACAATTATAACCATGGAATGTATTCATCTATTATGTTTACTCGAGGAGGAATTAAATCTCTTAAAAATATCCTTTTGTAATACTTTTTTTGGGGGGGCGGGGGATGGAGTCTCACTCTGTTGCCCAGGGTGGAGTGCAGTGTCACGATCTCAGCTCACTGCAACCTCCGCCTCCCGAGTTCAAGTAATTCTCCTGCCTCAGCTTACTAAGTAGCTGGTATTACAGGCATGGGTCACCACACACAGCTAATTTTTCTACTTTTAGTAGAGATGGGGTTTCTCCATGTTAACCAGGCTGGTCTCAAACTCCTGACCTCAGGTGACCCATCTGCCTCAGCCTCCTAAAGTGCTGGGATTATAAGTGTGAGTCACCACCACGCCTAACCTATACTTTTTTTTTTTAACCTTTTATTTTTCCACTTTGGCTGCAAAATTTTGATTCTAATAGTCAAAGAAATTCTACCTAGAGCAAGGGCTTTTTAACATCACTTTATGAGGATGATGAAATATTTTACTCAAATTAAATGAATGACAATCATACCATCAGAAAAACAATTTAAAAATATATGCATATGCTTAAATTAATATATTTAAAATAATATGCAAATAGGTACAGGTGTTTCTGTGTGTGTGCGTGTGTGAGAGAGAGGGAGATTTAGAAAATTCTCAAATCTATTTTCAGTTTATCGGTAAGGAAACATGATAATCCTTAACTAGTATTGTTAAAATCATTCTTTCTCTTCTGATCTAGAATGGATTTCACTACAGAAGTTTCAGTGCATCACTTCCCATTACAAACAGGTTTTAGTTTGTCCCAGACTATTTGCAATAGTATGAATATTTGTTATTTTAGGGATTTTATAAATATTTGCAAACCTATTTGTTGAAAGGACAGAAATCAAGTGCCAATTCTTTAAAAGTTGATACGGAAGAATGACTCATTGAGAGAATGTCATTGTTCCTGCAACTTTCTCTCTGAATATCTGCTAATAGTCGACAGAAATGGGAGTGGTGAGGCAGGGCTAGCATGACTCCACCTCTGAAGAAAGGAGTGGGAGGGATCGACTGCCACTCTTGAATGGTGACAAGTAAAACCTGCCTGATCTTTTAGGATGAATGGCAGTAATATAGGCATCTTGGCAGACTTTCTGGTATATAGCATGTAAGAGGTGGCAGGGTGAAGATGATGTCTACTTATGCTGTTGGAAATTGCAAAAGACCACAGTTTATGATCTAACTAAAGAATTCTTTCAGGGGAACTTAGCATAAATGGGGAGCCACTTTTTACCTTCAGTGGATCATGCTGGCTTCTGCTGGGAACTACAGCCCAGCCAGACTTCATGCACTATGGATGTTCATCCATGGCAACACATGGGAGTCCACATAAATATGTAATAGAACTCAGAAAAAGAACCAGATAAATCCACAAGACTATGGAAGGTGGGCTTTCTTCTCACTATTTGAAAATATGTTAGCCCTCCAGGTTTGTTGGACAACTGGGCAAGAAGGGGGCCTTACAAGAATATTACCATAATTTCAGAGATTGAGCAGAATTTAATTTAATTTAAAAATCAATTAAACAAATGGGATTCATTGAATGTAATTCTGCAACCAATATTATTCTTCCATCCTAAATATTCATTCATATTCATCGTGTATGTCTGGTTCTTTCCTGACCCTGAGTAAAATTTTGGGCAGGCCTTAAAACTTATCTCCTAACTCTCAGAAAACAAAAGGTATTTCTTCATGTTTAGTTATGAATCTAATTTCATTCACACAATTAAAATGTCCATAATATGCAATAGTCAGAACTCTGAATTACATTTCAAATATGTTTCTCTCCTTTCTCAACTTGGACATCGTGTTGGTCACAGTCTTACTTGACTATTACTATCATGAGGGTCATGGTATATTCTGGACCAGGTAGATAATTAAAACATCTCTTTTTCTCAGGCTGTCGTGTTATGGATCTCTAAATTCCCTCCCTCATGGCTGGAGATGTCTTATGCTCTTCATTAATGTCTAAGACAGCCTAAGATTGGCTCTGTGTTTTGTCTATGGGCCAGATTTGGCGAACAAGAAACATACAGCGTTGATCTACTGTATCAGGAGTGGGAGTGTAGTTACTTTGTTAATGCAGCACTCTATTCTGTTGCTGCAGAACATTTCAGCCAGCCTTTTGCTTCTAAACTTTTTTGAGAGGAGAGAGTGACTGGAGAAGGTATTCAGATATGCATCCAATACCAGCCAGTCCACTATGCTCCCAAACTGCAGGCACTGTAAATCAAGACCCACATACTTGACTTGAAGTGATGTAAAATATTGTTTCCCTTACCCCGTGTAAAACAAGTGCAAGCTTCTTCAAGAAATCTAATTCCCAAACTAAGCCTTCGAGCTTAAGGTGGATATTGAGCTAAAGACTGCAAAATGAAGTTTTAGTCTCTTCATTTACATGTCTAGCACCTCAATTGGAATGCTGGAGCACTTACAAACTGATATTTTATTCTTGGTCTTCCAAGATCATTTTGGCATTCTGATACAAAGACAAATAAATATAATATCACTCACACCTTAAGTTAGTAGAGCTATTCATATCTATTTTCTTCATCCTAATATGTTATCCAAAATGGTGGCTTCCAGCTTCATTAATTGAAAAACATGGCTGTATATTGTTGCAGCTCTTTAACCTCAACTTTTTTATTCTGTGTTTTTGTGAATTGTAAGCACTATCCTTTCTTCCCTAGTCAGCATGCTCATCATCATCATAGTTTTGCCTACTGTGATAATATTAAAGATGTCTTAAATTCCTTTGGCAGAGAGATGCATTGGCTGTTGAGGTCTTTTATGGGCAGAATTATGCCTCCCCAAAATTCATATATTAAGGTTCTAACACCTAGTACCTCTGAATGTGACTATCTTGGCAGATAAAACCTTTAAAGAGGTAAAGCTAAATGACAATGAAGTCATTAGGGTGGGCTCTAATCCAGTATGACTGGTGTCATATAAGAAGAGATTAGGGGCCAGGTGAGGTGGCTCACACCTGTAATCCCAGCACTTTGGGAGGCTGAGGCGGGTGAATCACCTGAGGTCAGGAGTTGCAGAACAGCCTGGCCAACACGGTGAAACCCAGTCTCTACTAAAAACGGAAAAATTAGTCTGAGAGTGGTGGTGGGCACCTGTAATCCCAACTATTTGGGAAGGTGAGGCAGAATCACTTGAACTCGGGTAGCAGAGGGTTGCAGTGAGCCGCGATCACGCCATTGCACTCCAGCCTGGGTGACACAGGGAGACTCTGTCTTAAAAAAAAAAGAGAGAGAGAAAGAGATTAGGGCACAGCCAGGCACAAAGGAAAGATGGCCTGGAGACACAGAGAGAAAATGGCTTCCGGAAGCCAGGGAGCAGCTTCAGAAGAAAACAACCCTGCCAGCAACTCCATCACAGACTTCTGGCCTCCAGCACTGTGAAAAAATAAATTTCTGTTGTTTAAGCCATGCGGACTGTGGTGCTTTGTTATGGTAACCCTAGCAAACAGATGTAAGGTCCAAGCAGAAAACATAGCCACACTGGCCAAAAATAGGGATATTATGACATTTCCTATGCAAGTCCATTAAAATTACCTTCTCAGTCTTCGTGCTATATAAACTCAGAAAGGGCTCCTATGTAACCATTTCAGACTCATTATTATACAGTCTGACAGTCTATGAATCATAGCAGTAATTATAGACACCAATCTTCCTTTAAAGAAAAAGAAAGACATTTTCTCATAAATAAGGTATTATCTTCAAAATGAGAAAAAAATTTAATACATGTTAAAATGCCTATCAAATTTAAAATATTTGTGCAAAATTTGTTTAAGCTGGAAAGGTGGAAGAAGGAAATGAAGGTTTAACAATTCAATTGCTATTTAAGTTTTGTGTAAATCATTCAATTGTGGTTTAAATTTTGTGTACTATGTAAACAGAGTTAAATGAGAATCTGCTTCCTTAATTCTGCATATTTGACTAATTACAGATGGCTAGATAGATCTAAATGAGCTTTTAGTTTTCATTTAAACATATTGTTTTGTGTGGACATGGCTCAACTTTACTTTCAACAAGTGAGATTATAGGGAAATCAGAATTTTTGCCATTTTTTAATAATAGAAAAATAAACCATATAAAAATAATTCATATCAACAAAGAATTATCTCATCTAAAAGGTGTGTTTCATTTTTTAAGATGCTCAAAGATAACGTATCCAAGAAAGTGATCAATTTAGGTCAAATTATGTTTAACCACAATAAAGCAATTATTTGTTTTAATCAAGAAAAATCTTATTCAAATTTCTCCCTAAGAATAAAGGCAGTTGTTCCTTTAAAATTGCTCATATAATTTAGAAAAAGACCTAGCTACAGGACATAAGATCTATTTATATTTATCCCGTGAATAATATTAGTGAAGTTAAGGATCAAGAAAGCAATTAGCACCTAATCAATTTTCTCATATACATTTCTGTATCGCCTCTGTGGTAAAGGCATTTCATTTTTCTAATGGCATAAATATGATTAGAAGTCAAATAAATTATTTCATGTTCATTTCCAAAGACAAGACTTCTCTTTTGGACTTAGTGATTTTTGTCATAATTGATCTTCCATAAGATCAACTGTTCTGTTAAGGTAACATTTGTTTAAGTGAGGTCAGACCTTTTAAAGATCCATGCATATTCAATTTGATTTAAAGGTGGTTTTCTTTTCCAAAATGTAATGATTCTTAAGTAGCTAGCAGACATTTTTATAGCTGTTGAAGTAAAATATATGTACAATAGGCACTTCAAGAGTAAATAGTAACATGAGAACTGTAGAAATCTCTTGGATGGCAGCAGAGCAATAAAGTGTATAAAGTTGAAATACACTGTTGGGAAGTACACAGTAACCAAACTTGAGAGGTTATAAAGTACATGAGTATATTTGTATACCTTAAGTTTTATGTGTACATCAGGACAAATGTCACATCAGGACTGGTCTATCAGACATTATGATTTGTCATGATTTAATATAACTCATGGCGATGAATTGTGCATATGTTATAGGTGTGCTCATCTTGAGAAAACCTATCAAGGTAGTGTAAAACCTGCCCGTTATAAACCCTACATAGGTTGAAACTAAGTCTTTTTTTGCAAATTCTGGTGCCTATACTATTCTATCAACAAAATACTTCCCCATTAATGGTTTCTGTAATTTGTACTCTATTGTATAGTGACTGTGCTCCAGTCCTGTCTTCACGTTCACTTTCTTTGTTATCTAAGAGAGTTCTTAGGTGGACTTAAACAGCAGGACAAACTCATTTAGCCTGACCTTTTTAAAATTATTATTGCCTTTGTCTTGACCCTCTTTGCCCAGGGTAGGTAATGACAATTAGGGTCCAGTAGTTATCTTGAAAACATCAACAACAATCATGCCTTAAGGAAGAGGGAACAAAAACGAGAAGGAGCCTCATTTCCTGCTTATATCATAGAAATTCATGCCAGTACTGAAATTCCTACCTTCAGACCCTTTTATGTTCAGAAATAATAATAATAAACTCCAATTTCCTGTACATCACTGTTTTCCAGGACTCTCAGTTGACATGCAATTTCAACCAATGTAATAGCTATGTCATTTGCAAATAATGACCATTTTTCTTCATTTTCCCCATAGTTTTGCTACCTACATTGTATACGATTTTTGTTTGTTTGTTTGTTTTTGAAATGGAGACTTGCTCTGTCACCCAGGCTGGAGTGCAGTGGTGCAATCTCAGCTCACTGCAACCTCCACCTCCCTGGTTCAAACGATTCTCCTGCCTCAGCTGTATACAATCTTATTACATTGGCAAGACTTTACAAATCATGCTAAATAATAACAGTGACAGCTTCTTGGATCTAAAACTAAGTTGAACATTTTTCTAGGTCTCTAGGAGTCCTACCTGCCCTGTATGCAGGTCCCCAATATTTAATACATTCTAGTTCACATTCTGGTGGGCATCCTTAGAATTAACAGACCACTCAATTTGTTGCCATATCCAAATTCTGAGCTTTGACTCTACCTTTCAGGGGCTACTCTTCATTCATACTCAAAGTGATTGAAATGATTTCACTTTGACCCTGTTCCATTTGTAACTGCAGCGAATGTGCAGGAGAGTAATGCAGGGGATCATGTTGGAGAATGAGATGTTACTTATAATAGCCGATCAATGGTTTGGAAGCTACATAGAATTCTATGACTATTTGAAGTTTAAAAATAAGGTTGCTGAAATAAAATTAAAATCTGTGATATAAATGTGGAAAATTGTGCCAACTAAGTGAGATAAAAGCTAGCATTTAGCCTTTTATTAAAGGTCTTCAGGAAATTATATGTGGTCATAGAAATATTATATTTCAAAAGAGCCTTTCAAAGGAAATAGTACAGAACTATCTTTGGAGGCACTTTTGTGATTATGAAAGAGAATTATTCCCTGCAACTAGCATGCACCTAGCATGGGAGAACATGGCACCTACCATGGCAGAAATGGGAAAGTTATTTTTTTTAACATGTAAGTGCTTCTATCAATAAGAACAAATATTAAAGTGCAAAACAGAAAAAAACTCAATCAGATAATAAGTCCATTAAGAGTGATGTTGTAAAAAAATATGAGTTTCAATATCTGATGTATTAAAACTCTCCATCAACAACTGTAAAATAAATGTAATAATAATTTTGTTAGAAGTGAAGAAGTAACAGAAATTACAAAAGACAGAGTAAGAAATGCCTGAAGACATGGTTTGTTTGGGGAAGTGATTAAATGGCTACAAATAATAAGAAAGTATAATGGTGAATTACATATGTAGAAATATGACACATAAAGTATCCTTTATGGTAGTTAGAAATTTGTTATGTCAAAGACTGATTCACTTTTATTTCCATACAGTTCTCTTTCTTTGTCCTTCATAAGGACCTTTGAGAAAAAGAACATCACCTTGTAATCTTTAATATTAAAGAATCTCTAAAACTGGGGTCAAAAAGAAAAAAAGAAAAACAGCTGTTAAACGAGAATTTAAAAAACTGATTTCTCTCCTCTCAATTAGGAAAGAACTAAGCTAGGCTGAAAATTTATGAGAAGAGCTATAATAAGGAATAAGTGATAGCTCATGTATTGATACATCTTCTGCTCAACCTGATTCCATTCCCACCAATACATTCAGCTCTTGCCAGGAAAGGAAGGCAACAAAGAGACACAAAATACGAGCTCAGGAAACACATTGGTTGAACATAGAGTAACAGAATTGGAGTCTGGTGATTTGGGGACATTTAATCTTTCTACCTTGCTATCTCTCAGTATTGTGGCCTTGTCTGCATGCTAGTTCTACATAAATTTGAAGATAGCTGCTACACATCCAGCCACCTTCAAATGCTCATTCAAAACAACGCCCACAGGAATGTGGTTTGTTCAGAAATCCTCAGCCATCTCAATAGAATTTTTTAAGTGCAATGCTAAAGCAATTTTCCTGAAGAATGAAACTACCAAAATAAGCTTAATTTAGGTTAGGTGCAATGGCTCATTCCTGTAATCTCAGCACTTTGAGAGGCTAAGGCAGAGATCACTTGAGGCCAGGAGTTCAAGACCAACCTGGGCAACAGAGCAAGATCCCATCTCTACTAAAAATAAATCAACTAGCCAGGTGTGGTGGCATGTGCCTGTAGACCTAGCTACTTGGGAGGCTGAGGCCGGTAGATCACTTGAGCCCGGGGGGTTTGAGGCTGCAGTGAGCTATGATGATGCCACTGCATTCCAGTGTGATTGACAAAGTGATACTCTGTCTTTTTGTTAAAAAAAAAAAAGAGGTTAAGACAATAGAGCAAATGATGCACTGGGGCATGTTCCAGGGCAAGAATAATAGTGTTCTGTTTGTTTTGTTTTTTTCCAGTCAGGCACCAGTAGACAACAAAATGATATTAATATTATTTACTCTAATTCTGTTCTTAACACAAAATCTTATAATTTGCCTTCCCTGTTGCTTGTCTATGGGAAGATCATAAATATAGGAAGATAATACGGAAGTATTAAAATCTTGGCTGTTTCACAGCTGTTTCCCTCTCTAAAGTAATACATTGGCTTGCTGATTTCACTAAAGTAAGAAAAGAGATGATGTTACGGCCAAAAATTCCTGAAGCCAGCCATGTCAAACAAATCTCTTCCAAGGAAATTTTCTAGGATACTGTTTACAAGGTGGGAATAGAAAGTGACAATAAAAGTATAAATTGACTCGGCTTATCTCTATCTCTAACTTTAAGTGTAAATATTGAGATTATACTGTTTTGGCCAGCTTCACGGTATAGGAACTTGAAGCTTTGATAAGATCTTTAGAGAGAAAGTGTGGATGTCATTGATTCTATATGTATAAATGCAAGAATATATATCAGACACTACATGTCACTGAATCTAAAAAGTCATTAATTTAAAAATTACCATTATTTAATGGTATTTTAACCATTATTTCATTTACCACTAAGAAAATTCATGACCAAGTAAATGATGACATCATTGTCAAGAACTGTGAAGGATCTGAGATTTTATTCCACTCAAGTAAACCAAACAAATTAACTTTCTATAGTCTCACAAATGCTGGTAGAAGACATGAGGCCCCTTGGTCAGCAGGTAGAATATCAGCATTCTTATGCCGATTTTCCAATTGGTGATTCCCACTGGGCAAAGTGAAGAGGAGTATATGACATCTGTATACATAGTGAGCTGCATTACAGTGGAGAAATTGAGTGACTGGAACATGAATCTATTATAATGGGTAGTCAGATATTTTGTGGACATCTCAGGCAAGCAATTTTTAGGTCTCATTAGCAAAAACAAAATTACTTATGATGACAATCATTTCAAGTTTATGATATTATTAAATAAGATAAAATGTGTAAATGTATATGTAGGGTAATTGTCACATAATAAAAGTATTAAATAAATATTTGTTTTCTTTTTCTTTTTTTCTTCTCGTGTTTTCTGCTGTGAAAAAGGCACTCCAGAAATGTCACACCCTAGCTCCCCAAATTCTACAATCACTAACTACTTAAAACCTAACCTCTTAATAGAGAAAGATGTTGCATTTCAAAATTAGATGTTGCAATTCAAAATATCTGAGTTACAGATATTTCATAAATTAAATATTCACCTTATATGGGGTGATGAAAGAACAGCAGAATAGGTACATGTGAGGATACAAGTTCCTCAGTAAATGAAGAAAATATGGACATAAGAGGACCGAACATTCAGTAAATAAAACTGGAGTCATGAAGGACAGATGTAGCTTAGCTATTTAGTATTTGGATGAGTCCAGGCTTGCAACCACCCATATGACCTAGGCAATACATTTCCTTCCATAGACCTCTTCTACAAAATAGGACATGGAAAATGTTGGCCTAAATCCAAACTGGAACAGTTAGGGTATTTCTAACACTAAATAAACCAATTTATTCAATCAACTAACCAAGTGATCTATTAACAAGCACAATGAAATTGGAAAAGAATAAAGGGATGAATAAATGAATAAACAAATAAACAATTAAGTATAGTTCCATACTTTGTGAATCTTTTGTCACTATTTGGAAAGTATGTTGTGTTTCTGTAGTATTTCTATTTTCTATGTTTTATCAAGCACTGTAGGTTTGAAATAATTATATAACATTTCAAAGTAAATATGGATCACTGATGGTTAAATGGTCCCAGCACAAAGAAATGATAAACATCTGAGATGACAGCTATGTTAATTGTCCTGATCAGATCACTGCACATTATATGTATCACAAAATCCCTGTGTACCCCTTGAATATGGACAATTATTATTTGCTAATTTAAAAATTTAAATTAAAAAAGTATAGACCTTCTTGACTGGGTGCGGTGGCTCACGCCTGTAATCCCAGCACTTTGGGAGGCTGAGGCAGGTGGATCACTTGAGCTCAGGAGTTTGAGACCAGCCTGACCAACATGGTGAAACCCTGTCTCCACTAAAAATACAAAAATTAGCCAGTCATGGCGGCTGGCACCTGTAATCCCAGCAACTTGGGAGGCTAAGGTATAAGAATAGCTTGAACCTGGGAGGCAGAGTTTGTAGTGAGCCCAGATCACACCACTGTACTCCAACCTGGGTGGCAGAGCGTGACTAAGTCTCACACAAAAAAATAAAACAAAATTTCCTTGGTACGTCTACAGAAATATGCCACAATCATACATAACAAAACATACCTAAGATTATATACACATTGGGGAAAGATTTTAACTAAACTATTAACACAATATTTAATATATCATTATACATTATAGAATTTTTATAGTTTTCAAAAATTTTATAGAATATTTAGGAGGTCACCAATGGGCACAAAAAGTGTCATTCATAACTTCCAAAGGTAAAATTATATGTTCTGAATATAAATGGTGCCCTCAACTTCTGTACATCAGTTATAGTGTTTGGTTGTAGTTACGGACTTACTGAAAATCAATACAATGATGCCTTCAATTCAGATGTTCTTATTATTTAGTAAATCAAAGTCTTCTTGTCATCAAGATACTTCACTATTTTTTGTTAATAATTTTCAGACCTCTGCTCATTTATCATCTGTATTCCTTTTTTCTTTCCCACTAGAGGTTTCTGTCTCTGCAAGCCAATTATTCTTTAAAATAGCCATTTCAAATTAGATTGCTCTCTATTTTGACTGTGCAGCCCAAAAGGGCACAGGTTTCTGTCAATATGGCAATAAAAGAAAAGGAGCAGGAAAAAAAAAACCCCGCGGGCACACACACATACACAAGCACACACAATGTCACAAAACAAGACACTGCCAAAGGTAGTGAAAATGGGTAGAATGCTATGTACTGCCCTTTCCTCAATATTAAAATTGCATACTTAGGGCTTCCCTTTCACTAACTAAATCCCCAGTGGAAAAAAATGATTCTTAGGCAGAGTTTTTATCAGGTGAAGACATCGAAAACTGACAGTTGGCTTCCAAATCAAAAGGTGAGAGAAGGCAATGTGTATATGCTGGCCTATAGCAATAGTGAGAAACACTTATGCCAGCCCATGTAGACACTTATGCCAGCCCATGTAGACAGCCTCACGAGGGGTGCTTCAAGTTTCTCACATGAAACCTAGCCTAGCCTGACAAATTCCTGTGAAAGCCACAGCCCACGTAATCTACAACTGCTGCTCACAACATAGCTGCCTCATCCATCCTGTCACAAAGACAGCACTTCATTGAACCGCAGGCTTATTGAGGGCTGCACCTCAGCACTGAGACAAGTGATGCCTTCACCATCCATTCCTTCAACAAGCTGTCGTAGTGAATATCTGGCTTCATGTTTATCCATAAAAAAGTCAGAAGGGTAATTTCAAATCAAATACCACGCTTACATGAAAGAAATTAGAAGTGGGTGGTGAGAAATAAGGCATTTAATAGCATTTAAGTCTAATTCTTACCCCTATTCCCTGCCCAAGACCTCTCCCTCCGTGGTAATGCCCATTCTTCTCTTTGCCTGTTCTTCAGGGTCATTTTAAAGCTCTCATCCTCTATGAAGTCTTCCCTAAATGTTTCTAGCCATAACAATTCCTCTTACCACTGAACTAGTGTATTACTTATGGTTTACAGGGTGCATTTCACTCTTTATCATTTTCTAGTTATTCTGTGAATTAAATTATGATTTTCTATGAAAAGAAATAATTATCTTTATAGAACTATTTTCTTATGTGTCTTTGTACTAGATTAGGGATAGAGAGAACAACCACAAATCATGGACCTTGTTCACATGAAGGTTACTTTTTATTGGAAGGAAACAGACAAATGATGAAATAAAATATATTCACATAGTCATAGGTGACATGCAGAAATTATAACATGCTGATGTGATATAAATGGTGGGAGTGAGGACAGCATTTTACCTTGGGAGATTAAGAAACACCTCTCACAGGAAGCAGTATATGAGCTGAGCTCTAATGTATGATAAAGAGCTAATCAGGCACCCACCTAGAAGACTGTACCAGGCAGATGGGACAAAAAATTACCAATTGGTTAATTGAATTTTATTGCCTTCAGGGAGAAAAACATTTAGCTCTGTCTCCACAATTTGGTCCCCATTATACCTCTTGGCTTTTTAGCCTTGCCCCAACTCTTCAGTTTATCTTTTTAATCTCTCCAATTGTGTTCCCTTAACACTTTTCCTTACCTCCAGGAGTGGGTAAATAATATAGGAGTGAAGTTGATCTAAAGAAAAATTAGAAATGGAGAGGTTAGTAGGGAAAAATGGGTGTTAATACAAAATTAATGAGGAAGAGAAATACACAAAGATCTGACAAAAAAGGGGAGATTATCTCTGGATAACCTACGGAAGAGCAAAGTGATATAGTTTTATTCAAATTGTTTTGCTCTTTCTATGGAAAACAGAAGCATATTGTTCTATGCTTGAATCATATTGTTCTATGTTTGAATCATATTGTTCTATGCAGGCCAGAAATGAGCTCAAACTTTCCTTTCCCAGCAAGAATGGCACTAAATTTTAAAATTAAGGACATCACCCAATGAATTAGGACACCAAGTTTGCTTTAAATACTCTTTTGGGGGAGGAAACACCACACTTCTATTTAATTAAGAGAAAAATAAAAGAGCTAACTTTGGAATCCAAAACTTGTTATTTTATGCATTTTATTTATGCTGTTATGGCATGAATTCATAGAGAATAGGTTCCAACAGCTTAAGCCTCTTTCGACTGGTTCTCAAAGTGTGTTTCTCAGGGTGGAGCAGGCTGATTCTTCAGGTGAACCTAGGTACCTTTCTATTTGGCTTCCTTCTTTTTCTGATTTTCCCTCACAGATTTTAGAAAACTATCTTAGCTCTTAGAGTGCTTAATACACCCAATACCTACATTAGTTCTCTTTGCAAGAATCTTGGCTTTAACTTGCTTATTTACCAAGATGACAACAGCATCCTGGGTAACATTGTAGACTCTTCTAGTTTTGTCACGGTAACATCTGCGGGCATTTCTTTCTGATCAGTGCTCATTCCCTTGATGTATACAATATTTCCTTTCTTGTAGACTCATAGGTATATGGCCAAAGGAAAAATTCCAAGTTTTCTAAAATGCCTAGAGAGCATACAATGGGTGTCCTTCTTCTTTCTTTTTGTGTTTGTCATGTTGGTGGATCACTGGAAGATGGAAGTTCCAGCTGAACAGAGCTCAAACTTGTTATTGCATGTAAAAACAGCACCTAGTGTTTTACTATAATTTTGAGGGGAAGCACGTGGAAATACAGCCCTGAAGGATGCCCCACTTTAGAGAAGACAGGCCAAGCAAGGCTGTCTGAAATGACTACCAATGCTCCCTGATCTTGTCTTCACAAGAAATCAGAAGTCCCTTCTGATTTAGCATCTTTGACTGATGTAACTGAGGATTCACATCCACTTAATTCGGTGAAGTTTCTATAAGTGTCTCTCAGTGACTGACATTCTTATGATACCAAATACCCTCTCTGTATGTGCCACTACCCCTCCTCTTGATTAATTCATTCAAGAATACTACACATACAAATATTTTAATAAGCTCAGGAGAAATGGATCTGTGCTGTGGTAACTAAGTAGGAAAATGAGGTATCAGGAGGTGGTGCTGCCACTATAAAACATTGTTTTTTGCTTGTTTTTTTGTTTTTTGTTTTTTTTTTCCTGATTGATGAGGGTAATAGTTTTGTCTAACTTCAGATCTGGAAAGCCCTTTTAGAACATAGCTTAAATACAAGCCCTTTCAGGAAATAGTTTAAAAGCATATTTTAATATTTATGTGAGAAAGTGTCTGAAGGATTTACATCACAATAAAATATCAATTGCAAACATACTATGTTAGTCATATTATTAAGAACTATTTAACTTGGTATTTCACATTTCATGTCTTCATTAAACTATTGTGGTCCTTACTCCCCTCTAGTTCTCCCATGTCCCTCAGGAGGGAGAAATGGTTAATAACATTTTCATTTTATTTCCTAGAACTATGAGAACTATTCACAATTCAAATTTGTTGAGAATGTTTGAAGTTGTTTCAAAGAACAAAAGAGAACATAAAAATATTCTTAAGAATTTAAATATCGGCTCATTTTAAAAGCAAGCATGTTAAAAGCTTCCATGTATGTCTTGAAGAGTGTTTCCCTCTTTATGTTTCTAGAAACCTTGACTTTTTAAAAGTAGTTCTAGGAACCTGGAACTACTGAACTGAAGAGGGCATTTGAGGTGTCAGGAGAGTAGGTGTAAAAGCATAAAGTCATGAAATAGCTGAACTATAAACATATGCATTCAACATATGAATTTGGACTGCACCCTGTAGGTGCACAGAGCCACTGCAAATAAACATGAAAGCAATATAATCACATTTGCATTAAAAAAAATTCTGGTGACAAAGTAGAAAATGCAATGTAGAGAATAAAGCTGCATGCAAAATTACATAGGAAAAACAGTCTAGGTTGGAAATAAAAATTAATTTTAAAGGTGGGAAATAAAGACATGAACTTGGGCAAAGGAGATGGTGCTAAGACTGGAGAAATATATATATATATATATATATATATATTTTTTTTTTTTTTGAGGCAGAGTCTCGCTCCATCGCCCAAGCTGGAGTGCAGTGGCTCAATCTCCGCTCACTGCAAGCTCCGCCTCCTTGGTTCACGCCATTCTCCTGCCTCAGCCTCCGAGTAGCTGGGACTACAAGCGCCCACCACCATGCCCAGCTAATTTTTTTTTGTATTTTTTTTTTAGGGGAGGCGGGGTTTCGCCGTGTTAGCCAGGATGGTCGTAATCTCCCGACCTCGTGATCCACCCGCCTGGGCCTCCCAAAGTGCTGGTATTACAGGCGTGAGCCACCGCCCCCAGCCAACTGGAGAAATATTTAAGAGATAAGATCAACAGAGAAAGGAATGTTGGACCCTCTCAGGATTCTGGTCATTTTTATTAGACAAGTATTTACTGATCGTCCTTAGTGTGTATATTAATATTCACCTACAAGAATCAATTCATCAAGGAATCTTACATTATCAAGTGGACTTCTATGATAAAATATTGTTATGTAAGAAAGTATTCTAATACAACAATATCTCATTTTTGTAAGCCATGCACGTCACTATGTAATTTAAAAGTGTTTAAGTAAAACCTTGCTCCCATCCTGAGGCTCCTGATGAATAATAGCTAGATGCTCACTGAGGTGCCTCACCCAAAACTGACTTCCAGTTGCTGAATAGTTAAATGATGCTGACCATGAGCGATCTACTTTTGCTTTAAATGTCTCTTCTAGAATTGTTTTTTAGTTCTCCTAAATGTTCTTTATCGTTTCATTTTAATAATATGGTATCCCATAGTTTCCATTGCACATTAATAATTAAATTTTAATAGGCTTATGTTAATTTTAACAGGCTTACAGTTATTTAATAAAAATCTATTAACATCTGGTATTCCTGAAATAACAGAATCTATTTCCCTTTTTTAACTGTGTATTTTCCAAACACACATAACCTGAGGATTATTAGTATATAGTATGTCAACACCTAACAAAACAATAATCCAAGAAATGCACTTTGGAGACTACTACTAAAGAACTGTAAAGATGATTTGCTTATGAAAATGCCCGAACAAATAGAAGATAGTTGTTGCTAAATGTTCTCCAAGGAGAAATGTGTGTGTAGGTGTGTGTGTATGTATGTGTGACTAGACAAAACATTTTATTACTGATTTCAATAGGGACAGAAAAACAGAACTGATTAATTTTAGCCTATAGTTAAGTTATTCCTTATGTACACTTTAATATAAGGTGTCATCTGTTATATAGTAAAAAAATTTACTTATTTTATGAACTGTCAGATAATTATTACACTGACTACAGCTAGAAACAAGAAGAAAATTCTCATATTTATATGCACGTGTGTATCAGCATATGTATTTGTCTGCATGTATCCATGTATATAAATCCATACTGAGGTTTAGCTATGAGAAAGTGGTAAAGATGAAAATAGTGAAGCTCCTGTAATCTCATAAAGGCTTTAAAAGATTGGAAGAAAGCTGATGTTGCAAGCTGGTGCTTTGACCCATGGAGGTGCTAGTTATATAAATAATGTTGAAAGATTTCTCCTTTTATACAAATGAAAGGATCAGTGATGCTAGAGGCTCCTGGTACGAGAGCCATAATATAGCAAGGCCATGAGTGAGGGATTGATATCAAGGGAATTTGACCAATTAAAACTGTAGCAATGTGGATGGACCAGACAGATCAAGGCATGTTATTTCAAAGGGCATTGGTGTAAGCTGGAAATGTAAGGACAAGAGTCATGAAGATCAAGGCTGCTGCCTTCTGACCAGTCTGTCTACTGCTGTCCTTTTGAGGCAGCCTAGATCTAAATTGAACCAAGTCTCCTTTAAGTGACCTTCTTATGCAAGAGGGCTAGAGCAGTCACTCTAACTTGGTTGTCTTAATTTTACTTCAGACTAAAGTTGGGCGAATGATTTAAGAAATTCACTTTTTTAAAAAGACTAGCGATTTTAGGACAATTTTGCATATGTTAAACATATTTTATATGCTAAATTAGCCATTTAACAGATTTATCACAATGCAAAATCACATGTCTTCTCAAGTTCACTATTTTTACAGTCTGGTGAAAATGGCAATTCCTATGTTCTAGTCTGATTATAGTTAGAAAAGCAAAGAGAGATTTCAGAGACAGAAGAAAAAATCTTATAGTAATCAATAATGTCATCCTTAGGTAACATATTCCTAGATGGGATATCCATACATATGATAACAACAATCATTTAATATTTCATAGATTCTGAGAGCTAGAGATTCGAAAATAGTTTAGCTGGGTATTTATGTCTCAGTGTCTCTCATGAGGCTGCAACCGTATGTGACATCAGGTGTGTTATAGACTGGAAGTTTGTGTTCCTCCAAAATTCATATGTTGAAACTTTACTCCCTTCCCAGTGTGATGGTTTTAGAAAGTGTGGCCTTTGGGAAGTAATTAGGATTTGGTATGGTCATAAGGATAGAGCCCTTATGAAAGGACTAATGCTGATATGAAAACAGACTAATACAAATGGGATTTGTGCCCTTATAAGAGTCTAAGAGTTACAGAGAGCTTGTGTCTCCTTTCTGCTATCCTGTATGTGAGGATACAACAAGAAATTGGCAGTCTGCAACCCTGAAGAGCACTCTCACCAGAGTCTGACAATTCTGGCACCCTTCTCTTGGACTTCTAGCCTCCAGAACTGTGACAAATAAATTTATGTTGTTTATAAGCCACTTGGTTTATGGTATTTTGTTAGAACAGCTCAAATTGACTAAGACAGGTGCTGCCATCTCATGGGTCAATGAAGAGAAGATCACTTCTAAATCCACTTACATGGCTCTTAGTTCTCAAGGATCTATGTCCAAACTCACTCATATACCTGTTGACAAGGTTCATATCTGCTTCCAAGTTCACTCATGTGGGACTCTCCACAGGCTGCTTCGGGACATGAAAACTGACTTCTCCCAGAACAAGCAAATGTAATAAAAAATGAGAAACACTTAAGACAGAAGTCATAGAGTTTTTCATGCCTGATGTCAGAATTGCCTACCCAACACTTCTCCTTGTATTCTATTCCTCAGAAATGAATTCATTTAAGTCCAGCTCACAGTCAAGGGGACAGAATTATACAAGGGCATTCATGCTGGGAGGTGAGGATCATTGGTGATATTTTTGTGGCTGCCTACAACTTAAAGAAAATAAATTAATTGAGTCCTCAAAAAGTTAACTGACTTGACCAATAGAACATGAGTTTCTTGACAAATTAACATTTAAGTGTCTACTTCTAGGAATAACATATAGCTGCTGAACAATTTTGAATGGTAATATTTTGGCATGATATTAAAGCCAACTGTTATAAGTAACACCTAAATAAGTAAAATGTATAGGAGTGAATTTGGTACCATGAACATAAGACAGTAATCTTTGAATTTATTATGGTGAAAATTACAAAGTTTGTAAATTTTAACAGCAGTGCAATTTTTAAATTCTTTGCTACATAATGTAAGTTAGCAGTGGTATCCTTCTCCTACAAATATTGGTAGTTGAATGCAAACTATTTGTAGCTTGTTTGGTATTGACATCAATCGTCCAATATTTCCCTATCAAGAGACAAAATAGACAATTTTGAAATTAACACTTTAGCACCAAAACAGAAACAGCAGAGTCCATCATCCTTACAGTGTTTGAAAAAAAGCATCTGGTTCAATTTCAGGTATTCCAAAGCAACAATTTCTTATAGTTACAGACCTTAAGTTATAAAAGTATTCTTAGAAATCATGTGGTTTAATGGTAATTAAACTTACTTTTGAGTGCCTACTCTGGAGCAAGGAGGGGCTAGTCATAGCAAACATGAAATGCAAAAGTCCCAAAATGGAAGCATGATTAGCATGTTTGTGCAAACGGCATAGATGCCCAGAGAACAGGTAATGCAGAGACAGCAAAAGAAACTTGGAAAAGGGTCAGAGTATGTAGAAGGGTTCAGCTTACACAGGGCCTTGTGATATCATTATGGAGCAAGCTGGAGAGAGCCTAAGTGATAAGATATCATTGAAGAGTCATAAGCACAAAAGTGAACTGTCTTGACTTATCTTTTTAAAAGCATTATTCAGGCTATTCTGTTGAGAATAGACTATACGGTAACAAGAGTATCAAAGAGGACCAGCTGGGAGGTTATTGCAATAATGTGAGTGAGGAATGATAACGGTTTGGAACATGGTAGCTAACAGTGGGGCTAGTAGGAAATGATCAGAGTCTGGATGTATTTTTGAAAATAGAAGCAGTAGGACTTGGGTCACTTATGGGCTGTGAGAAAAATAGAAAAGTAACAAATGAAATCAATTGTTTTATTTTAGTAGTTAAATCTTTTCTTTAATTAAAATAGTTAGAATAAGTAGGAACAGAATCAAACTGTTTAAGGAAGGGGTGATGAGCTCAGATCTCTCACCCAAGTCACCCCTTTGCCCTTGATATCTTTCTGAGGGCCTAGACCTGTACACCTCTTCAGAGAATAGTTTGAAAAACACTTGCAGTGGGTACACTTTTCTCAATCCATATTTTTTTAATTTTTATTTTTTACTGTAACTGAACTTAGTTTTTGTCTCAAACTTTTATTTCAAGTAATCATCAAAACTATGATCTTATTAAATCTCAGATAAACACTGTCATTTCAGGTTTAGTACCTTTAATTTAGTCTAGTCCCCTCTACAGCTTTTTGCATCCAGGGATTTTTTTATCTTTTTTATTATTATACTTTAAGTTCCGGAATATATGTGCAAAACGTGCAGGTTTGTTACATAGGTATACACGTGCCTGGTGGTTTGCTACACCCATCAACCTGTCATCTACATTAGGTATTTCTCCTAATGCTATCCCTCCCCTTGCCTCCCGCCACTGACAGGCCCCAGTGTGTGACATTCCCCTCCCAGTGTCCATGTGTTCTATTGTTCAACTCCCACTTATGAGTGAGAACATTTGGTGTTTGGTTTTGTGTTTCTGTGTTAGTTTGCTGAGAATGATGGTTTCCAGCTTCACCTATGTCCTGGCAAAGGACATGAACTCATTCTTTTTATGGCTGCATAGTATTCCATGGTGTATATGTGCCACATTTTCTTTATCCAGTCTATCATTGATGGGCATTTGGGTTGGTTCCAAGTCTTTGCTATTCTGAATAGTGCTGCAGATAACATACATGTGCATGTGTCTTTATAGTAGAAAGATCTATAATCTTTTGGATATATATCTAGTAATGGGATTGCTGGGTCAAATATTTGAAGTAGCTCTATCAAGTTCCCTATAGTGCTCAAGGTGGATAAAAATGCGACTTCATTCTATTGTACTTCAGTAAATTAAAGGAGACAAAAGAAAGAGGCATACATATGTAGAACATATCTCAAAATAATGAGCTGTTTATGACAAACAGGTATTTCTGGTTCTAGATCCTTGAGGAATCGCCACACTGTCTTCCACAATGGTTGAACTAATTTACACTCCCACCCACCGTGTGAAAGTGTTCCTATTTCTCTACATCCTCTTCAGCATCTGTTGTTTTCTGACCTTTTAATGATCGCCATTCTAACTGGTGTGAGATGGTATCTCATTGTGGTTTTGACTGGCATTTCTCTAATGACCAGTGATGATGAGCTTTTTTTCATGTTTCTTGGCTGCATAAATGTCTTCTTTTGAGAAGTGTCTGTTCATATCCTTTGCCCACCTTTTGATGGGGTTGTTTTCTTCTCATAAATTTGTTTAAGTTCTTTGTAGATTCTGGATATTAGCCCTTTGTCAGATGGATAGATTGCAAAAATGTTCTCCCATTCTGTAGGTTGCCTGTTCACTCTGATGATAATTTCTTTTGCTGTGCAGAAGCTCTTTAGTTTAATTAAATCCCATTTGTCAATTTTGGATTTTGTTGCCATTGCTTTTGGTGTTTTAGTCATGAAGTCTTTGCCCATGCCTATGTCCTGAATGGTATTGCCCAGGTTGTCTTCTGGGGTTTTTATTGTTTTAGGTCTTAAATTTAAGTCTTTAATCCATCTTGAGTTAATTTTTGTGCAAGGTGTAAGGAAGGGGTCCAGTTTCAGTTTTCTGCATATGACTAGCCAGTTTTCCCAACACCATTTATTAAATAGGGAATCCTTTCCTCATTTCTTCTCTTTGTTAGGTTTGTCAAAAATCAGATGGCTGTAGATGTATGGTGTTATTTCTGAGGCTTCTGTTATGTTCCATTGGTCTATATCTCTGTTTTGGTACCAGTGACATGCTGTTTTGGTTACTGTAGCCTTGTAGTATAGTTTGAAGTCAAGTAGCATGATACCTCCAGCTTTGTTCTTTATGCTTAGGATTTTGTTGGCTATATAAGCTCTTTTTTGGTTCCATATGAAATTTAAGGTAGTTTTTTCTAATTCTGTGAAGAAAGTCAATGGTAGCTTTATGGGAATAACTTTGAGTCTATATATTACTTTGGGCAGTATGGCCATTTTCACAATATTGATTCTTCCTATCCATGAGCATAGAATGTTTTTCCATTTGTTTGTGTCCTCTCTTATTTCCTTGAACAGTGATTTGTAGTTCCCTTTGAAGAGGTCCTTCACATCCCTTATAAGTTGTAGTCCTAGGTATTTTATTATCTTGGTAGCAATTGTGAACAGGAGATCATGCATGATTTGACTCTCTGTCTATTATTGGTGTATAGGAATGCTTGTGATTTTTGCACTTTGATTTTGTATCCTGAGACTTTGCTGAAGTTGCTTATCAGCTTAAGGGGTTTCTGATCTCAGACAGTGGGGTTTTCTAAATGTACAATCATGTCATCTGCAAACAGAGAAAATTTGACTTTCTTTCTTCTGATTTGAATACCTTTTATTTTTTTCTCCTGCCTGATTGACCTGGCCAGAACTTCCAATACTATGTTGAATAGGAGTGGTGAGAGAGGAATGGTGAGAGAGATTGTCTTGTGCTAGCTTTCAAAGGGAGTGCTTCCAGCTTTTGCCCATTCAGTATGATATTGGCTGCGGGACTGTCATAAACAGCTGTTATTATTTTGAGATATGTTCTACATATGTATGCCTCTTTCAACTGTTTTGTCTCCTTTAATTTACTGAAGCACAATAGAATGAAGCCACATTTTTATCCATCTTGAGGGCTATAGGGAACTTGATAGGGCTACTTCAAATCCTATTTGCCACTTAGAACTTGAGTGATTATCTAATTTATCAGCCAAAACTAGGACATGCTGTCATGGATAAATGTTACTGAAAAGCAGATGTAAATCATAAATGTCCTGGGCAAACTAAACTATATAATTATCCTACATCCAACTCTGATAACCATCTATCTTCTCTTGCTCTCATGCCACAATGACACCCCAGAGCATTTGCAAGGCTGCCATTTTTAGGTTTAACTGACACTTCTGGAGAGCAAGGGCTCCTTTATACTCTCAGATGCGCAAACTTATCTGAGATTTTATTATCCCAAACTTGGATGCTAAGGCTCAGGGTTGACATATCTGAGTTTTATTATCCCAAACCTGGATGCTAAGGCTCAGGGTTGACAAGTCAGAGCACAAAGCCTCTTCATTCACTGTGGTCTACTTTGATTTCCCGTCATTCTCATGTCTAAACCTCAGCCCAGAGTTTCAATTTCTTATAGTATGGGAACAACTTACCCAGAAAGTATTCTTCCCGAACTCCTAATTTTACCTGTGGACTGTGACTTAAAATTCAAGCATGTACAGTTTCCATTCACTGGCTTGACTAACATGACTTTGTGGCTCAAATGGGCACTTGTATGGAGTTACAGGGAAGAATAAGGTGATGTAAAAACACAATAGGAATTTATATATAAAATCATTCATGCAACATTCACCAAATAAAATCATTTTATAAATGGCATTACTTATATCCCAGATTACATAGTTAGATAATAGCAGAGTTGGGATGCCAAATTAGTTCCAATGCCTCTACTATTGGCCTTGATTGTTTAGAGGTACCTTTAAAAAATCTGAATTGTTTAGTTCATGTTCTTATTGCCTCCACTCTCCCACCGAGTAATACTGTTTCATTTCTTAAATCTTTAGGCTTTATAATATGCATGACAGCTTGAGATAAACTCAAAGTGTCTGCTTTCTCTCAATATATGCCATCTTCTTGATTTAATACACTATATTTTAAAGTTATCTCACTCTATTTTAAAGGCCAGTTACTATAAAATATGTAGAGAAATAATTCAATCAATTAGTTTAAGTGAAAAAAGGAAATCTTGATATAAGATAATATTGCTATAAAAATTACAATGATTTCAAAAATTTGATTCCAGAAATTACTGGAGTTTTATGATTTACTGAGTATAGTAAAATGTATCCACCACCTTACACTGAGTTTCAGAAGCTTAAATGTGTAAAAGGTTGAAATTTTTAAAATTGATGGCATCTCGGGATAGTTAAAGATTATACTATTCCATTTATAAAATGACTATTAACCAACAGGGAGCAATTCAGAACATGCTATGTTTCCAAGAGGAGGTAGATTGTAGCATGTAAGGCTAGAATACTGAAGACACAGATTAGAAACATAAAAAGGAAATAACTCATTTTGTGAATATGGAAAAATAATCTAAGTATAAAACTAAAGTTAAATGTGTGTTCATATAAACCCCCTAATTCTCACTTAGAGTTTATATAATTTAATTCAAAATATTTTATTGATTCTACTTGAATCTACATACGCAATAGGATTACAAAAAAAAAAAAAAAAAAAAGAACTTGTTAAATTGAGCAACTGAATTTTCCTTAGGAGTAACTTAGTGAACTACCTATAATACTAAAGAACAACAAAATAATAAAGTAAATGAAAATGTGCTCTTTCAAATCATTTACATACTCATCTATTCATTTATTTGTCATTTTTTAATATCAAGTATTGTTTAGGTTCTATTCTTTGAGGGCTAACATAGTGAACAATACAAAGTACCTACACTCAGAATAACTTACAGTCTAATGAGGGGAAGAGTCCATTTAGATAAATTTAAAAATAGCTACTTAGAACTATAATATGAAGTACTTTTGAGCTATGTAAAAATAAAATGGGTAAGAGGATAAAAAACAAAAGAGGTAGAGAGTGGAGTGTGCTATTTCAAATGTCAGAGATCTCGTTCCCTAGGGAAGAGCCTGAGTCAAGGGTAACTTTCAAATGATTTATTGAAGTGTTTTCAGGCCAAGGGGTGAAATGGAAGTGGAAAAAGGAGAGGAAAAAAGCATAACAAGAATGTGGTATCCTCCAGAAAGTAGCTTCAGTCTAATTTCATAGGGAAGTTAGGGACATAAATTGCCTTGCAAACTTGAACTCATGCCTCTGTTAGTGACTGACCAATGCTTCTTGATTAAGTATTTTAAAGAGAGGGTACAGTTTCAGAAGCTTCCTTCTCACTTTCCTTCTATCTCTCATTCCACAGATCAAGGAAAAAGGGTGAAGGTTCTGCCAACATAAATCCAGTGGACCCACTTTAAGATGGACCTGAGCTCTGTTTATAACTTGATCACATAATTCTGAGTTTAACAGGGAGGACATTTTGGATCTTAAATATCAGTGCCAACTCAGATTCTGCATCCAAGAATCCTCTAAAGCCCTGGTATTCTCCTTTCCCAAATGTGTAGCTACCTAAATAAATGTCCATCAGTCCTTCTTCAGAGGAGCTCAGGAGATCACTGCTGCTCAGTCCGTGAGCTCTGGGGCTGAGAAGTGGCTCTTGTGGAGAAATTGAACAATGGATCACGACCTTCCTTTGAGGCAGGTGAGCTCCACTTCTTGTTTATTCTTGAACTTCTAATACATAGGTATTAAGCAGTAACCTGTTGACTGCTTATCTGTCTTGCCCCAAGAATATGATGGATCCCGTCACATCATATCAAAAGCCACATGCCATTTGAATTAATTTTCAAGTATTTTCATGTATTTCACCAATTTTACATGATTAATGTTACTAAATTATATTCTTCATATTATAATTTTGACAATTAAAATTATATGTTAAAATGTTTAACATTTAAAATATCTCTCTTTAGTGTGAAAAAGAGAACTATTATGCATTAGGCACTGTATTTGTCATTGTGTTAACTTAGAAATAGAAGTACTGTATTCAATTGCTATGGTAATTTTGGAGCGCCAAAGACAAATTTTCTAAAACTCAGTTCTTCCAATCTCTACTAAAAAATATTTACCCTATAATACCTTTCAGCTTTGAAGTTCCACATTAACATTAAATAGGTTTTGTTGATAAATATAAAAGCCCTCTATAAATATCATTTACATAATTATGTTCATTTGTGCAGAATATTTTAGGTATGTAATATTTTAGAGACTATATGTGCATACATATATGTGTGTGTGTTTAGATATACAGAGAGAGAAATTAATATATAAATTATAACATGACTTAGAACACTGATAATTTTTTACCAATAACCATTTTTAGCTCATAGAATGTTACTTTCTTTTCACTTTTTAAAATTTACTATCCTGGTCCTAAAATATGAACTTTTTAAAAAATGTTAATTTAAATCTAGTCTTTCCAATACATGACTTTTTTTGCTTCCATAAAGGCCTCCTTGTAAAAGCTACAAAAGACTCTAACACTTCAAATGGTTCCCTCAGATATTTCGAAAAGTGTAAATGAATTTTTTAATCTTCTGGCAGATTCATAATGCCCTGCAGATGTGTCCCTGGCTGAGAAAATCACATGGACGTCTATAAGAGGAATGCTGTCCCCCAACAGCTGCTGTATTGCTTCCGGTGCCTAAAGTGTTGTTCCCAGCTGCCATTTCATCCTTCCTAGAGTGCTTTTATGTTACAAACTTCAAGTTAGTAGAGCTTCTGTTATTACAGCAGTTCAGGAGCAGCTTTCTTCGACAAACTCCACTGCATATGACATGAGATTCAAATGAGAAAACAGTCATTGAGTCACTTTAAAAGTTACTTGTCAAAAGCAAAATTTCCCTGGGAGGGGAGAGACAGAGCGATGGAGAGAAGGCAGAGGAAGAAGTAGAGAGGGAAAGAGGAAGGGAATGAGAGAAGCTTACACTGAAGCAATTTGTTTATTGTGTATTTTATATGTAGAACATGTTTTTTCACCCAGAAAAGCCTGTATGTATAAGGAAATACCACTGAGGCATGTTCTTCAACAATATTTGTGCTGAGGAACCCCAAGGGCAGACAGAAAATGGAAATAATTCAATCTGAACATTGCTCAATGGTACAACTCAAAAATTCTCACCCATGAATCATGACCTCTCATAAACTTAGTTTACAATATCAGATTTTTAACATTTACTTAAAGTGATCTACAAAAGTATAGTTTAATTGTATGAATTAAAATAGCACAATTACATATAGCACAAATATATCCTGAGCATGACACTGGCTATTTCATATCACCTCTACTGTTCTATACATGTTTTTAATGAGATGTGGCTTAATAGGTAAATTTTACTTGTTACTAGATGTCATTTTTTTTCTACAAGCATCAGGCATTTTATTTCAGTACTTCATTTTTCAATTTCATTTTCTCATCATAAAATGTATTCATTTTAAAGATCTCCTAGTTTAACAGGTATTCACTTCAGAGGGCTTTCCTGGAATGGATTTTCTACCAGGGGGGTAATTTATAATATTGAGTACTGTCTCTCAAGCAAAAAAGGAAATTGGTAGATAAACATTCTCAATACACCCTCAGTATTTGCAAGTGCAGTCTTTAAAATAAGACAGATACAGTTGAAGCAGTTTAAATGGTGTATGATGCAGTGCCTAACATGTGTATACATTTAGTCCAAAATATCTTTCTTGGTATACTGTAGTAAAGCATTTGTAAAGTCTGAAACCCAGTCATGTTTTAAGATAACCTGAAGTGCAACTTTTATTTTACAACACATATACCTATTATAATAACATTCTATTTTAAGAAATCCTTACATAAAAACACAGCTTTATAATATACATATATTATTTTTAATGTTAATATATTTACCAAAGCTTTCTAACTTTTTTCACAATTAATGCTTTTTTGTAAAAATTGATTTTAAAATCAAATTTTAGATATATATCCATTTTCAGGAAAAAATGTCAAAGACTACATCTAACATATAAATTCATGGGAAAATCGGCATGTAACATCAGTCTTTTGGTATTGAGGTCTCATTTGAGGAGAAATTCTATTTCTGCATCTAAGTTCCAAATTATACTTTATGAGCATATATTGAATGGGAAATTAGAAAACACATTTTACAAAAGCATTTTGATTGACTTCCTAAGCCTTCTTCGCCATTCTGGTTGTGCAGAAACTTCTGATACGTGGAGACAGTGACATCATATGTTGAACAGCAAAGGCCTTTCCAGAACTTCATTCATTCATGTAGCACAAACTCACCAAGTACCACTGTGGGCCACAAACTTATTTTTAATGTGATATGAATTCAGCAGTTGGCAAAAACAGTCTTTTCTCCATGGTACTTAATTCTATTTGGATATTTTTTATGTAAACAAATATTTCAGACAGTGACAAGAGCCATAAAGAATATTAAGCAGTGTAAGGGATGGGACTGACTTAGGGTTGTGGACTGGGAAGGGGGTTTTTTAATATTTGGTCAGAGAGAGGCTTGCTGAGAAAAGGACGTATGAACAGAGAATGACATCATGAGAAAGAGTGAATCATTCAAAGATCTCAAAAAGTGATGTTCCAGGTGAGGGAAGAGAAGAATAGGGAGAGAGACAAGAAACTTAGACAAGATCAGCTGGAATCTTGTGAATCATGGTTTCTAGCATTCGTTTATTCTAGCTGAAAAGGGAAAGCATTAAGGTTTTAAGCAAAGAAGTAACATGCTAAGATTTCAAATTTTTAAAGATCATATTAGAGAGAAATATTGTAAGCATTCCAAGGAGCTATGAGCAAGTTGAAGGCAAGGATAATATCTAGAAACTATACTTTTGTATTTCCGTTACCCAACACAGGCCTAGACATCATGATAGTTAATAAATGTTTGTATAATTACTGATTTCAAAACAGTTATGAAATTGCAATAGACAGAAAGCAACCTTAATCCTACCCCTGGAAGTGTTCTAGTTATTTGAGAAAATATTTTAACTGTTGGTCTATTACTTGCAACTGGGAAAATATATTCTTTCATCATCTGTATGTTATTTACCAAAGAATTTCGTTTCTAGGAGTAAAATTCCAGTAACAGGTCATTACCTCTGCCCACATTGTCCAAAAGGCAAATTTCCTTTATGGGGCAACAAAATAGTTTCTTTATACCCACTGAAGCGGCATGATTTGTAAATATGATTTTCTAGAATGTTCACTCATAATCCACAGAGAACTTGGTATGTTCAATATATACTTTATTTAAAGGAAAACAATCCTAATATATTATAAAAGTTTCTATATTAAAGCTTTCACTGTGTACACATGAAACAGTGAATAAAGACTACAAGAATTTCTCATAGTAATCATATAGTCAAAGTCTCTATCAATATTAAAGGGTGATTTTATTTTGAAATTTATTATTTGACTAAATGTTTTCAAACTTGGATCTAATTCCTGGTGAAACTGATAGCACATATTTAGAAATGATACTTTTTTTAGTATAGTCATTACACAGGCATTATTTCTTCTGGGAGTGTTTTAAACATGAGTCCCTTTTTCACGCTTCACTCATTTTCAATCACATTTCAGTTTCATCATGTGGAGAATAAAGCCCTAATTCATTGACACATACAATTTACCACATTGATGTTTGGGTGGACATTTTTTTCTCTTAAAATGCTCACATACACATACTGCTGCAGCATCAACTGTCTTTGGAAAACAATCTAGTAACGATAGCTACCAACTCTGTTATCTGTGAGAAACTTGATGCCTGCAGCTCGGCTGCCCTGAAGCATTCACTGTGTCATGGCTCTGTCCTTTTATTCTCTTCCTCTCTGTTAACTTGGTCACTGTGCTTCAGTTTCCAATTCATCCCAGTAGTCAGTTTATACAACAGACCAGGATCTTTCAAGCTTTTCTTTGTATGATGCAAGGTGAAAAAAATACAAGTGACCTGATTCTTAGGATCAAAAATATAGAAAACTCTCAAGTATAGAAAAGTGTAGACACAGAGATGAAAATAATGGAAGACAGCAAAAGAAATATAATGAAGGAAAACACAATTTGAGAATACTTACCCTGCCATTAATCCCTAACCTAATAAAAATTGATATATGTTAAAAGAGATTCTCTAATCTAATTATACATCGAGTCACTTCAGTCCTGTTGAACATCTATCTTGTGCCAGGCTTTATACTAGTGCTTAGATTAGAGTGATAAGCAGGACAGATTCCTATTTCTTAAGAAACTTAGATTTTAGTAGTACATATATACTGGTAAAAATGTAATTCCAAGGTAATGAGAGAAATGTAACCATGGGAGAAGTGTGAATTAATTAAATATTTTTTCAATTTTTTTTTTTTGTGGCACCTTAAAAGAACATCTCAGCCAGATTTCGGGGTCAATAAAGGTGCCTATAAAAAGTTATATTTAAGCTGAGACCTTAAATATGAATAAGATTCTTGGCAGAAAGATCTCTGGGCTAAAATTTCAGCATGTGCAGCGTATCAGAGCTAAGAGATAACATAGCTTCTCAGTGAATATGAGCTTAGTCTGGCCAAAGGATGGAGGGTAAGAGATGAGTGAGAAAAGGCAAGGGTGGAGAAGTAGACAGAGGGCAAGGGTACCTAAGTAGCGGGGAGCTCTATCAAATAATGCAGGGAATTTGACCAAATTCTGTGGTCAATGGGAAGTCACTGAAATGTTTATGCAAAATCACTCAGAAGGCTGAATTTGGGATGAAATGAAAGGAGTTAAAAATAAGACAATGGCAGAAATGGTAATTAGGAAGTTTCTGTAGTAAGCTAGCCAAGTGAAAAGCTAACCTATTCATATTGAGACTGGAGAAAAGTGAATAGTTTGAACAGATATTTAGGAGAGGGAGCAAATTTCATTCTCCCAGGCAATTCATGAAATATTGGAAGAATGAAGAGTTAAGAATGATTCCCAGATTCCTGACTCAAGCAATTGCCATCATTCCTGATGGACAACACAAGCAGTCAGTAAATATCAGACCAAGAGTCTGAACAGCATATGCTATTCCCCTGGTTACTCAGGGTATGTTTTAGCATTTCTAGTTGTTCCAGAAATCTAAACCCTTGTGATTTTCTGTTATGGACTGAACCATGTTCCTACAAAATTCAGGTATCTACCTCCAAATGTGACTATATTTGGAGACAAGGCCTTTAAAGAGGTAATTAATGTTAAAGAGGTGATAAGGGTGGGCCCTAATTCAATATGACTGGTGTCTTTATAAGAGGAGATTAGGACATTTAGTGACACCAGGGATACATACGTATGAAGAAAATGCCATGCAAGAACATGTTGAAAGGAGAGTCATCTGCAAGCCAAGGAAAGAGGCCTCAAGAGAAACCAACCCTACGGACACCTTGATCTTAGACTTCCAGCCTCCAGAACTGTGAGAAAACAAATCCTGTTGTTTAAACCAAACCACCCAGTGTCTGTAATATTTAGTTATGGCATTCCTAACAAATTCCTAAAGCAGAATTCGTCTAAATAGCAAATTCACCATAAGCATATTGAAAATTAATCATATTGATCAGAGATCCTGTTAAAGTTCAGGTTTAAAATAAACATTAAAAATACACCCTTTGGCTGCGTGTACTGGTTCATGCCTGCAATCCTAACAATTTGGGAGGAAGACATGGGCAGATCACTTGAGCCTAGCCTGGGCAACATGGCAAAACCCTGTCTCTACAAAAAAATACAAAAATTAGCCTGGCACACATCTGTAGTTCCAGCTACTCGGGAGGCTCAGGTAGGAGGATCGCTTAAGGGAGGTGAAGGTTGCAGTAAGCCAAGATCACACCACTGCACTCTAGCCTGGGTGTCATTCCATCTCAAAACAAAACAAAACACGCAAACAACAACAACAAAAAATCCTTTTAAGGATGAATAGCAAACATATATTAACTATATATCAGTAATATAACAAATATGCTTTCTCTGTTAATGTCACAGTAAGTAAATTCAGCATTTGTTCAGGTCAATGGAAAATGTCCCAAGAAAGTAATTATAACAAATAAGGTTATTTAACACACTAAACTCATCCAATTAATTATTCATCCATGGTTATTGCATGGGTGGGCTTGAGGATGGTGTCTCCTCCATCTCCATCAGTCCCCTCTCATCTATATTCTGTGGAAAAATAATGGGCTTCCCAAATAAACTCAGCCATAAGACAAGTCTACTAACCCGTCTTCCAACCGGATTGCTGTCCCTAAAACTCTGTTTCATAAAGTTTCTTGTACGACTATTAATCTTCTTCAGGTTTTTAATGTTTTCTTGGTTTCCTGGTTATCTGTAGCAGTTTCAAGACTATATTGGGAAATTAAATGAATGGCCCAGCAGTTTATCAATTTTCACTGGGCTGTAATTATTTACACAAGTGATTTCTACTTTCACAAATTCATAACATTATGTAAATTAAACCTAACATATTATAATATTTTTTCAAGTTATATACAGTATCCAGGATTGTCTACATTATTTTCACTATTTGCTATAATCAAGTAAAATTGACAGTTGTATTCTCTGAAATCAGAAGTGTTAAATTGACGAATAACCTTGCTCTGAGATTATTTTGAAAATAAGCATTAGTAAAATTTGAAGAGGATGTTTTTTAAATAAATTGCATACATAAACATCAAATATTTTAGGGTTAGTTACCTATTATTATGTAGAAATAAAATATCAAATGATGAAAAAACTCCTTTCGCTGTACTCCTATAATATGTTTTACCATTTTAGAACATTTTCTATGTTTTAATTTTAGTACAGTTATTTGCAGTTGCCTTCTATTCCCTAATATATTATAGAAACTAGAAAATAGCCTTGTATTATTTGCTTTGATGCCTACATGGTACCATTCAAAATGATTCATGCACACTATACATTTCTAGATTAAATAAAACCAACTATACCACCCCACCATATATAGAATTACTGAAAATCACAACATTTTTTTGTAAAGAGCATGGTGATTCCAGAGAGACTAAGGAACATACTCAGCATTATTCCTGTCAATGCAAAAATGAAACATGTGCTCCAACTAGACTTCATCATTGATGTAAATCTTACCAGATGGCTATTACTAACAAAGAAAATAAGCTTAAATTGCATTGAAGGAAAAATCCACAAGGAGGTTTTATTCTTTTTAATTATTAACATCAAAGGGCAAATTCAGTGGTATTAATCCAGGTTTGAAAGAGAAGGCACTCTACCTTTGGAAATACAGTTCCACAGGGATCAATTTATAAAACCAATACAACTGAAAATGCAACACTGTTCAACAAGTCTAAAGAAAAAATAGTTAAAAACTGCTGGCATAATCTAGTCTTTTTCTGAATTATTATTTCAATAGGCTCATAGAAAATATATTTACAGCTCAAAACTACTGTTTGATGGTGATAAGAATTTCTGTTCTCTTCTACATTGTATGTATCATAAGGGATCTTTCCCCATGTCTAATCCATTGAGTGATTTGGGTTATGTGCCTGTGTGTGTGCACCCATGCCATGGAGGTAGAAGCGAAAAGCGTCAAAAGACAAAAAATAAAAAATAAAGATGCAAAAAGTATTTTACTGCCAAAGTAAATGTTATATAGTGACATCTTTGAAATACAGAAGTTATAGTTATTTAATATGCAAACCATAATGGAAATAGCATGTCAATCCGATAAGGAATTTATGAGTGCTTTGGTTTCGAAATTTAGATTCCTAAGATACAGAGTAGACTCTGAAATATTGGTCCCTACACATCCAGATGTCAGTTTTTTGGGAGTTTTTTTGTTTATTTGTTTTTGTTTTTGTTTTGTCCCTCATAGTCAGTTGAAGAGAGAAGAAAGCACCAAATAGAACCAGGGATAGAGCTTGCCTGAAATGGAATGCTGGAAGGATTTTTTTTTTTTAATGAAGAAAAATGAGAGCAAATCACAGACTGAAGCCACAGTGAATATTGATGGGTTTTCATGAGAGAAGAAGGAAACTCTATTGACCTTTGAGCCTTTGAGCTAGTTGTTACTGAAGAATGTGTGAAGAAGTATTACTCAGAGTCAGGAGATGGAAAGCAAAATCAAGGTTATAGGACTTAGGAGACTGCTCATGAGCGGTCAGACACTATACAGATTATAAGTATTTTCAAATACCAAATTCCTACTACTCCCAGAAATCTGGACAGACTCTTTCTATAATAAATATAATATTACTTTAACCTATAGACTATTTATTGTAATAATTCACAAGTTTTTTTTAATTATGTGAAATAAATTTGCAGTTTTGTTTCTAAAACCTGCATGCTGTCAGGCAAACAATATGCGTAGGCCTCATGTCAATATTCATTTGAATAGTTACAACAAAATATTATGCAATGCATAAGATTTTCCAACATCTAAATGCTCTATATTTATCTTTTGTGAGTATTAGGAGCTTACAAGAACAGTGTCACCTAAGCAAACAGTAACAACAATTTCAATACGAGCAGATAGTGCCCTAAAATAAGAGTACAGCTAATTAACCATCACTTGAATATTTAGGACAAGTAAGTAGAATACATTAATTTAACAAAACTAATGTGCAATTGTGTTCTTTTTTTTACTGTAGTATACGTGTTCTATTTAAGACTGGAACTATGAACATGAAATTCACTAATTTAATTATGAGTTACTGTTAAAAATTTAACAAAAACATGACCTAAAGAAACTGAAAAGCATTTTTAGTTACTAAGATTAACTAAATCTTAATCTTAAATAAACTAAGATGGTGGCGAATGCCTTAGTCCCACCTAAGTGGGAGGCTGAGGCAGAAGGATTGCTTGAGTCCAGGAATTAGAGGCTGTAGTCCACTATGATTGCACTTTTGAATAGCCACTGCATTCCAGCCTGGAATTCTTTTTAATTTTGGCTATTATCACACAGCTGTACAGTTGGCATATATTTTTTTCAATGAAATGTGGCAACATCACAGATTGAAGAGTTTAAGGGTTTGTCTTATGTGGACAGTAGGCGTTCGTTAGAATCACATTGCCACACTATTTCCTCTAAGTAGCATGATGCTTTTCCTTCTTGCAAACAAACCAGGTGATAATTTGAAAATTTTGCACCTATCTTGGCACCTGCAACATGTGTCACAAAGTTTAAATAGCAATATGCTGCCAGTTTGTTATCTCTCTAGCTTGCATCAAACACTCGTGTTTATGGTGCCTCTTACATTAGTGCTAACATCAATACAAGATCTAGGGTATACACATGCATGATACATATGAAGGGATAGTTTTGTTTTTGTAAGTAAATGCTAAATTTCAGTGCCTTTCACTATTTAATTAGATTTTTTTCAAGGATTCACAAAGGAGATTCACAACTTCTATCAAATGTTTGAAAACGATTCAGAGCATTTTCTTTCACAGGCAAATTCTGCACTTGCAGTTTGTCTCCTAAATAATTGTCCCTTGAGTTTTACTTCAGAGATTTGGACATTTTCTTCCAGAGTTATCTTTTTAGGAGAACCACTGAATTTACGTGAGTAATAGAATGTACTATTCCAACTGTAACTCTGGAATGCATAAAAAGCATACAGTTTTATTCCTTTTGTTATGATAGAATAAAATATAACAGTGTTTCATTAGTTAATATGGCCAGCTGTAGTATCAACACACAATCGAAAAGCAGTAAAATTTCTGTGATTTCTTTAGCAAACTAGAATTTTTTGAATTTACTATTTCCCACTTCTCTCAATGTAAAATTGTTTTGACTTACTTGAAAATAAGCATTCTCCTCATCAATACAAACATGCTTCTCATTACTCTTCAACACTCACTATTGGTGTGGCCAAGCTATTTTACCTTGCTGTCACTAAAATAAATTCTCTTCTACCTCCAACCTTGATTAGCATTGTCTTTCCCTTTGAGAATGTACCAACTATTCTCTAGGCACCCAAACATCACTCCTGTTATAGCCCACACATGTAGGTGACATACTATTTCAATGAGTTTACTAATAAGCAAATCAGGAAACATTATTATTGTTGAATATTGACATTATCTATTCCTTTTATGTTATATATATATATAAATTGAAAATGTTGAATAAAATCTTGTACATAAGTTTTAAGCTTCTTAGAGAAATAGCTTAATAAAGAAAATTGCTAGCAATTTACTGTTTATTAAATATTGTGTTAGAAATTATGAAGGCACAAATGATTTAACTTTAAAGCAAAATATTGTGTAAAATATAAATGCATTTATATGACTGTGTCTCAGTTATTATCATGCCAATTTAAATTGCTAGCTGTTCTGAGCTCAGCTGTTCCTTTTGACTTTAGTCCAGTTGCACCCAAGGCAGCCTCAGAATGAGAGCTCCCAACTCTGGGGGAGCTGGCCTCATTAGTCTTCAGAATTTTTTGACATACTTAAAATTGACTCAGGGAGATCTCAGGAAATTTTCTAAGAACAATTTTGCAGAATAGTTGATTCCAGCACGTCCGATCTTTTGCTGTAACTACTATCTTTCCTCAGATGAAAGATGAACCTTAAGAGTTGGGAGGTTGCCAGACAGGAGGCGGTCACAGAGAAATGGAATGCATAGAAGAAGAATTGCAGGAACTGAGTGGAAATGAGCAGCTGGAGGGTTTACTGTGAGGGTGCCAAGTTTGTTTGGGCAGAAAGTAGTGGTGAAAAGTCAGACAAAAAAAAGAGGAGGACGAAGGCCAGGAAGAGAATAGTCACACCAACTGAAATAATGGTAATTTGGGGGGCTTTAAAGTAGAGCAGATATTAGAATAATAAAAGTATTTTGAAATCACTACTCCAGAAATAATCCACATACTCAGATAAGGAGGAGAAAACTTAGTTTGTGCTAACTTCGAAGAGATAGAACTTGGGACTGTTGGCAGGTTGAAGGTAGAGAGGCTCCTAGTTCAAAAACTCTGTGAATACATGTGAATATGTGGGTTCTACAAACTAATTCCATTAATTAACTCAACAAAAAATACTGTACTCATCCAGCACTTCCACCTGTCAGACTCTGCACTAGGTGCAGGAAGGACTATGTTGATGCTGGCTCTGCTAAGAACGGCTCCATTGAGCATCTTTTTAAAGGTCGTCGTGTTATATTTCTCTTCTATTGTTCCTTAAGCCTTCAGTAAAATCTTGTTAAACATTACAACCTGTTCTCAGTGATTCCTGTGGGGAACTGAAGAGGTGGCTCACTGCCCAAAATTGGAAGGAAGCAGTTCGGACCAGTAGCAGCTGCCTTTGAGAAGTTAGACTGAAGACAGAGGATGACATGACATGTTACAAGGGCCTGGTAAACTGTGAGCAGAACAGTGAGCAGGATTCTAGGTCAAGGTGGTTGCTGGATGTGGCAAACAGTGACCCGAACAGATATATATGCATTCCCTGGAGAATGCCAGAAGATCAAAAGTATACTCTGGTAGAAGCCCAGATAGAATGTAGTCAGGTGAAATTTCAGCTATCTGCTCTGCATTAGAGGGAAGGGTCACATGACACACCATCTACTATATCCTAGGATATTTCATCAGCATTATTATTAGATTAATAACTATGTATTTAATTATACATATTGTGAATACATAATCATTTTTTAAAAAGAGTAAATGCATCCAAGATTTGATTTTATTTTGGTGTATTTGACTAGTTTAAAATTCTATGGCTTAAAAAATTTAAAGGCTGTACAGGTCTCAGACTAAGTAATTTTTATTATGTATTCACCTATTAATTTTAACTTCTAAAATCTACTAATTCATAGCTAGCTCTTTTTCTCAGTAAAATCTAGGTTATTATTTCTCAAATGCCTGAATAGTCTCTTGGACTTTTGTCATTCACTGGCAGGAAAACTAATGCAACTCAGTGGCGAATCTAGAAATGAATCTGACCATCATTCTCAGACTATATGTGAACCAGGGCTTTGCGTAGATTGGCAAGTGAGGGAGAGGAAACAACAAAAGGCAATGAAATGAAGAAGTGAGAGAATTGTAATGATAATAGAATAGGGAGACTTCCCTTCCCCTTTTTCTCCATTTTGAACACAAATGCAACTCTAGGTGCATTTTAAGCATGAATGGACTCTACACTGGATATACCTACACATGCTGACGCACACAGAAAATCATTTAATGTATTATATCCCTCATCTCTTGAAAAGAAGTCATATCTTCCTGAAGACATGTAATCTATATATTACCTCAGAAGGAATAAAACTTCAGAAGAATTGTTTTAGTTATACTTAAGAAAATATTATATGATAATTCTTACCTAAAATTTTGTTGGTAAGGACCTCAGTACCATATATATAGAGATAGAGGTAAGGACCTCAGTACCCTATATATATATAGCTAGGTATAGTGCTTTAAGAAAATGTAATGCGTTTAAAATAAGAAAATATTATACCTTTATTCCTATTATATGTTTATTAATTTTATGTTTCAAGGTACATCTTCTAAATTATATTTTAGGAATTTCACAAAGTAAGAAATTAAGAAATTAAAGACAGATTTCTATACTTATAAAAATATGGTCTAATTATAATGTAACTTTAATGTAAATGAGAGTTGCTTCACAGATGCTAAAAATAAAAACTGTTGGTGACTTTTTAAAAAATCTCATAGTTATTACACAGTGTCTAGGATCTTATATTGTGGCAGATTTACTATTATTTTAAATTAATAGAATATAGTTAGAACTTTGTAGAACTATGAATTACATTTTAACTGAAATTTGTTCTGAGATTCAATGTAATTGTAATTTTTGCCAGCAGTAGTATAAATTGTATAGCTTTAAAAGTTATGACTCTTACATTTACTCCTTAAATTTCTTTTCATCTAATTTGCCTCAGCAAGTCACAAGGTGGTTAGGTACATTTCCTTTCACTTACAAATATTGAATTCATTCAAAAATGTTTATCAGATTTGGGTCAGAAGAAAATGGATTCAACACACATAAGAAATGAATGAATGATTAAATAATTGAATATTCTTTCCAATTGATAGTGACTTTTTCTAAACAGAGATATATAAATCTAATTTTAATTGCATTTTTCAGTGACAACTAAAACATTTAACTTGTGTTGAGAAATAAAATTTATTTATGTTTTAACTATTTGTTATACTACCCCCTTTGATTTCTAATGTATAATTTCACAAACAGCTTATATTATACTCCATCATTAACACAAAAATATACTCCTGGTTCCTTATAATTATACTGTGCAATTACATTCGTATCATATTTCATCATTCAATATATGAATATCACAAATTCTAGCTGTTTGTTCCATTGGTTAGGAAAGAAAACATTATATACAATGTAGCTTACATACACAAAGGTTCTTATTGAATTTGATGTTTCAAATAACACACTTGACAATTTTGTTGTTGTCAGTGATAAGAGTGCAACTCAAACAAAACAAATGTCCTTTGCTGTCAAAGACAAGGATACCTCATGTCCTGAATGCCATCACAGGCAGGACATTGCTTCCACTGGTTTGAAACAGGAATTTCAAGAAGGAAAAGGGAAAGTCTTCTTGACAAACTGCATTCTTAAAAAAATGTCCATCAATCATAGGAGGGAAAAAAACCTTTAGATTAGATGTTACTAATGCATGCATTTAAATGAAAAAATCAGTGTGATAAATAAACCACACAAATCTTTTAAAGATCACATACTAGAAATACAGTTTGGGGTATATTCTCCTCAAATTCAGCGTTACTAATATCTTGCTCAGTTATCTGTGTTACGATCTAAGTGGACTGGCAACTAATTACCCAGGTACGTTTGCTTCCAGAGTAACAAGTCCTTTTATTGCATTTTCTTTCCTTTGCACCTTGCCACAGTCTTTTTTTTTTTTCTATTAAGAAACACTTTGCACAGTTTGGAGAGGAAAAGTCTTCAATTTTCAATTGCCTTTAGGATGAGGTAAGAAAATTAATTAAATATATTATTCTATTTATTGACTGGAAGACATCAATGTCATTATTTACATTTCTCAAAATATTGCTACCTATCACAAAGGCAAATCTGATTTGGGAAATAAATCCCAGTCCATGAGAAATGGGATTAAAAAGTAGTTGCTCACAAATGAGTAGAATTTAATCAATAATTCTTGGTAATCCATCTTATCAGTAAGTTATTGCAGAACTCATATATATTTCATGATAAAAAGATATAAAGTAAAATAGGGTGAAATATCATTTTTTTCTCTGAAATTAATAGAATAAGAACATAAAGATTTAGGAGGCATTTGTGTGTTTGGGACTCAGTGTGAGTGAGGTGTTAGATGAATTGGCTAACAAAGAGCCTGTGCTTAAACCTGTAACTGAACTGGAAAAATATTGTCACTAATGGAAAAAAGGGCAGAGGCTTTACATCTTTCCCATATTCCATCTCGCTGTGAAGTCAATGGGGCAAGAAATATAGTCAAGTACAGAGCAGAGATTCATGGCTGAGAACTCACTGAGAAACAGTTTAACATCTTAGAAAGAACAGAGAAGGCATCCCTAGTCATTAATTATCGAAAAGTCACAATAAAAAGCATTGCGTTGAGCCTGCTATCCACCAAACTCATAGCGTTTAGCTGGGGGCAATATTATGTAGGACTTTGAGATGGAATTTGGGTGTCAGACAACATAGGCTCTTTTTCTGGACCTATCACTTCAGTGTTTTGTAACTTTGGCAAACCCAATTAATAATCTTTCTCGGCTTTCATTTCTCCTTATTGAGAAATGAAGCTAATACCTACAATACTGAAGTACACCTATGCCTGCAAGTCAATTTCTGCTGCTTTAGACACTGCACTGATGAACTTTATATATTGACTTACAATAACTTCCTGCAAGTCACCAGTTGATTAAATCACCATGGTACTCCATTAGTTACTGATAGTCTTCTTAAGATCTTAAAGTAAAGATCTGTTTAAAGTGATGACTTTGAAAGTTTTACAGTAAGTCAAAAGCTGTATACTTGCCAATTCCTCTAGGTAAAGGAAAAAAAGATCTATGATTTGAACAAAAAAGATAAATTCTACCTAACATAACCACATTAGGTGAGCAAGTTCAAACCGTCCAAGAAAACTGACAGGAAGAGTAGACAGCATGTCCTTTTATTTTCAGATGAAACTATTTGAATGGCGTTAACTGGAATTTCTTGCCCTATGTTGCTGACAGAACTTTGTGTAACATTCATATAAAATTTCTGGATATTTATGTCTGTGATGAAAGATATTTCTTATGAAAACAATATCTCATTCTACATTTAGGACATATGACTTGTTCTTGCAATGAGTATCTAAAGATCATTCATAATTTTTCTAATTCATTATAATAATTCTAACAAAGAAAAAGATGAATATAAAATTAAGATATATTTTATTATTAAGTATTGAAAAACTAAAAAAGCAAAGTCATTTATATTACTATAGTCAGACTTACTCTTGCAAATACATTTTAAGCAATAAAACTGACTATTCTATGCAGTTCAGATGCCCATTGGCCTTCTTTCTGTTTCTCAACCACCTCGCAGGCTTTGTGAAAACACCTTTGCAAAAACTATAACAGTGACAAAATTATGGGAGTGAAAGAGATCTGATCTAACCCACCCCATCTTGCCTCTAACCTCCAGACTATCCTTGTTTATTCCTGGGCACAGGCTGAACTCACTTTAGGAGAAATTTAGTTTATAGTTTAATTTGAAACTAAGATGGTAACTGCTCCTTCTTGAAATAAACCCCTTTTTGCCTGGGGACCAGGCTTCCTTTACAAGGCACAGAGAGAGATCAAATTTCAATGGCTAGTTTTCTCTCTTTTCTTTCTCTATCCCAACTCTAAATCTACCATCCCTAAAAAAGTGGAGGGGGGGTCGGGAGAGAAGGTTTAGAATGCCCTTCCTGTTGCCCATTGCCCATCCTTTGTCCCACCAAATGTTGCCAAGAGCCTCAGCAATGGATACTATTTACTACCAAGGGAATTCTTTTGGAGAATGCCCAAAAGTAAATTGGTTCAAGATCATGAACCTTGAATGCTCTCTTGAGGTGTCTGGCGATTTAACAGTAGATAACTCAGTGCCACTAAAGGTATTTGTTCGAAACTTTGGCAGTATCATGTCTGTGTTTTGCAAAGAAACTTAATGAAAATGGAGAGAATAGAGCTACACAGAGACCGGAAAAGTCAAGCAGCTATTTTAACGGTTTAGACTACAGATGTTGAGTTTCTAACTTACTGCAGCGTCAGTAAGGTTGTAATCAGAAAAGACAAATTTGAGAGATATTTCAGGAATAATCTTTAAGAGACTCAGTGAAAATTAAGGGGCAGGCAAATGTGAAGGATGACTTTCTTGTTTCCATCTTGAGTCATAACTTGGATGGTATTGACATGCACTGATGCAGAGTCAGAAGAGCAGATTTGGGCTGTGGATGGAGAGAGGACAATGAGTTCAAGGAAGAAAAGAGATGAAACAAAAGATACAATCAGTGTAAAAGTAGGTTGGCATGCTCAGGCTATAAAACCCAGGATTTACCACAAAGAATATGAGTTCATCTTCTCACACATTAACCAATCAGAAGAGTTTGACCGTAGGCTTTCTTGAAAGTGTGGCACACAGCTGTGCCACCAAACTGGTAGACATCTTTAAAAACTCTTTTTAAACTCTTATGCTCCTATGTTTTATTTCCAAAGGTATTAACAATCTCTCTTTCCTTCCACTTTGTCCCAGTGCTACCACACCGCCACACTGCTCACCTGTCATTGTATTTCCTCCAAGCTTTGATACATTTCCAGCCATGACTAACCATTTGGAAAGTATCATCCATCATCCACTAACTGAATTCTTGAGATGAGCAGTTTGCCTAGAACCCTACTAGATAATGTCTTTTTTTAAAAACACATCATAGATTTGACAGTTATCAACTTATGCAAATACTATAAAAAGTGGTAACATTCGTGGAAGGTACAGAAAAAAATTTGCTGAATCCAGTTGGATCCAATGTGGGAGGAAAGAACACAAGTGGTTAAATACAAGGAGGCAAGGATCATTGATGATTACCAAAATAGATAAAATAGAAAATTTTTGCTCAAAAATTAGAATTTTGTTAAATTAAATCTGAAAGATCAATATAGTAGTGCTAATATATAATGATAAGCTTATTTTATTCACAGTTAAAAGTGAATATTATCAAATCACATTCAACTCATTGTTAAATTTTAATGTTCAAAAAAATGTATTTTCAAACATCCTTATCTTTGTCAAAGATACCTTTACATTTGGGAATGTGAACTAAGACCATATTGATAATCATTAAAATAAATTCAGTTGAATCCAAGTAAAGTTTGAAACGTAAACTACTTCACAGATCATGTTAGAAAGAGAAGTCATGTAAATTATAAACCTTAGCATATTAACAGTCAAATTAAGTGGACTCCTATTTATAATCATAAACCCACACATTGAAATCATTATGGGAATTTTTCATAAATCCAAATGTCTAAATAAGGGTACCTAACTCAATTATATATTAATAAGAAATTTTACTTTGCTGTATATCAAAATAATGGGAAAAATGAGCTTACTTGCTAAGCAAATGTTTAGCACACATTCTTTAATCTATGTTGTCTTTCTGTCTCTCTCTCTCTGCCTGCCTGCTCTCTCTCTCTCTCTCTCACACACACACACACACACACACACTCACACACACACACAGAGGCTATTCATCTTTCAAGGTGCTTTATAGATGCAGTCGTCTATGTTTTATAGTTTATTGATCATAATGTCATAAAAGATCTACAATTTCTGGAATAATTACATTATGCCTGTTTTGTTTTTTCCTTATTGTTAGTATTTTACACAGAATACTATCCTTTGACTTTTTTTAACCCAATAACTATTCAACAATCAGTATATTATCTGAACATCCAAAGTGATATTTTTAGATCTCTGCAATATCAAAAACCATAGAAAAAAGTTTGTAAAAGTGTCTTAAAGGCAAAATCTACTTCATTGTCTCCTCCACCACAAAACAAAGTACTGTGCCTTGCACTTAGAAGGTATTCAGTAAATGTTTATGTCGTTTAATAGCATGGAGTGAAGGGAAGATACTGTAATTTCATAAGATCTTTAAAAAACAATTTGGTCCAACGTGAAGAAAATTATGCATAGAATACTGCCATTAATTTTGGAAAGGGGAAATAATGTATTTGCTTACATTATTCAAAAATGGAGAAATGAACCTAAAACAAACAAACAAAACCAGTTTTCAGATCTAAGGAAATAGAGTCAAAAGAATTATATAAATATTTTCCAAAACTACTAAACAGAAGTTGTTTTTAAATTTTAAAATTCTAACAAGTTAATAAAAAATTGGCACAGCTTGTATAGAATTAATAAAAATAACTACATTGGGAGGAAATATTTCTTTCAAGTGAGTGTTAAAACAGAGTAAATTGGTTGTTTATTCCCAATGTGGTATACACTAAGAAAAAAATGAGAAAAGAAAAAATCCTCAAACTGTTTTCAGTAATCAGACTTTTGAGTGCTACTACGGTTTTCCTGAATGTGCTACACAGGACAAAGCAAATAAATAATAATGATATCATTAAGAATTGGAATTTTGATCATGAGAGAAAGGCGACACATATGTGAGAGGAATTTGGTTAAGAAAAAAATCCTGAATTCCTGAATTTGCTAAATTTGACTTGGAGTATAAACATGAACATATGATATATTGTATATATTTTTTAAATATGTGATACTTCTGTTCACTAAAAAAAGTGAACTGGGCAGTACTATTGTTCTTGGGCAGCAGAAACAAGTATTCTTTCACCCAGATTTTTGTCTCCAAATGGCATTTCTCATAAAGGAGCTAGGGTTCTTAAAAAAATTTTAGATTTCAAGATGGGACAGCAAATATACATGTTGCATCTAGAACATATTGTCAAACCAGACAGTAAGAATACAAAGACTGTTGTGATCATCATAAAAAGGACTCAGGAGCCAGCTGAGAGAAACTCACACTATCCAAAGCTGGGAAAGTTTGAACACCAATAAGAATTACAATTTTACTTAGTTAAGACAAATTAGGTGTTCAAAATCCATAAGCGCTTAATAATATATATTTTTACAAAACAAAATTGATCAACCTGCAAAGATACTGGGAGCCAACTCGTTATTTTGAATACTGGTAAATAAGAAAATTACCAACACATCTATATTGTAGTTCTATCCTACATGCTCTGAACTCAGAGAAACAAATATTTGATGGAAGATAATTTTTTATTCATCAAGGTAGTTCAGATAATAATTAAAGTTATTTAATTACAATATCATCCTTTTATAACCCTTTATGAAATAATGGATCCAGCAGTAATCATCAATGGCTACTAAATTCACAAAAAGAGAAACAGTCAGATATTAAGGGCTTTTTACTGGAAATATAATAGTACCTGTCAAATCTTTTTGCCAAAAAAAATTCAAGCCTCAGTCTGATCAATTTATAAGAAAAGGAGCAGTGGACCCATTCAGAAATACCACAAGAATGTGATCAGGGCACAGTGGCTCACACCTATAATCACAGAACTTTGGGAGGCCAAGGCAGGTGTATCACTTGAAGTCAGGAGATGGAGACCAGCCTGGCCAACATGGTGAAACCCCATCTCTGCTGAGAATACAAAAATTAGCCAAGCGTGGTGCTGCATGCCTGTAATCTCAGCTACTCGGGAGGCTGAGGCAGGAGAATCACTTGAACCTGGGAGACGGAGGTTGTAGTGAGCCGAGATTATGCCACTGCACTCCAGCCTGGGCAACAGAGCGAGAGTCTGTCTCAAAAAACAAAAACAAAAACAAAACAAACAAACAAAAAAATGCAATCAGCAAAATATAGACTAGGGGAAACTGTAACACAGTCTTTAAACTTTCTTCAACAAATGATTACAAAAAAAAAACAGTGAGTTGGAGATAGAAGCTAAAGATTAATAGAAATTTAAGAAATGTGTTCACTAATTGCTATACATAGAATTTGTCTGGCACCTGATTTGAATAATTAATTTCTTAAAAAGACTGAGAATTGTGGGAATTTAAACAATTTTTGTATATTCAAAAACATTACGGAATTTGTGTTAGTACTCTGTGTGTCATAATAGGGATTATATTTTTAAATGAGTTATCTTTTAGAGATATATTCAAAATACTTATAAGTGATATAATGTCTGGTGTTTTCTCCAAACTAATCCAGGAGAAAGGAAGAGAAACAGCATGGTAGTATAGATAAAATAATTGGACAGAATTAATAATTATAGAAGCTGGGTGACGTATATCTGGGGATGAATTATATAATTTCTCATATTTTATACATATTTAAATTTTTCATAATAAAAACATTTGAAATACTAAAAAAATTAAAGTAAAAAAAAAAAAACAAACAATTGCTTGAGTCTTGAAAGCCCCATGTAACCAGAACAAAAATAAAAAAGGAAGAGAATGGCCCAGGGAAAATGTTCAAGGAATAATCCATTTCCCACGTCCCCTCCTAGCACATCCTTGGTGAAAGTCCTCAAGTTTTGCTGTCTTTTGCACCTTCTGCCTGGAGGAATGATGTAGTCAATGAGGCTAAATAATTGAATTTAAAAAAAAAAAGAAATAGAATACAAAGACATTTTTAAGATCATGAGCTATCGAATTGACCAGCTATACCTCAGAATAAAATGTTTAGCAAAAAGAATAAAACCAAAGATGGAATCTGCAATCATTATTTGCCCATATTCTTATCTGAAAAGTATCACTGGGGAAGAAACAATAGAAAAATAGATCTACATTTGATTTTTATTCATACAGTAGCATTTCATATATATGAAAACCAACAAAACTACTAAAATCAGGAGTGGTCGTTATTTTTTCATCGATCAAAGTGGATAGTTAAGAGAAGACACTCTCTGAAGTCTATGCATCAGTAAATAGATGATCAAGCATATTATATAAAGTTAAATGTGCACCAATATGAAAGTCGAAACCTCCCAAACTAGCAGATTTAGAAAGTTTATTAAGAAACAAATAAACAAAAGCAGAATCTGTGAAATAAGCAAAGCACTAATAAAACAAAAATGACAGAAGTATGACACATGATACATATAGAACATACTATTATGATGACGGAAGATACTACTATAACATGCTACTTACATTTCTTTTTAAGAGATCATGAAACATTTATAAAAATTGATCAAGTGAAATGCTCAGTAAGTCACAAAATAATTTTTGAACTACAGATTTTATTAGCTAACAACTATGTACTCATTCTAAATAGTGTTAAAATTCAGGAAAGAAACAAAAATATTTGACCTAATATAATTAAAATAATATTTAATGGACCGGGTGCAGTGGCTCACACCTGGAATCTCAGCACTTTGGGAGGTCAATGCAAGCATATCACTTGAGGTCAGGAGTTCAAGACCAGCCTGGCCAACATGGAGAAACCCAGTCTCTACTACAAAAACACAAAAATTATCCAGGTGTAGTGGAACATGCCTGTAGTCCCAGTTACTCAGGAGGCTGAGGCATGAGATTCACTTGAACCTAGGAGGCGGAGGTTGCAGTGAGTTGAGATCGCACCACTGAACTAGAGCCTGGGCAATAGAGCAAGATGACTCGGTCTCAAAAATAATAATTATTATAATTATAATAATATTTAATGTTATTTAAAACACTTTAAACTACTCAAATCAAAAAGCACATAAAATCCAAATGCCTAATTATTTAAAAAATTATTGTAACAGTAATTGGGACCTTTCATGAATATTCCATTTATTTTTTATCAGTGGGCACATGGTATATTTTTCCTTTGATATTTCCATGTCAATAAGCATTTTTCAATTTATCTGATTATATTGTCCTTCCACTCCTCAGTTATTGACTATGCTACTTCTGTCATAAATTAAAATTCAATAAATGCATGCGTCTATTTCGCATCTTCTCTTTCTCTTTCTCTTCTCTTGTCTTCTTCTCTTTCTCTTTCTCTTCTCTTGTCTTCCCTTCTTGCAATCTTCTCTTTCTCTTCTCTTGTCTTCTCTTCTTTTCTCTTCTCCTCTATTCCTTATAAGAGTACCTGTTTTAAAGATTGTAGCTTTATAATAAGTCCTGATATCTAGTAGGAGTACTCTCCTATTCCTAATTTCATTTTTCAGAATCATATTGGTTATTCTTGTCCCTTTGCTCTTTCATGTTACTGGGATTATATGATATTTCATTTTCTACATTCCTCTACTTCAAATATATAAATGGCATTGTGCTAAAAACATTATGTTTCTTTCTTTTTTCACTCACCACTATGTTTCTAGGAGTGATCATGGTCTGTGTGTGCATCTACTCACTGTTTCCAGCTGCTGCATGCTAGAGCATAACCATTACATTGAACTTCTTCATTCTCCCAGTGATAGACAGATTGCCTCTAACTCGTTGCTACTACAAATTATCATCCATATCTCCACACATCTTGTGAGAGAGCTTTTCTGGAACATACGCTTAGGAGCTGGACTACTGAGTTGTAGGATAGGCATATTTAATATCATCAAGTGTGTTTCCAGTGCAGCTGAACCAGTCAATACTTTCAACATCAAGGCACAAGATTCCTTTCTACCTAAATATCTTTCAATACTTAGAATTATAAAACTATAACCTTTTTTTCTCAACTTGATGAGTATAATGTAGGATTGCATTTTAATTTTTTTCATTTTTATGATTACAAATGAGTTTGAGCATCTCTTCATGTAACTGTTAGTCATTTGAATTGTTCTTATTTCATAACTTGCCCTTTTTAAATTAGGTTTGCTATCCTTTTCCTGTAACACAGTATAATTACAAAAAATGAGAATCATATGAATATCTTTTCATCAATATCATAAAATCCTAGGACATTATTCCACAAAAGGAACATTATTTTATTTTGAGTTTTGAATTTTATACACAGCCAAAACAACCCCCAAAAACTAAGTTTTTTATATATGTCAGAAAAGGAACTCAAAGAGTCAAAAGGAAATTACTAAATCTGGAAACATAAATTCATGAATTAGAAAATTTTTATAAGCAAGAAAACTAAAGAAAGAAGAAAAATAAATGGAAGACTTATTACTAAAACCAAAAATGTTTTTTAAAAAATAACAATATAAAAAATAAGTATTTTCAATTTTCATCAAGAGAAAAATACACTTGTTAGCCTCCTATACAAGCATAACTAAAAATATAATAAAAATATAAAAAGTACAAATAACTATTATATACAATTATAATACCTAGGCATTTGAAATAAAAATAAAATAATCAATTCTGTATTCATAAGACCAAATAAATATTTTTATTAAAAAATAGAGAGAACATGTAAGAAGTGTTTCCACTAAATTTGAGAAGACAGTAATACAATTATAGTCAATATAATAAAGCTAATAAAACCAATAAATATGAATACTTAAAAGAAAATGAAAATTATCATTCTTGCAGATAATATAATAGAAAATTAAAATATAATTCAAACGCTATTAGATTTACTAATTATTAAGGTTGCCATGTACTAATCAATGGTGAAAATTAATAGTTTTCTTATAAACAAGATAACAAGGTATAAAAGAAAACATACTGTTGAAAAATATGAAATTTCTAGGAATAAAACTAACTAATATATGACTTTAATGAGAAATAATGAAAAAGGACTATGATATCTACTAAAAAACACACACTCTCTCTCTCTTAAATGAATGGAAATGTATAAAGTGTTCCAAGATGAGAAGAGGCAACAGCATGAAGATATCAATTCTTTCCAATTTATTTACAAATAAAATGACTTCCCTTTAAAAAAAAAAGCCAACATTTTAATGGTATCAGAAAAACTGATTTTAATGAATGAAGTACCTTTACAGAAGAGAAAAAAATGACAAAAATAGACAGCTTTTTTTTTTAACTGTAGTAGAATATTCCAGTAAAAGCTTTTAGAAAGGCAGAGTAAACCGGTGAGGTACTGAGAACAGATATAGGCAAGTGAAGCGATGAACAGAAGGGAGATTGCAGAAACAGACTGATATTATATATAAATAACAATTTCATACATTATTAAGTTGGCCTTTGAATTTAGTAAGAAGTATACAGTTTATTTAACAAATAGTTTAAAGGTAATTGTTTAGAATTATTTGGAAAAAAAGTGAAATCCATACTTCATGCCTACCTAACATTCTAGTAGCTTAAATAGTTTAATATATGAAAGATATTAATGATATGCTTTTATTAGTTTGGAGGTAACAAATTATTTCTAAGTATGACACAAAACACAGAAGTCATAAAGGAAAAGATTGACCTATAGAGTTACATAAAAATGCAAAACTTCTAAAATACAAAAGCTATCAACAAAAGCTTAAAAGTCAAAATAAAGAAAATATTTTAATTTAGAAAAAGCTAGCTTAATATTCTCAATATATAAATTACTCCTAAAAATCAAAAGGAAAATATAGATGATCCAATAGAAAATACAGTCGAAGTTTATTTAGAGGTTTCTCACAGAGAAAAGAATAAAAGTGGCCACTAATCATATATGAAAATCTGTTCAAACATAATATTCTGTTAAGAAATTGGTATCTATTTTTCATTGCACAGATAAATTTAAAAATTTGTAAATATATTTTTGGTAAAGTAAGTTGGTGAATTCGTTGAGTAAAAATTTGTGGAAACTTAATGAAAGGTAATTTTTCATTGCCTATCACTTCAAGGAATTTATTCCTTAAAACTATTCCTATATGTTTACAAAGACATGTGTACAAGCTATACACTTGTTTTTAAAGAAATTAGATTAGAAACTATATAAATCCCCAACAAAATATGTAAATGGTACACAAATTATGTTTTTTCTATATTAAGCAATACTATGTAGTAATTTAAAAAATAGTATAGCTATTCTAAATATGGGTTTCTCTGCATATATTAAGTTAAAAAAATCAACTTGTAGAAAAAAACTTAAAATTATCATTTATTTTATTATATTTATAAAAACAAATGAATCATACATAATGTGTGTGAAAGCATATGTGTATGTATGTATTCAATTTTGTGTAAACTCATAGCACTATGTCTGAAAACATTCATAGAAAATTGAAAAAGGTTATAGTTAGTAGCAAAGAAGGGATACTTTCTATTTTAATTTTTGCATCTACATGGTTTAAGCTTTTTATAATAAAATGTATGTAAAATAAGTGGAATTACCTAGATTATTTTCAAGATCCAAAAGGCCTAGCATCAATGCTAGGTCTGGTAACTACCATTAAGATTACTTTGAGAGTCAGTTTTCATATGAGTAATAGGGATTAAATAGAAGTGGCTCATTCTCAGGGTCTCTGAGAAATAAAATCCTTACAAAAACTGCAAAAAAAGTCAAACAAATTTAATATATTATTATTATTTTTATATTCCTATAACCCTATGGTTCTACCAGTGGTGTATCCTATTGCCCACAGGATAATATGATATATATAGAGAGATAATGCTCCTCTGTGCTTCAGAAAACTTGAACAAATCAGCCTTATCTACAAAAACAGTCTATGTTGGCAGTATTTATCAAATATATATTAGAATGAAGTTCTGTCTCTGAAGAAGCTTCATATACCTTGAAATCACATTTTACCTTTATAAGTAAAATGTACATTTTTAACTAAAATGACTAGATTTCTCTCTTTTGAGAGACAAAAAGAAAAGAAAGCAACTAAATTTCTTGGAATAGTTTTCACACATCATAGAGTATTAAATAAATGCCAGTTGATTTCTCCTGACTTGATTGTCTTTATGTCAAGGTAAGTCTAGCCAGTCTCACCTATAACTTACTCATTTCCCTAAGCTTTAATGAACTGATTCTTCTTAATGAAACAATTATGCCCATGTAACTAAATCAATCATTCTTCATGAGGCATAGGGTTGCATTTACTCATCTGGATCATGAAGGCTGAGGGATAATGGTTCATTAAGAAGCATGCTTTTCCTAGCCACAAAAAATCATGAGGCTTATTGGCAAAGAATCAGTTTTTACTCATTGGTTGAGTAAGAAGGAAAATCTTAAGAGGGTCAATTTGTTTATAATTGGTTTGGAACACTGCCCTTTCCTTTAAAGCCCCACAGTGACAGAATTGCTTATTTTTACTTCAGAATAATTATTTTAAATTAGGACCATATATTTATAGGATTACTGACACTAGAAATCTTTTATGAAAAACAAACAAAATCATCTCTGATTATCAAATTTTAGATAACATCATATTAATAACCTAAAGCTGTTTTGAAATAAAGAAAATGTGCCTTTGCGTTGTCATATCCAAAATATGGAGAAAAAATTAACTTAACATTTAGAACAGGATCCTACATGATTTCTCTCTTTCCCATCCTAAGCAGCATATTTGAGTTGATGACTTGCCAAATTCACATAAAAAAAAATCTGTTACTCCCATTTGTACTTAGTCATTTACAATAAGAAAAATAAGCATGTGACTCTAGAAAAAAAGGTGATGGTGAAAATGTTTCTTGTCTCTAAGAGGTTCATCTCTAAGGTTCCTGCTAGCTATGAAATACCACGAACATGAACCCAAGACAACTAGACTGCAGAGATGTAAAAATAACTTTCTGATTACTTACCAAGAGAAGAGTGTGTATGAGAACTGACATACAACTCTACAGAAGCACAAAAAAGTCAAGCCCTTCTTTCCCCAGACCAGAAAATGCCTCAGTCTATAGTGATAGCCTGTTTGGGGAACACTTTCTCTTTGATTAGGCTTTCCTCTTTTGCAAGCTAATATCACTCGGAAGTGGCAGCACAATGCCTAGAAGCACTTTCTCAGCGAGGCATTTATTTATGGAGGGAAGGGCTAATGATACCAATGGGAACAGTTGGCAGGAGATTTGCATCTCACCTGTGTATATTAGCCTGATAGAATCAGCTTCCCCTGTTTCTCAAACTGTCCTGTACCTGACAAAGTGACCTACATTTTGGTAGCCCTTCCTTCAGTGCAAACCTTCTAGCAAAAAAGCAAATATGACTTTTGAATCCCAGGCAAAAAACAAAAAAACTTTCAAAGATGCCACAAAGGTAACTTTCATATTTTTTCCATTGTATGTTAAAATTGAATGAACTCTGTAGCAATTTAGAAGAGAATAGCCTTTTTAATAGCTCGTGTCTTTTTAACAATTAATAATCCCTATCAAAAGTTATTAGCCAATACCTATCCTTTATTAATGAGCTATTGTTATGCCTAATGAATGGTGTCTTATCAAAAACTGCATTTCTAAGCCACTGATTTATGCTTTTAAATTGTTTTCAAAAATATTTCTTTACTGTCCCAATAAATTCTTTTTTTATATAATTTCATAAATAAAAAAGTGACACACAGATGGTAAATATAGGACCATAATTTTGTGGGTGAGAAAGCTAAATCCTATGTGCAAGTTAGGGATTTTAGAATCCCAGCTGTTGATTCAGCTGCCGCAGCAAAATCTCCCAAATGTGGTATTAGTGGGAGCTACTAGGTGCTGAGCTCGCTCTACCCTCCTGTTTCCAAAAGCGACCTGAGGTGACCTCAATTTGAAAACCAACTTATTTACAAAGTATCTATTGTCTGAAGAACAGGATTATATCACCTTTCCACAAATTGGACTCACACAAATCTGGGGTCAATTCCACAGGAAAAAAAAAATCACTTGTCCGAGTCACACAGAAAGCCATATAACAGCTGTTACTAAGGACCTCAAGCTAAAATCCCTCAAGAATGTAAGGTCCATGAGAGTGGGGACTTGTCTGTTTTGTCCTATGCTCTGTCTCCTATGTAGATTAACAATGCCTTAAAAGAATCTGTTTAAAATTGGGAAGCTGGGAGATCTATTGCTCATTTTCAGGACAAACCAAAGAAATGCTCACTGCTGTGGTTTGGTTCACTTCTGGATGTAGCACCCTAGTTGACCTGCAGAAGCTGCAGACACACAGGTGTATGTGTTGTATTTCATCAATTTCAAGGTGGCATGTTGTAATACGTTGTAACAGCTCTGAAATCTGATGCATCTTACAATCAGTAGAGTTTTACTATTCACTATTGATCAGTTATGACACAGTGGTCATTGTGCATGTCATGATTTGGTTGCTCCTCCTATGACATGACTGGAAAACTTCCTCCACAAACATTTCAATGAATAAACAATTTAAGGATCTTTTGAGGAAGGAATGTGCATCCTGATTGTTGTCTATCTTTTGAAAAGATCAATAAATAACTTACAGGAAAGATATCAGGTACTTGGAAGAAAATCCTATCAACAGTAATAGAACATTTTAAGAAATGTCCCATTATTAATATTCTTCATGACACAGAACAGGAAAGTATGTAGAAAAATACAGACAACAATGACACTGAGTCACAGGAATTCAGTTATATTACACTGAATATGAAGACATTTTAGAACGACATTAATAAATGTACTTCACTTGAAGCTTTCATTTTTATGTATGTAGTAGAATGTTTAAAAATTACATAAATAAATTTAAAAGAGTTTCTTCCATAATTCAAAAATTAAAACTAGAAGTGATAATAAACATTAGGACTGTATCACAGTATAATTGGCAACATGTATTTTCTTTCTTTCTTAGTGGTTTATAAAGGTGTGGTTTTTAACCATTAGCATCTTAAATTCCACGAAATACAGTATATCAGTTTAATTCTCACCACAATCCTGTGAAATAAGTAATAGTTTCCCATTATCTTTCTTCTTCAAGCTTTGAAGGGTCAGAAAGAGAAGTTTGTCAGTAGGGAAATAAGTGAGAGAAAGAGAAAAGAATTCAACTATATCCATTATCTAAAAGCAGGCAACCCACCCAGAGAAGCTGGGGAAACCAGAAAAAGTCTTATCTTTGAATGAATATTAAACTGTCCATTAATACAGAAACTAGAGGCTTTCATGCCATGAATCAAGATGTATTTTGCTATTTATAGTCGCCAAAACACTTGCTATTAACAAAGAGTGAATTAAAAAGTCATGGGTATTGCCTGAGTTTTCATCAAAGATTAATGAAAAGTATTTTCTGTTTCATCAGTGGGACAAAAAGACAGTAAGAAGACAAAAATAAAGTTGCTTTTAGGATTATTCTCCATACATTTTTCTTGTTCAATGTTCCTACTACACATGGAGTAAACTCCCATAAGAAAGTGCTAGTGTAATTAATGTAGTTGTCTTGCATATGTTTTCTTTATATATAGATGCAAGTTGCCCATAGAAATAGGTAAGATAGAAATATAGATATATAGGTACAGATATAGATTTTCCCCCTCAACAGACCACATTCCTGAATGGTTGTAGGTGATTGGGCAGGGCCTGGTGACAGTTTTGCAACAGGATATAGGGATAAAGAACAAGCATGCAGGGAACTGGAGACCCTCCTTTCACCCAATAGTATCTGAAAAATTAAAAAGAGTATTGGCCAGATGCAATGGCTGACACCTGTAATCCCAGCACTTTTAGAGGCAAAGATGGGAGGATCGCTTGAGTTCAAATGTTTGAGACCAGTCTGGGCAACATGGCAAGACCTATGTCTACAAAAAATTACAAAAATTAGCCAGGCAGGGTGGCTTGAGGTTGCAGTGAGTCATGATGGCACCACTGCACTCCAGCCTGAGCAACAGAGTGAGACCTTGTCTTAGAAAAGAAAAAGAAGAAGAGGAGGAGGAGGTGAGTAATAGGAAGAAGGAAGAAGAAGAACAAGAAGGAGAAGGAGAAGGAGAAGGAGAAAGAAGAAGAAGAGGCGGCGGCAGCGGTGGCAGAGGAGGAGAAGGAGGATCTACGATGGGGGGAGGAGATTTCATTGTTGTTTCTTTGTTCTGCTCCTACCCCCAAATCCATCATGCAAGCCTGTGTGTATCTCAAATTCTGCTGTTTCTCTCTCAGAAACCAGTGCTCTCACACCGAAGGCTGATTGCAAACTCTTTCTAGAGCAGCTCACTGACTTGAGCCTAAGGGTAAAAGTCATTGTTGTCAGTCTATTTGTTTACAAGAGAAATAAAGAGGCAGTTACAAGGCTGTTTAATGAAACACTGTTCACATTACTCCCTGGCCCATTCCTTTGCACAAGTTGGTTCTGACTTTGGAGTCTCTAGAGAAGATCTATGCTTATATCTAGTGCCCAGGGCCAGAGTTTTCTCTCTTCTTTATCCCTCGGTCTTAATTTTATTTCATTCTTTAGGAATTCTTTTAACTTTTGTTATTCTGAAGGAAAGTTTTCTTGATTTCTAATGACAATATTACTTCTTTATTGTTTTTAAGGTTTTTCTGTAATTGCAGCAGAATCCTCAGAAAAGAGGAAATAGATGCCTGAGCTTAGTATTCAGGCTCTTTGAAATGGTTGGATTCAGCCAGAGAGACATTTTTGATTTTTCTTTTCTTTTCTTTCTTTTTTCCTTTTTTTTTTTTTTTTTTTTTTTTTTGAGCCAGAGTCTCTTTCTGTCGCCTAGGCTGGAGTGCAGTGGCACCACCTCGGCTCACTGCAACCTCTACCTCCCGGGTTCAAGCAATTCCATATAGAAACAGCAAAATTTAATCTGTGATGTATCAGGTGGCAAGTTTAAGCTAAGCCACATGTAAATGAAAGTTATGCGGGAAGAGAAAAGTCCCTCAGAGAGGAAGTGTTTCCAAAGAGACAAAAGGTGTGGTTCCCGTTCCCTATCTTTCATCTCCATCCTGTAACCCACCTGAACTGTCAGGTTCCCTCTATAGTTTTTTGGAAAGAGATTTTAAAAAAATGAAAACACAAAAAATGATGTTCTCAAGTGATAAATAGAAAAGTCATTTTATTTTATTTTATTTCTTTTGGGAGAGAGTCTCGCTCTGTCACCCAGTGGAGCAGTCTTGGTTCACTGCAACCTCCGCCTCCCAGGCTCAAGTGATTCTTGTGCCTCAGCCTCCCAAGTAGCTGGGATTATAGGTGCATGCCACTAGGCCCAGCTAATTTTTGTATTTTTAGTAGAGATGGGGTTTCACCATGTTGGCCAGGCTGATCTCAAACTCCTGACCTCAGATGATCTGCCAGCCTCGGCCTCCCAAAGTGCTAGGATTACAGGCATGAGCCACCGTGCCCGGCCCAGAGAGACACTTTTCAAACAATGTCAGTAATTAATAATAATATACTAAATGTATCTATGTCAGAATTTGAATGGTTATTCTTTAGATTCAGCTTAAATATTTCAAATATTTTCGAGCTTTTCATTTTTGTGTGTGTGCAGAGATATTGGCAGGAAAGAGTGTTATTTTCCATCTTCTAAGAACTGGAACAAAATTTAAAATGCCTTTTCTGGCTGGGCACAGTGGCTCACGCCTGTAATCCCAGCACTTTGGGAGGCCGAGGCAGGCGGATCTCTTGAGGTCAGGAGTTTGAGACGAGCCTGGCCAACATGGTGAAACCCCATCTCTACTAAAAATACAAAAATTAGCTGGGCGTGGTGGCAAGCCCCGGTAATCCCAGCTACTTGGGAGGCTGAGGCACAAGAATCACTTGAGCCCGGGAGGCGGGGGTTGCAGTGAGCCAAGACTGCGCCACCACACTCCAGCCTGGGTTACAGAGCAAGACTCTCTCTCAAAAGAAATAAAATAAAATAAAATAAAATAAAATAAAATAAAATAAAATAAAATAAAATAAAATAAAATGACTTGTCTATTTATCACTTGAGAACATCATTTCATCATTTTTTATGTTTTCTTTTTTTTTTTAATCGCTTTCCAAAAAACTATAGAGGGGAACCTGACAGTTCAGGTGGGTTACAGGATGGAGCTGGAAGATAGGGAACTGGAACCACACCCTTTGTCTCTTTGGAAACACTTCCTCTCTGAGGGGCTTTTCTCTTCCCCCATAACTTTCATTTACATGTGGCTTAGCTTAAACTTGCCACCTGATACATCACAGATTAAATTTTGCTGTTTCTATATTATTCATTTCATTTTCCTCTGTCTCTTGAAAAAGACTTCTCATATGAGATTAGAAGTAGTTGTGGCACACAATGAATAACAGACCAAAATCAGAAGATCTTGTTAGCCGTGGAAGTTACCCGAGTTACCGGTGGCAAATCAGTACAGGTCTGCAGCGACCTCAATTCTTGCCTCCTCAGAAGAAAGAATTTGACTGAGGGGCATAAGGCAGAAGAAGAGACTGAGGCAAGTTTTAGAGCAGGCCTGTAAAGCTTATTAAAAAGCTTTAAAGCAGGAATGAAAAGAAAGTGCATTTGGAAGAGGGCCAAGCGGACATCTTGGAGGTCAAGTGTGAGGTTTGGACTTTGACTTGAGGTTATATATGTTGGCATACTTCTGGTGTGTTGTGTCCCATTTCTCTTGATTCTTCCCTTAGGGTGAGCTACCCGCATGCGCAGTGGCCTGCTAGCAGTTGATAGGTGAGCATGCGCAGTGTGTTTACTGGAGTTGCATGCATGCTCATCTGAGGCATTCTTCCCTTACCAGTCAAATGCCCCTGGAAGATCATATACTAGTTAAACTGCCATTTTGCCTCTTAGTGTGCATGCTTGAGCTCATTGACCCAGCTCCTGAGATCTTATCAGGAAGCTGCTGATCACTAGTTTCAGGGGTGTCCTATCTATAGGGAGACTGCCTTTCCCTGGTGCTGGCTGCAACCTATTATTATTTTAGAGAGGCAATGTGACAACTGCCTGACCATCACCTGATGGTTGCCTGACTTTCCTGGTGGAGTGTGTGGGCCTCTCCTGCCCTGTTACTGTCTGACTAACCACCCACTATAACAATCTCGGTTCAAAAACTAACCAGATGTTCAGCTTGTCCTTAAACATCTAAGACTCCTTCATTTCCAGTAAAATGACATTAATAAGAAATTTCACGGAGTTGTTGGGATCACATGTGCATTTTTTAAGTGGGAGAGCATTATAAAATCTATATAAAAGTTGTTATTAAATGGAAAACATCATCTTTTATAGTGAGAGTTGACGTCATCTGGCCATAAGCTTAATTTAATATGAATTATAAACATTTTTTCACATCTAGTAATTTATCGTTTCTCAATTTGGATATAACAGGACACAATTCAAAATATGCATCCACCACCTTAGGAAAAAATACCTGTCATTTTCTGAAATCAATGTTTCCATTTCTCACTAGCAAGCTAAGTGGAAAAGGTACATAGAGGTCAAATGTAGCAGGCTAGACTGTAAAAAAAAAATTATAAATAACTCTCGACCTGACAGAGGGTATTCACTTTCCCTAAAACAATCTTTAACCACTGAAAAGCAAACTTTGATGTTCAGAAGTTCAGTTCAACTTAAGCACCCCCAAAATTTGCCTGTTGATTCAAATGTTATTTGAAACTTTATAGCACATACAATTATACTGAAAATTGTATTAAAACAGGATGACTGTCTGGTACTATTTCCATGCATTTTGCCTTTTTATATAACCATAACAGAGGGTCAGAAACATATGTAAAAGTAATTTATGAAAATAAGCCACATTTTTTGGAAATGTAGGACAAGACTAAAATTGGATCATGCTCATCATGTATAAAGTTCAAATTGTTTTAAATGTACTCCCACGCGGCAGTTCAAGAAAGTGAAAAGTAAATGGTTCAGCTGATGGCTTTCTCTCTAAGGTGTGAAAGCAGATAATACAGCCATGTAAAGAAAGCCACCAATTTCCTCATATACAGTAAGACAAGAATTGTTATTCCATATGTAGAATACTGGAGACCATGTATATGAAATACCAGTCTTCCTATTGGCTGATAAAGGTTTACGTAATCAAAGACTATAAAATTCTCCAGGATAGGAGCCCTGGTGGCTGAGGCCCGTTGTCCTGGCGCATAAGGAGGCAAGGCTACGTGTTCAAGGCCAACATGGGCAACATTAAAAACCTCTTGTCCATTAAAAAAAAAAAAAAAAAAAAAGGCCAGGCGTGGTGGCTCACACCTGTAATCCCAGCACTTTGTGAGGCTGAGGCGGGTGGATCACAAGGTCAGGAGTTTAAGACCAGCCTGACCAACATGGTGAAACCCTGTCTCTACTAAAAATACAAAAAAATTAGCTGGGCATGGTGGCACACGCCTGTAATCCCAGCTACTCAGGAGGCTGAGGCAGGAGAATCGCTTGAACCCAGGAGGCAGAGGTTGCAGTGAGCCACTGCACTCCAGCCTGGGTAACAGAGTGAGATTCCATCTCAAAAAAATAATAATAAACAAAATAAAATAAAATTCTTGAGGATACAAATTGTACTATATTTGAAAAGACATCAGCTAATTTGAGTTTTATCTCCATTTGAGGACAATGAATTTGCAGCTGTAGGATATAAATTTACTTGCCATCCCTTTTCCAAATAGTATTCCATACCACAAGTAGGTGTTACTATCAGCTACTTTATTTTAAAACATGTAAAAGAATAACACAATTTTCAAAACCTGAAAAGTACTCCAAATTCATATGTGAACTATACCATTGTCTCATTCCTTAAAGGAAAGAGAAAGAGCAAATAGCATTTTTTGATGTCCACTCTATGTCAAGTTTTGTTTTCTCATGTTATTTCATTCACCATCATTGTAGTCTTGATTGAAAAAAAAAGGACTGGGGGATTATGCATATAAATGATAAGTATTGTTAAAATATCTGTGGAGTAGAGAAAGTAAGTGTGAACACAGAGCCTGGAACTTAAAATCAAGCTTTATTTCCTTTTGTTTGAAGTACATTTTGGTATATTAATGCCTATGGCCTTATTATGCATATGTGTCTGTATTACTTACCAATCCAAAAGGAAAGGAGTGGGGAGGGAGACAAGAGAGAAAAAGAAAGGGGGAAAGAGCGAGAGAGAAATGCATACAGTTGACTGAGCTCAATTTACTTAATTAAATGCTATCAGTTAGTGTTATATTCAACTTTATATGACAAAACAGACAAACAGGCCTACAGTATTTAAACAAAAACTGTAATTCACTCTGGCAGTCCAGAGTGGAGATAGCAGCACTGCAGTTATCAGAGGTCCAAGTTTTCTCACCCTGCTGCACCAACATCCTTCTGAGGTCTTGAGTTTGAGTGCTAATTTGGTATCCAAAAAGTCTCAAGAACTGAAATTTCATATTATGCATTTTCATTTCCATAAAAGAGTATACGTACCTAACCTCTTTTATTTCAAAGAGATTTCTTCACAAATCAAGTTTCCAGGGTGCGAGACTGTATATTTTGATTGCCAACTAATTCAATAATACTCTTATTTGAGTTGGAAACTGAAAACAGGCCATCCTGAAATGCAGATTCACAAAGTGCTACCAACCGGATGAAATATAATCCATACTCAAATACTTCAGTCTTTTAGGCAGACTGGTGGCAAATTCTATCTGACACTTATATGTTTTACTTCTGAGTCATTTTATATAGCTCAGTCCAAAAGTGTTTTTTTCTGCAATAAATTTTAAAATTAGTGCTTTTTTTTAACAGAAGGATAAATCAATAAATGAAGAAATTCAAACTAGTTTTTCTAAAATCATGTAAAGCAAAGTATTCATGGAACACAGACAGAAATAACCTCACCCCATGTAGTCTTAATGCAGAAATCACAGTCTACCTATAAGACCACAGAATGCTTTTAGAAATCCACTGGGTATATTTCCTCAAGGCATATTCCTTAAGGCATATTTTAAATGAGTATTTTGCCCAAAATGTGGGTGTAGTACAAATTCTATTCCATTTAATAATTCCTCAATGGTATTCCAACTTTCAAAGTAGTTCAGTATAACTTATGTTCATAAGCTTCACTTAAGGATAAGGAAATTACCTGGATATTTTTATTTATTGACTCAGCATTGCTGCAGTTCTGAGATGCAGTTGGCTGTCACTTTCTTAGCACTAAGAAAAAGGGACCCTAAGATTTAAGATAGTGGATGGAGAAACAGAGCCAGCCATTATGAGAGTATAAGAATGTCTCATCCTTGGTTTTTATTCATATCGTTACCAAACATAAAAAAATAGCTTAAGAACTAAATGCCATTGCTATTTTCCACCAAATTTAATAGGTTCTTTATATCATTGTAGAAAGAATCAAATGCTATATGCAAGGGCCTGCTTCAAGAGACTGTGAATTTCAGTTACTTACCATTGTAAATGCAATTATTAAAACCATCATCTCACCTTAAAATTTGCTCAATTATCTTAACTAGATTGTTTTTTAAATAAAAAATTAATTTTGTTAACCATCGATGAACACAGTCTTCTAAGGAAAGTGGAAATAATCCTTGTCATCCTCATTCCAAAAACTTTCTTCATATTGAATTCAGCTACATGAGATTAAAAACTCGCTGGGAAATTGTATAACAAAAAAAAGTTTTATTTTTCTATTTTGATTACTGATGTCTTCTTTGCACAACCCTAGAAATTCTACTGGAGTACATGTCTTAATTTGACACCTGTCAGAGACATCCAGCCCCACCAATTAACAGCAAATCTCTTTTGCTGCTAAATCCTGGCAGCCAACCTATATTTCTGTAGAAAAGAGCCTCTAGAAATCTCATGAACTGCTTTTTCCTCAAAAGGCATGAGAAATGAACCTCTATATTAACACAAAGACAATACTAAGCAGCTGCTCACAATCTCTTTCCAAAAGCACTTGATTTCTATAATAAACAGAATTAAATTGTGTCCATTTCTGGCCCTAAACAACAGGACTGGGCTTAAAAATGTAGCCCAGGCACATAAAATGCCACTGTAAAATTCAGCTTCTATCATAAACAGGGTAGTCTAGGGAAATTTCAAATTGAAATCATGAGCCAAAGCTTATTAACCAACCACTTTAAAATGACATCGACAAGTTTTGTTTTAATTATTTTTTTTAATTCCTGCAAACCAAAGGTTTTAAAAACTCACTTTTCGTTTGAAAAAACGAGGTTTTTCTTTTTTGATTTTTTTTTTTTGCCTTTCTAATTTGGATGAAGATAAAATTAAAATTGCCATTTTTGTTTAAATGCCAACCCCTGTCATTTGTGCCCAAATGGCTTTACTCTGTGTACCAGCCCCATCAATTAAAATCCACAAGTAGAAGGGACCAGGAGATTTAGTGCTTTGCCTGCTGCGCGGCCAGTGAGCAGAGGAGAGAATTTCTTTCTTTCATGCGTAATCCCTGACGACTCCAGGACTGCACACAAACTCTGGTGAGGATAGCTGGATTATTTCCAGATTCCTTACACCTCCCAAAAGCCCTTAGAGGCCCAGTTGTTTTGTTCTGTGTCCCCTGAAGACATCAGAACGGAGCTCTTGGATCTATACCACATAGGACATAATTCCTTTGGTCTATTTGTTTTAAGTACTCCCTCTTCTAATGCTTGAATGAAAAATAAAAGCACTAAAAACCAGAGGAAATCAGGGCGGAAAGCCCAGAGGAAATATCTGAACAGCAAGAGGCGTGAAGGGCGGACATTTTGGGAAGCTTCTCCTTTTTTCTTTTAATTGTGACTAGATTCTACCCTAAACAGCAAGAGAAATACAATAGTAACTTGAGCTTATAAACCTCTCCAAATGTTATTCCTCTCAGATTCCTAATTCAGGTATAAGGGCCAGATAGAAGCTAAGGAAAAATACCCTGAATGAGGCCCTGGCCTTTCAGAGACAAGCACTGCACTGGAAAATGGCCAGTTTATTAATTTGAGTAAGCTGACCAAGTGACAAGATTGGCTTTGTCATGATCTACTGGCTTAAATAGTTAAAAACTGTTTTAGACATTCCTAACTTCACTGAAAATGTGTACAATTCATTCACTAAGTAATTTGGGCTTGATCAGCAATGAAAACAGACATTGACAATGAAAACAAATCATAACAAATGTTTACAAGAGTATTTTTTAAAATACAAATTTACTTCCATAAAATGTATATGTACTATAGAAACAAACAAACAAACAAAATTGGCCAGATGTGGTGGCTGACGCCTGTAATCCCAACACTTTGAGAGGCCGAGGCAGGCGGAACACCTGAGGTCAGGTGTTCGAGGTCAGCCTGACCAACATGGAGGAACCCCCATCTCTACTAAAAATACAAAAAATTAGCTGGGCGTGGTGGCGGGTGCCCGTAATCCCAGCTACTCGGGCGGCTGAGGCAAGAGAATTGCTTGAACCCAGGAGGCGGAGATTGTGTTGAGCCGAGATTGTGCCATTGCACTCCAGCCTGGGCACCAGAACAAAACTCTGCCTCAAAAAAAAGAAAAGAAATAACAGAAAAATTAATAAGTGCTTGGACTTTCCAGATCACTGAACAAAGAATAAAAATTCCAGCCTCAAACTATTAACAATTATTTTATTTTACTTTAGTTTTTATAGACCATGAGTCTTACTATACTGTCCAGGCTAGTCTTGGACTCCTGGCCTCCTGCGATCCTCCCACCTCAGCCTCACAAATTGCTGGGATTACAGGTATGAGCTACCGTGCCTGGCTTATTTTAAACAGTAAGAAATAATGTTCTGGAAGTCATATATATATATATATATATATATACTCCTTTATATAAGTTAGTAAAATTGAGGATATTTTCTTGATAATGAAATTTTGAGTAGAAATACCTTGAAATTTTCTTTTGAAAAGAGAAAAATACTGTGAGACTATTTCAAAAGTTTTCTTTGGGTGACACTGAGAACCTCAAAATCTATTTTTTTCTATTTTTGGACGCTTGGAAAATATTTCACCAAATAAGTATAAAATGAAAATGTGAAAACTTACAGAGTAGAAGCTCTAAAAACAAGGAAATATTAAAACTGAATTAATCCCATGTCATACACACACATGCTCATAGACAAACATGCACATACCCACAAGTATGTATGCATGTAGGTCAGGTGTTCTTTCAGATTATTTGTTCTTTGAGTTCATTTATGTTCAGGGAGCATACTGTAAATAAATAGACACATATGGGGAAAAAGCATTCCAGCAGGTTAGGTAGAAAAGGAAAAGGAATTTATTAATTATTGGGTGGCCCACAGATTCTCTGGGATCATTCTTAGAGGCTACAGAGCCAGGGATAGTTCCTAAGAAAAGACTAGAGGCACATCCTGGACACAGCCATTAAAGATTCTGGGGTTATACTCCCAAAACTGAAATCTCTCGACCGGCTCTGCCAAAATTGCCTGAAAGAGCCTATGAATGCCTCCTTCTTCATGTCACTGTCTTCCAAGCAGAATTCTTGAGCAATGTGCCTGATAGGTAGAGCTTATATTAAATATCTATATTTCAGTTATAAGAGAAGCTGGGAAAAGGAACCTCTGTCTTAGAGAGAAGGGATTCACAACATTGATAATTCCCAACATAGTTCACAACACGCTGATGGCCACAAAAGGTGCCAAATATCCTACCATCTGCTACTATCTGCTTTGTGACCTCCCAACAACACCAGGTTTTTTAAAAAATATATTTAAACTTTGAACAATAAGAAAATGCCACAGCTTAACATAATGGAACTATTCTTCATAGAAATGAAAATACAAGTGCCCTACCTCTAAAAGGATGGCAAATCCAAAGCCTCATAAGTTTCTCCATCCAATTCTAAACTAAGATATCTAGGTGGTAGACATCACTGGTCTAAGTCCATCATAATGTCATCTTTATATTCTTTAACTTATGGACTACATTGTGAAAGAAGAACATATAAATATAAAATAATAGGGGGAAGGGAGAGAGGAAAAACATTTTGAAATATGTGAATATGTATAAGAGACTACAGGGAATGTGAGTAGATACTATATTCCTCATTTCTGGAACTGCTCATTATTTCAAGTTATAATTTTCTTTCTCTATCATGTATTCTAGAATTCTTTTTCCTCAACTGTTCCTCATCTAGTTCTTCAGCTGTTCAGAATCCTTACCTGGCACAGTAAATGAAATTTTATTCCTTAAATACAAAAGGATTGGTGGTCTTGCCTGCTGTGTACGCATCCATGGATCTTCCATTCATTTTACTACTAGCTATAATAGCACTATGAAGGCCAGAGTATCCCCTGTATTTTAAATATTCATTTCTGTACTACATGTGTCAGCCCTTGTTGTCTGTGATAATTAGGGTCAATCACCCCAGCAAAACTATAACTTCCATTTTTGACCTATTCATACAGTGGCACAAAAAGCTTGAAATGGTTATGTAATAGTCTCAGCTCCTAGTTCTACAAAAATATAGTTGGGTGTCATGTTGGAAGCATTCTTCACTCCGGCACTACGTCTTCCAAGCCAACGAAGCCAAAGGTCATAGAATATGAAACATAGTTTTTGTTAAGGGATCATAAGACGTAAAAGTGACACGTGAAATTCTGGCTTTCAATCTCTTTGTTTTCTTATTTTTGGAAGAAGCTTCTGCCTTATTCTGCAAGATGGTATTCCAGCTTCACAAGGGTGGTGCCATAATATGTGTTCAATAATCTTACACACTTTTATCAAGACCAGCAGCTTTTGGGTGACTGAGTGCCTAGCTATATCTCTAAATCCAAACAGTATATATCTATACATGACTTCCGTTTCTGTAAAAATCATTTCCATGGTCAAAAGCATTGGTATATGGGACACCACAATTGTAGACAAGGCATTTTAATAAGTCCATAGATATTGTCTCTGGAAAAGAGGGGGAGGAAATCCAAATTTCCAAATCCAAAATTGTAATTAATTCCAGTGAGGTCAAATCACAGTCTAATTCATGGTAGAATAGGTTTAGTATCATCAGCCTACCACCAAGTAATTTGTTTAACCCTTCTTGGTTAGTTCATACCTCACCCCCAGGTATACTATTAATATCAGAGGTTAAGAGTTTTGCCTTCTAAGACTTCTGCCACTGGTGAACTGGCCATCAAATACAGCCAATAATTGGTCAGATAGTGCTAAGGGAAGGACATGCTGATCCAGTGCATAATCTCACAAAAACAAGAATGAGCCTGGGCACGGTGGCTCATGCCTGTAATCCCAGAATTTTGGGCAGCCAAGGCGGATGGATCACTTGAGCTCAGGAGTTCCAGATCAGCACTGGGCAACATGGCAAAACTCTGTCTCTACAGAAAATACAAAAATTTGTTGGACATGGTGGCATGCAGTTGTGGTCCCAGCTACTCAGGAGGCTGAGGCAGAAGGACTGTTTAATCCCAAGGAGGTCAACGGTGCAGTGAGTTGTGATCACACCACTGAATTCCAGCCTGAGCAACAGACTGAGAATGTCTCAAAAACAAAAACAATCAAAAACAAGTAAAAGCAAGAATGACTCCACTCAATATCGGCATGGTTACTGACATTCATTAGCTGGATCACCCTTTTCTATCAGAATATTGCTCATCTCCTTCCCAGTGACAATCTTCAGTTGATAAGTCACATGGGAAAAAATAATTACACACTGTAGGTACATTTTGTTATCTATCTAAATACCTCTTCCCCAGCCGGGCGCGGTGGCTCACGCCTATAATACCAGCACATTGGGAAGCCAAGGTGGGTGGATCACGAGGTCAGGAGATCGAGACCATCCTGGCTAACATGGTGAAACCCCATCTCTACTAAACATACAAAAAATTGGCTGGGTGTGGTGGTGGGTGCCTGTAGTCCCAGCTACTTGGGAGGCTGAGGCAGGAGAATAGCTTGAACCCAGGAGGCGGAGCTTGCAGTGAGCCGAGATTGGGCCACTGTACTCCAGCCTGGGCAACAGAGTGAGACTCCATCTCAAAAAAAAAAAAAAACTATTCATCAATATCCATGAATGATTGTGGAACAGTACTTCAGATATTTCCACCTTCCAAGACAAAAGAACAATGGGGAAAGTTGCTCAACATTCTTCACATTAAAATAATTATTCTTTCCCATGTTCTTTTAGGAACATCTCTGAGTACTACTGTCACAATACAGAGGTTCATGTTCTTTATATAACATGAAGGGTGATCTATAAACCAAATCAAACTCTCTTTCCTCTTCTCTGTTAATTAGTCATTGGGAGGCTGGGTGCAGTGGCTCAAGCCTGTAATCCCAGCACTTCAGGAAGCCAAGGAAGGATAATCATTGGAGGCCAGGAATTCAAGACTAGCCTGAGCAATATAGTAAATCCCTTTCTCTAAAAAAATAAAAATAAAAACATTTGCCAGGCATGGTGTCACATACCTGTAATCCCAGCTACTCAAAAGGCTAAGGTGAGAGGCTCTCTTGAGACCAGAAATTCCAGGCTGCAGGGAACTACGATTGCATCACTGCAACCCAGTCTGGGTGACAAAGCAAGATCCTGTTTCTACTGTATGTGCCCAAGTTTATGCCTAGATACATGAGGTAACAGTACATGATATCTATTCTTGCAAATCATACTCCTGAATGGATGCTTCCATTTGGTAGAGCCTAGGTCGCATGTTCATGGCCTAATTGCAAGGGAGCCTGGGAAATAAAATTTCTGGCATTTTCTCTGAGAAGAGAGGATTTATAAATAAGGGAGAAAATTCCCCCAAAACATGTTAAAGAGTGTTGAAAACATAGTGGACAGCCAATAACTATGAAAAATGATCATTACAACAGACTCATAGATTATCAATGCAAATAGAATTGGCATTTGAACATAAGATATTGGAAACTAAAAGTTAAATAAGAACATATTATAAACTTTTCTGTAGAAGATAGTGGTAAACACACATACACACACACACACACGAAAACCCGTAACTGTCTGCTCTGAGCTACTTTCTTGAAGGAAGTTCTGAAAATCCAATGGAGAGATTAATTTATCCCTGAGTTACTTATTTATAGTACATTACATAATGGTTTCATTGCTAACCACTGCGACTACATGACTGAGCTTGCATTCTTGTGGAGAAACTTAAAGGATCACATAATTTGAAGTCAGATAAGGTTTCATGACAGACCCTCAAAGCATAGCCAAATGTTAAGCTAGTCCCAGCAAATGAGGCAGGAATGTTGCTGAGTGAATAAACATGATCAATGACAGGAAAATTAGAGACAAAAACTATTTTTAAAAAACAATTTTGATGTCATTATAAAAATATGCTTGTTCAGAAATGAGGGATCCTCATTTTAATTTACTGTCTAATCGTAATCTAAGAGTTCAAGGAGATTTCGTGATTCTTTCTGGGCTCTAATATTTTCTCTCATTCCTTATTCAGTGGCTAGTAGTCAGAAAAGGTGAAAAATAAAATGAAAATGACAGTCATCGATTTTCTAGTCAACATGTTCCAAGTTGGCGAATTGTTTCCAGATCAGGCTTCTAGTTATGTTTTAGAATGTTTTTCTGGCTAGAGCCTATTAAAAAATGCCATGTCAACTATTGCCTTTATTTTCAGTTTTTTATTTATTTTTCCTCCTGGAGAACATTTTTTAAATCAATTACTTACAAACAGTAATAACAAGTAAAATTTTATTTGCAAACATATTAGTAACATATTATAGATATATGAAGTAGAATATTACTTACAAACAGTAATAACAAGTAAAATTTTATTTGCAAACATATTAGTAACGTATTATAGATATATGAAGTAGAATATTACTTACAAACAGTAAATAACACCCATTTTAAGCATATAGCTCTGAGTTTGGCAAATGGATACAGAAATGTAACCACCACCACAATCAAGATGTAAAACATTTTCATCACTCTGAAGTAATCCTTTGTTCACCTTCCCATTTGATTCGTCCCATAACTCCCGGTCATCTTTTTTCCCTCTAAATATAAAATTAAAAGCCAACATTCATATTGAATCTTTTTTTAGCCTGACAAAAGCTAACATTTGTATTCTAAAGTTCTAGATTGAATTATCTTCATCTCAGCTTCTCTACTATCTTCCTGAGTTTGTCTTTTCATAACAGTTGACCAGAACCTTCACAAAGACAGTACAATGTTGTAAATCTTAACTGCATGTCTCTTTAGGAAAAAAACCACTTAAATATTGATATTTATGTACCTCAATAACATTAAGAATTTACTTTGTGGTAGTCTCAGAATATGTTGCTAAATAAGTTAGATAAACTCTCTGGCTTCATGTAGATTACAATCTAAGTTGAATAAATTTACTGTAAACCAGACCAAATATCTCTAATTCTATTAAACCTAATGTATTATATACAATTTTAGCACCACAAAAATAACAAAACTGCTTCAGCTGAAAAGAAACTCCGTATATTTTACATGTATACAATTAAATGTATATAAACAATAACATATAATTGTATATTTAGTGAATATTTTTCATTTTTTGATTTATTGACTTCATTAAATAATTGGATGGTTTGAAGAATTACATTATCTACATACATATACAAGATAACGGTTTTGAAAACTGGTACCAAGAATCTTTTCTTCCATTAAAAATAATTAACACAATACATTATATGACAGCAAAACTCTTCCACTAACATCGATTCATATTCCTTTCAGTCTATCATCTTACTCTTCAATCTGACAGCTAAAATGATTCTTACACTCTTCTGTTATTTCTCATAATTCTGAGACACCTTAACAAAACCTTTTGAAGTCTAAATTTTTATACAAATGTATTTCTTCTCTGAGTTAAAATCAACTCTACAAAATATAGAAATGGCTCAACTGAATGTGTGCACAAGCTACAGAGCAAACAGCGCAGTCTCTATTATATGTTACTCGATGAAATACAAATGAATGATAAACTGAATGAAAAAATATACAAGCAAAAATGGCATGCCGCCAGAGAGCTGGTAAATGGAAGGTTGCAATTAAGCAGGCACCTAGTGAAATAGAGGAAATTAGACTGCTGCCTCTGTGTTTCTGCTGCCAGCACAGAGTGCTTTTTAACTCAAAATAGTCAACAGCCTACCGAGAGGACTGTAATTATATATTTTTAATTTTATTTCACAGGGTATGATTGCAGACAAGATAGAATCAACAAAAATTGAGAAAACTGCCTACTATTAATGATATTAAGTTTTGTTAAGTATATATCTATGTGAGAAAAGTTATCAAAGCTTAACTTAAAAGTTGGATTGTGTATTTATTTTAATTCCAGTCATGTGGCATTCAGTCAAGCCTCCAAGATAGAAATCAAAAGGTAAATATGTAAAGAATTTCATTGCCAGTATCCCGCACAAGAAACATCTGGCATCATAATCCTAAAATAACATATATGAAGAGCAAATGCCTTGAGCTGAATAAATAAATTCAAAGCATCTCAAGCTAGAGCATCTACATTTTCAATTAATTCCGTTTCTTAGGAACTTTGATTGAGGGCCAGCTTTCCGGAAAATATACAATTCAAGGAAATTTTCAGAGGATTTATCTATTAGCTCCCTCTTCCTTTTATACACTCTCCTTTTACCAACCTTTCCAACTGCCAATGTGTATTCAGTTATCCTGAGTTTTCCCAATTCTAGTTCCCCACAGTATTCCCCACAATGGCCCCCAGTTTATTAGTCTTTGTGCCAGAAGCAAATCTGACAACTTAAATCTCAATTGCTAAATGAATAATGTCTTTATGTGCTACTGGTTCTAAAGAAAATCCACTTCTATCAAGTAATATTACAACTGCAGACTAGGTGGTAAAGAATAATAGTGACAAAACTTCAGGAAGTTGGATAAAGAAAAGTTCCAGAAATTAATGCCTTATCTGGTGTGATAGCTAGATATCAAATGTCAGATCATGAGGACATAGCTGATCATCCCTTTCTCTTTCATTTCTTCCCTCAGATTGTGTTATAGATCTGTCTGCTTCCTTTTCCACTGCTACCACCAATTATAACACCAACTGCTATAGATTGGTCATTCTGACTCAATTCTCTATTTGTTTTTATTTTTAATTTTTGTGGGTACATAATTGATATATATATATATGTATGGGGTACATGAGATGTTTGGATACAGATATGCAATGCTTAATAATCACATCATGGAAAATAGGGTATCCATTCCCTTAAAATTTATTGTTATAAACAGTCAAATTATACTCCTTTCGTTATTTTTTAAGTGTACAATTAAATTATCATTGACTATAGTCACTTCATTGTGCTGTCAAATGCTAGGCCTTATTCATTCATTCTAACTATTTTTTGTTACCTGTTAATCATCCCTACTTCCCCCAAGAACCCCCACTATTCTTCCCCTGTCTGGTAATCATCTTTCTATTCTCTATCTCCATGGGTTTAATGTTTTGATTTTTCGATCCCACAAATAAGTGAAAACATGCAATGTTTGTCTTTCTGTGCCTGGCTTATTTCACTTAACATAATGATCTCCAGTTCCATCCATGTTGTTGCAAATGCCTGAATCTCATTCTTTTTGATGGCTGTACTCCATTGTGTCTAAGTACTATATTTTCTTTATTCATTCACCTGCTGATGGACACTTAAGTTGCTTCCATATCTTGGCTATTGTAAATAGAGCTGCGGCCAATATAACAGTGCAGATAACTCTTCAATATACTGATATCCTTTTGAGGGTTATATATCCAAAGTGAAATTGCTGAATTATATGGTAGGTGTATTTCTGACTACATACTCTTTAAAAATAGGTTGGGCAAGTAAGTTGACTGCCATCAAATGGCCTTCTGCCTACTGAGATTGTCATGAGAACCTACATGAAGTACAGCTGGGGCTCTCAATAAATATTTCACAATTAGAAGAGTGAAGAGGCTTGCAAATCAATATAATTGAGATATGAAACTATCCTACATATGGAAAAATTGTGAAGAATCGCTCTCCCAGCTACTGGGAAGTGTTTAGAATTGTGACTTGTTTGGTGAAACCTGGACAAAATTAAGTGTGGGCTATTGAATAACTATTGTCCAAAAAATAAAGAAAAAAACTTGCTTTAGGCAATAGAAGTACTTTTATTATAATTCATTCTCCCAATTTGCTATGGAGCCATTAAAATTATATATTTTTAAATATGGAAGACACATTCGGGATGAGTTAGCTAAATACTTCCATTTAAAATATGATGAAACAGAGTCCTTCAGGAATAAAGCAATTTACACAGTCTAAAACAAGTTAAAGCCACAAGATTCAATCTCATGTCTCCCAATTTTCTATGCAGTATCTTTCCTTGACAGCAATGAAAACTGAAGATTTTTTTTCATGCTGATCAATTCAGGGAAATTAAAATGATTATTGGAGACACATTTTTCTTCATTCAAAAGTAAAATAATTGTATTAAGACTATAAAGTGAAAGAGTATATTCTGTATATCAGATTGTTAACACAGGGTATTTCTGAGGAGTTAGGTGACTGGGAAATTTCACTTTCTATTTGGCATATGTAGCCAAAGTATTCCAAAGTCATGCAGCCTTCCCAAGTGACCCTTTAGTAATATCCTAATGAAATCAATTCAAGCCTCCATCCCATGAAACTGGAACAGGTTTATTCATATTTCTGAGACTTCCTGAGATGACAAACAATAAGGGCATGCAGAAGGGACACTTATACTTGCCAAGATATTTTACTCTAAATCCCTGCTACTGGTTCATTTTTTGATTATGCAGTTAAATCCCAATGCTTCCACAGGCTGCTCTAGTTTTCTATGGGTCATTTTATTCCAAAACTTTTTTTTTAGTTTTTACTATATGCCTAGCAGTGGTCTAAGACCTTTATACACATTAACTGACTTAATCTTGACCAGATCTGTGGATTCAGTACATTTTACTCCCATTCTGGAGCTTAGGTAAATGAAACACTGAGAGGCTGATAGTCATGTGTTAGAGTCAGGATTCGAACCTACGTAAGCTTGGCTGCAAAAACTGTGTTCTCAAATGTCTGTACTTTTATATGATGAACATAATATTATTGTGTGAATCTTTTACCAAATCCATGGTATACTAGAGGATAATTGCTGCAGAACAAAAAAATAAAGATTAAAAGCTAAATGACAGCCACTATTGTTACTAAATTTCTAGCTATCTCTGACAAAAAGAATTTCTTAGTTCCCTTTTTGTGTTTCCCGGTTTATCACATTATTGCTCCCCTTTTAGGGACACTCTTACCCATTTTCCTTCTTCCTTTGAATCTTTAAGGCAACCCAACATCTTACCTCCTGAGTATTCAATAGATAAATGAAAACCCAAATTTTCTGTTATTGTTTTAAATAAAGAATACCTACTTTTTTTGGTCACCTCTCCACAGTGGCCAGAGCTTTGCCCTTCACTATCAAAGACCTACTGATGAGAGTTCATTCTTAAACAATTCATTTATCTGATCAATTCCAATTTTTCTTCCAAAATGAAGATCCGAATGTAGTTAGATTTTTTTTTTTACTTTTATTTTAGGTTCAAGTATACATGTACAGGTTTGTTAGACAGGTAAATTGTGTGTCACAGGGGTCGGACACACAAATATTTTGTCACCCAGGTGATAAATGTAGTAACTAATAGGTAGTTTTTTTATCCTCACCTTCCTCCCACCTTCAACCTTCAAGTAGGCCCTGGTATCTATCGTTCCCTCTTTGTGTCCACTTGTACTCAATATTTAGCTTCCATGTACAAGTGATAACATGAGGTGTTTTGTTTTCTGCTCTCGTGTAAGTTTGCTTAAGATGACGGCCTCCAGCTCCATATGTTGCTGTAAAGAACATGATCTTGTTCTTTTTTATCACTGTGTAGTATTCCATGGTATATATGTATTTTTTTAATCCAGTCTACCATTTATTACCATTTAGTTTGATTCCATGTCTTTGCTATTGTGAATAGTACTGCAGTGAATATGTGTGAATGTGTCTTTACGGTAGAACAATTTATATTCCTTTGGGTATATAACCAATAATGGATTGCTAGTTTGAATGGTGATTATATTCAGAGCTCTTTGAGAAATCACCAAAATGTTTCTCACAGTGGTTGAATTAATTTACATTCCCATCAACAGTGTATAAGTGTTCCCTTTTCTCTGCAACCTCACCAGCATCTGTTATTTTTTGACTTTTTAATAACTTCCATTCTGACTGGTTTGAGATAGTATGTCTTGTGGCTTTGATTTGTATTTCTCTGATGATTAGTGATGTTGAACATTCTTTCATATGCTTGTTGGCCTCGTGTACGTCTTCTTTTGAAAAGTGTCTGTTCATGTCCTTTGCTCACTTTTATTGGGGTTGTTTGGTTTTTGCTTGTAAATTTGTTTAAGTTCCTTATAGATGCTGAATATTAGCCCTTTGTCAGATGCATAGTTTGCAAATATTTTCTCCCATTGTGTAAGTCATCTGTTTATTCTGTTGATAGGTTCTTTTGTCATTCAGAAGCTCTTTAGTTCAATTAAAGTTAGTTAATTTAGTTCCCACTTGTAATTTTTTTTGTTTTGTTGCAATTGCTTTTGGCATCTTCATCATGAACTCTTTGCCAGAGCCTATGTCCAAAATGGTATTTCCCAGATTTTCTTCTAGGGTTTTTACAGTTTTAGATTTTACATTTAAGTCTTTAATCCATCGTGAGTTGATTTTTGTATATGGTGAAAGGAAGAAGTACAGTTTCAATCTTCTGCACATGGCTAGCCTTAATAATGGTTGAAATGCCATTCAACCTTTTTTTTTTTTTTTTTTTTTTGAGAGAGAGTCTCACTCTGTCTCCCAGGCTGTCTCCCACTCCAGTGCAGTGGTGCAATCTCATCTCACCGCAAGCTCTGCCTCCCAGGTTCTCACCATTCTCCTGCCTCAGCCTCCCCAGCAGCTGGGACTACAAGTGCATGCTGCCACGCCAAGTTAATTTTTTGTATTTTTTGTAGAGAGGGGGTTTCACCGTGTTAGCCAAGAGGGTCTCAATCTCCTGACTTTGTGATCCACCCGCCTTGGCCTCCCAAAGTGCTGGGATTACAGGCATGAACCACTGTGCCTGGCCGCTATTCAACCATTTATTGGATAGCACCATTTATTGAATAGGGAGTCCTCTCCCCATTCCTTGTTTTTGTCAACTTTATCAAAGATTAGACAGTTGTAGGTTTATGGCTTTATTTCTGGGCTCTCTATTCTGTTGCATTGGTCTATGTGTCTGTTTTTGTATCAGTACCATGCTGTTTTGGTTACTGTAACCTTGTATAGTTTGAAGTGGGGTAAGGTGATGCCTCTAGCTTTGTTCTTTTTACTTAGGATTCATTTGGTTATTTGGGACCTTTTTTGGCTTCATGTGAATTTTAGAATCGTTTTTACTCTTTCTGTGAAAAATGGCATTAGTAGTTCAATAAGAACTGCAATTAACCTGTAGATGCTTTGGGGCAGCATAGCCATTTTAACAGTATTGATTCTTGCAATCCATGCGCATAGTATGTTTTCATTTGTTTGTGTTGTTTCTGATTTCTTTGAGCAGTCTTTTGTAATTCTGTGACAAAATTATAATCAACATTGTACTGAATGGGCAAAAGCTGGAAGCATTTCCACTGAGAACCTGAACAAGACAAGGATGCTCACTCTCACCACTCCTATTCAATGTAATACTGGAAGTCCTCGCCAGAGCAATCAGGTAAGATAAAGAAATAAAAGGCATTCAAATAGGAAGAGAGGAAGTCAAACTACCCCAGTTTGAAGACCATATTGTTTTGTACCTAGAAAACCCCATAGTCTTTGCCCAAAATCTCCTAGACCTGATAAACAACTTCAGCAAAGTTTCAGGATACAGTCAATGTATAAAAATCTGTAGCACTTCTATATACAATGTCCAACCTGAGAGCCAAATAAAGAATGCAATCCCATTCACAACAGCCACAAAAAAGAAAAGATAAAATAAAATACCTAGGAATACAGCTAATCAGGGAGGTAAAATATCTCTGTAGTTAGATACTGTCTGACATTTTTTTCTTACCATTGCATGTATTTTACAAAAAGAACATCTTATTTTTTGAAATTAGAAGTTATTCAAAAGTATAGTTTGTTTTATACTTAATTTTTAAAGTCGATATAAAAACTGACTCTATTTTCTAGACATTAAATGTAATACAGCAACGTATTTGAGAACTCAAATAGTAGAGGTTCCTTTCTACTTTTTCTTGCTATAGATGAAGGATTCCGCTATAAATCTAGGTGGCCTCATATCTGTTAAGCTATGGAAAATTGCCCTGTAATGAGGAATCAAAACAGAAAAAACGTCACCTATACAAATTACTTTAATGTAATAATTAGAAAATATTATTTATCACCTATTATGTAATCATTATTTGGACTATTAAAAATTAACCACCTATGATTATTTGAGATGTTTTCCACTTTTTGAATTACTAACTCAGAATTGGATGAAAACTACAGACTCTTTAGGGAGAAAAATGCACATATACACACACAGAAAGAATTTCGTATAAAATAACAGGAAGTTGACCCAACAGGAAGACATCCAAAGGGGTACCGTTGATCCCTAAGTTGAAATAATAAAATGTTATATTAAAAATGCATATTTTAGGGAGACAGTGTGGTGATTCCTCAAGGATTTAGAACCAGAAATACCATTTGACCCAGCAATCCCATTACTGGGTATATACCCAAAGCATTATAAATCATTCTACTATAAAGACACATGCACACATATGTTTATTGCAGCACTGTTCACAGTAGCAAAGACTTGGAACTAACCCAAATGCCCATCAATGATAGACTGGATAAAGAAAATGTGGCACATATACACCATGTAATACTGTGCAGCCATAAAAAAAGGATGAGTTCATGTCCTTTGCAGGGACATGGATGAAGCTGGAAACCGTCATTCTCAGCAAACTAACACAAGAACAGAAAACCAAACACTGCATGTTCTCACTCATAAGTGGGAGTTGAACAATGAGAACACATAGACACAGGGAGGGGAACATCACACACCAGGGACTATTGGGGAGTTGGGGGGTTAGGGGAGGGATAACATGAGGAGAAATACCTAATGTAGAAGACAGGTTGATGGGTGCAGCAAACCACCACGGCATGTGTATACCTATGTAACAAACCTGCACGTTCTGCACAATTATCCCAGAACTTAAAGTACAATTTAAAAAATACATATTTTGTACAGATATCAATCCTGTTTTTACTAACGTTAAATGGTAAACTTAGGCACATTTAACGTTTAAATAGTTTATTTGAGTAAACAGCGATTCATGACCCCAGCAGCGTCAGACCATAAGTGGTTGGGCTATACCCAGGGGGAACTTTTATAAGGTGCTTCCGACAGAAACAAGGCAAAGAAAATATTTTTTATTGGTTCAAATCAAAATTCCCTAATTAGAGGCTAGTTTGACAGTTTCTACTCAGTTAAACTTCAGTTTCCTTTTACTTTTTGCCTTGAGTTGAACTTCTCTTCGCTTAAATAGGAACCCAAAGCACTAGAACTGTCTCAGGCTAATGGCTTCCCAATTATATTTTTTTAACACTAAGGAATTTTGTTTTTAATTTAGGATATACAGTTGATCCTTGAACAACACAAATTTGAACTGTGCAACTCCACTTATACATGGATATTTTTCAGCCAAACCTAGTATTCACAGGATACAAACCTGCATATAGAGAGGACCAACTTTTCATACCTGCAGGTTTCACAGGGCCAACTACAAATGATTATGTGTGGATTTGGGTATATGCGGAGTCCTGGAACCAGTTTGCGCTTATCAAGGGATGTCTGCGTTACCATATTTTATCATATTTTGGTCATCGCCATTTGTAAGGTGCCCCATTATTTTATGTTTAAAGATAAAGAATCATTCCATTTTAATTGTAGGATGTCATTGATGGTAAAATGTCTCCAGGTTTCAGAGATGTTAAAAATTGTAAAAAGTGCATCTTAGAATCAATAAATTATGGTATTTCTTTTTACTTTAGACATGAGAAATTGCTTTTACTTCAGATAAATGAATATATAAAATATATTAGGTCTTAGAATATCTGCCATTTCTCTCTATTATTTTACAAGAACTCAATTCACCTTCCCTAGGAAACTCATACATTTGTATCTAATTTTATTGTAGACCTATTATTTCTAAAAGCTAATTCTAGCATAGCTGACCTTATCCTGTAAACTTTTGACCTCCTTCTTGCTTAAAATGATATCTCAAGACCTGAGCCTACCCACTCTAGCAAGTACTATAAATGGAGCAGAGGCCAAGCAGCCTGCAATTTCTAGGATCAATCATAATCATTCTCTGATTTCTTAGATATTGAATGTTACCTTCTGATATATTTCAATCAGGTCTTCGGAGTCTAGAACTGAGTTGTCTGGCAGACCGTTCATACTTGTAATTTTTTTGGTTCTGCCTCCCTTAATCAACCTTATGTTGATGTAAAAGTCTCCTGTATCTTTGATCCAAACATTTGCCTCAAACCTGTCCTAAGACTATCCTTCTGATCCACCTTTGCCAGAGGTACCAACAATGCCAACAAATAACTGTTGAACTGGCAAGGTTTTCCATCTGGGACATAGTTTTTGGATCTGATAGCTCTTCCTCCTCATTTCCTCATAAGATGTATTTTATATCATCATCTCTATTGACAGAAACCAAATGTCAAAAGTCAGTGAGCCAAGAGATACCTAAGAAAGATTAGAAACATTAAGGTATTGAAGACACAAAGCTATACCAACTTTCTGCTAGTTCTGCTAGAAAGAAACCATAGGTGGAAATGCTGATGGGAGTTAGGCTTATTTGTGTTTCAAAATTTTTAATTTACCAAGTGTCCTGGGAAGTCATTTGACTGATGAGGTCTATTCAACTCATCAGATGTGTGAAAAAAATAAAACATTTATTTTAATCTTTGAATAAACATTTATATATTTGGACAAAGATGGAGAATGATTAATTAGTTAGATAATTACCTTTGAATGTGTTTAGAAACTGAAAATATATTACAGGACATGCATACTAGTTTTTCTTAAGGAATATTTGAATAATGGCTGAAAGATTTTGATGTATCCAAGTAAAACTAAACTCACAAACTATAGTCAAATTCATAGATGCAAAAAGGTTTTCAAAGTATTAACATTTAACATGGACAATCAAATAAAAAGCAAATATATATAACCTCCTAACATTATCACATTTATCTAATAATGGAAATATGTTAAGAATTTTCAGGATTGAGTGGTTTCAGTGCCAATACAGTACAGAATTTTTGTATATGCTATATCACTGACTTACATAATCCCAGCTTTTACATGCATGTATATGTTTTACAGTTTGAAAAACAGTAGTATTTGTTAGGTATGTATATTTGTTAACACACACACACATATATACAGCTTATCCTCATTGCTCACAGATTTTATATTTGTGAATACAGAAACATAAATTTGGGGCAAATTTATTTGTAGCCCCAAATCAATATTCATGTCACTTCTGCTGCCATTCGCAGACATGCTCATCTGCAGAGAAGCAGAAAATTGGGGCTACCCGATGCTCACATTCCCAGCAGATGTTGAACAAGTTCATGCTCTGCCTTCTTGTTTCAGCTCTCACACTGTAAACCAGTGTGCTTTTTGAGGTCTGTCTAGTGTTACATTGTTTGCATTTTTGTGCTGTTTGTTGGTAATTTTGCTGTTTAAAATGGCCCCCAACAGAGTGCCCAAGTGCTATCTAGCATTTCTAAGTGCAACAAAGCTATGATGTGACTTACGGAGAAAAGACGTGTTAGATAAGCTTTGCTCAGGCATGAGTTATAACGCTGTTGGCCAAGAGTTCAATGTTGTTGAATCAACAATATATATTAAATAAGGCGTCTTTAAAGAGAAACACACACAAAGCAAGGTTATGTATCGATTGGTTGATGAAAATATTGTGACCAGAGGTTCACAGGAAACTATACCTGTATTTTCTCTAAAGGTAATTGCTTAGCACTCTCTAATTCAGTGTTTTCAGTGACTTTATAGACTATAACTACTGCAAATAACAAGAATCAACTGTCTGTATAATATGGGATGCCACATTTAGATGACATCTGTTTTTGCTTAGTTTCCCTTTGTCCAAAACCTCTTTCTATTTGGTGGTGGAAATTCCTCCATTGTTTAAGTCTTGGTTGGAGTGCAAGTTGGCAAGCTGAAGGGGATCAGACCCTGTCTCTCCATACTCCTGGAAGTAAGGATGCAGGCACTTGACCTAGATTCAGCAGATTAAATGCTGCTACCTAGGATGCTGAATGTTGAGCTTGGGATCTAAAGACAAAGGCTCACTTCCTAAAAAAGATATATTTATTCCCATTGGCAGCTTGCAGCAGCAGTGGTGTTTGGCCATGGAGATCACACTAGACAACTCTACAATGTGACCAGAGCTGAGAATGTTGATGCTGAGGCTTTCTTGTTTCCTTTCCATTTTCTGAGCCTGATTCTCTCCAGTCTTCCCATCAAATCTGTGAGTGACAGCCGCATACACTTCCAATAAATTATTTTTCTTATAACTTAGCCAGATGTTGTGTTTATGGCTTGCAACCCAAAATCCAGAAGGATACAACTATCATATGCCAAATGTTTTGCCAAACACTGTTAAATTATATAAAAATCTATATTTTATGATTCTGGGAGTATTACAAAAAATATAAAACCTATGTGAAGTAAATATATTTTCCTTAAAGGACTTATCATCTTTTGTCTGCCCTTTATCATTATTTAATCTAAATTATAGAGGAGAAATCCAGAATTTTAAAAAGATTTTTAAGATATTTTAAAGATTAATAGGTATTTGACAGAACTATTAAAATATATGTTAAAGGCTTCAAGTTACATAAAATTAGGATCTGGACTTAATAAATTATTTTACTAATAAATTGGTCTTAATTTTTACTTCCTTAGAAAGAGCTTTCAAGATGTTTTACTTTTCTACAATCATTCCGAACTTTAGGGTTAACATTTTCTCTGCAGAAATATTTTGAAATTATTATTTACAATTGAATTGCCTTTCAACACCATCAAAACATGTAAATATATATCTACATAAGAATCAAAAGTTAATGAAGCCAAACAACTATTCTGTAGATGTTTCTTACAAATATAAGTTTAAGAAATCTGATAAATTATGAATATTGATTAGCCACATATAATTCAGTATTTACAGGGTAATTTTCCTGGCATATAGGAATACATGCTTTTGCTTACAATTTATTTCCTATTGGCTGCCTATTAAGTATATAAAGCCAACAAAGATATTCAGGCTTCTAGTTAATCCTTCCATCTCCTGTGCAAACCATTCAGTCCTATGGTGCTTTGGTTTTGTTTTGTTTATTTCATGTTCACATTCAATTTCAGAAGTGTTGAATAATAAAACTGTTTTCGCAGATTGTATTACTCAAAAATGTTTAGATATACTTGCAATTTCTCTCACTTCCTAAAAAAGATGATTCCCAGTCCCACATGTTGAAGTGTTAAAGGCCCCAGGGGGAAGAAATAAGAGTTTTGTTACTCTCAGATTAAGCCCATCCCTGAAAGCAGTAAGAAACATTCCTCACATGCTGGAAATGCAACTGCTGAATTCAAGAAAGTACAGCCATCAGCTCCACCTGAGAAGCACAGACACAGACCAAAAAGAACCTCTTGGGTGCTTAATGTCTTGGCAGCTTCTAAATGCACATCCCTGGGTATTTGTTGTTTTTTTGTTTGTTTGTTTTGTTTTTTTAATTTTTTTTTATTATACTTTAAGTTCTAGGGTACATGTGCACAATGTGCAGGTTTGTTACATATGTATACGCGTGCCATGTTGGTGTGCTGCACCCATTAACTCATCATTTACATTAGGTATATCTCCTAATGCTATCCCTCCCCGCTCCCCCCACCCCACCACAGGCCCCGGTGTGTGATGTTCCCCTTCCTGTGTCCATGTGTTCTCATTGTTCAATTCCCACCTATGAGTGAGAACATGCGGTGTTTGGTTTTTTTGTCCTTGCGATAGTTTGCTGAGAATGATGATTTCCAGCTTCATCTATGTCCCTGCAAAGGACATGAACTCATCCTTTTTTATGGCTGCATAGTATTCCATGGTGTATATGTGCCACATATTCTTTTTTTTTTTTTTCACATATTCTTAATCCAATCTATCATTGATGGACATTCAGGTTGGTTCCAAGTCTTTGCTATTGTGAATAGTGCCACAATAAACATACTTGTGCATGTGTCTTTATAGCAGTATTACTTATAATCCTTTGGGTATATACCCAGTAATGGATGGCTGGGTCAAATGGTATTTCTAGTTCTAGATCCCTAAGGAATCACCACACTGACTTCCAGAATGGTTGAACTAGTTTACAGTCCCAGCAACAGTGTAATAATCGCCATTCTAACTGGTGTGAGATGGTATCTCATTGTCATTTTGATTTGCATTTCTCTGATGGCCAGTGATGATGAGCATTTTTTCATGTGTCTGTTGGCTGCATAAATGTCTTCTTTTGAGAAGTGTCTGTTCATATCCTTCGCCCACTTGTTGATGGGGTTGTTTGTTTTTTTCTTGTAAATGTGTTTGAGTTTTTGTAGATTCTGGATATTAGCCCTTTGTCAGATGAGTAGATTGAAAAATTTTCTCCCATTCTGTAGGTTGACTGTTCACTCTGGTGGTAGTTTCTTTTGCTGTGCAGAAGCTCTTTAGTTTAATTAGATGCCATTTGTCAATTTTGGCTTTTGTTGCCATTGCTTTTGGTGTTTTAGACATGAAGTCCTTGCCCATGCCTATGTCCTGAATGGTATTACCTAGGTTTTCTTCTAGGGTTTTTATGGTTTTATGTCTAACATTTAAGTGTTTAATCCATCTTGAATTAATTTTTGTATAAGGTGTAAGGAAGGGATCCAGTTTCAGCTTTCTACATATGGCTAGCCAGTTTTCCCAGCACGATTTGTTAAATAGGGAATCCTTTCCCTATTTCTTGTTTTTGTCAGGTTTGTAAAAGATCAGATGGTTGTAGATGTGTGACATTACTTCTGAGGGCTCTGTTCTGTTCCATTGATCTATATCTCTGTTTTGGTACCAGTACCATGCTGTTTTGGTTACTGTAGCCTTGTAATATATTTGAAGTCAGGTAGCGTGATGCCCCAGCTTTGTTCTTTTGGCTTAGGATTGACTTGGGAATGCGGGCTTTTTTTTGGTTCCATATGAACTTTAAAGTAGTTTTTTCCAATTCTGTGAAGAAAGTCATTGGTAGCTTGATGGGGATGGCATTGAATCTGTAAATTACCTTGGGCAGTATGGCCATTTTCACAATATTGATTCTTCCTATCTATGAGCATGGAATGTTCTTCCATTTGTTTGTATCCTCTTTTATTGGTATTTGTAAACCAGACAGGCAAACCAGGCCATCACAGAAATATGTAAACATGTTATCTATTCAAATAAAATCTGTTAAAGTTAAAAAGGAAATACACAGGCACCATGACTCGCACCTGTAATCCCAGGACTGCGGGAGGCTGAGGTCGGTGGATCACTTGAGGTCTGGAGTTCTACACTACCCTGGCCAACATGGTGAAACCCTATCTCTACTAAAAAAAATACAAAAACTTAGCTGGGCATGGTGGCACGCACCTGTAGTCCTAGCTAGTTGGGAGGCTGAGACAGGAGAATCTCTTGAATCTAGGAGGCAGAGATTGCAGTGAGCCAAGATTGCACCACTGCACTCCAGCCTGGGAGACAGAATGAAACTCGGTCTAAAAAAAAAAAAAAAAATTAGTATTAGTATGGCTCTTCTTTATACACACTGTAGAAGACAGAAAAGTCACAGGGCCAAAAATATACTCTGCATCCCATCATCTACATTCTCCAAAAAATTGCCCCCTTTCTTTGGGGATTTTTTAGAAACATATTCCTAGAAATATGTCTGAATTCCAACACTTAGTTTTATATATCAGGATGTTGGAACTATTTTTCCAATTTTTTCAACCATCCCTTAAGATTATGAGCAATTTTATAAAGAAGATAGTTAGATAATAGTACATATTCCCTGTAAAGTGTCACCTGCTACTTTACCTTCCTACACTAACTACCAGTTAATTCAAGTTTTTGATTATCTACTCACTAATGTGGCCAATTTTCTACATAACATATGCTGAAAAGTAGCAAAGAATGCGTTCAATTTGAAATAAAATTAAATTATCTGATATAGTGTGAATTTAGAGATCTCAAAACTACAATTTTTTTTCTATTGGATAGTTATGATCTCTAACGTAAAACTGAATCTCAAAGGCACTGTGGCACTATCAACTTCTCCTACATAGCTTGTAATGAGAAATTGACATTAGGTTGATGGGGATAATAATTCCATTTTTACAGCAATAAAATGTATTCTTTTTCTAGAAAGAAAGCAATTTCTAAAAGCAAAGTAATAATGTAACTATTGATTTACCATCAAAAATGTATGTCTACCTGATAGTTAGTGAAAATAAAATTTAGAGATTTAAAACAACACTGCACAAATTTATAATTATTTTCCTCCTTCATCTCAATAGCTTTTAACTGTGTCTTATCTCTATCCTGAGATTAATTGACATTTTTTACAGTTGGAGAATGACTGATTTTTAAATTTTTTACTGACACTATCTAATACTGCTTTGGTCTTCTAAACTCTACTCTGAACTGCTGCAAAGATACCTTTGTCCTCATAATTCCGTTTACAACCTTCTTCATTACCTGTAACATTTGAATAAGAAATGTTGTCCATGGCCTTATGCTTCTCATGTAGACTTTAAAAATATTCCCAATAAACAAGCTCTTTATTATTATAAATGATAAATTAAAAAGATGAAGAATTAACTGCATTGCTACTCTTTTTCCTCTAGTTTCCTAAGACATCATCACAAGTTGCCTTCCAGAAGAGAAATAAATAAATGGATTATTAAAGTCTCAAGAGAGAATGGAGCTTATTTTCTCCTCTCTTAGCCACTCACTCTCATCATCTTTGTAATTAAATCTTTGCAATTAAATGAATTAAATTAATTCAATGAATTACATTGAATGACAACATGTAATGTTAAAAAGAAAACATATTTGTCATTGTTGCTGTTGTTTTAGAAATTGGTAAGCTAAAATTTACACGAAAAGCCAAAGAACTCAGAACTGAAAAACTAAGTTGGAGGATTTATAGTACCTGATTTCAAAACTTACTAAAAGCCAAAAGTAATCAAAATGTGAGGACTAAGCTCTGATTTTTTTTTATCTTGCCCCAATTCCTAAGGGGTCTGGGGAGTCATGCCCTACAAACCACAAATTCTCATCAGATGCATTTTATTTAACCCTATGTATTGTGACTTATTTTCCAATCTGACTCTGGCATAACATTATGTGACAAAGAAGAAAGTCAAAATATTTTACCCCAAAACATGTTTCTTTGACGTATTTTGAAATGGCCCTGCAAAGCTGTCCTTTGTGGGGGAGAATTTGCATCTGTAAAGAATCTCTATTAACATGGCTAGATATTTTTCTTCCAGACTCTCCCAATCCTAAAGTGATGGACTAAGAGTCTAACACCTTTTAAAGATCTGAATCGGAAACATTTGTCATCTGCTGTCTCTAAGGACAGCCACTATAAGACTTTAAAATAACTTTGGTCTCCACAATCTTTTATCTTAACCTGAACATTTTCTTTCTGTGGATGCCAAGTCTTTAGGCAAACTCAACCAATTGTCAGCCAGAAAATGTTTAAATCTTTACATTTACCTATAGCCAGAAACCCACCTCCCCACCCCCTCAGGCCCCCCACACCCCACACACCCCCACTCCTGCTGCTTTCAGTTGTCCCGCCTTTCTGAACCAAACCAATGTATTTCTTAAATGTATTTGATTGATATCTCATGCCTCCCTAAAATATATAAAACCAAGCTGTACACCCTGACCAACTTGGGCACATGTTCTCAGGACCTCCTGAGGGCTGTGTCACCGGCCATGGTCACTCATATTTGGCTCAGAATAAATCTCTTAAAATATTTTATAGAGTTTGACTCTTTTTGTCAACAACAGCATGGAATGGGCATAAAGACAGAAAAAAAAACATAACAATGAGACAGAATAAAGTCCAGAAATACACTCAAACATGTAAGATCAATTGCTTTTCAACATAAATATTAAGACAATTCAGTGGGAAGTATAGGGGTTGTCCAAGTCAGATGATCCACTGATAAATCCTAGAGAACCAAACAGTGTAACTGTGAACATGTCTAATTTCTCTTAATGCTTCAATTTTCCTATCTGAAAAATAGAAAAATACTAATACATACTTTTCAAGGTTTTTTTTAAAAGAGGCTAATAGTGACATATTTAATTGTTTAGCACACTGGTACATTTGCTATTCATTTAACACATTTATTGATACCTACTATTGATGCCTATGCTTCTCTAGGACCTGAAAATACATTCTTGTGACTAACCCTATAGATAATCCCTGTTAAACTGCAGATACACACCAGAACAAAAAACAAATTCTTAGAACTCCAAATAAATTCTGTGTTAAAAAACTTAAAAGCACAATAATGAAAAGGTAGTTACTTAAGATAGAGGATTCAAGGAAATCCTGTCTAAGGAGGAAAATTTAAACCAGCATCTAAATCACAAAAGGATCGAGATAAGAGAAGATCAAAGAGACATTCATTCCAGGTAGAAGGAACAAGACAAGAGTTATCTTGGTGTGCTTTAGAAACATAAAGAAGCCTAAGTTGATGAAGCAGGGAGAGCAAGTTGGAGAGTGGTAAGAAATAAAAGTCACAGAATAGACAGGGCTATGCAAACCATTATAAGGAATATAGGTTTTATCCTAAATGTAATTGGAACCATTGGAGGGTTTAGTAGAGAAATGACAAATTGGATGCATGTTTTACAAAGGTCACTGTGGCCTCATGGAACATGGATTGTGGTAGGTCAAGAATAGAGACTAGCTGCAGGCTATAAGGTTGTTCAAAAAAGATGTGTGGTGGCCTTTACTTCCTGCTTGTAATGTAGATGATGAACAATTGTGTTGGGCATTCTTGTGGCTAACCCTACAGATAATTCCTGCTCTCTTTTCCCTTGCTATCTCCTCATATAAAGGCTGGAAAAGCTAAACTTTTACTTTTTCTAATTTCCTTAAAGCAAGGAATAGCTATTTGCCGCAGATATGGCCAAAGAGAAACAGCAGCCTGCTGGGGTTTTTTTGAGAAGCTTTTAGCTTCCTGATAAAGGGGATACTCCTTGTTAATGCAGATGTAAAGCTCACAACTGCAGCAGCTCCTCTGCTTATGAGGAAATCTGAAAAGAAAGAAGAATGTCTGAAATAGCCATTTTGTTGATGGAGGAAAATAAAACATACTGGAAAGTGCAGTAGAATTGTTTAAGTAATCAAAAGGGGAAAGGGAAGCAGGTAGAAAATAAGAGATTGGGTGATACGCTGAAGTCATCCTGAAAAAGGGAGTGAAATGAATGGAGGTTTATAGATAACTGCTACAAAGAGATGTTGCAGGAGACAGAGCCTAATTATGACTTTAAAGGTGGGGAAAATTTTGTATGCACAGGGAGGAGAAATATTTTGAAAACAAAAAAAGTATAAAGCAAGGATAATGTCTGTTCTCACCTCAGATATTGTTGTATATGGGGATGTTAGAGAGAAGGAGAGGAAAAGAGAGAAAAAAAAAGATTTCCCTCAAGAAAGTGGCTAGAAAGTTAGGTCAATGAGACATAGCCAGTTTGCATTGGAATAAGAGTGTGAAGGGCAGGCTTAGGGAAGAGGGTCAGAATATAGGGGTTTTTGCTGATGACAGACTATAAGTCCAAGAGGAAAAGATTGATAAAGCAGAGATTAGCAATAGAAAGAAACTGGGCAAGGTTAACGAGTGTGCAGAGAAGTAAGCAGAAGTAAATCAAGGAGTTGATTGATAATCTAGAGTGCTTTGGTTCTAATGGTGCCTGGAATGAACAGGGACAAATGCATTTATTTCTCATATTTAGGAGAAGTGAAAACTCTATCACATGGCACCATGAACAACAACTCTTCTTCCCTATGGGTATCAGTGATGCAGTAGCGTGGAATGAGTCCAGCTTCTCAATGGGCTTACATTATTTATTTATTTAATCAATATCATCAAGTATTCATATTATGTGAAGCTCTTTTAGGTTCATAAAAGAGGATGGAGAAAAGCAAAGTCTCTTCCCTAAAAGAGCTCACAGAACAATGAGGAAGGACTGACAATAAAGACATAAAAAATATAGCAACTATGTTAAGTGATGGTAACTTAATACAAATCAAGCAAGGTAAAGTAGATAGAGAATTTCAGGGAGTTGTGTTGTCTCCTCTCTGAGGTGGTGGTGGTTGAGAATTGGGTGAGGGATAAGCTGTGCAAATGTCTTGGTAAAGAGCACAATGAAAACAGTAAGCGCCAAGGCCCTGAGATGGGAACATGTTTTGCATATTCAAGAAACTGAGGGGCAGTATTAGATCACAAAAATGCCACGGAATCCAGATCATTAGACTGGATGAGAACTTCATATTTTTGCTTTGTGGAGATGGATCACCACTAGAAGGCTTTGTAGGGGAGTGACATAATCTGATGTGTTAAAAAGAACTCCCTGGTTGGATGAGACTAACCTGTAATAAGACAAGGGTGATATGTATGAGGCTACTGCAGAAATCCAAGTAAGAAATGCTGGTGTTTGGATGAGAATGGTTTCAGTGAAAGTGGTAAGAGTTAGTGAGATTTTCTATTGTCTTTCAAAAATAGATATGATAGAATTTGCTATTGATTTGGATGTAGGGTGGGAAACCTTGACTATGTCAAGGTTTTGGGCTGAGCAGTGTGAATAACAGAATTGACTGTTACTGTGAGGGGAGATTGAGGAAGCAGAGGGAAGTAAGTATGAGAAGAGAAATCAGGAACTCAATTTTTGTTGTTATCAATTTGAAAAATCTAAGTGGACATGTTGCATGGAAATTTGACATACATGTCTGGGGTTTGTAGAAATGGTTCAGGCCACAGGCATAAACTTGGAATCATCAGAAATATTGATGTTATTTGAAGCCATGTGTCCTGATGAGATCACTGGAGATGGGTGCCTAGATTGGTAGGATTAAAGCCTTAAGATTAAGCCCTGAGCACTCCAACTTGGAAACATTAGAGAAAGTAGAACCAGCAGAACAGACTGAAAAGTAACAGCCCGTGAGGTAGAGGAGAAACAAGATATAATTCTGTTCTGGAAGTCAGGAGAAGAAAGTGTTTTAAAGAGAAGAGGGTGATCATATATTTCAAATGTAGATGATGGATGAAGTCTGCATCTAATCACATGGAGGTCACTGGTGTTATCCTAAGCTACCAGGAGCACAAAATGCTATGAAGGCATTTTCATTCTAGAGACTGTAGGGTGACTGCTAGGAAACAAGTTGTCTCATATGAAGTAGGAATCCAGGGACCTCCTCTTTCCTAAGTTCATTGGAGCAAGATACCCCATCCTATCCATAATGAAGGGATCATGACCAGTGAAATGATTGGTTTTATACTATGTCCTTGAAATCTCACATTCTAACATCAGACCACTAATTTTACCATGCAGAGTGAGTTCTGCCCCAGCCACACCCTCCCAGGGCTATCCAAAATTCCAGCATCTGTGAAAAACTGATAGAGATTGGATTACATTGACCTTAGAGGCATCTGAATTAAGAGGATACATTGCAGGGAGAGTGGAAGAGTAACATGATTTCAGTTATTGCAGTAAATGAATCATAATCATTCAAGGTACTTTTCATAATTTATACAGGCTTTTTATAATTCAAAAATTAGTTATCTCATTGCTATCAGTTGAAGAGGCTACCTCCCATAAGACTTTTAATTTCCTGAGGGCAGGTTTCATTCATATGTGTATCTTCAAAGGCTAGCATAATGCTTGGCCAATAGGTTTTACGCTTAATAAATGTGTTTTATATACAGTTACCAAAACCCAGCCTCATCTAGTATATGAATACTTGCCCTGTTCTAATGCTTTATGGTTCACTCATGGTTTTATAGGTCTGGGATCCAGACTATCTCCTAATATTTCTAGTTACAGAATCTTACCTTGCTTGTATTGAACCATATCTCCATAATACACTTCCTGTTGTTATCACATTCATTTCCTGTGACCCGTCATTTAGATTAATGTCCTTCAAACACTGTGTCTTTATAAAAATACCACGAAGGAGACAGGGGAAGGCATGTTGATCACATTTGATGCTAGAACATTTAGAAACATCATGTTCAGCCTGGTATTGAAAAGCAAAGGACAGTATATTATTTTCTCTTTGTTTTTTAAGGTTGAGGCCATTTGCTTTCGATTCAAAGGATAAAAGAATTATGCTCTTTATAGGGTTACATGAGAACAGGGAAGGATTAACTATGAAGCTAATTTAGAAGCTTAAACTTCAAGGCCCTCACTAAATCACACCCATGCCAAGGTCCTAGGAGTAGCCCCAGTAGTTGTATGTTTGTAATTTAGTATTTTATTCCTTTTAGAAAGCTTCCACATTTTTATAAGCTTTAGGAACTACAAAATCTGTATGCACCCTGCCTAAAATTCTTTTATTTGATAGATTAAAACAAACCTAACCATACAACACAAAGTACCATTAATTAGTATTTGTTGGATAAATCTACCTCACAATAGAAAGACACTTTATTTTTTTTTTAATTTTTTTTTTGAGACAGCGTCTCGCTCTGTTGCCCAGGCTGGAGTGCAGTGGCCCGATCTTGGCTCACTGCAATCTCCATCTCCCAGGTTCAAGCGATTCTCCTGCCTCAGCCTCCTAAGTAACTAGGATTACAGGCACATGCCACCACGCCTGGCTAATGTTTGTATTTTTAGTAGAGACAGGGTTTTACCATGTTGGTCAGGCTGGTCTCGAACTCCTGACCTCATGATCTGCCTGCCGCGGCCTCCCAAAGGATTACAGGCGTGAGCCACCGTGCCCAGCCCAAAGACACTTTTAAAAAATATGTAATATTTGTTTTGTTGAACATGAAAAATACTATCTTTGTAAGGGTAGCAAAAAAAGAAATGTATTGTGATCAAAATAAAAATCAATGCTGCAGGTTTATTGATAACATTCTAAACATTTTCAAAATTAATTCAGGACTATTGTCCCATTTTAACCTATTAGCTCTCTTTGAATAAGAAACTATGAGCCTCAGTTGTGTGGTAACAGTATATAGGTTTTATGTTATGATATATTAGCCTTCAGTCTTAAAATCTTTGATAATAGATCTTAGGAAGAATATTTAAATTCACATTTTTTATGAGTTCTTAATATTAGTGTTTGTTTATCTCTAAGACTTACCAAATAACTTCTATGAAAATCTGTATCTCTGTCAATGTGCCTGCAAAATATAGTAACTCATTTTATGGGGAACCTTTCATTTTTGAGACAAAAGATTAAGTGAAACTCACATCTGCCTGCTCTGCCGGAAGTGACTTGTCAATCTTCCAGGTGCTCACCAATCCTCCTCTGACCATCCTGTAATTTAAAAGTGGTCACAGGGACTAAGACAGAGCTTCACTAAATATTGCTCAGTTTGTTCAGGGAAGATAAACTAAAATGAGTTTTTGAAAAAAGTGTTTGTGGTTTCTGTGTGTGTTAATTCAATCTGTTTTTCTCCACATTCTCCCAAACTCAAAATAAACAAGTGTAATTCAGTTTCATTCTGACTCCTTTTCCAAATATTGTCTATCTCTGCATTTATTTTTCTTTCTCAATTCCACAGTTGTTGTATGAAGTAGGATTGCAAACTCAAAATGAAGAGAATCTAATTCTTGTTTTGTGTGAAGCTCTTGTGCAGATAAGTAAACCTCCTGTCCACATAGGGAATTAAATGTCTATAAAGCTTGTGCATGATGGAAGCCCTTTCTCTTCCGTTATAGCTTATTGCTTCACCTATTGACTTGAGCATATTAATTCTCATGCATTTAATTTCTTGCACTGATGAGAGAGGGTTGAAAAGCACAAAATTAAAAACTGCATGCACACATAAAGTGTAAGTATGCCAGTCCCTCTTACTCTTTTCTCTCTCTCTTCACCATTTTTTTCAAAGCCTAGGAAACTAGGAAGAGAAAGAACATGTTATTAATAGAAAATACAGCACATCCATGGGCTGTCCCTTTGTCTTCAAAAAATGTGACAGAAGCACGAAGTTCGTTTCCTATTAGTCCCCATAGACCAAAGTGATGACTAGAGACAAATATGTCCCTTGCAAAATACTACAGAGTTTCTGGCTCTCAATTCAACCTTCTTTTTGACTATGAACAAAACTAAGTATTTCTTGGTTATTATACAATTGTGAAAATGTTGAAATTGTAAGTGAAAACTTTTGATCATTTATGAAATATATTACTGACCATTGTCATAGATAACTTTGTACTGCAAATGGCAACATCTATGAATCTCTAATCTTTCCACACCTTTTTCTGCAATGTGTCTCTGTCTTTTCTGCTTTCTGCAAAACCACTTAGAAATTTTAGCTTAGAAAACTAAATTTGCTCAAAGCAGCAAAAAAGATATTGGTAGAGATGGGCTTATAAGAGGTGTCATCCAAGCTATGAAACTTAATAAATAATATCAAAACTAAGTAGGGGAAAAGATTTGAGTCAGCTATCTTGGCAATTTATGCCACATTACCCACAATGCCCAGTACTTGGAATAGTATTTAAGAAGTCATCATGATTACAAAGGAAAGAATACAAAGAAAACTTTAACAACTATTCAATCTAAATCTCAAAATCAAATTTGTGGTAATCACCTATTAAGTTGTGCTGAGAAGTGCTTTTCCATGCTGTTTGTAAATAAATAAAGAAAAGAACATGAAACAAAAGTAATTTTGTCACACAATAAGGGATTGCGTTTTAGTGCAAAAACAGGTCTCTGCAGGGCCATCAGACAGCTTCCTGGAGTGGAATAATTAAGTTTGAGATTGCTGGAGGGAGGGTACTGCAATGGTATTTTAGTTTATAGGCTCAAAACCAAGGGGATCCATTAAAATGAAATAAGTGAAATTGTACTAGCTCCTTGTAGGCCAAGTACCTGAGTGACATCACCATCATCAAGGTAATGTGCTTAAATTATGCCAGACTACATTTAATAACAGCACAATCTCAGACAGTCTTTCTGCCACACAGGGATAAAACAACACTCTAAGGAAAGGGATCTGACAGAAAATGAGCCAGTAAAGGAGAAACAATTAATTAAAGAGTCATTTGGGAGTTGATAAACAGTCATGAGAAAGTCACTAAAATCTGATATTAAATGTGATTTAGCTGAATTAGTTTAGAAGATAATTTCACATTGTGATTTCCAGACAGTCTGACACTAAAAGTCAGAGTTTTCTCATCTCCAATGGGAGATAGGGGACACAGCAATATGGCATGATAAGTATTGACCCCAGATGACAAACTCTTAGTAACATAAGCAATACTCAGATTTTTCTGAGAATCACTAAGTTTCAAATGAGCTATACTATTATATAACCTAAATAGTATCGAACACACACGACGTATTAAGCAGGCATGATTTAGTTCTTTTAATAGTGGAAATGATGGAGATTAAAATGCTTCAGCTGAAAACTAGGTACTGTTACAGTCCACCCATCTATTATCTATGGCACTGAGAAAAAAAAGGAATATTTCATTTAAAAAAAGATTAATTCGAGATGGATTCAAGACTTAAATGTTAGACGTAAAACCATAAAAACCCTAGAAGAAAACCTAGGCAATACCATTCAGGACATAGGCATGGGCAGGGACTTCATGTCTAAAACACCAAAAGCAATGGCAACAAAAGCCAAAATTGACAAATGGGATCTAATTAAACTAAAGAGCTTCTGCACAGCAAAAGAAACTACCATCAGAGTGAACAGGCAACCTACAGAATGGGAGAAAATTTTTGCAATCTACTCATCTGACAAAGGGCTAATATCCAGAATCTACAATAAACTGCAATAAATTTACAAGAAAAAAACAAACAACCCCATCAACAAGTGGGCGAAGGATATGAACAGACACTTCTCAAAAGAAGACATTTATGCAGCCAACAGACACATGAAAAAATGCTCATCATCACTGGCCATCAGAGAAATGCAAATCAAAACCACAGTGAGATACCATTTCACACCAGTTAGAATGGCAATCATTAAAAAGTCAGGAAACAACAGGATGTGGAGAAATAGGAACACTTTTACACTGTTGGTAGGACTGTAAACTAGTTCAACCACTGTGGAAGTCAGTGTGGTGATTCCTCAGGGATCTAGAACTAGAAATACCATTTGACCCAGCCATCCCACCACTGGGTATATATAAATCATGCTGCTATAAAGGCACATGCACACATATGTTTATTGCGGCACTATTCACAATAGCAAAGACTTGGAACCAAGCCAAAAGTCCAACAATGATAGACTGGATTAAGAAAATGTGGCACATATGCACCATGGAATACTATGCAGCCATAAAAAATGATGAGTTCACGTCCTTTGTAGGGACACAGATGAAGCTGGAAACCATCATTCTCAGCAAACTATTGCAAGGACAAAAAACAAAACACCACATGTTCTCACTCATAGGTGGGAATTTAACAATGAGAACACATGGACACAGGAAGGGGAACATCACACACCGGGGCCTGTTGTGGGTGGGGGGAGGGGGGAGGGATAGCATTAGGGATACCTAATGTTAAATGACGGGTTAATGGGTGCAGCACACCAACATGGCACATGTATACATGTGTAACAAACCTGCATGTTGTGCACATGTACCCTAAAACTTAAAGTATAATAAAATAAAAAATTAAAAAAAGAAACAAACAAAAAAAAGAATTATTGTATTAGGGTTCTCTAGAGGGACAGAACTATTAACAGAACAATTAATAGAATTGATGTATATATAAAGGGGAGTTTATTAAAGAGTATTAATTCCCACGATCACAAGGTCCCACAGTAAGCCATCTCCAAGCTGAAGAGCAAGGAAGCCAGTCCAAGTCCCAAAGCTGAAGAACTTGGAGTCCGATGTTTGAGGGCAAGAAGCATCCAGCACCAGAGAAAGATGTAGGCTGGGAGGCTAGGCCAGTGTAGTCTTTTCATGATCTTCTGTCTGCTTTTATTCTAGCTGTGTTGGCCGATGATTAGATTGTGCCCACCCAGATTAAGGGTGAGTCTGCCTTTCCCAGTCCACTGACTCAAATGTTAATCTCCTTTGTCAATACCCTTACAGACACACCCAGGAACAATACTATGCATCCTTCAGTCCAATCAAGTTGACACTCAGTATTAACCATCACAAGTTCACCCCTTGTCAACTTGAATTCATACACATTTCCTGAAATCATATGTAATCTTCAAATAAAGACAATAATAAGGTCATAATTACACCTAACAAAATACAACCAGAAATGCACCAATCCACAACCCAAATGCTATTACACAAAATTAACAACACTTAAACGCTGATATGAAGTCAATAAATCTTATGTCACATGATAAAGGAAAAAAGGAAATAAAATGAAGAAATTTTCTAGTACAAGTGTATACATGCACAAACATGTTTTTAACAAAAGAATAAGGAAATACTCATGACAATTACAGTCCTCATTTCTGCAACTGGTCATGTGTTCGTAGCTGGTATTAGTGACTATCTTCTTCTACTACCCATTCTGTATTCCCTCTGCCTTCAGCAAGCACCTCAGTAGGTCATGGGGTTTTTTTCCTGATGGAGTGACCGAAATCTTCATTTTTGACAGATCTGGGCCATTTTGTAGTCCTGCTTGGACTGGGCTGTTGTAGCTTCCCATTGACCTTAATCACAGGGCATGGTGATTCTAAGAGACGCCCTAATGGATCTCCTGTATTCTATGCATACTCTTACTTACCTCCATTGTGGAGTAGTATACTGATTTCATCTTGATAGTCCAGGTCAATCACCCCAGTCAACACAGTTACCCCCTCTTAGCCTGTTGACTTTAAGGTAGGAGGAGCCCAAAGTGTCCAGGTGGCAATCTTAACTCCCAGTTTAATGAAATCGTTATTGTGTCTCCAGGTGGCAGCATTCCTCCCTCTGGAACTAAGACCTCTAGGCCAGCAGAACATAATGTCACAGGAACAGGAAGCAAAAATTTTGCTAGTGGGTCACTAGGGGTGATGGTGAGTGGTGCCACTTCCACTTCCACCCCTTGATTTCTGGACCTGTGAATCCTGGCTATGGGAGAAACAGCACCATGTGTTGGACACTGCTTCAGAGCATACACGACATTCTGGAGAACTTTGCCCCAGCTCTGCAAAGTATTGTTACCTAGCTGGCATTATCATTGTGACTTCAAAAGGCCATTCCACAGTTCTATCAATCCAGCTTCTTCAGGATGATGGGGAACATGGTAAGATGAATTCTATGAGCATGAGCCCAGTGTGTTTGCTACTTATGACTCACTGGATCCAATCAGCATAATGTCATAATGTTGTCAATGAAAAGAGTTGAACTCTGTAAAATATTTGAAGAGATTTATTCTGAGCCAAATACGAGTGGCCATGGCTCATGATACAGCACTCAGGAGGTCCTGAGAACATGTTACCAAGGTGGTCGGGGCACAGCTTGGTTTCATACATTTAACAGAGGCATGAGACATCAATCAAACACATTTAAGAAATACATTGGTTTGGTCCAGAAAGGCAAGACAAATCAAAGTGGGGGCTTCCAGGCTATAGGTGAATTTAAATATTTTCTGCTGGACAATTGGTTGTTTGTGTCTAAAGACCTGGGATTGATAGAAAGGGAATGTTCAGGTTAAGATAAAAGATTGTGGAGACTAAGGTTATTTTGAAGCCTTATACTGGCTGCCCTTCGAGACAACAGATGACAAATGTTTCCTATTCAGATTTTAGTTAATTTCTTTAGGATTGAGAGAGTCTGGAAGAAAAAAATCTAGCTATGTTAATAGAGATTCTTTACATATGCAAATTTCCCCCAACAAAGAACAGCTTTCCAGGGCTACTTCAAAATATATCAAAGAAATGTGTTTTGGGGGTAAAATATTTTGATTTTCTTCTTTGTCTAGTAATGTTATGCCAGAGTCAGGTTGGAAAGTTACGATATATAGGGTTAAATAAAACCCATCTGATGAGAATGTATGATTTGTAGGGCATGACTCACCAGATAGCTTAGATAGGAATTTGGGCAAGTTAAAAAAAAATCAGAGTTTAGTCCTCAATGTAATGGACCAGTGTGATATCTTGTGGAAGGGCAAATAGATCAAGGTCTCTCTGAACAAGACTATGACACAAAGCCAAAGAGTTGATATACCCCTGAGGCAGGACAGCAAAGCTATATTGCTGGCCTTGCCAGCTGAAGGCAAACTGCTTCTGGTGAGCCTTACAGACAGGAATGGAGAAAAAGGCATTTGACAAATAAAGGGCTGCATATCAGGTACCAAGAAATGTGTTAATTTGCTTAAGCAATGAAACCACATCTGGTACAGCAGCTGCAACTGGAGTCACCACTTGGTTAAGCTTACAATAATACACTGTCATTCTCCAAGATCCATGTCTTCAGCACAGGAAAAATAGGAGAGTTGAATGGGGATGTGGTGGGGTTCACCACCCCTGTGTCTTTCAAGTCCTTGATGGTGTCACTAATCTCCACAATCCCTCCAAGGATGCGATATTGTTTTTGATTTACTATTTTTCTAGGTAGAGGCAGCTCTAATGGCTTCCATTTGGCCTTTCCCACCATAATAGCCCTCACCCTACAAGTCAGGGAGCTAATGTGGGGGTTCTGCCAGCTGCTAAGTATGTCTATGTCAAGTTTGCATTCTGGCACAGGGGAAATAACCACAGGATGAGTCCCAGAACCCACTGGGCCCACTGTAAGTTCAACCTGAGCTAGAACTCCATTAATCACCTGACCTCCGTAACCCCCTACCTTAACTGGAGGACCACAGTGATGTTTTGGGTCCCCTGGAATCAATGTCTGCTCAGAGCCAGTGTCCAATAATCCCTGAAATGTCTGAATATTTCCTTTCCCCCATGCACAGTTACCCTGGTGAAAGGCCAAAGGTCCCTTTGGGGAAGGATGGGAGAAAGATTAACAGCATAAATTGTTGGTAGTGTAGTGGGGTCCTTCCTCAAGGGGACCTGGCCTCCCCTTCATGCAAAGGGTTCTGTAAACTGGCTCTAGTCTGAAAATTAATTGAGGGGCCATGATGCTCTGTTTTTATAATTCAAATTAGTCTTTTGTCCATTCGGCCTGGAAGTTTTCTGCTTATTTAAATTAAGTAGGAATGCAGTAAGTTTCCTATCAATTTCACTTCTAGGATCACTGTGATTAACTAGCCAATGCCAGAGCTCTACACAAATCAATCTATCCCGATTGCTGCTTTGCCTCTGTTGTCCATGATGGTAGCTATGCCCACTGTGCCTTTGATGGATGAGTGCCACCACTTGGCTCCTGCCACCTTGGGTTCCAATTATCCCCATTGCATTTAAATTTTGTTGTTGAGTGACTATGGTTCCCACTGTTAGATATGGTATCCGGAGAAAAGCAACAGATACAGAACTCTTCAAAGACGCAGGTGCTGCCTTCACAAATCTGTTTTCCAAAGCATTGGTAAAAGGTACATCTTCTGGACTTTCCCAGCTGGGATGAGTAGGCCTAAAGTGACTAATCCACTCCAGCATCCCAATCTCCCTAAGCCTTTGAATCCCTTTCTCTACATTAAACCAAGGGAGGAAATCAGGCATTTCCAGTTCTCTCACAGTGAGCCATCTTTTAATCCATATTTCAGCTAATGAAGCAAATTAACCATTAGAACCTTTATTAACTCCCTGAGCTGCAACATTAATTGCAGAGTCCCTACTTAATGGGCCCAAATCAATAAATTCAGCCCGATCCAACTGTATGTTCCTTCTACCATTTCTCATATCCTTAATATTCATTCCCATATCTGTTCTCCAGATTTCTATTTATATAGATTGGAAAACTCAAGGAGTTCTTTTCGAGTGTAGTGCACCTCCTTGTGGGTCACACTCTGAACTTCACCTCTAGGGGCCTGCCAAAACTTTAGTTATAAGTCTAGAAGCAAGCAGGGGTGTTGGGGGGAGGGGGGCTCCTGAGGAGAATCAACATTATCTTGCCTAGCAACTGCCTCAGGGGAGGCCATCACTCTTGCCTCAGGCAGAGCAGGGTTCATCTCCTCAGACAAAGATGGAAAGGCTAATAGCAGCATGGGTTGGGGAGGGGATGTTACCACTACTGGGGATGGGGAAGCTGTTCCTTCTGGCAGAAAAGGTTCATCAGAGTTTACAAGCTCAATGTCCCCAGCTTCATCAAAGTCCTCTCACATATCCCCATTCCAAGTTGCAAGGTCCCATTGTTTTCCAATCAATGCTCTCACTTTAATAGTAGACACCTGGCGAGGCTGTGCGTGCACCTTTTGTTGCAGGTCAACCACTCACATGGTAATAGCCTGTGTCTGATTTTCCACAATTTCAGCTCTTTCTCTGCAGGAGATAAGACTCACTCAGGGCAATCTTAGCAGATTTGAGGCTCAGTATCTGCTTCTGAAGCCAGGAGTTAGTTAGAATCCCTGAGTTCGTTTTTTTTCATCACTCTGTCCAGTGAACTTAGGAGCAACCAACCAACTTCATTATGTTCCTTGGTTCTCCACATATGGTCAAAGGTATTAGGTATTGAGTCACTAAACTCCTTGCCTTTCATGAGCGGTGAATCAAGAGTATCAAATGCATTTATTTTGCATAATAACTCTCTAAATTGTTCACACCAAGGACTGTCTGTTCTCCATACTATTAGAATTAGAGTCCTTAGCATTTTTATGGCTAATCACTTTAAGAAGCCAACTCCAGAAACCTGAAAACCAACAAAAGAACTCCATTTTTAATATTCTTTTCCTCTAGAACCACTCCTGGTACCAAAATCTGTATTAGTCACAGTTCTCTAGAGGGACAGAACTAATAGGATTGATGTATGTATAAAGGTGAGTTTATTAAGGCATATTAACTCACACGATCACAGGGTCCCACAATAGGCCATCTGTAAGCCGAGGAGCAAGGAAGCCAGTTGAAGTCCCAAAGCTGAAGAGCTTGGAGTCCAATGTTTGAGGGCATGGAACATCCAGCACTGGAGAAAGAGGTAGGCGGAGAGGCTAAGCCAGTCTAGTCTTCATGTTATTCTGCCTGCTTTTTATTCTGGCCATGCTGGCAGCTGATTAGATTGTGCTCACCAAGATTAAGTATGGGTTTACCTTTCCCAGTCAACTGACTCAAATGTTAATCTCCATTGGCAACACCCTCCAGACACACCCAGGCATAATACTTTGCATCCTCTAATCCAATCAAGTTGACATTCAGTATTAATCACCACAATTATCAATCATAGTATTTACTGCTTGGATTCTGTTAAGCAGTGTAACTCATATGATAATCAGACTGGTCTTCAGATATGAATAAAGTACAACCTTTTTTTTTTTCTCTCCCACTTAGGGGATGGTAGGTTAGGAAAAGACATACAGGCCATCTTCCCCATCCCTGAATAGAAGCTCAGGTAGGTCCCAAGGTTTTTTTTTTTTTTTTTTTTTTTTGCACATTCTTAGGGAATATATCACAATATGATCACTTTAGTTTGCAAATGCCTTTCAGTCCAGTAATTAGAATGTCCATTACAAGATAGATACTCAAAATATTCCAATCTTGATGTAGCCTTAAATCTCTTTTTTCCCCAATTAGATGCTTGAGGAAAATGGGCTAAGGTGGTATCTGGTGCCTCTACTATCTACTCTCTGCAGTTCCCTTTCTTCCTGCACTTGCAAGCTGCTGTTTGGCTCTGTGCCACATTTACTTTGGGTGGCTTTGTGCTATCTGGACAGAGTAGATCAGTGAAGCTGGTATTCTTCATAAACTTGGCAGATGATTAAAATCTACTCTCTCTGTCTCATGATTTTGATTATAGGAGCCTGGGAATAGTTCCCTGCTCCTCCTCTTGTCTGAAATTCCCTTGTCTTGGGCGTATCAGTGTCTATATGTGGATTCTTCTGACCCTTCCCTTGTCCAAGGGCATCCCGCAATACACTTGCAGCCCTTATCCCTCCTGAGATCCCAAATGGACAGGCCCAAGAGGATCCTGTACCACATAGCCCACATCCAATTCACCAGAAACAATCAGGACACACATCCGGTGTCCTGACAAGCTAGGAGAAAGTGAACCAATCTCAACATAGCAGCATCTCCCGGCTCAGCCACCAGCACTGTTAGTCAGACCCTCTCTCTTCTCCTGGACCTCCTGGGAAGAAAAGACCTCAGAACACTAACTGCTTTAGCTTCCTTTGTTGGGATCAGGCACTTATCCTCAAGGTTTTTTGACTATTTCAAAGATCTTCAATTGGATGCCTAGAAGCCCACCCTCTTCAATATTGGGACTGGAAAGTAAACCCCTGCCTAATGCCTCTCCCCCAAAAGAGGATGGAACAGCCTGCATGTGAAGTGCACTCTCCAAAGCAATAGTTTTAATAACCCCTTTCTTAAAACCTTCTCTTGAGACCATGACTCTCTTGCGTATTTCCTAAGTACGTGAAAGAGTTCCGGAATTAAGAGTTTCAACCAGTGTCTTTTAAAATCTCCATATGTCAATTTTTCTCACGGGATCTTTGGTGTCTGATAACAACAAAATGGAGTCTAAGTTGAAACTGAAGCAGGAAGAATCCCATTCAATCACGCACTCTACAGTCATAAATGCCATGTTATCTTTGACTAGAGATAAGCTTATTGAGCTTACTAAATTAAATCATTGGAATGCACAAATGAAATATATGGCTTTCACAAATGTCACTTGGGTAGAGTTGAATGCCTTGGAAATGAAGTGAAACTAGTCTTTATTTGAGCAAAGCCTGTCAAAACCAATAGTGTTCCTGGATTGTAAAGACCAAAATAACGTATCGCCACTATTTGTTAAAGGGCAGGATAATTCACTTAAAAGAGAGGAGAAATTAGATCTTTGCCTGCAAAAAAGCAGAAAGCTGAAATTTCAGGGGATCTTAAGCTTTGAGGGGGTCATGGATAATCATATTTTAGAACTGGATCATACCAAATGGGCCACTTCCCCCCAAAGTATCATGCAGGTGTGCACACACATGCACACACACACAAACATGGGGACTAATGCTTAAATTATTGCCTGCAATTTCAGAACTTCACAGATATCCTGAAGCTATGAACTCTAAAGCACCCCTCAGGGACATGACAGTCACAGGTTTCTTCGAGCCAGCTTTCTACCTTGAGGAGAAATTTCTGTGTTATAAAATACTGAGGTCACATCCTCTGCCAGACAAACTTCATTAGTGGAGCCCCTTAGTAGTGTTAAAAATAGAAATGTTTCTCACTGACCATATAAAGAGATTCCTTCTGGATTGTACTGCTGTCTATATACAGTGTCAATCTGGGTTTTATTTCAACCTCCAAGTTTAGTTTAGTTTAGTTTATATATATACAAAACTTTACAGAAAAAATACAGAAAAATGAAAATACAAAATAGGGAGAAAAAGTTACAGAAATGCCTACCCTACACATTACTTTTGTTGCTCAATTCAATAAATGTATTGAAATTTTAAAATGTACATTTTAAAGAAGAAAATGTAAATTAACTTTTTCTATTATTGCTGAATAATGGGGGAAACTGAGTATAATTCCTGTCCTCCATTTTCTATTTCTCACAACAGCCACACTGTTCCTTGACTATATCAGTGCTCACTACATTTGCAGATTAAGCATGGAAATTTCAGTAGAAATTACTATCTCACTTGCTTACTTCTCAGTTGTAATTAAAGGGAATTAAAGAAATGAGCATTAGGATGATTGATCTGTGGACAAAAGAAAGTAAATTGCCGAAAGGAGAAAGATCAGATAATTAACTTTCTTTAATTTTATGCCACTTTTTACCTCTTTGCAAAATTTTTATGTCAAATGACACTTAATTATCTTGCATAATAAAAATTTTCTTCAGAACTTATGCACATGCATATATATGTATATATACACACATATGTATGATAGTACTTGATATCACTATATTAAGCACCTATGAGGATCTCATTAATATTTTCATTTTACTAGCATGTGCTAATTAGAAATTCAATTAGAAAGATAAAACATTTGAAAATTAGATGATGCATTCTCTTTATAATGATGAAAATGCTTTACCAGTTAACAGTGAGTTGATCCAATTTATTAGTTTAAATTTTAAAATCTCCTCAGTCTCATAAATATTTTAATCATGGCAAAACAATAATTTTGAATATATCTACAAATAACCATACACAATATTTAGGGGGCTATACTTCTTTCATATTAAATCTAGACTTGAAAACTGTACCTACTCAGGAAACCATCAAATGAATAGGTCCTCTGGCAGTCAGTCTCAGGTTGAAGTTTTTACTATGCTACAAGTAAAACCAGATTACTTTAGGCCCCTGGTGACTAAGAGAATATTATAGCCTGAGAACCATAACATGTTAAAGAATATGGCCAAGGGATAGGTGAAGACTGATATATGTGTGTATATATATACATTAGAATATTGATGACCTCTGAGATTTTGTAGACCTCTGACAGTGGATATAGAGCAGTGCTATCAAAACAATTTTCCATTTTTATAAAAAGTACTTTGTAATAAATGCTTTACCACCTGAAATGAAGACCATGGATATAAAGATCTTCCCACAAATAGCTTTTTGAAAAAGTCTATATAATGCCTTATCTGAAATTTAAGTATAAATAACAAGAAAGCAGTTCATTAAGAAGAAATCTGAAGTTCATTATGTATATTCAGGCATGACTACATGAGAAGATTGTATGAAATAGTCAGATGCTGACCTCTATCTGTATAATCACATGAGTTAAAAACTACAAATGCTGCCTGACTTAAGTGTGAAGTGTTATGGACTCAAATTCTATCAGCAACTTGCTATCGCTGAAATGATTTTCTGAAAGGGTGGCTGAATCTAGATAATGATGGAAAACAATAAACAAAATAAAGTGCAATAGTTACTCAATATAAATAGCAATTGTATTTCTGGAAAATATGCAAAATACTTTACTCTTCTGTCTGTCTATCTAAGCTCTATATAAAGCAGAATTTGGATTATGCTCAAGTTAATATGAACAGTTTCTGCGTTAATACCTTATGTATCATTTGAAAATCATGGGAGACAAAGGACAATTGCATATATCACATTTCTGATCCCTACTTACTAAAATGGCTAGTAGCACCCACTCCCAAACATTATGACAAGGGAAAAATGCCCTCATATGTTATCTACCTGCCCATAAAGAGTGGATATATGGACATTTAAATGTGGAATGGACATTAAAACATCTCTCAGAGCTTAGAAACTCGCTTCAAGAAGGCCTAAAATTCAACGACTCAGGTTGGTATTACCACTCTCAAACTGGTCACAGTCCCCATTCAAAATAATTACTTCCTGCATTTACTTTTCCTTCTAGCTCCTGAAATCGTTTGGGTAAGCAATTGCTGATTTTAGTCAAATTCCCTCACCTCACAAAAAGGTAAGTTGAACAGTTGAGTTGAATGTCAAATATATAGTGAAATCAAATCTTGCTAAGTGCTTTTTCACTCTAAAGTTCCAAACCCACAAACTCATCTGATGCTAGTGGAGGGATTTTGTGTTAAGCATGTATAGCTAGTGGTTAAGGGAAATGTAATCCAGTGCCCAAGAATCAGTAACCCTGGCCCAAATTTGAGGACAATGAGGCATTAACTACCTAACGTTTTAAAGAAAGCTGGTTAACAGTTAAGGCAAGCATTGCATTCCCCCACACTTACTCCTGAATTTATGGGATTGGAGAACCAGCATTAACTCTACCACCAGCTACAATGCCACTTTCCTTCCCAATCCAGGAAAGAAGGTGAGTCAGTATGGAATTAAGGAGATAAAGATATCAGGTTGTTGTTCTTGTAGAAACTATAAGCTCTTAGAGAAAAATTATTAACTCCCATCCCCAAAGGGACAGGGGAGCTGCTTCTCAAAAAATTGGAAAACATATGACACTTTTAGAAATGGATTTCTGACAAGAAGAAAGCCTGGCATACCATCCTCCTAGTTAGTTGTCTGTTAGACAGTAGATCTCCTAGAGCAGAGCAAGAAAACTGGAGACAGCTACAGAAGTGAAGGGAATAGAGCAACCTGTTTTTTACATCTGGCACTTTGAGAATTTCTGAGTTTCTCAAAGATCAGTGGGATGCCACCAAAGGACTAAACTTTCTTGCCAGAACTGCACACCATATATTAAAATTTACCTCAAGACAAGAGGATGACATCCGCATGAGCTTTGGATATACTCCAAGTTACAGGAATGAAGAGGAAGGGAAAGTTAAGTTTAAGGGTGACCTTCCAGACCTGGGAAATGCAGTAGAGAAACTCTCTAGGATTCTCTTAAGAACTCACACATGCAAGCCAACAGAGCAAACATTTGGATGGCTGCCATGGAGGCATCATGAGTCTGTATTAGTTTCCCAAGGCTGCCATAATAAATTAGCACAAATTAAGTGATGTAAACTAGGAGATATGTATTATCTAACATTTCTGGAGTGCAGAAGTCCAAAATCAAGGTGTTGGAAGTGTTGCTTCCTTGTGGAGGCTCTGAGGGAGAATTTATTCTACATCTCTTATGTACTTTTGGTGTCTGCCAGTAATTTTAATGTTTCTTTGCTCATAGATGCAGAATTTCAATCTTTCTATATCTTCACATGGCCTTTCTTCCTGTGTGTCTCTCTGTGGCTTATTTATTTATTTATTCATTGAGACAGACTCTCACTCTGTCACCCAGGCTGGAGTGCAGTGACGTGAACTCGGCTTACTGTAACCTCTGCCCCCACCAGGTTCAAGCAATTCTCGTACCTCAGCCTCCCAAGTAGCTGGGATTACAGGTATGCACAACCACGCCCAGCTAATTTTTGTATTTTTGGTGGAGATGGGAGTTTCGTCATGTTGGCCAGGCTGGTTTTGAACTTCTGACCTCAAGTGATACACCTGCCTTGGCCTCCCAAAGTACTGGGATTACAGGCGTGAACCACTGCACTTGGCCTGTGGCTTCTGTTTTTATTTTTTAAATTTTTTCTGTTTAATTTAATTTAACTAAAAAAATTCTTTTTCTATAGGTTGTTGGGGGACAGGTAGTGTTTGGTTACATGAGTAAGTTCTTTAGTGGTGATTTGTGAGACTTTGGTGCATCCATCACCCGGGCAGTATACACTACACCATGTTTGTAGTCTTTTATCCCTCACCCCCTTCCACCTTTCCCCCTGAGTCCCCAAAGTCCATTGTGTCCTTCTTGTGCATTTGCATCCTCTTAGCTTAGCTCCCACATATCAGTGAGAACATACAGTGTTTGGTTTTCTGTTCCTGAGTTACTTCACTTAGAATAATAGTCTCCAATCTCTTGCAGGTTGCTGTGAATGCCATTAATTCAGTCCTTTTTATGGCTGAGTAGTATTCCATTGTGTGTGTGTGTGTGTGTGTGTGTGTGTGTGTGTGTGTATTTATATGTCTCACAGTTTCTTTATCCACTGGTTGATCGATGGGCATTTGGGCTGGTGTCAGGTTTTGCAATTGCGAATTGTGCTGCTATAAACATCCATATGCAAGTATCTTTTTCATATAATGACTTCTTTTCCTCTGGGTAGATACCCAGTAGGGGGATTGCTGGATCAAATGGTGGTTCTACTTTTAGTTCTTTAAGGAATCTCCACATTGTTTTCCATAGTGGTTGTATAGTTTACATTCCTACCAGCAGTGTACAAGTGTTCCCACATCACCACATCCATGCCAACATCTACTATTTTTTGATTATGGCCATTCTTGCAGGAGTGAGGTGGTATCGCATTGTTGTTTTGATTCGCATTTCCCTGATCACTAGTGATGTTGAGCATTTTTTAATATGTTTTCTGGCCATTTGTATATCTTCTTTTGAGAATTTTCCATTCATGTCCTTAGCCCACTTCTTGATGAGATTGTTTGTTTTTTTATTCTTATGGATTTGTTTGAGTTCACTGTAGATTCTGGATATTAGTCGTCTGTCAGATGTACAGATTGTGAAAATTTTTTCTCACTCTGTGGGTTGTCTGTTTGCACTGCTGACTGTTTCTTTTGCTGTGCAAAAGCTCTTTAGTTTAATTAAGTCCCAGCAATTTATCTTTGTTTTTACTGCATTTGCTTTGGGATTCTTGGTCATGAAATCCTTGCCTAAGTCAACGTCTAGAAGGATTTTTCCAATGTTATCTTCTATAATTTTTATAGTTTCAGGTCTTAGATTTAAGTCCTTAACCCATCCTGAGTTGATTTTTGTATAAGGTGAGAGATGAGGATCGAGTTTCATTCTCCTACATGTGGCTAGCCAATTATCCCAGCACCATTTGTTGAAAAGGGTATCCTTTCCCCATTTTATGTTTTTGTTTGCTCTGTTGAAGATCAGTTGGCTGTAAGTATTTGGCTTTATTTCTAGGTTCTCCATTCTGTTCCATTGGTCTATGTGCCTAGTTTTATACCAGTACCATGCTGTTTCGGTGATCATGGCCTTACAGTATAGTTTGAAATCAGGTAATGTGATGCCTCCAGATTTGTTCTTTTTGCTTAGCCATGCTTTGGCTATGAGAGCTCTTTTTTGGTTCCTTGTGAATTTTAGATTTTTTTCTAATTCCATGAAAAATGATGGTTGTATTTGGATGGGAATTGTGTTGGATTTCTAGATTGCTTTTGGCAGTAGGGTCATTTTCACAATATTGATTTTACTTATCTATGAGCATGGAATGCGTTTCCATTTGTTTGTATCATCTATGGTTTATTTCAGCAGTGTTTTGTAGTTTTCCTTGTAGAGGACTTTTACTTCCTTTGTTAGGTGTATTCCTAAGTTTGTTGTTGTTGTTGTTGTTGTTGTATTTTTTGCAGCTATTGTAAAAGGGGCTCTTGATTTCTTGATTTGAACAGTGTGGAGATTTCTTGAGTTCTTGATTTGATTCTCAGCTTGGTCACTGTTGGTGTATTGATGAGCTGCTGATTTGTGTGCATTAATCTTGTATCCAGAAACTTTGCTGAATTTTTTTTATCAGTTCTAGGGGTTTTCTGGAGGAGTCCTTAGGGTTTTCTAGGTAAACAATCATATCATCAGCAAATAGCGACAGTTTGACTTCCTCTTTGCCAGTTTGGATGCCCTTTATTTCTTTCTCTTGTCTGCGCTCTAGCTAGGACTTCTAGTAATATGTTGAAGAGGAGTGGTGAGAGTGGGCATCCTTGTCTTGTTCCAATTCTCAGAGGGAATGCTTCAATCTTTTCCCCATTCAGTATTATGTTGGCTGTGGGTTTGTCATAGAGGGCTTTTATTATTCTGAGATATGTCACTTGTATGCCAATTTTGCTGAGAGCTTTCATCATAAAGAGATGCTGGATTTTGTAAAATGCTTTTTCTGCATCTATTGAGATGATCAAGTGATTTTTGTTTTTAATTCTGTTTATGTGGTGTATCACATTTACTAACTTGCATATGTTAAACCATCCCTGCATCCCTGGTATAAAACGCACTTGATCATGTTAGATTATCATTTTGATATGTTGTTGGATTTGATTAGATAGTATTTTGTTAAGGATTTTAGCATCTATGTTCATCAGAGATATCAGTCCATAGTTTTCTTTTTTGATTATGTCCTTTTCTGATTTTTGTACTAGGGTGATACTGGCTTCACAGAATAACTTATGGAGAGTTGCCTTTTTCTCTATCTTGTGGAATAGTGTCAGTAGAATTGGTACCAATTCTTCTTTGAATATCTGGTAGAATTCTGCTGCGAATCAAACTGGCCCTGGATTTTTTTTGTTGGTAATATTTTCAATTACCATTTCTATCTTGCTGCTTGTTATTAGTATGTTCAGGGTATCTAATTCTTCCTCATTTAAGCTAGGAGGGTTGTAACTTTCCAGGAATTTATCCATCTCTTCTAGGTTTTCTAGTTTATGCACATAAAGGTGTTCGTAGTAGCCTTGAATGGTATTTTGTATTTCAGTGGTGTCAGTTGTAATTTCAGTGGTCTCGTTTCATTTCTTATTGAGCTCGATTGGATTTTATTTATTCTTTTCTTGGTTAATCTTGCTAATGGACTATCCATTTTATTTATCTTTTCAAAGAAACAGATTTTTGTTTCATTTATCTTTTGTACTTTTTTTGGTTTCAATTTTATTTAGTTTTGCTTTAATCTTGGTTAATACTTTTCTACTGCTGGTTTTGGGTTTGGTTTGTTCTTGTTTCTCTAGTTGTTTGAGTTGTGACCTTAGATTGTCTGTGTTCTTCCAGACTTTTTGATGTAGGCATTTAGGGCTGTGAACTTTCCTCTTCGCACCACCTCTCCTGTGTCTGAGAGGTTTTGATAGGTTGTGTCACTATTGTCATTCAGTTAGAATAATATTTAATTTTCATCTTGATTTCACTTTTGACCCAATTATCATTTGGGAGCAGGTTATTTAATTTCCATGTGTTTGCATGGTTTTGAAGGTTCCTTTTTGAGTTGATTTTCAGTTTTATTCCACTGTGGTCTGAGAGAGTGCTTGGTATAATTTCAATTTTTTTAAATTTATTGAGGTTTGTTTTGTGGCCTATCATATGGTCTATCCTAGAGAAAGTTCCATGTGCTGTTTAACAGAATATATGTTCTGTGGTTGTTGGATGGAATGTTTCATATACATTAAGTCCGTTTGTTCCAAGGTACAGTTTAAATCCATTGTTTCTTTGTTGACTTTTTATCTTGATGAACTGCCTAGTGCTATCAGGGGAGTATTGAAGTCCCCCATTATTATTGTGTTGCTGTCTATCTCATTTCTTAGGTCTATTAGTAATTGTTTTATAAATTTGGAAGCTCCAGTGTTAGGTGCACATATGTTTAGGATTGTGATATTTTCCTGTTGTACAAGGCCTTTTACCATTATATAATGTCCCTCTTTGTCTTTTTTAACTATTGTTGCTTTAAAGTTTGTTTTGTCTGATATAAGAATAGCTACTCCTGCTTACTTTTGGTGTCTGTTTACATGAAATGTCTTCCCCTCCTCGCCCCTTTACCTTAAATTTGCATGGGTCCTTATGTGTTAGGTGAGTCTTTTGAAGGCAGTAGATGGCTGGTGAATTCTTATCCATTCTGCAGTTCTGTACCTTTTAAGTGGACCATTTAGGCCACTTATAGGCAACGTTAGTACTGAGATGTGAGGTGCCATTCCATTCATCGTGCTATTTGTTGTCTGTATACCTTGGTTTTTAAATTTTTGTTTATGTTTTTTAAATTGTATTTTTGTTTTATAGGTCATGCGAGATTTATGCTGTAAAGAGGTTCTGTTTTGATGTGTTTCCAGGATTTGTTTCAAGATTTGGAGCTCCTTTTAACAGTTCTTGTAGTGGTGGCTTGGTAGTGCCAATTCTCTCAGCATTTGTTTTTCTGAAAAACACCATATCTTTCCTTCATATATGAAGCTTAGTTTAACTGGATACAAAATTCTTGGCTGATAATTGTCGTGTTTGAGGAGGCTGAAGATAGGGTTCCTATCGCTTCTAACTTGTAGGGTTTCTGCTGAGAAATCTGCTGTTAAACTGATAGGTTTTCCTTACAGTTACCTGGTGCTTTTGTCTCACAGCTCTTAGACTCTTTCCTTCATCTTAACTTTAGATAACTTGATGACAATGTGCCTAGGTGATGATCTTTTTGTGATGAATTTCCCAGGTATTCTTTGTGCTTCTTGTGTTAGGATGTTTAGGCCTCTAGAAAAGATGGGGAAATTTTCCTCAATGATTCCCCCAAATATGTTTTCCAAACTTTTAGATTCATCTTTTTTCTCAGGAACACTGATTATTGTTATGTTTGGTCATTTAACATAATTCCAGACTTCTTGGAGGCTGTGTTTGTATTTTCTTATTCTTTTTTCTTTGTCTTGGTTGAATTGGGTTAATTCAAAGACCTTGTCTTTGAGCTCAGATTCTTTCTTCTACTTGTTCAATTCTATTGCTGAGACTTTCCAGAGCCTTTTGCATTCTGTAAGTGTGTTCATTGCTACCTGAAGTTTAGATTGCTTTTCATTCATGCTATCTATTTCCTTGAATATTTCTTTCTTTATTTCTTGTATTTTTTTCAAATATCTTCTCTCTCTCTCTTTCTCTGTCTGTTTCTCTCTCTCTGTCTCTCTCTCTCTCTCTCTCTCTCTCTCTCTCACACACACACACACACACACACACACACACAAAAGATTCAGTTTGCAGTACTGGTTAATGCACTTTCTCCACCATCTGAGCAAACTTACATAGAATAGTGAATTTAGCACATTTTCCGGGATTCTTGGTATTAGCATTGCCTAGTTTGTTTAGACACACATCCAGCTTTCTGACTCAAAGATACGAAGCAAGAAGAGAATATTTTTTAAAAACACGATTTAACACAAAGCTACATGCTTTTGTGAATGTTATAAAAACTCTGCTTGGATTTACCTTCCTTAATTCATTTTAAAAAATCTTTCTCTGATATTTTTACTCTGATCTCATTGCTTCCTTTGATACAGAGAGAAGTCTCGTAGACTGTTTCAAACTACCCACAGTGGACCATCCAAAGAACAACAGGAAATGTTTTAAAAGGTCCTGTGTCCTAGAAATAATCAAATATTTAATCTTGTTAAGGCTCTTGCAGGATTATGGGTTTTTGATATTTTGCTTCTTCATCTGCTTTTACCAGTATTGTTGATAGCTACATTTTTTTCAAAGAGAAACAATTTCCTCACATTACATGGAATGATATTTTGTTTATAATTCACACATAGTAATTATACATATTATGGAGTACGGTGTGATGTTTCAACACATGTATACATTGTATAATGATCAAAGCATGGTATTTAGCATATTCATCACCTCAAACATTTATCATTTCTTTGTGATGAGACATTTAGAATCCTCTCTTGTAGTTGAAATATACACCATAACATTGTTTACTATATTCACCCTACTGTGCTATAGAACACCAAAATGTATTCTTCCCACGTAACTGTAATTTTGTACCCATTGATCAATCTGTCCCCATTCCCTCTTTCCCAACCCTCCCCAACCTCTGGAAATCACTATATTACTCTCTATTTCTATTGATGTATATTTTTTTTAGATTCCGCAATGAGTGAGATTATGTGCTATTTGTCTTTCTGTGCCTGGCTTATTTCACTTAACATGTCCTCTAGTTTCCTTCATGTTGCTGAAAATGACAGGGTTTCATTATTTTTTACAGCTGAATTGTACTCCATTGCCTATATATGTTTTCTTTATCCATTCATTCACTGGTGGACACTTGGGTTGATTCCATATCTTGTGTGTTGTGAATGCTGCTGCAATAAACATAGGAATGTAGATATCTCTTCAAAGTACTGATTTCATTTCCTTTGGGTAAATAGTAGTGGAATTTCTGGATCATATGGTAGTTGTATTTTTTATTTTTTGAGGAAACTTTACACTGTTTTTGTTGTTGTGTGTTTTTTTGTTTGGTTGGTTGGTTTTGGTGATTTTTTTTTTGAGACAGGGTCTCACTCTGTCGCCCAAGCTAGAGTGCAGTGGTGACGATCACAACTCACTGCAGCCTTTATCACCTCAGCCTCCTGACTAGCTGGGACCACAGGCATGTATCTCCATGCCTGGCTAATTTTCCTTTATTATTTGTAGTGACCAGGCCCTTCTGTGTTTCTCAAGCTGGTCTCAAACACCTGGGCTCAAGCAATCCTCCCACCTAGGCCTCCCAAAGTGCTGGGATTAGAGGTATGAGCAACCATGCCCAACCCTTCACACTGCTTTCTATAATGGCTATATCAATTTACATTCTACATGGAATAATTCTTAAAGTTACAAACTGCATTGCTGTTATAATAGAAAAGGCTTAGAAAAGGAGCATGAAAATAACATTTATGAGTGAACACGCTAGATCATTTATCCAGACTACCTCACTCTCTATGTGTTATAAAGTGAATGTTCATTTTCCCCCAAAATTCATATGTTAAAATCGAATCCCCAGTATCCTGGTATTTGGAGATAGGGCTTTTGGGAAGTAGTTACATTATGAGGGTGGAACCCTCATGAATGGGATTAGAGCCCTTATAAAAATAGGCCAAAGAGCTAGCTCACATTGTTTTTCACCCTGTGATGAGACAATAAAATGGCAGCAATCTACTCAAAAGAGGACCCTCACTGGGACCTAACCATGCTGGCACCCTGATGTCAGACTTGTAGCCTCTAGAACTCTGCAAAATAAATCTCTGTTGTTTAAAACTACCCAGTTTATGGTACTTTGTTATAATGACTCAAATTGCCTAAGACCCCATGTAACAATCCAGAAAAACTGTTATTTCTACGTTTTTTTGTCTGAAGTCACATGATTAGGAGTTAAACCTTGGGATCCCAATCCTACATATATCAATTATTAATAATTATTAGCTATAAGACCATAAAAAATAACTTATTCCTTTGAAATTTCATTTCCAACCTGTAACATGGAAACAATAATATATGTCCTGCTAAGTAACTGATATTTTTTCTGAAGGAGAGACAGAGACTAAAAGAACAGGGAAAAAGAAAGAGAAAAAGAGAAAGAGAGAAAATGAGGTGGAAATGAAAGGGGCTTTGATAATTTCAAGGTACAATATAGGTATGATTTATTATTATTATTAATGAGAAAATTATAATTATAAATAGAGAACTTACATATAGTATATAATCAAAAACTAACATCAATTGATAAAAACCAACTTTGTGCTCGGATAAGCATATTGTGTCTCCTAACTAAAATCTGTCCTGATACATTACCATCTCTTTCTGAAATTACATACTTAAATATTTATTAATATATTATTTCTGTTGATATTTTTATGAATATATGAATACATGGTATCTTGTAGAACAAGGATTTGTGATCAATCTGAGCTAAGACAATTGCATATCATATTTTATAGCTGGAATTTGAAGATGAATAGAAAAGTGATTCAACGAAGAGCATATGAAATGTATCTCAAGATCGCAAAATATAACTTAAATCTTAGCTCATTCTTTGGACAAGTAAAAATGGATGCTAGTATAATTGCGTATTTTAATGAATAAAAATCTCACACATCTAATTGGAAAAATCAATTGGAATCTACATGAAATTAAATTAAACCCAATTATATTAAATCTTAATTATTTACGTATTACTGTGAGCAGTACCAAGAAGTCAAAACACATGGATCCTTTCCTGATGGAAATTAAAAGCCAATTGGGAAGATAAGACTGGGAAAAAAGGAAGAATTTAGATACCAGTGTGGAATAATTTTTAAAGAGTATTTGTAAAGCAACAAGTAATATAAGATTTCAGAGGAAAAAGTGTTAAAGAGGGCCAATGAGGAAATTTTATTTGAATAATTGAAATTTGCAGAATAAAACTATCAGAAGAAGGCATTGCCAGGTGGAAGAAACACATTTGTAGATGTATATTTATTATTCAAAACATCACTGTTGTGGTTTAAATGTGTCTCCCAAGATCCACGTGTTTGAAATGTAATCCCCAATGCAACAGTCCTGAGAGTTGAGACCCTTCTAAGATAATCAGTGCTGTTATCCTGGGAGAGGGCTAGATATTGTGGGAGTGGGATCCTGATAAGAGTATGAGTTCTCCTGTCTTCCTCTTTTACACATGCTTTCACCATGTGATGACTTCCACCATGTTATGTTATGACATAGCAAGACCTTCACTAGATGAGGCCCCTCAGTCTTAGACTTCCCAATCTCCAGAGACATGAGCCAAATAAACTTCTGTTGTTTATTAATTACCAGTCTGTAGTATTCCGTTATAGCAGCACAAAATGAACTAAGACAATAACATAAAACAAGAATTTTAGTCTATTTGTAAATGTAAATGATTAAGAAAAATATCTTCACATTATAGTAGCCTCATTGTAGAATCTGACATATTTACTGATTGTATTAGGCTGTTCTTGCATTGCTATAAAGAAATACCTGAGACTGGGTACTTTATAAGAAAAGAGGTTTAATTGGCTCACAGTTTTGCAGGCTGTACAGGAAGCATAGTGCTGGCATCTGCTTTCCGAGAGGCCTCAGGAACTTCACAATCATGGTGGAAGGCAAAGTGGGAACAGGTACTTGACATGGTGAATGTAGGAGCAAGAGAAAGAGTTGGGGGTGGAGGTACCACACTTTACAACAACCAAATCTTGAGAGAACTCATTCATTATTGAGAGGACAGCACCAAGACATGAGGGATCAACCCCCATGACCTAAACACCTCCCACCAGGCCACACTTCCAACATTGGGGATTACAATTCAACATGAAATTTCAGTGTGGACAAATACCTAAACTATATCATTCTACCCTTGTCTTCCCCCAAATTACCTATTCTTTTCACATGGCAAAATACAATCATGCCTTCTCAGCAATTCCCCAAAATCTTAACTCATTTCTGCAACAACTCAATCAAAAGTCCCAAGTCCAAAGTCCCATCTGAAAATGAGTTCCTTCCACCTGTGAGCCTGTAAAATCAAAACAAGTCATTTACTTCCAAGATACAATGAGGGTGCCAGCATTGGGTAAACATTCCCATTACAAGAGAAAGAAGTCAGGCAAAGAAAGGGACTAGAGCTCACACAGGTCCGAAAACTAGCAGGACAGTCATTAAATCTTAAAGCTCTGAAATAATCTCTTTTGACTCCATGCCTCACATCCATGGCACGTTAATGCAAGGGGTGGGCTCCCAAGGCTTTGGGCAGCTCTTCCCCTGTGAATTTGCAGGATGTAGCCCCATGGCTCCTCTCAAGTGCTACAGCTGAGTGCCTGCAGCTTTTCCAGGCATAGAGTGCAAGCTGCCAATGGATCTACCATTCTTGGTTCTGGATGATGGTGGCCCCCTTCTCACAGCTTCATTAGGCAATACCCCACTGGGGACTCTGTGGGCTTCCAAACCCACATTTCCCCTCCCCACTGCTCTACTAGAAGTTCTCTGTGAGGGCTCCACTCCTGCAGCAGCCTTCTGCCTGAACACCAGCCTTTTCTATACATCCTCTGAAGTCTAGGCAGAGGCTACCAAGCCTTCTTAACTCTTGCACTCTGTGCACCCACATGCTTAACACCATGTGGAATCTGCCAATGATTATAGCTCGTGTCCTCTGAAGTGATGGCCCAAGTTTTACCAGTGCCCCTTTGAGCTGAGGCTGGGGCCAGAGTGACCAGAATTTGGGGAGCCGTGTCTCAAGGCTGTGCAGGCTAGCAAGGTACTGGGCCTGGCCTACAAAACCATTCAGTCCTCCTAGGCTTCAGGGCCTGTGGTAAGAAGGGCTGCCAGGAAGTTCTCTGAAATGTCACTGAAACCTTTTTCCCATTGTCTTGGCTATTAGCATTTGGCTCCTTTTCAGTTATGCAGATATCTCTAGCAAATGGTTGCTCAACAGCCTGCTTGAGTTTCTCTCTTGTAAAAGGTTTTTATTTATTTGCCACATGATCAGCCTGCAAATTTTCTGAACTTTTAGGCTCTGCTTCCTGTTTAAATGTAAGTTCCAAATGTAAGTCATTCCTTTGTGCCTACATCTGAGCATAGGTTGTTAGAAGCATCCAGGCCACATCTTGAACACTTTGCTGCTTAGAAATTTCTTCCACCAGATACTCTAGGTCATCATTCTCAACTTCAAACTTCCACAGATCTCTAGGGCATAAACACAATGCAGCCAAGCTGTTTACTAAGAAATAATATGCATAATCTTTGATCCCAATACATTTCTGATTTCTATCTGAGACCTCAGCAGCCTGAACTTCAAAGTTCATATCACAATCAGCATTTTGGTAACAACCACTTAACCAGTCTCTAAGAGGTTCCAAACTTTCCTTCATCTTCCTGTCTTCTGAGCCATTCAAACTCTTTGGACTGCTGCTTGTTACCCAGTTCCTAATTTGCTTTCACATTTTCAGATATCTTAATAGCCATGCCTCACTCCTAGTACCAATTTTCTGTATTAGGCCTTTCTTGCATTGCTATAAAGAAATACCCAACACTGGGTAATTTATAAGTAAAGAGGTTTAATTAGCTCACAGTTCTGCAGGCTGTACAGGAAGCTTGGCAATGGCATTTGCTTCTGGGGAGGCCTCAGGAACCTTATCATCATGGCAGGTGGTGGAGCAGGAGTGGGCACTTAATATGACGAAAGCAGGAGCAAGAGAGAGAGTTGGGAGTGGAGGTGCCACACTTTACAACAACCAGACCTCAAGAGAACTCACTCGCTATCTAGAGGACAGCACCAAGACATAAGGGATTTGCCCCTGTCACCCAAACACCTCCCACCAGGCCTCACATCTAACACTGGGGATTACAGTTCAACACGAGATTTGGGTGGGGAGTAATATCCAAACTATATCACTGATATATTAAAATATACACCAAACTATCATGCTCTATCTAGCAGAAAGTGATAATTGACCAATTCTTTCAAAATGTTTCATTTCTGAAATATTTTATTGGAAAATTCTTATGAATTTGGGTGAGATTTTTACTAACAAATCTCCTGAGCTATGTCAAAGGAAATGAATTTTGAGTATCAATGAAACCTGACAAAGAAAAAACACGAAAGCAAATTTTATCAAATAACATGTATGTGAAAGAGTTAAAATAATTTTACCTTTATAGATATCAATATATTTTTCCTATACTAAAGAACTATATTTCACACAATATATGGCAAGTTTTATATATGTAATTATGCATATGATACTAATAATACTGCCATTTTTTAATGGATTTTTTTCTTATCCAAATGATGACCCAGGCAACTAACTTTCCTGCTAAGGAAAGTCCTGTTAAGGAATTTCCTTTCCTTCAAGTGGCCTCTTTTGCCATTTGTAAGGCAGTTAATACTTACAGGTTTATTATCAAGAGCTTAAGAGAAAACTATTCCAAAAATACAATTTTATTTCTTTGTTGCCACTACTTTCAATGGCAAAAAATGCAAATATTTTGCATCAACCTAATAGCTTATTTCTGGTTAAAAGACTTAGAGTTCATGTTCATTTAACCAAATGGATTTTTAAAATTATTATTGAGGAATATTTATCAGGGATAGATAAAAAGTTTTTAAGGAGCCTGAAACATAATTTGGAGGACTCTAAGAAAAAAAGTAAAAGTTACATATTTCAAAAAACTGATGGTAGCATAAACATTACAAAATTGAGCAAAACATATTTGTATTGGCTGGGCGCAGTGGCTCATGCCTGTAATCCCAGCACTTTGGGAGGCCGAGGTGGGCGGATCACGAGGTATAGAGATTGAGACCATCCTGGCTAACACGGTGAACCCCGTCTCTACTAAATATACAAAAAGTAGCCAGGCGAGGTGGCAGGCGCCTGTAGTCCCAGCTACTCGGGAGGCTGAGGCAGGAGGATGGTGTGAACCTGGGAGGCGGAGCTTGCAGTGAACCAAGATCACGCCACTGCACTCCAGCCTGGGTGACAGAGCGAGACTCCATCTCAAAAAAAAAAAAAAAAAAAAAAAAAACGTATTTGTATTAACTGCCTGATGCATTTCTGCACCTTTCCTACATGTACTTCAATAATGCAGAATTAATGAAATTACAACTTACAAATACAATTTAAGTTAAATTTTACATTTTCTTTTCAGTTATATTATCCCGCACAAATGTGTAATCAAATTACTCATGTATACATATGTAGGCAAAGATGAGTAAGTTTTCTCACCAGACCACTTATTTCTTCTGGGTGTTTTGTAACATCAGTTACAAATTTTCCGAGATGTTTCATAGGAGCTGCCATATTTTCCCAAGACAAGATATACCAGTTAACACTACAACATAATATTTTTTGTAATTAATTAATTTGTATATATTTAGGGGGTACAGTTACAAGTTTCCTACATGTATATATTGTGTATAGGGCAAGTCTAGGCTTTTAGTGTACCCATTGTCTGAATAGTGAACATTGTAACCAGTAAGTAGTTTTTCAACACTCTCCCAACTTTGACCCTCCCACCTTTTATAGTCTTTAGGGTCTATTATGCCACACTGTATGTCCATGTGTATCCATTGTTTAGCTCCCAACAATAAGTGAGAACTTGCTGTATTTGACTTTCTGAGTTATTTCACTGAGGATAATAGCCTTCAGTCCCATCCATGTTGCTACAAAAGACATGATTTCATCCTTTTCTATGGCTGAATAGTATTCCATGGTATATATAGATTTTCCTTTGGGTATATACCCAGTGGTGAGACTGCTGAATCTAATGGCAGTTCTATTTTTAGTTCTTTGAGAAAGCTTCATACTGTTTTCCATAAAGGTTGTTATGATATACATTCCCAACAACAGTGTATAAGCATTCAGTTTTCTTTGCATCCTGGTTAACAACCTGGTTAGCATTTCTTTCATGTTTTTTGGTCACTTGTATGTCTTGTTTTGAAAATTATCTGTTCTGGTCAGGCGCCGTGGCTCATGCCTGTAATCCCAGTGCTTTGGGAGGCCAAGGCGGGTGGATCACCTGAGGTCAGGAGTTCTAGTCCAACCTGTCCAACGTGGTGAAACCCCATCTCTACTAAAAATTCAAAAACTAGCTGGATGCAGTGGCATGCGCCTGTAGTCCCAGCTACTCAGGAGGCTGAAGCTGCAGAATCTCTTGAACCTGGGAAGTGGAGGTTGCAGTGAGCTGAGATCACACCAAGGCACTCCAGCCTGGGCAACAGAGTGAGACTCCATCTCAAAAAAAAAAAATACATATATATACACACACACACACACACACACACACACATATGTATATATATAAATATATATTTATATATGTATATATGTATATTTTTTATTTAGTTATTTTTTCATATTTATATATGTGTGTATACACATATATATATATATATATATCTGTTCATGTCCTTTGTTCACTTTTTAATGGGGTTATTTATTTTTTCTTGAGTTGCTTAAGTTCCTTGCAGATTCTGGGTATTAGCCCTTTGTTAGATGCGTACTTTGCAAATATTTTTTCTCATTCTGTAGGTTGTCTGTTTATTCTGTTTATTTGCTGGACAGAAGCTTTTTAGTTTAATTATGTCCTATTTGTTTATTGGTTGTTGTTGTTGCATTTGCTTTTAAGGACTTCATCATAAATTCTTTGCCTATGCCATTGTCAAAGGGGTTTTTCCTATCTTTTCTTCTACGATTTGCATAGCTTCAGGTCTTATGTTTGGATCTTTAATTCATGTTGAGTTGATATTTTTGTATGGTGTATTAGTTTGTTTTCACACTGCTGATAAAGACATTCCTGAGACTGGGAAGAAAAGTAGATTTATTTGGACTTATAGTTCCACATGGCTGGGGAGGCCTCAGAATCATGGCAGGAGGCGAAAAGTCCTCTTACATAGTGCTGGCAAGAGAAAAAAAATGAGGAAGATGCAAAAGTGGAAACCCCTGATAAAACCATCAGATCTTGTGAGACTTACTCACTACTATAGGAGCAGTATGGGAAAACCACTCCCATGATTCGAATTATCTCCCGCCAGGTCCTTCCCACAATACGTGGGAATTATGGGAGCACAATTCACCGTGAGATTTGGGTGGGGACACTGAGCCAAACCATATTGTATGGTGAGAGGTGTGGGTTCAGTTTCATTCTTCTGCAGTGCCATTTATTGAATACAGTGTCATTTTGCCTCTGTATATGTTTGTTGAGTTTTTCAAAGATCAGTTGGTTATGGGTATGTTGCTTTATTTCTCTGTTTCCTATTATGTTTAATTGATCTCTGTGTCTACTTTTATACCAGTACCGTGCTGTTTTGGTTACTATACCCTTGTAGTATAATTTGAAGACAGGTAATGGGATTTCCCCGCTATATTCTTTTTGCTTAGGATTGCTTTGGCTATTCAGGCTCTTTTTGGTCCCACATGAACTTAGAATTGTTGTTTTCTAATTCTGTAAAAAAAAATATGTTGGTAATTTGAAGGGTTATGTTGAATCTATAGATTGCTTTGTGCAGTATGTTTATTTTAAAAATACTAATTCTTCCAATCCATGAGCATGGCATGTTTTCCATTTATTTGTGTTGTCTACAGTTTTTCTCACTGGTGCTTTGTAGTTCTTACAGTGATCTTTCACCTCCTTGGTTAAATATATTCCTGGGTATTTTTTTTTTTTTTGAAGCTAATGTACATGGAATTGCCTTCTTGATTTAGTCCTCAGCTAGATTGTTATTGATATATAGATACAATACTAACTTCTGCATATTAATTTTGTATCCTGAAACAAGATCATATCATCAGTGAACAGAGACAATTTGACTTCCTCTTTTCTAACTTGAATGCCTTTTATTTTTTCTCTTCTCTGATTGTTCTGGTGAGGACTTCTAGTACTGTGATGAATAAAAGCAGTGAAAGTGAGCATCCTTGTCTTATAATCTTAGATGCTAATATGCATAAGACATGTAAGTTTATACACAGATATACCCACTTTTTTAGTACTAATAAAAATAACTATAAGCACAAGTCTCATCATCAAACAAAAACAATAGTGGGTTTATACATTTGTACAAGTAAATATGTATTATTTAGAAAATTCAAGACAGGAGAGAAGTTCCATTTTCACCAGTGTTTACAATAACTGAAACTTCAGATTGCATGTCTGAGGATTGGGAAATATTTCTACAGACTAGCTTCTGGCTCTATACTTTTCAAACTTTGCTTCTTGTCCAAAATCACATAATTTTGGTGCAGAATGTCATGGGATATAATACATGTTCATATAAGATTTAAACTCTGCCTCTGCACTGAAGTACACCAATGCCAGATAAGTCAACAGAATGGCCAGTAAGAGGATTCCTAGAAGTCATTTTCACACTTGAATAACAAGCAATATCCAAACTTTACCTAGAGGAAATGTTAGCCATATAAATATACCCCACTAGAGTAAAAACCAAATATACCCTTAACTCTACTTTACTTGGATCCCCAAAATGCCCTAAACACTCCAGTGCTACCCAGTATCTGGCAAAGTGTGATAGAGAGGAAATCAGGGAGGGGAGATACAGGTAACTTAATCAAACATGGTTAAAATGTGTCTTAGTTTTGCAAATTTTACAAATGCTTGACCTTGTGAACATTTTCCTAGTGTGTCTTTGAAAGCCTTAGAAGGTTCCCATGCAAGGAAGAGACTAGAAGTTACAATTTTATTCATTTCATGATAAATCTGATACAACAGAGTGTGGAAGCTCTATTGATGCACTTCTACCCAGACTAAATAGGAATGAGAACTGTTGATTTCTCTCAGTTTACACAGAAAATAAAAGAGAAAACAGGCAATCATCTGGGTTAATGTGCTCAGCCAGTACATGGATGAGCTACTTTATTAGCCAAGGTACTGCATTTTATCCCACATTCTCACTCCAAATTTCTTACCAGTTATGCTTTCCTAACTTTTTAGGTGCTCCATTTTCTTCATGATTCTACAATAATATTGATGTTGTTTGGCTCTGTGACCCCATCTAAATCTCATCTCGAATTGTAATCCCTACCTGTGAGGGGGGGAAGTTATTGGATTATGGGGGTGGTTTCCCTTTGCTATTCTTGGGATAGTGACAGAGGCATGAGGCAGACAAATCCTAGGCAGACAGGGGTGGGTCCCTGGCAAAACTTGACCTTCAAGCCAAGGACAGTTTAAAGTCTAGCTACAAGTCCCAGGTAAACCCTTGGGCCAGATTGAGAACCTGTCTTCCCATTTTGCATGTGTTTCTCTGATTGATCCCCACCCTTCACCTATTTTACATATGCTTATCTCTCCCTAATTGATTTTTTTATAATGTCATGCCCACCTTTGAGTGGTGTCTTTGCTTTAATCTTTTTTGCATACTCACAAACTGATCAGCACTCACTCTTCATTCTGAGCCCATAAAGGCCTCAACCCCAGCCACACTGTGAGAGACCACACAACTTTGGATGGGGTACCACCCTCGCATTCCCTCTCTGCTGAGAGCTGTTTCATTGCTCGATAGTTATTTCCACCCTCCTCACCCTTTGATTGTCAGCATAAACTCATTCTTCTTGGACACGGTGCAAGAACTGAGGACCCACTGAACAGGGGTACAAAGAAGGCTGCAACACTGTGGCCCTCTGCCCCACATAATGGGAAGTAGCTCAGCCCCAGAGCCATGGGCCCAAGTAGGACAAGGGGCTGATAGAGCTGTTAACATGCTGCTGTCCATCGGGCTGCAGACAGTGGGACTAAAAGAGCAAATTAGCATGCTGTAACACCCTGTCTGGGGCTTCAGGGTCACAGACACCACAGCCTGGGCACCACCACATTCCCCTCATCTGGACACTGGAATCCACCATGAGAGTCACTTGCAACATGACTAGTCCAGCCGCAAGCCCCACATTGAGCCCTCTCCTGTGCTGGTTTTTGTATTTTTAGTAGAGATGGGGTTTCACCAGTGTGGCCAGGCTAGTCTGGAACTCTTGGCCTCAAGCGATCCACCCGTCTCAGCCTTCCAAAGTGCTGGGATTACAGGCGTAAGCCACCAAGCCCAGCATAATTGCTTAAGAGTCTTAAGTGTGTATTACAGATGGTTTGCAACACACTTACACAAGTAGCACAGTGCCTGGAACATATTAAGTCCCCAATTCTTTTGACAGATTGTTTCCTTAGTGATCACTGATTATGAGTCCTTTAAAAGTTCAAAGACAATAAAAATAGTATATTTTTATGATTGCTTCTTATTCTTACATGAATTTTAATGAATTAATGAATTTAATATTTTTAAAGTGCCGCAACTGACAAAGATGACCTTCAAATGCTTGTGCCCAACCTTGGGTGGCCTTGTAGGGTGATCTTATGCATGTGTCAAATACAGCGAGTTTGAAATAGCACATTAAATTACGTATTTGCAATTATCAGAGATCTTGCAATGTTTGCCTATTTGAGCCTCATTCTATCACTACATCACATGTTTTGTTTTTGTTTTTTCATTCTCTTACCTTTTTTTGTAATCCATATACCCACAGTATATTTCTTTATTTGATGCTTTCATCTTCTAGTTCAAGACTAAAACAATGTAAAGACACCTGATGAAAAGAAATTTGGATTTGTAAACATAAACTCCTAGGTCTCAAGCATTCTCCGAGTTTGATTATGTTCCCCCCACCCAACAATGAGAAAAAAAGTGTTAGACTCTACAGGCATAAATATTGAAAAAACTGACTGGCCTAAACTGTGAATTTTTGTCACTTTTAATGGAAACTCATAACAATGACACAGCTTCCTTTATATATCATGGACTTAAAATACTGCCAACTGCACTTTTACTGAGCCTCTAAGTCATGTGTTGAGCATGCGAAGGTGAAGGATTCTATCAATTTTATTCCACTCTTCTCTTGGCCTCTACATTGCACATCTCTGAATAGATTTTTCAGATAATCTCACTGAAATCGAGACTCTCAGAGTCCCCTCTGGCAGATCTATAAATCACATGCTTTAATAGTGACTTCTATTTTCTGGACCTTCTCTATTTTTCTCTTAGTTTGCACATAAGATTGTTGTCTACCTTTCAACTTCCATGAGCTATAAAATTATATCCTTAAGAACAGTGTTCTGATTTTCTTCTGGATCAGCTAATTTAGCTCTTTACTTTTGTCGTAAGAGTAACAATAATTTATTTTGGACTTCTGCATACAACTGCTTCTGAACTTCCAAGATTTCTATTGCTGTTACAAATGACTGCATGTCTATAACATCGATTATCCCAAAAATTTTTCTCTTAGCCTGCTAGCTAATAAAGCAATTGCTAGACCAAAGAACCTAACTTACGATAAATGGTCAAGTGCTTTAGGGTTGTTATCCATATAAAACAAAGAACCTTTCAGATGACCTTGTGGATACTTCAACACCTGGTAAAGGTATAAATAAATTTAATTGCCAAAGATCCACACTTAGGAAGATAAAAGGGGCAGAGGACACTGAACCATACAGATAACACCACAAACTTCATTTAGTCATTAGACTGAACTTCACTCTTGCAGTTTCATCTCCTGTTTTTTTTCTACAGTGAAGTTTCTGAAAAGTAATACAGCAGGCAAATAAAATCTGCAGGAGACAGCAGAAGGAAAAGCAATTATTCTGAATAATCTACACATAAAGTGAGTATCTTTATTAAAAAAAAATTTAAGTTGGTGGCTGGCACATAGCTTTTATTCCTGAAACAATGGCATAAACCTATTGCTCTGAATTTAAAAAAGAATAATAATGAGAAAGAAGTTAAAAGTAAATTTGACCTAATCAACAGCAAAAGAAACAGCACCTTGTAGAATCATTTGTTTGAAAGTCTATTTAAATAAGTGATGATTTAGAAATCTGAAGTAGTATTATTTGGCAGCCTTTCTGGGCAAGAAAAAAAGAACTGAGTATAAAGATTAAAATGAAGCCAAACAATACATGAAATAAAGATCAGTTCAGTTCCAATAACAGCATCTTACAACTTACAAACTCAAAGTAATTATTTTTGAATTTAAAAATATAAGCACAAGATGAAATTGAAAGGATATACATACCATCTTGGTAAAATTTATGAATTGCTTCAAGAATAGGACTTGACTTCTTTTTAAAGGTTTAGTCAAAAATTTTTGCATTCATACAAGTTTATAACAATGCTCTATTTCTATTCCATTATTATCCGAACCACTATTATTATTAAAAACCATTTCCTGTGGCTAAAGAACATATTCTTTTAGAATTTTCATATGCAATGAAATTGTTTTAAAATAGTTAATTCTTTACCATTCCTCCCTCAACCACATTCTCTGTCAATCTAGAGGATTCATGTGGTGACATTCTATGTTCCAATTTCAATCTTAGTCACAAAGGCAAGCCTTCTAATTCTGTCATTATTTAATGATAGACAGATGATTTTGCACTCATTTGACCTTTACCATGCTCTCTTGTTTGATTAGCAGCTCATTCCTGTTCTCTTATAATAAAAGGTAGAATGGATTAGCCATTCAGAATTCAGAATATTGAAGTAGTTAAAGCATAACAACAGACCACTGCTGGCATTTAATGCAGACATTAAAATTCTAATGACTCATTCCCCTGTCACAGATGAGGAAAAGAATAGAAATAGACATAACAAGGATCTGTTCTTCTGAAACTAATTATAACAGGAATTTGAGATGGTAAAGACTTCATCTATTCATATAAATCAGTGTTTCCTTTAACTTGGTAAAGAAGGCACTGTGATTTGCCAAAATTGAGGATTTCTGGAATCAGGTTAATTTAGGGTTCAGTACTAAAAGAGATCTTTTGAAGATGAAATGACAGAGGGTGGCGTGAAAAAAGAAAGGGGGGTTATAAACATAGGTATACCCTCCTGAGAGGCATAATTTAAGAAAAATTTTGATTTTTTTAAAAAAAACAGACTTTAAGAGAAAAAGTTATAATCATTCTATGACAAGAAGTGAATGTCTATACAAAATGTTTATTTTTTTGTGTTATCATAACATAATCTCAGATATTAAAAGCTATTCTTATCCTACACTGTAGGAAATAATAGTTAAAATAATTAATAAGCATATTTCTTGAACCCATGGCAGGTTCTTTGCAAGGCCCTAGTGATATCAGATGATAAATACAACATATTTCCTGTCCTCTGGGAGCCTACAGTTGAGTTACTAAGAGATACATTAATCAAATAATCACAGAAAGGAATACAGCATTTCCACTGTAATAAGTAATGCGTTAGTCACACTGAGATTATTCGAATTTATAATGCAAGGACCTGACCAAGATAGGGGGTCCCAGAAGGCTTAGCCAAGGAAGTCATGATTGATTAAAACTTGGAGGAAAGGGAAAGTTAATTGGTGAAGAGGAGAAAGGACTCATGGTAGAGGGAGTCTCTGAAAATGGAAGGACAGGAGAAAACACAGCAGTTTTGAGACTATGAGAGATCAACGTGTTTGGGTTGTACAAAGATTGAGGGGAAGGATTTTGCATTATATGGAAAAAAGTAAGAACCAAATTATATGCAAGGGTTTGTATCTTATATTCCATGTTAAGTCTTTAAGATCTGTTCTTTTGGCAATTTCAAGTTTATGTTATTATTAACTATAATCACTCTGCTATGCAATAGAATTAGAGAACTTACCCCTGAAACATTGTACTTTTTGGCAAACATCTTCCCATATCTCACACTCTTCCAAGCCCCCGATAACCATCACTCTAGTCTCTGAGTTCCACATTTTTAGATTCTACATATAAATGAGGTCATGCATCATTTGTCTTTCTGTACCTAGCTTATTTCACTTAGCAAAATATCCTCCAGGTTAATCCATGTTGTCGGAAATGACAGAATTTTCGTTCTTTGTAAGGCTAAATAGTATTCTATGGTGTGTGTGTGTTTCAGGGAAAAACTCCCAAACTGCATTTTTCTTCTGCCTCACTTCACCACCACAATCATCAACACAGAAGACGACTTCTGTGACCAAAGGTGTGGGAGTTTTTCCACACACGCCAAACAATGGACACCAGCTGGGTGTCCTTCAATTCAGTTTTGACACTATCTACCCAGAGAGTGTGTCAGAATCCACAGGTCGAGGGGGCTCAGTTTCACAAGACTTCCCCCTCCTTCCCTCTAGTCACATGTTCGGGCCTCTAGAAATTCTGACTGACTGGCTTCAAGGCGGAGTTTCTACGACCTTATCTTTGAGTTCAGTTAATGTGCTAGAGCAGCTCACTGAAGTGAGGGAAACATTTACTTACATTTACTGGTTGAGTAAGGAGATCTTAAAGGACAAATAACCAGCCAGATGAAGAGACACATGGGGTGAGGTCTGGAGTACAGGAGCAGTTATCCTCATGGAATTGGGGTGTTCCACCCTCCTGGCATGTAAATGAGTTCTTCTTTACATTCCTGTCAACCTCCATGTTTCCAGCTCTCCAGAATCTCACCAAACCCTGTCCTTTGGGCCTTTTACAGAGACTTAATTTGTTGCCCATGCTAAAGCTGCTGAGGACTGTATGTTGAGATTCTTCTTTCCCTCTGTGCAGGGTTGCTTCCTCCAGAGAAGGAAGCAGGACTCTCTGGAATGAAGGTCTTATGACCCACAGTCAGATTAGAGTCCTGCCTTTGGCAAGTGAAAGGGGGACACAAAAAGGTCAGAGAGATAAGTTTTGTTTCCTGAGGTCTGTTTCTGAGGCTTTAAGTGCCCCAACATCATAACAAAAGATTGTAACAATGGTTATGGGAGTTATGAGCTATGAACCAAGGCTGAAAACCATAATATAAATATAATCATAATATCACAGTGTATATATACCACATTTTCAGTATTCATTCATTCATTGATGGTTGCTTCTATATCTTGACTATTTTGATAATCCTTCCAGAAACATGGGAGTACAGATATCTTTTCCACATACTGATTTCATTTTCATTGAAGATATAGCTAGACACAGAATTGCTAGATCATATGGTACTTCTATTTTTAATTTTTTGAGGAATCTCCATATTAGTTTCCATAGTAACTGGAGTAATTTACATTCCCACCAAGAGTTTACAAGGGTTCCCTTTTCTCCACATCACCAGCACTTATGTTTTGGCTTTGTGATAATAGACATGATAGCGGATGTGAGGTAATATCTTGTTTGGTTTTAATTTTTATTTCCCTGATGATTAGTAATAGCTAGCATTATTTTCATGTACATGTTGGCCATTTATATGCCTTCTTTTGAGAAATATCTAATCAATTTATTTGTTTTCTTGCTATTGAGTTATTTTATTTCCTTGTATGTATTTTGGGTATTAATTACTCTTCAGATATACGATTTGCAAATATTTTCTCTTATGCTGTAGGTTGTCTCCTCATTCTGTTGATTGTTTGCTTTGTTATGCAGAAACATTTTGGTTTGATTCAATCCTATTTTTCTATTTTTCTTTTGTTGCCTATGCTTTGAGTCATATTCAACAAATCATTACCAAAACTAATGTCAAAAATCTTTTTTTGCGTATTTTCTTCTAGGAGTTTTATAGTTTCAGGTCTTATGTTTAAATCTTTAATCCATTCTGAATTAATGGTGTCAAATAAAAATCCAATCTGATTCTTCTGCATGGGGATATTGTTTTCTCAGCAGTATTTATTGAAGAGAATCTCCGTTCCCTATTGTGTAGTCTTGGTACCTTTGTTAAAGATCAATGACGATAATTGCCTGGATTTATTTATAAGCTCTCTACTCTGTTCCATTAGTCTATATGTCTATTGTTACGCTATTCTTATGCTGGTTTTGTTTGTTTGTTTGTTTTTGTTTTAGAGACAGGGTCTTGTTTGGCTGCCCCATGAGGTAGAGCTCAAACAATCCTCTTGCCTCAGTCTCCTGAGTAGCTAGGACTGCAGGTATGCACCAGCACACCTGACTTTTTTTTTTTTTTTTTTTTTTGTAGAGATGGAGTCTTACTATGTTGCCCAGGCTGGTCTCAAACTCCTGTCCTCATGTGGTACTCCCACCTTGGCCTCTGAAAGCACTGGGATTATAGGTTGAGCTACCGTGCTCAGCCCCCATGCTGTTTTGATTACATTAGCTTTGTAGTATATTTTGAGATCAGATAGTATTATGACTCCAACTTGTTCTTTTTGCCCAAGGTTGCTGTAGCTATTAGATTCCATAGGCTTTCCTTATACATTTTTTTTTCTCTTCTTACTGGATGATTTCAAATAATCTGTTTTTGAGTTTCCTTATTCTTCTTGTTGTTCTTGTCTTCTGTTGAAGCTCTGTATGGGATTTTTTAGTTCTGTCATTGTAGTCTTCAGCTCCCAAGTTTCTGTTTGTTAGTTTTTGTCTTTGTTTGTGTTTGTGTGTATGTGTGTTTTACATTTTTCTATCTCTTCATTGCGCTTTTCCTTTTGTTCTTATATTATTTTCCTGACTTCTTATATTGATGTTCTTATATTGATTTCCTGATTTCATTAAATCATTTATCTCTGTTCTTGTAGCTCACTGAGCTCCTTTAGAACATTTATTTTGAATTCTTTGTCAGGCAATTAGCAAATCTTCAATTCTCTGGAATTAGTTACTAGATGTGTACGGTGTTCCTTTGGTGGTGTCATGTCTCTCTGATTCTTCATGATTTCTGTAACCTCATGTAGTTCTCTACACACTTCAAAAAGCAGTCTACTCTTCCAGACTTTTGTACTGGAATTATATATGAAAATCTTTCTAAAAGATTTTTACTTGTCAGGGTTGAGGGGAGCACTGGAGTGTGCTGTTGCACCTGGTCTAGTGGTAGCGGGCAAGAAGTATGGAGGTATGGATATGTTGGGGGGGTGCAGTGTCTTGGGGGTTCAGGTAGTTAGAGTCTGTGACACTGGCAACTGCATGATTCTTGATGGCAAGAAACACAGAGTTTCACAGTAGTTGCAAGGGCTGCTGGGGTCCTAAGCAGTGCCTTTGGGTCCAACAGCCAAAGACCAGAGTTGGGGCCAGTGGTGTTCCTGTGCTGGAGTATGGAGGCTGGCTCCAGCACATATGTGGTAGCAGGGGCCAGCTATAGGCATTCTCACAGTGGCAAGGGTGAGGGTCACGAGCAGGGACTCTGGCTGACCGCAGGTTCATGTGCTGGTGGGAACTGGAGCTGTGTCCAAGCACAGCTATAGGAGCTGGCAGCCTGCATGTCAGTAGTTGCAGGGGCTAACTGGGGGTTATGGACAGGGGTTAGGCCAGCTATGTATGCCTGTGTTACTGTGGAGACCAAGGCTGGCCGTGGGCACATGCACACATCCGTAGCTGCAGAGGTCCTATGGGGGCATGCATGCAGCAGTGAGAGCTGGTAACAGAGGTCAGATGACTGCATCTGTGTGCTCAGCTGCAGGGACTGGAGCTAGGCATGTAAACACAGTGGACAAGGCCAGAAATGGGAGTTGGGCCCAGCTGCTTGTATATACACAGCTGTGGGAGCCAGGACTAGAGTTATATATGAGCCTGGCTACAGGCATATGTGCTGCAGTGGGAGCTGAGGCCAGGGCCTGCAGTGTGGGCCCAGGACCATTTTCAGGCATGTGTATTGTGGCTGCTCTGGGTCCCTGGGCCAAGGCACCTGTTATGACAGCAGCTGGTGTGGTTCCTGGGAGGGAAAAGGAAGATGAGCAGTGGCTCAGGCACCTGGAAACAGCAAAAGCAAAAAGCTGTGGAATCCTCCATGGCAAAACCTGCAGGGCATCCATTGAGGCTGTGTTGGTTGTTGATTTCTTCAGTAGCAAAAGCTGCTAATGTCTATGACAGCGAACACTGCAAAGTCCTCAGCAGTGAAACCTGCAGGGGGTGCCCAGTAACCATGAGGACTATTGAGGTCCTCAGTAGAGGAGGCTGCTGGAGTATGTGCAGAGCAGGGCACTGGGGACCTCAGTAGATTCTGCCTTGTTGGCTTGTGCTGATAGATCACATCCTTCTTCTTTGTTCCTGGCTGTCTCCAGACATCACAGATAATACCAGTCTCCTTAGCAATCCGGGTGAGGAGAAAGTAAATACATTTGTTTGAGCAGTGCCTTGAAAGGCTGTGGAAATTAGTTGTTCACACCATATTCTTCTTCTTTATGAGAGAAAATTGAGAGTCCGGGTGTTCCCTTTCTGTGTTGAGCAGTACAGACCTGGGGGATGGGATGATGTAGGCAAAACACTTTTATCTATTTTGTGTGGTTATTTTGTTTTTTTGTTTTTCTTCCATAGGTATGGCTATAGCTTCCTAAGTGGACTCCTTAGCTCTTCTAGAGTTATTTTTATTTTCATATAGTTGTCTAATCATTATTCTTTGTGGGGAAAATAAAGGCTGAGGTTTCCTACTCCACCATCTATCTTACAGATAAGAAAACAAAAATAACTCTATGGTTAAAAAAAAATTCCAAAAACTTCATTTAAAAAAACTATTTTAGATTGAACTATTGCCCTGATTCTTCTCCCCTACCTGCACTCACACCATTGCCATGGCCTCATTATGGATGTACTTACCCAATTCTTGACTTTGGGCTTGGTCAGATGACTTTCTTTGACCAAAAGTTTCTGTACAGAAATCACAGTTTGCCAGTGTCAAGCCTGGGTCTTAGGAGGATGCACATGTTTGTGCTTATTCTCTTGCACCTCTGCCAGTGATATAAGAGGAAGAAATATCTCTGGCAACCTCTCTGACACAAGGAGAATGAAAGACACTGAAGCTGGAGCACCCACCCTGCCTTCAGTTCCTAACTTGGAAGCAGGATGCTAACTACCATGGACTACAAAGTGCCACCAGTTGAGTCCAACCAATATTAGCCAAGCCCCCAACGACACACAGAAGTACAAGAAGATATGAGTGTTGCTTTAATTCACTGAGTTTTGGGGTGGTTTTGTACAGAACATTGCTGTGATTTCTCAGAATCTTTAATATGCTAGGAGTCTGAGGATGACTCCTTTGGAGGTGGAGTTCTTTCAAACAGCACTGGGAAATGCTAGATTAGAATAAGGTATATCAGCCAGAAATAATCTTTTTCACTAAATCTATCTTAGTTTAATATGTCTTCATTTTTCTGAACAGCAAATGAGCATATTCATATATGCCATATGTTATAGAATGTTGAATAGGTTGCTTCCTATCTACTTGAAAATTTTGGCAAATTCCCCAAAGCTACAGATAGTGGGTAATATATTACACTCACATTAAAAGAGAGCTACAAACATATTCCCACAGAGCTTACTAACAAATGATTAAATTGGTTCTTCAGCTACCAACTACCATCACCCACTTCCAGTCTCTGTTAAAAGTGACTGAAACGTACGTTGAGGAAATTGCTTAAAGGAAATACATATGAGTAGAGAATGCTATGATCTCTTCCTTTCCTACTTACATGGGGAGAGTTTGTCTCTCCACTGCCCCCTCACCACCAAGTGAAGAGAGGTGCGCAAGAGAATCATTCCTAGTGATAGTGATTATCTGTAAAAGGGATGACAAGCTTCTCTATCCCTAACTGCCTGTGATGCCAGTTAAGCTGCAAGGATGTAGGGTATGGAAGAATTCTTAGGAACGACTGGCATTAGTCCCCAGGATTTACGAGTATATATGAAGATAAAGACTGGAACAAGCTTCTCTTGGGAAATTCACTGAACAAGATGCAAGCCTTGGTAACATACATCTTCCATACATCTTCGGAAATCCAGGCAGAGGTTCCCAAACCCCAATTCTTGACTTCCATGCACTCGCAGGCTCAATAGTACGTAGAAGCAGCCAAAGCTTGATGCTTGCACCTCTGAAGCCATAGCCCGAATTCTATGTTGGCCCCTTTCAGCCAGGGCTGGAGTGGTTGGGACACAGGGCACCAAGTCCCTAGGCTGCACAAAGCACAGGGATCCTAAGCCCGGCCAACAAAGTCACTTTTTTCTCCTACGCCTCTGGGCCTCTGATGGGAGGGGCTGCCATGAAGACCTCTGACATGCCCTGGAGACATTTTCCCCATTGTCTTGGGGATTAACATTCAGCTCCTCATTGCTTAGGCAAATTTCTGCAGCCGGATTTAATTTCTCCTCAGAAAATGGGGTTTTCTCTAATATCGCATTATCAGGCTGCAAATTTTCCAAACTTTTGTGCTCTGTTTCCCTTATAAAACTGAATGCCTTTAACAGCACCTAATCACCTCTTGAATGCTTTGTTGCTTAGAAATTTCTTCTGCCAGATACCCGAAATTATCTCTCTCAAGTTCAAAGTTCCACAAATCTCTAGGCAGGGGCAAAGTGCCACCAGTTTCTTTGCTAAAACATAGCAAGAATCACCTTTGCTCCAGTTGCCAACAAGTCCCTTATCTCCATCTGAGACCACCTCAGACTGGATTTCATTGTGCATATTGCTATCAGCATTTTGGTCAAAGCCATTCAACAAGTCTCTAGGGATTTCTAGACTTTCCTACATTTTCCTATCTTCTTCTGAGCCCTCCAAATTGTTCCAACCTCTGCCTGTTACCCAGTTCCAAAGTTGCTTCCACATTTACAGTTATCTTTAAAGCATTGCCCCACTCTACTGGTACCAATTTACTATATTAGTCTGTTTTCATGCTGCTGATAAATACATACCCAACATTGGGCAATTTACAAAGGAAAGAGGTTTAACTGGACTTAAGTTACACATGGCTGGGGAGGCCTCACAATCATGGTGGAAGGCAAGGAGGAGCAAGTCATGTCTTACATGGATGGTGGCAGGCAAAGAAAGAGAGAGCTTGTGCAGGGTTTTCCTGCTTTTAAAGCCATCAGATCTCATGAGACTTATTCACCATCATGAGAACAGCACAGGAAAGACTTGCCCCCATGATTCAATTACCTCCCACTGGGTCTCTCCCACAACACATGGGAATTCAAGATGAGATTTGGGTGGGGATATAGCCAAACCATATCAGCCCTCTTTACTTACTATATTATTTTATAATTAGAATCCTTAACATATTTCCTCTTAGAACAATTTTAAGTGTACAATAGACTATTTTTCTCCATTGGCATTATGGTATACAGTAGATGTTTAGAATTTATTCATCCTAACTGTATATTATACTTCATTCTCATTTTTCCCTATGGGCATAGAAGTACTTACAAGCCAAGAAGATATTTCTCAGTACTCTATTCTGCAGGCTTGGGGAAGACATGATGTGAGTCATGTAAAATTGTTCTTACCATTTTCAATGCGCCTTTTTTTGTTTGTTTCTTTCTGTGCTCCACCCAGTTGCTGTAACTTCTCACCTGGATTCCAGAGCTCTCATGAAGGTATTTTTATCCATGGATGGTTGTTAAATCTGTGTTTCTATAAAAGAGCTGGAACATCTCATTTAACTAAGACTTTTTGTGTATAGAAGTTTTTTTAAAGGTTATAAGTTGTCTAGCTTTTGTGATTTCTTTCCTTTGTTTTGTGCTGTAAAAGTCGTCTTTATAATACAATTTGAAATTTACTTTTTTTATTGTTGTTTTGTTTTTATTTTTTTTTGTTTGTGTTATTTTTGAATAGTAATTCTATACCTGGTTATGGTCCTCATATAAAATACAAAGAAAAAGACATTGGCATGCTGAAAGAGTAGTTTATATCTTTCTGAAATTTGACTGCCCAATTTTGTCTGTTTGAGAATGCAGACAACTGTGTAAACTGTTTATATACTTTAATAAAAATTTAAAGATGCTGTCACACTCAGGAAATCCAAAAACTGTTTGTCTCCCACATTGTTTGCAAAGACTAGCTATCCATAGAGCTTTGCAACCACAGACCTTACCAATTCCCTTAACAACAGGGAATGCATTCCTAATGACTGGTAGTGTGTACTGTGGTCATGTTTGATATGATTTGACAGTCTAAGGTCATTTCTCAGAAGAAAGAAGAAATAGTCCATTTGATAAAGATTTTCTTTCATCTTCTAGTTATGAAATCTTTTACTCTACCTCTTTCTTATTTGGATTTAGTCATAATTTAGCACCTTACAACATTCTGGTATTACACCAGGAAACAATCCTAAAAATAGTCAAAGATGAGGAGCTGAGTAGGAAAATTTTGCCTCATTGTCTCTAACAAGACAACTGTCTCTGACACCTCTTAAATAGCAGAAGAAAACTGTCAAGGGCCTCTCAGCTAAAAGATTCCCAGGGGCTTCACCAAAATGCCTTAGTATCCTAAATAACAGGACTTTTGTCTAGTTTGTAGCATATGTTTCTTATCTTTTTCTTGATTTGTGGGGTCTGTGAAAATCAGTAACATCTAATTCTATTGTAGGGTTGAGGAAATAAATCCAATACAATGGATAAACCATAAAAATGGTTAAAATCATAAATGTATATATGCAACAGAGGCCTAATGGAAAGGTCAAATCTGTGAGCACACTGTGAACTCTGGCTTGTCATTTCTTTTAATGCAAATGTATGGCCTCCTCAGAAAAATTGTGAAAGGACCATGAATTCTGACAGTTAACTTCAGAATCAACCAAGAATCTATACAGGATAGGCACCAGAAATTCCCTTTGTTTGTCTTATTTTACCACAATATACACATTAAAACAAGCAACAAATTTATGGAATTTATCTCCTAAGAAATGTGTAAGCTCATCCACTCTATTGCACTTGCCATTTTTAGGATGAAGGCACCATTCTCTCTCAACTGTATTAATGTAATAGGCTCCAAGCTACTTCACCCAGTCTCCAAGCTTGCCATTTAATCTAGCCATACAAGTTAAAGAATGATCTTCCCAAACACCAATCTTGCAATAGCACATTTCAGGGGCTCCATTTTGCTCTTTTTTTTTTTTTTTTTTTCTGAGACAGAGTCTCTCTCTGTTGCCCAGGCTGGAGTACAGTGGCGCGATCTCAGCTCACTGCAACCTCCACCTACTGGGTTCAAGTGATTCTCCCACCTCAGCCTCCCCAGTAGCTGGGACTTCAGGCCTGTGCCACCATGCCCAGCTAATTTTTGTATTTTTGGTAGAGACAAGGTTTCGCCATGTTGGCCAAACTGGTTTCAAACTCCTGACCTCGGATGATCTGCCCACCTCGGCCTCCAAAAGTACTGGGATTACAGGTGTGAGCCACTGCGCCTGGCCCCATTTTGCTCTTTATATGAAATCTAATTGTCTTAAAATACCCTCAAAATCCTCAGGATCTGGCTAACCTCTCCAGTCTTCTCTCTTCTCAGTACTTGAAATGCTTCAGCCATCCCAAAATTCACTCAGAACTTTACACATGTCATACTCTTTTATTCTCCAGGTCTTTGCTTCAGACTTTTCTTTCCTCTTTGAAAACTGTATTCTCCCTGCAGCCATCAGTCATACCCATGTTTGCACACATCATTTGTCTATGGAGAGCTGATAAGTCTCACCTTACCAACCACTTTCTCCAAGAGCCATCATCAGACTCTCCAAATCAGAGTTAATTGCCTCTCCAATGTGCTCCCCTTAGTACCCTGAATCTCTAGCATATCATCCTGGATGATAATTACCTGCCTTTTTAAATTTCCTGTACCTAATTGTGAACTTCTTGGGCAGAGACTGTAGCTTTCATGTTCGTCAGCATAGGCTTGATGTGTACTAGGTGTTTAATCATTATTCATGTCCTAGCTCAGTAGAAAACTCATCCTGTCTTTGGCAAAAGGCAAGGTTTTCATCTTGAACAGCTTCTGTTAATGAGGCAGCTGATGGTAATATTGTCCAATTAAGCCCCAGGGAAATCTGCTTGAAATGACTTGTGAGAGAAGGCTGTAAGAGATCTATAGATGCCACTTAATTATGGAGTCTACATTAGACCTGGTTAAAAAAAATAGAAATGCAGGTGAGGAGGAGGGCTCAAATACTGGGTCAAAATATCAGGGTGATGAAGGGAGAAAGAAGCTCTGCCTTGCATCCATGGTTGAGGACTCATGGTGATGAGCCAACTCAATCTCAGTGCCAGAGCTGGATATATCAACAGCAGAGCCACGACATATCAATATAACACAGGAAAAATGCAAGGGGGACATTTTTGCAGATCAAAGGATGAAAAGTGAAAATCAGGAAATAGGCAGAAAAGAAGATTTAAAAGTACCACAGAATGCAAACGTGCTTACTTAGAATAATGTGAAGGAAAAGAAGGTATTGGGTGTCCTTGGAATCCCACCCAGTATTCCACAAGGTGAGGCTCAGAGAGAAAGGCAATTTCCACCCTTATTGCTTTTGTAATCCACGTTCTTTGAATAATACTCGTAAGGTTTGGCTGTGTCCCCACCAAAATCTCATTTTGAATTGCAGCTCCCATAATCCCCACATGTCATGGAAGGAACCCGATGGGAAGTAACTGAATCATGGGGATGGATTTTTCCCATGCTATTCTCATTCTAGTGACTAACTCTCATGAAAGCTGATTGTTTTATAAAGGGCAGTTCCCCTGCACACACTCTCTTGCCTGCTGCCATGCAAGGCGTGCCTTTGCTCCTCCTTTACCTTCCGCCATGATTTAGGCCTCCCCAGCCATGTGGAACTGTGAGTCCATTAAACCTCTTTTATTTATAAATTGCCCAGTCTTGAGCAGTTCTTTATAGCAGTGTGAGAGTGGACTAATACGAATATATCACACAACGGTGTAGTTTTGAAGGAAGCACGTGATCCCAATGTGTATAACTATAAATTCACCTATTTCACAATAACAGTAACTTACAGCACTTATTGAGTAAGCATTTACTTAGAGGTAGTGTAAAGTACTTACACGCAGCATCACATTTATGGTAGGATGAATAGTGGCACCTAAAATTATCTGCATCCTAATCCCAGAACCTACAAATGTTTCCTTATATGGCAAAAGGAGCTTTAGAATGTCATTAAACTAAGTATATTGATGCACACCTATGTTTACTGTGGCACTATTCACAATAGCAAAGATTTGGAACCAACCCAAATGCCGATCAATGATAGACTGGATGAAGAAAATGTGGCATATATACACCATGGAACACTATGGAGCCATAAAAAAGGATGAATTCATGTCCTTTGCAGGGACATGGATGAAGCTGGAAAACATCATTCTCAGCAAACTATCACAAGAACAGAAAGCCAAACACCACATGTTCTCACTCATAAGTGGGTGTTTAACAATGAGAACATACACAGGGAGGGGAACATCACATACTGGGGCCTGTTGGGGGTTTTGGGGTTAGGGGAGAGATAGCATTAGGAGAAATAGCTAACGTAGGTGACAGGTTGATGGCTGCAGCAAACCACCATGGTATGTATATACCTATGTTAACAAAACTGCACTTTCTGCACATGTACTCCAGAACTTAAAGTATAATTTAAAAAAAAGAAAAGTATGTTGAAATGGGAAGTCAATCCTGGATTATTTGAGTGGGCTCAAATATAATCACAAGGAATGTAGGTGGTCACTAGCAGTTGAAAAATTGGGAAAACAGATTCTGCTCCTCAGAGCCTACAGAAGGAACCAGCCCTACTGACACCTGACTTTAACCTAAAGAAACGGTTAAGAATTCTAAGTTCTAGAACCACAGCATAACACATTTGTGTTATTTTATGCCACTAAGTTTGTGTTAATTTGCTACAGTAGCAACAGGAAAGTAACACAGCACTTACTCCTCACAACCACTGAATGTAGAAACTGTCATTATCTCTTTTTATAGGTGAGGGACTGGAGGTACAGGAAAGTTAACTAAGTTGACAGAAGTAGGATCCAGTCCAGGCAGTTTGATTCAAAAGTCCTTGTCTTTAGCCACCATGCTATATTCCATGATAAGAAAATTGACTGGCTCGCTGTGTATACATCTATGGTCCATCCAACCACAACATTGGTTAATTGGATTTTTTAATTAACCAATTTCATAAATATTCAAAAACTGAAATGCACATTTTTTAAAGGAAACTGTTTGGAAATGATTTCAACCGTTTTTAAGTTTCTAAGAAATATTATGAGAAATAGTCCTGCAGGAGGAACCAGCCCTACTGACACCTTGACTTTAATATTCCTGATTATTTCTCATAATGAAGAATAATTACTCCTTCTACTGTAACAAAGATTTTGAAAAATTATCCTAAGATATTAATTCACTAGCTATTATAATCACATTATTACTATATTCACACAAATAATGTACTCAATTGTAATTAATGTATGATTCTGTTCCAAGAAAAAAAAAGCTATAAAGAAAATGTATATTAGAGACTTGAACTTAACAAGTTAGCAGACATGAATTTAAGCAGCACATTTGCTCTTTAGAGTGTAACCTTTAGCAAGCAATTTAACCTCAGTTGATTCCCTTATCTATCAAATGTGGAGTTTGCCCTATCAGCCACCTTCCTTTCCTAAGATTCTGTGTGTTTGTGATTCTATTTGTTCTTCAAGCTTGTTGGTGATACTGGATTTTTCCATATAAAAAATTACATCTTTGCCCTGTCCTTAGCATACTATTCCAAATTTGATTTTAAGCAGAAATCCATCCTTTTGGTCCATTAGTAACTTCTTTTAGCCTGTTGGTACTCTTCGACTTAATAGCAGATAAAGGCACTTCTAGTGCCATTTCCTGTGGAACCAAAATATGATGAAGGAGGCAGAGGAGCATAAAGTATCTTCAAATATTTTTGCCTAATATCTCTCTAATCCTCAAAATAACCCTTGAAAATAAGTGTATCCTCCTAGTTCAATAGATGAAGAATGTAAGAGACTATTTAATAAGGACTTTTAAGTTAAAAGTGGCAAATATCCTGACCACCAATCCTTGCTTTTTCCACAATTTCATACTATATCATATAAAGTAGTAATAGCTTCTGTATGTTGAATACTGCAGAAGATTTAATTTTCTAAAATAATCACACAATATATGCACTCCCATCCCACATGCTCTTTTTATAATGTGAATGAAAATCTCCCATCAATAGATCAGGTTCCATTTTTCTCCTACTTGAATCCAGCAAGGGCTTGTGGCAGCCTTAATTAACCCACAGAGCATGGCAGTATGATGTCATGTGACTTCGCAGGCTAGGTTACATAAAGGATGCAGCTTCTACTTGGTGCTGTCTCAAGAAAATTACCCTAGCAAACCAGCTTGCTGTGAGGAAGCCTAAACTAGCCCTCACTTAGAGAGCTGATGTGCAGAGATACTAAGGCCCTCACATGACAGTTAGCATCAACTCTAGATGTATTGGTAGATGATTTCTTCAGATAATTCCAGCCTCCAACTTCAAGTCTTCCAGCTGAGGCCAAAGACATTGCAGAGCAGACATGAAAATTGAAATATTAAAATGTACCCTGACTTGTAGACTCACACAATCCATTAGTATGGGTGTTTCATACCATTACATTTTGGATAATTTGTTAGGCAGCCCTGGAATAAATATGTATCATGTGCACAGTACCTTAAAATTTTCCCAGATTGCAGACCTGAAAACAGTCTCCAAGAGATTATGTGACTCACACTGAACCACACAGTTAGTATCTGAAGACTAACTTAAGCTTCAGATGAATCCCAATGGATTAAAACACAGGTTGTGTTTTATTTCCAAAACTTATAATGCTGAATTATCTCCTAAGAGAAACCCAGCTTGGAAATTGTTGAATTCTAACTTTATGGATACTCACTAGCCTATAGAAAAATACCACATTTCAGTACAACATTAAATTTTTGATAATTGATAAATCTAAGACCATTCTATACATGCAATCTGATATACTAATAAACAAACAAAAGAATAAAATATGCTGGGAGAAGACCACATTATTTCTAGATCATTTATAGCTTATACCCACTTTTATTTGTTAATTTATCTATTTTCATTGGTTTTAAGTTGCATTTTTATGTTATCATATTACATTTGACTATATATTTTTTTAATTGGGGGGGTTAGCTTTCATAAGAAATACATCAATCAATACATGAATGTAGCAATACATTAACATTATACTTCAAGTGCATTGAATAATTTGACTATATCAAGAGTAATTTCAAACAAGCCCTTTAAGCAGAGGTGGATGGTTGCCTATCGAAAAACCTTTTTGTCTTTATCCTTGCTCACAGAAATATGATTTTGTTTGATATTTACCACCCCCTTCAATTTTGAGGAGCGATTACTTCCAAATGTAAGTAAAATGAATTTTGCTAATCTAAATATTCTTGTCTTTCAAGAAAAAATATTTTAAAGAAACTATACGATAATGTGAAGGAGAAACCTCTCAAGTAATCTTTTAAAGTAAAACTTAAAATTCATTGTATAGATACAATGTATATCCTATAAATATTTGCCTTCTAACCTCAATAATTATTACAAAAAAGTCTTTAATCTTATGTATTTCTAAGCTTAAGACCTGATATCATTTTCCCTGTATCTTAAAAGGAAGAGTTTATTTTAAAGGACACTTCCTTTTAAAAATGAAGTCACTGAAACACTAAGTAAACCCCAAAAGAGTACTTTGTTCTGATTATTTCTTTTAAATTTCCCCCATAATATGACTCCTGCATTTCCTCTCTGAACTTAGTCAATTTTTCAATTTTTTAAAAACTCTCTGTGGAAATAGGTCAATAATTTTGCTGTGAGGTTAAATGTTGACCTTCCTTTCTTTAAACATGAAGGAATATAAGTGCTGGTCAATAGAGCTAAATCTTTTGCTGTGCCTTCTCAACAATAATACACAGAATTTCTTATAGGGGAATTTTCTCCTTAAATTAAGCAGTATAATTGGTGCAAAAGAAATATGAGACTACTTTTAAGATGTTCTGCCTTTTAGTAGTAACTTAATAAATTCAAAAATGCCAGCTTACTTCCTGAGAAATTTTTGTCACTGGTAGAATCTGGTTCACAATGAATGAAATGGCAGGCATTTTTTAAACCAGACATATGTTTCTAATAACACTCTTGTATATGCAGTGCAGTGTTTTAAATGTAGATTAGGTACCCTGGTGACATCATCTTTTAAACTCTCTTTAGGTAAACCAGATGGCTGGCTTGTATGCAGTAAGAATGCCATTAAACTGTCCAGAGAGAATAGTTTAATCATCTTTAATAATGTCACTAATACCCAACATGTGTATTTTTAAATGGGTAATTGTATTGAAAAAGCTGATGTCACAAAATCTGTTTCAGACACTTTTCATTTAAAGTAAGTGATAAAAGTTGCAAGGTTTTTAAAAAACACACAAACAATAGTCTTGAAAACAACAATTAATATGTAAGATTTCTGTATACTAGCTAGTGATTTGTTACCACACTACAAAATCAATAGTATTAAAATTTGTGTCGTACTACAAATCGATAGTATTTTGTTACCTACTATTGATCAATAGCTATAATTTAGTTCTTATGTTGAAAAATAAAAAGAAAATAAGCTTCTAAAGAAGCTTGGAGATTAAAAAGAAAACAAATATAAAGGTAGAACATAGAAGGATAAACAGGCAAGGAGAAGCAGAATTCAAATTTCTTTATCCACTCATTAAATTTTAGAGCCTAGAACTTTGACAAATAAATCTTGTCTCCCTGGCTTTCTTACGCATTCCACACACAGGGTTTCATGGGAAGAGATTAGCTTCTTATGATGATGTAATGAGTCTAATTGAGGTTGGAGCTGGAGGAATCCAAGTAAATTGAGTTGATCCGATGATAAAGAAAAGTAAAAACATATTCTAAATTTGATACTTGAGATTTCTATCTATGTAATTGCATTATAATTAATGCTTTGCCCTGAGACTTAACCAATGAGCTTCCTTCAGTCCCTGAAGTTAAAATATTAGGGAAAAAGTTGAGCAGAAGAAAACACACAAACTTAGAAGAGGTTTGGTAAAGAAGGTATATCCTTTAATTCACAATGTTAAAAAGGAATTTAACAGCATTTAAAATATACATTCAATGTTACATTTTAATTCATATTTCCAAAGAATAGGCTAGACTTTATTTTTCTGATTGTTGTAAATCCCAACTTATTCTTATATAAAATATAAAATACTATTTAAAACACTTCAGTTGAATAATCTCTCCTTAGATTCTAATAACTATTCAGAATGTTAAAATGCTATTATTTACCAGTTCTTAGAATGCCTTCAGCTCCATTGTATAATTAAAGTTGCATGGCATCTTGCTGAATTATCTTGAGGAAAAAAATAGGGAGAAGCTCAAATTACTTTGATGGTAGGAAGAGAAATTATCCTGATGATGGTGTTGGAAGAAAGAAGCATGTATGATTCTTGGCAACTGCTGTCCTATTTTTTCTGCAGGAGGCATGTATGCTGAGTTGTTCTTTGACTCATCTATAAAGGTATTGCAAAAAGGCCTCATATGTCCGCTCTATAATTGTACAGTTCTCCCGCTAATGGCATGAGTTAGTCTAATACAGAAATGGATTATTAACAGAACAACCTAGCCTTACATTTAAATTTACCTTTGACAATTAATCATAATTGGAAATAAACATGATATTTTGCTCTTTGACCCCTAAATCTATCTTTCAGTTCATTTCAAACTTGAGAAAATAAGAATAGCATTATTTATAGTCTGCTATAACTCCAAAATAAAGAATTCAATGTGTTTTTATGTGAAATATATTCTACCTAAATTTTTCATCTTAGAAAGTATATGAGATGAGACATAAGAAATGAAATATTGAATCAGAATAATATTCCACCTAACCCCATGTGTTACAGAGATATTAAAGGCTATTTGCAAAGTTTTTTTTTTAATCAGTTTTAATGAGATCAAAAATTATCTTTGTGATTATAACGAGGCATAAATTTACCACATAACTTTCTAACCTAGAGTTTTGGACCTAAAATGTTGCATAGGATATCTGTGGCAAATCTAATATTGAATTAGAAAGTTAGAGTTCTATTTATGGAAAGAAATTTGGCAAAAATATATGTAAACATCACCAAACAATGTCTTCCATGTTGACTTTTCTCTCTGCTTACCTGTTTCTGACATTGCATGTATACCACGGTGTAAGATTACATGAAGTCAACCTAAACAAAGAATTAAGTGAAAAACGCCAAATGGCTTTTATAGTCAAATTCAGGTAACACATGCTGTTTTCAAGTTCCTATTTAAAAAACAGATCTAATGACATTTACTATCTAACCCAAAACAACCACACTTGGCTCAGTAAGAAACAGGCTGATTTTAAGAAGAAAGCTCCTTTTCCAAGTAATCAGATAGAGTAAAACTATTTCTAAAAACAACACGAAGAAACTTACTGTCATAAACCAAATGAAATTAAAAATGAGCATATAATAAAGTACATAATTATAACAAAAACTAATTTTTATTGATGTTTCCCCTATGCTAGAATATATACATGTTTCTCTTTTAATCCTCATAACTCTATATAGAAAGTATAATTATTATTTTCACTTTATAGACAGGGAACTGAGGCTTAAGAAGTTGATATGCCTAACGTGAGCTTATGCAGCAAGAGGTTGAACCACAATTCAAATCCATGTCTGTTCAACTTCATATGCCAAGCTTTAGAGTCAAGTTGTATACTACAGTAATAAAAACAAAAAAGAAAACCTCGCTAAAAACAACCATATTTGTAAAAATTGAGTTATATCACAATCTAAACAGAAACAAACATAAATCAAAAAAACTGCGTAAATTATTTGGAAATGTTTCTGGCATGTAATAAGCATTAATAACACCTAGCTAATAATGTTTTACTCCACAACATCCACCTATGTGAAAATTAAAGGTATATAATACCTAAGAGCTAAAGACTTCCATTATTTTAAACATTTTTACCTAGGTTACTTGGATTACTTGTTTCCATCTGAGTTGCCAAATTAGCTATTTCTTTGGTAATTAATGTAAATATATCATACTAGTAAAATCTAAAAATATTAGAAATATGTTGTCAGTGGATATATTGTGCTATCTTTTATATATAAAACTGAAACTATTGACCCACATTATTAAGACCTGTACCTTAAATTGTTTGATTTTCCGCTAGGGGAAATGAATTTGAAGTAATATACACAGTCACTCTAAAGATTCCCTTTATATTATAATTTTTAAAATATATTTATAAAACGGTTGATAGGGATTCTTCTAGGATGCAAAGGTTTAACTCAGAAAGCTAAATGTTAAGTCTGGTTAGGAATAAAATGTACGTTGAAATAAAACCAATTTTTCACACACCTGGATACTGACTTTTTAACAGACCAGAACCATGTTTTTAATTTTTAATGTGATACAAATCACTTGAGAATCTTGATAAATGCAAATCCTAATTCATAAGGGGTAGGGTAGGTTTGAGAGACTAAATGTCTAACAGGCTTCCTGGTAATATTGGTGGTATGGAAATAAGCCACACATGCAGCCTCTGGCTATACGCAGACAATTACTAAATTTTTTTCCAGCATCTATATTCTGGAAACATTCCTTTCTCCTTTCATCAACACTGGTAATGTAGCAGCCACCACATTCACACTTGCTCATCACTTATACCACAGGGATGAGCCCTTAACTCAACCAATCTATCCTCTTTTCAAATATTGGGAACCGAGATCCAGACAAAGTCAATTCAGTATTTCTCAATTACTTCATGACTTTACATAAATTCCATAGCACGTGTTGGTAGTTTTCTACTGAACAAGAAAAAACTATTCTGTGACCAAGGAGAAAAATAAAGCATGACATACAGAGAAGTAGACGTGATAGGCACCAGGAGAGAAATTTAATGGATTCTTCAGTGTGTTGCCATTCTAATTCTGTTCCTGAGGCCCAGGTATATTGCTGTCCTAATAAACTACCTTTTTACTCAAGCTAAGTGGGTTTCTATTTCATACAACCTGAGGAGTACTAACTTTATGCTCTAAAGTGTAATGTATTTTATCTCTGTACAACTAAAAGCACATAAGATTGGGATCCATAATCACAGCCTCATTTATGTGAAGTGCTAAGAATCTGTGCTAAGAGGGAAAACATATGTATGTCATAATATATATTACACACATGCAAATTTTTGTAAAGAATTTTTGCATCAAATTTATTTCAGCACATCTGTTACTTTAGAATTTGGTGCTAAATAAATAAAGACAACGACCATTGAACTTACAGATGTGCAATGATAGAAAAATCTATTAAGTGCCACTTTAGAGTGAATATTATATTTCCTTAAGCTAAACAGACTTTTTAAAAATGTATGCATTTTTTTTTCTCTAAGAAGCTCAGTAGTTAATTAGAAGGATGAAAAACCTTACATTAAATATATTTGTGGATTGCTAAGGAAGGCACCAGAATGGTATTCTCCTTTAAATAAAGGTATTTAAAACTACTCTGGTGCTTAAATTGTTATTCACAGTATCTATTCATTTTTTTACTGCTTAAAAGTTTAGGCTGATTAAGCAAAATGTTTACAAATAAGCAATACCATAAAAGCATCTCCAGTTTTTGGGCTCTAGCCAAATCAACTTCTTGTAAAAATCCAGTGATGAATTTTATAACTAAATAACTAATAAAACCATCTAACCTTAAATCCTAAAATGAATTCATACATTTGTAGCAATCAGATCATTTCAGTTACACAGGTGTTATAAAGCTATCACAGAAACTAGGATCTAAAGAAAATAGCAGATCTCATATTCCTCAAGTACTTAGACTAGTTGCAATGCAAGCTCAAAGTTGGTTTGTTAATCTTAAACACAACCAATTACATTATTTGAATAAATCACCAACATTAAATTCCAAAAGCAAGTGTATATTATAAAATTGGCTTTGCAAAGTAGTAACCACAGGCTGGTCCTCAGGTGAATTTGCAATCAAAAATTCATATTGTACGGGTAACCCATAAAAATGAGTCATAAATTTACAGTAAAGTTGTTGGAGATCGGTAGTACTTTCAAAAATCTTAAAAAGGCAAACAAAAATCTCCAGAGTAGCACATCTTCATCTTAGAACTCAAAGAATTCTCGTCAATATTTTCTCCTCAAACCATGAGCAATTCTAAGAAAGAAAAAGATTTAAAAATACTCAAGGAGATAATACACTATGTGTAAGAATCAGTCCACCCCCCACCCTTAAAAAAATCAAAAATCAAACAACAGAAACAGACCATAAATTCATCATATAATCACATTATTAGAATAAAAAGTAATTATGCTGGCTAGAATTTGAAAAACAAAACACAAGGTGAACTCTATCTCCAGGGATCTGGAAGCTATAAGGAAAAGTAAAGGAGCTTTGAAAATAGAGAACTCACAGAAACTAAAAATATAAAAATTGAATGAGAAACTCAATGAATGGCTATATCATTATGTTGAAAACAACAGAGAGAGTTAGCAAGATGGAGGACAGGTGAGAAGAAATCAAACAGAGTATAGAACATAGAGAAAAAACGTGGAAACGATGAAAAATAGGTAGAAAATGGTAAAATTAACTAAGAAAGTCTAATATACTGCTAATTAGTGAACCAGATAGAGAGAAAAGAATGAATTAGCAAAACGGAATGGCTGAGAATATTCCCTAACTAATAAAAGATATCAAACCAAAAATTCAAGAAGTCCAATATATTATTTGTAGAACAAGTCAAAAGAAATCCACATCCAGAAATGTCTGCAGAACATCAAATAAAAAGATATGTTTAAAAATGTGAGGAAAAAGAGGCAGATTATGTTCAAAGTATTGAAAGATGAACAGCTAATCTTTTAGCAATAGAAATGCAAGACAATTTCAAATAACAGATCAGGCCAAATCTTACAGACAGTAAAAAAGAGGAAATCTTTCAAACTAATTCTACTACTTCTGGAAACAACTGATATTAAAATAAAAAATATATATATATATCATAATAAAGGCAAATAATGGACACATTTTACTCATAAATGTAGATGCAATATCCTAAACAAAATATTATAATAGCAAATTGAATCCTAATGTATTTTTCAAAAAATATACCTTGGCCAACATTATATTCTGCTTATATGAAAACAGATCAATATTTTCAATTTCATACATTCAATTTGACAAATTAACATATTAAAAGAGAGGAAAGGTGATCATTTACTTAGGTTGAAGGGAAATATTTAACAAAATTTAATATACATATTATTAGGAAATAAGAAATAGGAAAGAATATCTTTAACCTTATAAAAATGATGTACATAGGGTAAATATTTTCCTGAAAGGGGAAAGATTTAAAGAGTTCCCTTTATAAGCAGGACTAAGACAATGATGCACAATATCAGTACTCTTATGCAACATTGTATTACAAGTCTTAGCAAGTACAATAAGACAAGAAAAAAAATGGAGACATAAAGATACAAATTAGGAAAGGTAATCATTTACATAAAAAATGAAGAGTCTTTAAATTACTACAAATAATTTAGTAAATTGGTTGTATATAAAATTAACATTTAATTAAATATTAATACAACATTTGTCAGTTGCATTTCTAATTACCAGTAACAAACATCCTAATACTACAATTAAAGAGAGAAGATAATTTACAATATTATCACAGAATATCAAGTATCTTTTCAAATATTCAAAACTACTAAAGGGAAATTGCTTCAATAAAGGATATCAAAGACCACTTCAATATATGAGATGATGTATCATGTTCATGCCTACAAGGATGTAGTATTTGAAAATAGTATATCTTTTGCTAATAATCATATCCAATACATTTCTAATGCATAACAAGGTTATTCATGATCTGATGATAAGATGATTTTAAATTTTATAGAGAAGAGTAAAGGGCCAATAATAACCAGAAAGAACAGAGAGAAAGAATTGCTCAACTAGCTAATGGGAATTATTATAAAGCTATAATAAATATGATACTGTAGAACTATAATAAATGAGAATAGTGTGGAGATAAACAGTGTGACACCCAAAATAGAACACAGAACTCAGAAACGTATGCACACATGTTGATTTTTGACAGAAGTGACATTTTAGATCAGTAGGGAAAGGGATGATTGGAGAATAAGTGACTATCCATATGGAAAGAAGAAAAAATTGAAGCCACTTCACACTATATAAACACAAACTGCAGAAAATGAAAGATAAATGTCAAAAGTGAAATGTTTAAATACCTACTTGAAATAACTCATTTGGAACGTCTTTAGGTTTAGTGGGATGAAAAAGTTTATTTAAAATATTTTTTTAAGGCTGTTCTGCCTATGGAATAGCCATTCTTTTATTCCTTTGCCTTCTTAATAAAACTGCTTTCACTGTACTCTATGGAAAAAAACAAAAAGTACAATAAAATAAAATACATTTTTTTAAAAAAAGAGTTGACCATATAAGAAGACCTATAAATTTGACTGTATCAAAATTGAAAATTGTTATAAATCAAAAGATATATTAAAACAAGTGAAAATATTATAAACTGGGAGAAAATATTTGTGATACAGATAACCAACAAAATATTGAGATGTTATTTAAGAAAAAAAACTTTCCACAACTCAGTATGAAAACCTTTTAAAAGATAGAAAACATGTTGAAAGGCATAGAGACTTTCCACAGAAGAGAAAATGTATATGACCCATAAGAATATTAGTAGTGATTCCAGAAATACAAAACACGAACACAGTAAAGTACCAGTTTACATGCACTTAATAACAAAAATTAAAATGAATGACCACTTCGAGGGGAGGATATATGTCAATCTAGGTTTTATGTGAAGCCAGAGGTTTATTTAATTTGGTAGTTCATTCTCTAAGAAAAATAAATTTTAAAAAAAGCTAACAACAAATTATTTGCACTTTATAATATTTATTTGGAATGAAAAAAAGAAATCAAACCAAATTACAGTTTTTAAAAAACTGACAATACCACAAAAGACATAGGCCAAAATAAAAACCTTAAAAAATTTTCCTTTTGAACACATATATATAATACTATTTTCTTATATACTTTGGCTGCATACTTTTTAATTTTATAACAACAACTTTGAAGATTTTTGGCAAACAGATTAGAAAGATAATTCCAATTATTTAAGGATCATTATAACTTGGTTTTAATATTGATAGTATAGAAAAGTTTCAGCTTTATGACTAGTTACTAGTAATACCACATTGATTTTTTAAAGATTTTTGTCAAATTTGGGAAAACCTCTCTATGTTTATTTTCTATGTAAGTTGTGAGATTTTAGAGCATTTAAAGTTTTCTTGTGCAGGGAACTATATTAAAGAATTATGAACTCATTAACTAGATTATTGTTGTTAGCCTCCTCATGCGGTGTATTTTATGTTATAGTCAACAAAGTTAGTATTTGGGGCCACATTATCAGGAAATATACATCATTTTTATATGAGCAATGGCACCTGGGACTTATAGAACACGACACATCAGATATAACAAGATATATTCCCATATGTTGAGGCGCATAAGACATGAGACTTGAAGACACTGATATATTTATTTGTAGAATGCCTAAAGATTTATGCCGTACAGTGCATAGACCATCTAAAAGATTCTATTGTGTAAAATACTTTTAACAATTGCATATTTATAATTGTATATGTGAATCACTGAGTGTATGCCTGATGACAGGAAACTTCTGTTTTGACTAAGCATCAAAAAGAAACAAATCCAGCTGGGCACGGTGGCTCACGCCTGTAATCCCAGCACTTTGGGAGACCGAGGCAGGTGGATGACAAGGTCAGGAGTTTGAGACCAGCCTGGCCAATATGGTGAAACCCCATCGCTACTAAAATACAAAAAAAAAAAAAAAAAAAAAAATTAGCTGGGCATGGCGACGTGTGCCTGTAGCCCCAGCTACTCAGGAGGCTGAGGCAGAAGAATCGCTTGAACCCAGGAGGAGGAGGTTGCAGCGACAGAGCGAGACTACATCTCAAAAAAAAAAAAAAAAAAGAACCAAATCCTTTCCTTGCAATTTTAAACATCTTTGATTGGAAGAATTTTACATTCATATAATTCAAATTTTATTTCTGCATTCATACATTTCCAAACTTATTTCTTCTCCACTCACACATGGTTTTGGTGCCAGGTACTGTAGAACAAGTTCTTATAGCAGGGCAACCTCAGGTCATAAGTCTTGTGAGATGATGCCAGCCGAGTCAGCACAATGCATAGCAGGAGGATTCCTGGAAGGCTTTCCTACACCAATATGGCACACAATAACTAAGTATCCAGGAAAGTGACTCTAGAAGCCACACAAACATATTCCTCTACACCTACTTATCACTTTAGCTTAACCGCCAAAATTCCATTGGCCATTTCATTGCATTTATCAGGTAGGGAAGTATGACCAAGAAAAAACTGAATGGGAAAAAGCAGCAAACTTAATCAATTGCAGTCAAGATGCCTTATATTGCATAGTTAACCAAAACATATGGCTAGTGAATACATTGCTAAGGCCCTTCCAAGGGCCTTGCTACATGTAAGAGAAACATCTAAAATTGGAAAATAAGAAAGTTGAAAGTAACAAATTTTTAAAAAGTTATAACCAAATTCTTATCGAAGCAAGCTGGTATAACTGTATAAATATTAGACAAAGTAGACTTTAAGTCAACAAGTACAGATAAAGATAGTGATTTCATAAAGATAAAACATAATCATTTTAATTTTTAAAAGGTATTCAGATAATAACAAAGCAAGAAAAAAATACACAAATCCACAATGAAGCAAGTAAAATTTCCTTACAACATCTCTATTGAGACACAATTCACATAAAATAAAATTCACCTGTCTAAGATGTACAGTCCAGAGGTTTTTAATGTTCATAGAATTATGCAAACATAACCACTATCTAATTTCAAAAACATTTTTATCACTCCCCAAAGAAACTCCATACACATTAGCAGTTACTCTCAATTGAACTCCTTCCCCAGCCTTTGGCAACCACTAATTGAGTTTCTCTTTCCACGGATTTACGTACTCTGGACATTTTATATATATATGGGATTATATAATATGCAGTCTTTTGTGACTGGTTTCCTTCACATAGCACAGTATCTTTGAGGTTCATCCATGTTGTAACTTGTATCATCACTTCATTCTTTTTCATGGCTGAATAAAGAATACACCACATTTTGTTAGTCCATTTATCAGTTAATAGACCCTTGGGTTTTTTTTTTTTAATTTTGACTATTATGAATAAGGCATCTGTGAACGTTTTGGTGCAAGTTTTTGTGTGGATATGTTTTCAGTCATCTGGGACATGCTTAGGAAAAGAATTCTCCCATCATATATTAGCTTTATGTTTAACCTTTTGAGTAATTGTCAAACTGTCTTCTCTAGTGCCTGTACATTTTACAATCCCACAGGCAAGATTGGATAGTTCCAATTTCTCCACATCCTTGACAGAACTTATTATTGCCTGTCTTTTTTGTTTTAGTGATTCTAGTGAGTGTGAAGTGGTATCACACGGTGGTTTTAATTTGCATTTCCCTAATTGGTAGTGAGATTAATAATCTTTTCATAAGCTGATTTGCCACTTGTATACCATATTTGGAGAAATATCTATTCAGTTTTTTAATCCATTATTCTATCAGGTTGTTCGATGTTTTCTAGCTCAGTTGTAAGAATTTTTTATATATATTCAAGATACAAATCCCTTGTAATTTGCAAGTATTTCCTCCATTTTGTGGTGGTCCTTCACCTCTTTAATTGTGTGCATTAAATCACAAACATTTTTATTTTTGTTGACTTTTATGTGTTTTGTTCTTTTGTTGTTTATACTTAGGGCATCATAACTGAGAAACTGTTGACTAATCCAAAGTCATGAAAATTTACTCGTGTTTTCTCCTAAGAGTTTTATGTATTTGTCTCTTAAGTTTAGATCTGTGGGCCCTTTTTAGTTAGTTTTTATACATGATGCGAGATAGAGAAATAAATTTCTTTTCCATGTGGATATCCCATCCACTTGTACTAGAACCATTCACAGAAACTCTTCTATCCTCGTTAAATTGGCTTGACAGCCTAGTCAAAACCAATTCATTGTAAATGCAAAAATTTATTCCTGGAATTTCAATTCTGTGTACTGATCTATATGTCAGTCCTTATGGTAGTATCACATTATATTGATAACTATCCTTGTAGAAAGTTTTAAAATTGGGAAGTCTGAGTTCTTCAATTTTGTTCTTTTTAAAATTTGTTTTGGTTGGAAAGCTAAACATTTCCATGTGAATATCAGAAACAGCTTGTTAAAATCTGTAAAACAAATCACTGGGATTTTGACAGAAATTTAATTGAATCTTTAGATCAGTTTGGAGAGTATTGTCATCTTAGCTATATGTGTATAATACATAAGCAAAGAAAACAGTGATGTGACTATTAAAATATAGAAGATCTGTTCAAGTCACTATAAACTAAATAAAAACACAGTTACAAAAATGACACAAGATATTTTCAACACATATATTTAAGAACTCAGATCCTGAATATATAAAGAATTCCTATAAATAAATTAGAAAAAGAAAGTGAACACAAATAAAATGGTCCCAAGACTAAAATAACTATTTGATGTAAATGAATATCCAAATGACCCAATAGCCATATGTAAATATACTCAACTTAATTACAAATAAAATAATACAAATTAAAAATAACATGAGAAAGCAGTACTTGGTTACCAAGCTAACTAAAATTGATAAGAATAAGAATAAGAAAATATTAGTGTTGGTGAGGATATGGGACAGCAGAAACTCATACACTGCAGGTACATTCACTTTTGAAAATAGTTTAAAATTATTCAGTAATATTGAAAATAATTTGACATTATCTAATTAAAATAAATAAAGCCTAGATATTTTTGTAAATGTACATAAAAAAATGTACTATAATGTTCACAGCATCGTTGATGTTATAGCCCCAAACTGAAATAATCCAAATATCCATTAACAGTAGAGTGAATAAGTAAATGGTAGTATGTTGACAAACTAGAATGCTCTCCAACAATAAAAAATAGCTACAGATAGTCCCATCAATAAAATGGCTTTCATAAACATGAAATTTAGCAAAAAATAAAGTCAACAAAGGATTCAACATAATTTCAATGTAATGCCACTCAAAAAAAAGAAAAAACAATATTATAATTTTAAATATTTGCAAACAGATAATAATGCTGCAAAGAAAAAAATAAGAGTTGAAAGGAAAGGGTAAAAGCAAGAAGAAACATACAATAGGTCTACGAGTTAACTGGTGAGTTTCTAATTCCTAACTTGGGTATTGTTTAAATGTGTGTTTGCCCGAATCCAGCAGCACATCAAAAAGCTTGCCCACCACCATCAAGTAGGCTTTATCCCTGGGACGCAAGGTTGGTACAACATATGCAAATTAATAAATCTGATTCATCACATAAGCAGAACTAAAGATAAAAATCACCTGATGATCTCAATAGATGCAGAAAAGGCTTTTGATAAAATTTGACATCCATTGTGAACTAAAAACTCTCAATAAACTAGGTATTGAAGAAACATACCTCAAAATAATAAGAGCCATATATGACAACCCCACAGCCAACATCATATTGAATGGACCAAAGCTGGAGGCATCCCCCTTGAAAACTGGCACAAGACAAAAATATCCTCCCTCACCACTCTGATTCAACATAGTATTAGAAGTTCTGGCTGGGGCAATCAGGCAAGAGAAAGAAATAATGGGCATCCAAATAGGAAGAGTGGGACTCAAAATATCCCTGTTTGCAGCTGACAAAGATGCCAAAAGCAGTTGCAACAAAAGCAAAAATTGACAAATGGGATCTAATTAAACTAAAGAGCTTCTGCACAGCAAAAAAAAAAAAAAAAAAAAAAAAAAAAAAAAAAAAAAAAAAAAGAGTATACAGACAACCTACGGAATGGGAGAAAATTTTTGCAAACTATGCATCTGGCAAAGATCTATGTCCAGCATCTATAAGTAACTTAAACAAATTTACAAGAAGCAAACAAACAAACAACACCATTAAAAAAGTGGACAAAGGACATGAATACACACTTTTCAAAATAAAACATATATGTGGCCAACAATCATATGAAAAAAAGCTGAACGTCACTGATCATTAGAGAAATGCCAATCAAAACCACAATAAGATACCATCTCACACGAGTCAGAATGGCAATTATTATAAAGTCAAAAAAGTAACAGATGCTGGCAAGGTTATGGAGAAAGGAATGCTTATACATTGTTTGTGGGAGTGTAAATTAGTTCAACCATCGTGGAAGACAATGTAGTGATTCCCCAAAGACCTAAAGACAGAAATACCATTTGACCCCGCAATCCCATTACAGGGCATATACCCAAAGAAATATAAATCATTCTACTATAAAGACACATGCTCGTGCTCTTTCCGCCATCTTTCTGCACTGCCGCAATGGTGCGCACGAATGTCCTGGCTGATGCTCTCAAAAGGATCAACAATGCAAAAAAGAGAGGCAAACGCCAGGTGCTTCTTAGGCCGTGCTCCGAAGTCATCATCCGGTTTCTCACTGTGATGAAGCATGGTTACATTGGCGAATTTGAAATCACTGATGATCACAGAGCTGGGAAAATGGTTGTGTACCTCACAGACAGGCTAAACAAGTGTGGAGTGATTAGCCCCAGATTTCATGTGCAACTCAAAGATCTAGAAAAATGGCAGAATAATCTGCTTCCATCCTACCAGTTTGGTTTCATTATACTGACAACCTCAGCTGGCATCACAGACCGTGAAGAAGCAAGACGAAAACACACAGGAGGGAAAATCCTGGGATTCTTTTTCTAGGGATGTAATACATATATTTACAAATAAAATGCCTCATGGAAAAAAAAAGACACATGCACTTGTATGTTCACTGCAACACTATTCACAATAGCAAAGACATGGAATCAACCTAAATGCCCATCAATAATAGAATAAAGAAAATGTGGAATAATAGGATGAAGAAAATGTGGAACCTATATACCATGGAATACTATGCAGCCATAAAAAAGAATAAGATCATGTCTTTGCAGGGACATGGATGGAGCTGGAGGCCTTATCCTTAGCAAACTAACACAGGAATAGAAAACCAAATACCACATGTTCTCATTTAGTGAGATCTAAATGATGAGAACACATGGATACATAGACGAGAACAACACACACTAGGGCCTGTAGCAGGGTGAAGGGTGGGAGGAGGGAGAAGATTTTTAAAAAAATAACTAATAGATACTAGACTTAATACCTGGGTGATGAAATAATCTGTACAACAAACCCCCATGAAACAAGTTTACCTAAGTAACAAACCTGCACATGTACCCCTGAACTTAAAAATAAATACATGAAATCAAATAAATGTGTGACTGCTTTACAATTATTCCTTAAACTATACATTTTGGGATTCTTATGCAAGTGTGTGATATATTTTATCTTTTGTTTTCTTTTTTTGAAATGGAATTTCGCTCTTGTTGTCCAGGCTGGAGTGCGGTGGCACGACCTCGGTTCACGGCAACCTCCGCCTTCCGGTTTCAAGTGATTCTCCTGCCTCAGCACCCTGAATAGATGATGGGATTACAGGCACCTGCCACCACGCCCAGCTAATTTTTATATTTTTAGTAGAGACGGGGTTTCACCATGTTGGCCAGGCTGGTCTCGAACTCCTGACCTCAGGTGATCCGCCCACCTCGGCCTCCCAAAGTGCTGGGATTACAGGCATGAGCCACTGCGCCCGGCCATATTTTATAATTTTTAAATGTGTAAAAATAATGTGTGGGGTAGCATTAGTCAGGAAAAGACTATAAGAAGGGGGAGTATAGGAAATCACTAGTTGAATGAGTGAGGAAATAGCCATCAAAACAACCTATTTTCTTTCAACAGATGTGCATTGAATGAACTGACTTGAACGACTGACTGCAGAGTCATGGTACAGAAAATGGGCTGGTTTCAGGGCCTGTAGAAACCAGTAGGTGCAGGAGCCTGAGTGTTATATTTAACTATTTAGTTTTATTAATTAAATGTTTCCTACTAAATGTTTTAACATTTTCTTAATCTCATTACTCATTGAATGCAAGAGTAATTCTTGACAACATATCTGTCTATCTATCTATCTATCTATCTATCTATCTATCTATCTATCTGTGTGTGTGTGTGTGTCCCATATTTTATTCCTCAATTTGGAAAAATAGCTTACCTAGTAGATGTTCGATATATAATACATGGAATTAATACCAAATTTGCACACAGTGCTCCATTATAAGATGACTTTCTATTATCTAATGATTTTTACCTATAGCTAGGCTAGATGGACAGAATCATCTAAAACCCTTTTAAAACTTCTTTTATTTTAATTAAAGCTGGTCTCTTAGTTAAGCAAATATGTCCTTCATGCCACAAAGTGACCTCTTGCCTAAAGCATTCTATTCAACTGAGAAAAGGACGTATGATATGTCTTTCTCCTGAAGGTAGTGCTCATGTACCCTGGCATGAACACTGCAAATTCAGTTCTATTAAAAGTAATGAAGTACGAATGTCAGTACAATTATCTGCAAACAGTTTGTGTCTGTTCAGGCTTTTTCACAGTTCAGGGTAATAACTGCTGTAGGCTTATAAAATTTATGTGCAGCATAGCCTAACTGCATGATGTTTATGTGGATGTTAACTCATAGTTGGCTTTTTTTTCTTCAGATACCCAAAAGGTCTACCTAGAAGATGATTTTGGTCTCAAAATCTGTTACTAGAAGTGAATTGGAGAGTATCCAGTTCACAATATTTAGACAAAGGCTCTGTGTGTGTATGTGTGTGTATACTGTTTTACACTGTTTATGAAAAGGTCTTTTAAATATATGTTTATGTATACCTGTATGTATATACCCTTTTTTTTCATGCTGTAGAGTTATCAGTCACAGAGTTGGAGATAGGCTGACTAGTTTTTGCTAATTGTATGATTTGGCACAATTACTTAGATTTTCTTTGCCTCAGCTTCCTCAAATGTAACAAGGGAAAATAGTATTACCTAACTCTTAGAATTATGCTAACAATCTTATATGAATACTAAATGAGATCAAACTTGCATGCCATTTATCCTAATATTGGGCATATAGTATCTAATAAATGTTAGTTATTATCAGTAATAGTAAAAATACTATCAGTAATAGTAAAAATAAAGAAAATACTGATATATGCATCCCATGCATACCTAGATTTACTTTTATTGATAATAATTGATAAATATGTTTCTTTTCTTTGACTACCCTTTATTTCATAGATAAACCAATGTTGCAGAATCAGTACAGAGAGAAAAATTGTAGGCAGACTTCTAAGATGCCTGTAATGACTCTTCCCTCATGTTATTCATGCCCTTTCCTAACTACCTTCACTTGCATCTGGGATGAACCTAGTAACCCACTTTTAGTGAACTGAGTAAAGCAAAGGTGATGGGATGGTACTACCAAGATTAGATTAGTGATTGCCATCATGCTAGCACACCTCCCTCTTGTCTTTTTGCTTGTTTGCTCTGATGAGGCAAGCTGTTATGCTGTAAGTTGCTCTGCAGAGTGGCCCAAGTGGCAAGAAATTGACGGCAACCTCTGACCAATAGCCAGTAAATAACTGAGGCTCTCAGAGAAACTGATGTCTTTAGTGTGACAACCACGAGCAACTGAATTTTGCCAACAACCATGTGAATGGGCTTGGAAGGGGACTTTTTTTCCAGCTGAACCTTTCTTCATCTGCAGTCCTAAACCACACCTTGATTGCAACTTGAAACGGAACACTCAGGCTAGCCTCACCTGGATTCTCAAACTATGAGACAATACATGTTTTTGTTTTAAGCCACTAAGTTTAGGGATAGTTTGTTGTGCAGCAACAAATAACTAACATAAGGAGCAAGGACTTGAAACAAGAGCCATGTTTTCCAGTATACCAAATAATCTCTAAAGAGGAGTTAGGGAATGTTAAGACCTTTATGTGTAAACTACAAATACAACTGTTTTGTAGAAGAGATTGTACTTACTCTGTTTTTTCAAATCTAAGCCTTGCTTTTATTTTTTTTTAAGCATTCTTCTCTTCCTCCATAAAAATGAATCCAAACAATAATTATTTTAGAAACTGTCTTCGTACCCAACTGATGTATTTATGATATTAAAAATGACTTTTATGGGTTTAAAGGTTTTATAAAGATTTATATATGATTTTCTGGAGGGAAATTGGAAATAAAAAAGGATAACAATAGGATATAAGGCAATAAGCTCTCAAGTCTAGAAACAAAGTAATTTATCTTTGTAGCCTTAGCAGTTAGCACAGAATCTGGCACACAGAACACAACACAGATTTGTTTTTCTTGTTCTATGAAAACAATTGTATTTTTAAAAAATAAGAACTATGTAAATAGAGTACAGATTTTGGAGCCAGGACTATTTTATTTCAAATAGTGCTTCTACCCCCACTAGCTATATGACCTCAGGCAAGCCACTTACTCCCTTAGAAACTGAAAATTACAACTGAATTTCATTTTGTAAAAAGAAAAAATTAAGAAAGTTTGTTGAGAGGGATATAGTCCTTGTATTAGTCTGTTTTCATGCTGCTGATAAAGACATACCCGAGACTGGGAAGAAAAAGTTTTTTAATTGGACTTACAGTTCCACATGGCTGGGGAGGTCTCAAAATCATGGCAGGAGGTAAAAGGCACTTCTTACATGGTGGCGGCAAGAGAAAATGAGGAAGAAGCAAAAGCGGAAACCTCTGATAAACCCATCAGATCTCATGAGACTTATTCACTATCATGAGAATAGCATGGGAAAGACCAGTCCCCATGATTCAATTACCTCCCCCTGGGTCCCTCCCACAACACATGGGAATTCTGGGAGATACAGTTCAAGTTGAGATTTGGGTGGGGACACAGCCAAACCATATCAGTCCTGATAGATATTAAAATATTATAACCATAACAATTTTAAATGAATGTTTATAGAAAAAGAATAGGCACACAGTTCAGTGACTCAATATTGAATGTCCATTAGTCAATCTAAGTACAGTTTGGTAATTTAAGAGTAGTAAATATAGGATTTCAAATAATTTAGGGAAAAAGGATATTTGGATAACAGGATGTTTAAATAACAGGATATTTACAAAAAAAACAAAAGACATGGAATACTTAATGACACATATAAATTACCATGTTAAAATTCCGAAAATAAACTTGTTAGTATATTAAAATAATAAATTAATACAAACAAGACCACTAACCTGTAAGGAATGTGTTCAAAGAATATAAAGCATAAATCCATAGGAAAACATACAAGATTGCCTAGTACATCTGGGAAAAAGGACAGATTACCTCTCTTTTAAGTTGCATTCATGAAAGTCCATGTAAAGCACTGACTTATAATTGCTTATTGGTTAGATTGCCAAAGACGAAAAGTAATGGTAGTATCAAATGTGAGTCATGATGCACGGATGTTACCCAAACACCAGGGTTTGGTTGGGGTTCTAATACTCACTGCATGACCAGCCAATAATTGAGACAATGAATATTACAAGGGAAGAAGCCTTTATTCAGATGCTGCAGCTAAGGAGATGGAATATAAATCTTGAATCCATCTCCCCAGTTCTCTGACTATAATTGAAGGTTTATATAGTAAGGAAGGAATGTAGCTATGTGCAGGAAAATGGGAATTAGGGAGGGAAGGAAGAGGAGTTGGTCAACAGGAAGCAGATGATCAGTTAGAAAAGCAGGAATTAGGGGACAAGGAAGAGGCATTTCAGTTCCTTAATACTATCTGGGAAGCCTGAGGGTTGGTTTCCTGAGGAGGGAATTCAGATAAGACAAATGCAAGTTTCAATTGACCAGGAAGGTCAATTTCTATGTTTATGCAAACAAAAACAACAATAAAAACAAAAACCATCTGTAAACATAAGGTCTATGGGGAAATTGAACCTGTTTCAGGGAAACAAACTTTTATAAATTCTATGTGAGAGAATACAATGAACAAGTCTTTATTGAAGGACACTTGTCACTATCTATGATAATTAAGAATCCGTACACCACTCTAGGCCAGGCACAGTGGCTCACGCCTGTAATCCCAGCACTTTGGGAGCCGGAGGTGAGGTGCATGGATCACTTGAGGTCAGGAGTTTCAGATCAGCCTGGCCAACATGGTGAAACTCTGCCTCTACTAAAAATACAAAACATTAGCAGGTGGTGGCAGCTGTAATCCCAGCTACTTAGAAGGCTGAGGCAGGAGCATCACTTGAACCTGGGAGGCAAATGCTGCAGTGAACCAAGATCATGCCACTGCACTCCAGCCTGAGAGGCAGAGCAAGACTAACCTCAAAAAAAAAAAAAAAAAAAAAAAAAAAGAGAACCCACACACCACTCTTCTAGAAAATTCTGAGGAGATTATTGTAGTGGCATAAAGTTGGAGTTTCCAAAATCATATCGTAAAAAGAGACACAGAAAGTTGGATAGCAAAACAAAACCTCACAGCTAGCAAATACAACAAAAATGGATAATAAAGTATCGTCATGGACTCCAAAATACAAGCAGATGGAATGAACCACCAATAACAATATTATTGCAATGTACAACATCTCTAGGAGGTATGAGAATAAAGTCAACGGGCATCTAAATGACCTGGAAAACATTCTCACCAGAAAACAATCACTACAAGTGAAACCTGGTAAGATGCAAAATCTAGATTGTTATAAACTCCACAAAGCAAACATGTTTTCTTCAACAACAACAAAAAAGTAAGAAAAAAAGGGATAACAGGATGCCCAGGAAGCATTATATCTGGTTCCTGATTTAAGCAAACTATAAAACAACTGACAACCGAAAATATGCACGCTGACTAGCTAGATATTTGAGGATTTTTTAAAAGAACTTTTTAATATGTACAAGTTGTATCACAGTTAGGTTAAAATTAAAAGTCATTATCTCTTAGAGAGGTATATTGAAATACGTATAGTTGAAACGGCATGATTTGCTTTATAAAAAGCAATGCTAATCATAAAAATGATATTCTTCAAAATAAAATGGGAAGGGAAGAAGTGGATGGGAATATAGGTGAAATAATACTTGCCATTTGTTGATAATGATTGAAAGAGAATGCTAATTACTTGTGGGTTTTGTACTATTCTGTTTTAGTATATGTTTAAAATTTTTGATAATAAGTTAAAACTGCATACACCATTGACTTGGTAATTTTACTTCTATCAGTTTATCTACAGATACACTAACAAACATAATTGTAAAGCAGATGTGAAATGAACGGCAAAAAATCTAGAACTAACTTAAAGGAGATGTCGTACCTGGTTGAAAAACATAAACTGTTATAACAAATAATAGAAATATATAGGTATTAAATAGCAAGTTTCCTGTGGACTAATCATAATGTTAAAAAAAGAAACTTGCAGCAAATTATTTCTCCTAAGTAATATATTAAATCTACATACAGCAGTCCTCCCTTAGCTATGACTTCACTTTTCATGATTTCAGTTATCCACAGACAACTGCAGTTCAAAAATATTAAACAGAAAATTCTAGAAATAAACAATTTATAAGTTTTAAATTGCATGTTGTTCTGAGTAGCATGATGAAATGTGGCACCATCCTGCTTTGTCCCACCCAGGATATGAATTATCCTTTCGTCCAGCATATCTATACTATACAGTATGAATGTATAGAAAAAATACAGTATATATAGAGAGGTCAGTACAATCTTCAGTTTCAGGTATCCACTGGAGGTCTTGAAACATATTTCCTGAGGATAAGGGCAGACTACTATATATAAATTTAGGTCAGTGAGAAATATATAATTAAATAAAATGTGTGTATATACGCTTGTAAATATATATACACATATGTGTGCATGCACACAAAACCACACATACACATTGCATGTCCCTAGAATGGTTTTGGTAGAATATGTACCAAATTGATATCAGTGGCAAGTTTTATAACATGCTTTTTTGTTTTATTTTGTTTTCATTATCACTTATCCATTTATTCACTCATTCATTTAACATATATTAATTTAGCATATACTATTGCCATGTACTGTTGTAGGTATTGGAATATGCTACTTAACAACATGGACATAAATCACTGTTCTCCCAGAAATATAATCTTGAGAGATGGATAATATACCAGATAAATACGTAAGAATTACAGTATGTCAAGAGACAAACAGAAAAGGAGTGGGAGAGGGAGACTGATGAATTTTTAGATAGAATGGCTAGGGAAAGCCACATTGAAAGGGCAACTTTTAATTAAAGACTTGAAGGAAATGTGGGAAATAAGCTTAGTGATTTTCTTGGCAAAAAGCTGTAAAGCAGAGAGAACAGCAATTAGATGATTCTGTAGCAAGATTATGCCTTCTAAATTTGAAGAACAGCTTGGAGATCAGTGTGGCTGAGAGGAATGTGGGGAACGGTTATAGGAGATGAATTCAGAGAGGAAGCTGGGCGCTGAATCTTGTAGTAAAGATTTAGTATTTTACAATGAGAGAGATGGGAAAGGGCATCAGATCTTTCTTGTTTCTGGAATATTCGCTTTGGAGATTTTTCTTTATAGTTGTTTTGTTGTGATTTATAAGAAGTTTGTATTATTTTTCATAGGAAGATCCTTATAAAAAGACATCTACAGTTGTCTTCATTTAATTTGAAAGTGTTATGATTTCCAAAAAAGGCTTTCTATTAGCTTGGCTGCCAATGGTCATTCATCTGTGTGAGAACCAATGAAATCAAACCTTGAGTCACTTTTAAATACTCATGAGTTTACCTCTAATAATCTTCACTATTCTTTCGTGTAACCACCTGCTAAAACTCATCTCTTCACTTGTCACTACACTTAGATCTACTCTTTGTGTTCGTTCCTTGTAACTCTAGATAACAGAAATACCTGCATATGGACACAACAAGAAGATGTTGCTTCTATGAACAGAAATTCACTTTCCCAACAAGTGGTTTTACCAACCAATCACTTATAATCTATAAGTAATTATATCATGCTAGTCACATGTCTTGTGTGTAGCCTAAAGAGAGAGTTACATCTTTCTGAAGTCTTTCGGTAAGACGGCATGTCCTCATGAACAGAAAAGTTATATCCCATATATGACCATCTCCTCCCTAATAAGACAGTAGAGCTTTCCTCCAATGGCTACTTCATGCTGTGTTTGCCAGTACAGCCCTTGCTAAACCTTATTTAGTGCTGGTTCCTAATTGAGTAGTTAAGTGTTGGTATAGACAGCTTTTATTTATGAGTCAAGAAAGAAAAGAAAGATGTATGTTGCTATCAAGTTTTAATTGAAGCACACTTTACTCTCTTTTGACTAAGTACCTCATTGCCATTTTCATAATGATTACAACCTCGAGAGGAAGCTCTTCTGATAACTGCAGGCTGGTAATGAGAAAGCATGCTGTGCTGTAGCTAAATGACAGCTGAGATTTCCCCCACAATAATATATAATCCATGAAGAGATTAGAATTAAATGGAACTGTCCTGTTTTAGGGAGTCTAAAAGGAGCCTTTGATGTGAACTTGCAGCTTAATGTTGAAACGTAAAGCTCTGTCACCCTCTCCTTATGTTTAAAGAAATGGCATGATTATTACTTCCCCTCACCTCTACCAGAAAAAAAAAACCCAAAATATTAATTTTCACTGGATGCGCTATCAGTTAGGAATTATGTTTAACTGTCTATGACAGGGAAGTCTACATAACTATGACTAAAACAAGACATACTTATTTCCTCACTGATTAAGGAGGCCTGAAAGTGGACAGTTTACATTCGTACGGAAGCTGCAGTCAGCAGCAGGAACTTCGGCTTCTTCACTGTTTTTCCTTTGCCATCTTTAGTGTATGGCCTTTTTTTCTTTTTCTTTTTTTTTTTTTTTTTTTTTTGCCCAGGCTAGAGTGCGACGGCAGGATCTTGGCTCACTGCAGCCTCTGCCTCCTGAGTAGCTGGGATTACAGACTCCCACCACCATGCCCGGCTAAATTTTGTATTATTTTTGTGTGTGTGTGAAGATGGATTTCACTATGTTGGCCAGGCTGGTCTCAAATTCCTGAGCTCAAGGGATTTGCCCACCTCAGCCTCTCAAAGTGCTGGGATTACAGGTGAAAGTCACCGTGCCCGGCAGTCCATAGCTTTCTATTTCAAGGTTTCCTAATGGTCCAAGACGGCTGCTAGAGTTCTAACTATCATAGCAACATTCCAACAAGAATAAGGAAGAAGAAGAAAGATAAAGGACTCACTGCTAGCTGAGGCAGCCCCCTGGAAAAAATATCAATAATGTCTACCTACATCTCATTGGCCACCTTTCACTATAAGAATCAGTCATATAGACTTTTAGCTGGGCTAATTGCATCTTTATAATGTAAGGGTTTTATTAAAAGCAATTGCAAACACTGCAGTTGCTTTTGCACCAACCTAATAATAAGAGTACTTATAGTTTACTTGGCTGACCCCTGCTGATATTGATCCTGTCTTTTTAAAAGGGAAGCTCTGAATGATGGCTGGGTGTGTAACACATAGTTGTTTAGTCACTAAAGAGTGAGTTTACTCTGTCACTCCTTTCCAACATTTTAACTATAAAAGAGAGCATAATTGAAAGCCTGCTGATTGAGGACTAGGTCTAGAAATCAATGACTGTGGACTTAGTAATGGATCCCTAAAGTTTTTTCTAATTTGATTTCCTTCCTTTATATCCTATCATTTATCTTCCTAATAAACATTTGGTTTATGCTTTCTTTAAGGAAACACAGAGTGAAGGTTAGTATGTTAAAGCTTTTGCTGACCCTGTTGTTAAGAAATGTGTTTAAAGGTGGGTACAGTGGCTCACACCCATAATTCCAATGATTTGGAAAGCTGAGTCAGGAGCATCACTTAAGACCAGGGGTTCAAGAGTAGCCTGGGCAACACAGCAAGACCTCCATCTCAGAAAGAATAAAAGAAAGAAAGAGAGAGAGCAATATATTTGAATATGTTTGATCTAGTCTTTCTGAAATTACTTGACCTTCAGAAACCACCCCCTCCTGCCTCTCCTTGAAAACACACATAACATCTCAAAGAACAGAAAAATATCAAAATAGTTTGGGAAACATGGAGATAAGTCTTAGAGGAGCTTCTTTATGCTTCATCGAGACAGAAATGTTATCATGATAGAGATTATTTTGCAGGCATGATAACTTTTTCTAACTCTTTGAATAAGAGGTATAATATGAATACCAGTTTACTGGGAACCACTAAGCTTATTTTGAGATCAGTAAAGCAGTTTTTTTTTTCTTTTTCTTTGAAGAACTACAAAATGGAAATACTTATCCAAAAGCTTTATCTTTAGCCCTTTGTATTTCAGTTTTTAACACAGTAAACCTTCTCTTGCCAACCCATGGTAGCTTTTGGTAGAGAAAAGAACCCTAGCAGAATGTGTTAAAAAATAAATAAATAAATCTCTGGTACTTGTAAGAGACACTCTTTATTTTTCCATTTTTTTTTTCACATTACTTCGCTTCACCAAGTTCATTTAATATAGTTTGGAGTTCCAATTAAAGTTCTAAGTGGATCCCTATATGGTTTATTACAAAGGAGATCACATAATAGCAGCTAAATAAAATGCAGGTCAGATCTTCTATTCTTTCATTTAAAAAAACAATGTTTATTAGAATAGTTGGCAAGATGGCCGAATAGGAACAGCTCTGGTCTGCAGCTCCCAGTGAGATCAATGCAGAAAGCAGATGATTTCTTCATTTCCAACTGTGGTACCTGGCTCTTCTCACTGAGACTGGTTAGACAGTAGGTGCAGCCAACAGAGGACGAGTCAAAGCAGGGTGGGGTGTTGCCTCACCTGGGAAGTGCAAGGGGTCAGGGAATTCCCTCCCCTAGCCAGAGAAAGCCATGAAGACTGTGCCGTGAGGAATGGTGCATTCTGGCCCAGATACTAGGCTTTTCTCATGGTGTTCGCAACCCGCAGACCAGGAGATTCCCTCCGGTGCCTACACCACCAGGGCCCTGGGTTTCAAGCACAAAACTGGGTGGCCGTTTGGGCAGACACAGAGCTAGATGAAGGAGTTTTTTTTCATACCCCACTGGCACCTGGAAGCAAGACAGAACCCTTTATTCCTTTGGAAAGGGTGCTGAAGCCAGGGAGCCAAAGTGGTCTAGCTCAGCGGATCCCACGCCGACAGATCCCAGCAAGCTAAGATCCACTGCATTGAAATTGTCGCTGTCAGCACAGGAGTCTGAAGTCGACCTGGAATACTGGAGTTTGGTTGGGGGAGGGACGTCTGCCATTACTGAGGCCTGAGTAGGTGGTTTTCCCCTCACAGTGTAAACAAAGCCGCCAGGATGTTCGAAGTGGGCAGAGCCCACTGCAGCTTGGCAAAGCTGCTGTAGCCAGACTGCCTTTCTAGATTCTTCCTCCCTGGGCAGGGCATCTCTGAAAGAAAGGAAGCAGCCTCAGTCAGGGGCTTATAGATAAAACTCCATCTTCCTGGGACAGAGCACCTGGGGGAAGGGGCGGCTGTGGGTGCAGCGTCTGCAGACTTAAATGTCCCTGCCTGCTGGCTCTGAAAAGAGCAGTGGATCTCCAGGCACAGTGCCCAAGCTCTGCTAAGGGACAGACTGCCTCCTCCCTCATGGTGGTCCCTGACCCCTATGCCTCCCAACTGGAAGACACCTCCCAGCAGGGGTTGACAGACACCTCATACAGGAGAGCTCTGGCTTTCATCTGGCAGGTGCCCGACTGGGACAAATCTTCCAGAGGAAGGAACAGGCAGCAATCATGGTCGTTCTGCAGCCTCTGCTGGTGATACCCAGGCAAACAGGATCTGGAGTGGACCTCCAGCAAACTCCAGCAGACCTGCAGCAGAGGGGCCTGACTGTTAGAAGGAAAACTAACAAACAGAAAAGAATAGTCTCAACACCAACAAAACAGACATCTACACAGAAACCCCATCTGAAGATCACCAACATCAAAGACCAAAGGTAGATAAATCCATGAAAATGAGGAAAAACCTGTGCAGAAAGACTGAAAATTCCAAAAACCAGAACGCTTCTTCTCCTCCAAAGGACCATAACTCCTCAACAGCAAGGGAACAAAACTGGAAGAGAATGAATTTGACAAATTTACAGAAGTAGGCTTCATAAGGTGGGTAATAACAAACTCCTCCGAGCTAAAGGAGCATGTTCTAACCCAATGCAAGGAAGCTAAGAACCTTGAAAAAAGGTAAAAGGAATTGCTAACTATAATAACCAGTTTAGAGAAGAACATAAATGACCTGATGGAGCTGAAAAACACAGCATGAGAACTTCATGAAGCATACACAAGTATCAATAGCAGAATCGATCAAGCAAAATAAAGGATATCAGAGATTGAAAACCAACTTAATAAAATAAATCATGAAGACAAGATTAGAGAAAAAAAGAATGAAAAGGAATGAACAAAGCCTCCAAGAAATATGGGGCTATGTGAAAAGACCAAATCTACATTTGACTGGCGTACCTGAAAGTGACAGGGAGAATAGAAACAAGTTGGAAAACACTCTTCAGTATATGATCCAGGAAAACTTCCCCAACCTAGCAAGGCAGGCCAACATTCAAATTCAGGAAATACAGAGAATGCCACAAAGATACTCCTCGAGAAGAGCAACCCCAGGAAACAGAATCCTCAGATTCACCAATGTTGAAATGAACAAAAAAATGTTAAGGGCAGCCAGAGAGAAAGGTCGGATTAACCACAAAAGGAAGCCCATCAGACTAACAACAGATCTCTCTGCAGAAACTTTACAAGCAGAAGAGAGTGGAGGCCAATATTCAACATTCTTAAAGAAAAGAATTTTCAACCTAGAATTTCATATCCAGCCAAACTAACCTTCATAAGCAAAAGAGAAATAAAATCCTTTACAGACAAGCAAATGCTGAGAGATTTTGTGACCACTAGGCCTGCCTTACAAGAGAGCTCCTGAAGGAAGCACTAAATATGAAAAGGAAAAACTGGTACCAGCCACTGCAAAAACATCCCAAATTGTAAAGACCATCAACACTATGAAGAAACTGCATCAACTAACAGGCCAAATAGCCAGCTATCTTCATAATGACAGGATCAAATATTAACCAAAACCATAACAATATTAACCAAAAATGTAAATGAGCTAAATGCCCCAATTAAAAGACACAGACTAGCAAATTGGATAAAGAGCCAAGACCCATTGGCGTGCTGTATTCAGGAGACCCATAACATGTGCAAAGACACACATAGGCTCAAAATAAAGGGATGGAGGAGTATTTACCAAGCAAATGGAAAGCAAAAAAACAGCAAGGATTCCAGTCCTAGTCTCTGATAAAATAGACTTTAAACCAACAAAGATCAAAAAAGACAAAGAAGGACATTATGTAATGGTAAAGGGATCAATGCAACACGAAGAGTTAACTCTCCTAAATATATATGCACCCAATACAAGATCACCCAGATTCATAAAGCAAGTTCTTAGAGACCTACAAAGAGACTTAGACTCCCACACACAATAATAGTGGGAGACTTTAGCACCCCACTCTCAACACTAGACAGATCAATGAAACATAAACTTAACAAGAATATTTAGGACTTGAAGTCAGATCTGGACCAAGTGGACCTAATAGACATCTACAGAACTCTCCACCCCAAATCAAAAGAATATACATTCTTCTCAGCACCACTTCACACTTATTCTAAAATTGACCACATAATTGGAAGTCAAACACTCCTCAGCAAATGCAAATTAACAGAAATCATAACAGTCTCAGATGACAGTGCAATCAAATTAGAACTCAAGATTAAGAAACCCACTCAAAATTGCACAATTACATGGAAACCGAACAACCAGCTCCTGAATGACTACTGGGTAAATAACAAAATTAAGGCAAAAATAAAGATGTTCTTTGAAACCAATGAGAACAAAGACACAATGTACAAGAATCTGTGGCACACAGCTGAAGCAGTGTTTAGAGGGAAATTTATAGCACTAAATGCCCACAAGAGAAAGCAGGAAAGATAATGCCCACAAGAGAAAGCAGGAAAGATATGAAATTGATACCCTATCATCACAATTAAAAGAGCTAGAGAAGCAAGACCAAACAAATTCAAAAGCGAGTGGAAGACAAGAAATAACTAAGATCACAGCAGAACTGAAGGAGATAGAGACATGAAAAACTCTTCAAAAAATCAATGAATCCAGGAACTGTTTTTTTGAAAAGATTAACAAAATAGATAGACCGCTAGCCAGATTAATAAAGAAGAAAAGAGAGAAGAATCAAATAGATACAATAAAAAAGGATAAAGGGGATATCACCACTGATCCCACAGAAATACAAACTACCATCAGAGAATACTATAAACAACTCTATGCAAATATACTAGAAAATCTAGAAGAAATGGTTAAATTCTTGGACACATACACCTTCCCAAGACTAAACCATGAAGAAGTCAGATCCCAGAATAGACCATTAAGAAGTTCTGAAATTGAGGCAGTAATTAATAGCCTACCAACCAAAAACAAAAAGCCTAGGACCAGATGGATTCACAGCCAAATTCTACCAGAGGTACAAAGAGGAGCTTTGAAACTATTCCAAACAATAAAAAAAGAAAGACTCCTCCCTAACTCATTTTATGAGGCCAGCATCTTCCTGATACCAAAACTTGTCAGAGACGCACAAAAAAAAGCAAATTTCAGGCCAATATCTCTGATGAACATCGATGCAAAAATCCTCAATAAAATACTGGCAAACCAAATCCAGCAGCACATCAAAAAGCTTATCTACCACAATCAAGTTGGCTTCATCTCTGGGATGCAAGGATGGTTCAACATATGCAAATCAATAAACATAATCCATCACATAAACAGAAGCGATGATGAAAGCCGCATGATTATCTCAATAGATGCAGAAAAGGCCTTCGATAAAATTCAACACTCCTTCATGCTAAAAACTTTCAATAAACTAGGTATTGATGGAACATATCTCAAAATAATAAGAGCTATTTATGACAAAACCACAGTCAATATCATACTGAATGGGCAAATCTGAAAGCATTCCCTTTGAAAATTGGCATTAGACAAGGATGCCCCCTTTCACCACTCCTATTCAACATAGTATTGGAAGTCCTGACCAGGGCAATCAGGCAAGAGAAAGAAATAAAAGGTATTCAAATAGGAAGAGAGGAAGTCAAATTGCAGATGACATGATTGTACTTTTAGAAAACCCCATCATCTCAGCCCAAAATCTCCTTAAGCTGATAAGCAACTTCAGCAAAGTATTAGGATACAAAATCAATGTACAAAAATCACAAGCATTCTTATGCACCAATAATAGAGAGCCAAATCATGAGTGAACTCCCATTCACAATTGCTACAAAGAGAAAAATATACCTAGGAATCCAACTTACAAGGGATGCAAAGGACCTCTTCAAGGAGAACTACAAACCACTGCTCAAGGAAATAAGAGAGGACACAAACATGAAAACATTCCATGCTCATGTATAGGAAGAATCAATATTGTGAAATTGGCTATACTGCCCAAAGTAATTTATAGATTCAATGCTATCCCCAATAAACTACCATTGACTTTCTTCACAGAATTAGAAAAAAACTACTTTAAATTTCATATGGAATCAAAAAAGAGCCCATATAGCCAAGACAATACTAAGCAAAAAGAACAAAGCTGGAGGCATCATGCTACCTGACTTCAAACTATACTAGAAGGCTACAGTAACCAAAACAGCATGGTACTGGTACCAAAACAGATATATAGACCAATGGAACAGGACAGAGGCCTCAGAAATAACACCACACAACTACAACCATCTGATCTTTGATAAACCTGACAAAAACAAGCAATGGGGAAAGGATTCCCTATTTAATAAATGGTGCTGGAAAAACTGGCTAGCCATGTGCAGAAAACTGAAACTGGGCCCCTTCCTTACACCTTACACAAAAATTAACTGAAGATGTATTAAAGACTTAAACAGAAGACCTAAAACCATGAAAACCCCAGAAGACAACCTAGGCAATACCATTCAGAACATAGGCATGGGCAAGGACTTCATGACTAAAACACCAAAAGCAATGGCAACAAAATCCAAAATTGACAAATGGGATCTAATTAAACTAAAGAGCTTCTGCACAGCAAAAGAAACTATCACCAGAGTGAATCAGCAACCTGCAGAATGGGAGAAAATTTTTGCAATCTATCCATCTGACAAAGGGCTAATATCCAGAATCTACAAAGAACTTAAACAAATTTATAAGAAAAAAAACAACCCCATTAACAAGTGGGTGAAGGATATGAACAGACACTTCTCAAAAATAAGACATTTATGCAGCCAATAAACATATGAAAGAAAGCTCATCATCACTGGTCATTAGAGAAATGCAAATCAAAACCACAATGAGATACCATCTCACACCAGTTAGAATGGCGATCATTAAAAAGTCAGGAAACAACAGATGCTGGAGAGGATGTGGAGAAATAGGAATGCTTTTACACTGTTGGTGGGAGTGTAAATTAGTTCCACCGTTGTGGAAGATAGTGTGGCAATTCCTCAAGGATCTAGAACCAAAAATACCATTTGACCCAGCAATCCCATTACTGGGTATATACCCAAAGGATTATAAATCATTCTACAGAGACACATACACACATATGTTTTTCGTAGCACTATTCACAATAGCAAACACTTGGATTCAACCCAAATGCCCATCAATAATAGACTGGATAAAGAAAATGTGGCACATATACACCACGGAACACTATGCAGCCATAAAAAAGGATGAGTTCATGTCCTTTGCAGGCACATGGATGAAGCTGGAAACCATCATTCTCAGCAAACTAACACAGGAACAGAAAACCAAACACTGCATGTTCTCACTTATAAGTGGGAGTTGAACAATGAGAACATATGGACACTGGGAGGGGAACATCACACACTGGGGCCTGTCAAGGGGTGGGAGGCTATGGGAGGGATAACATTAGGAGAAATATCTAATGTAGATGACGGGTTGATGGGTGCAGCAAACCACCATGGCACGTGTATACCTATGTAACAAACCTGCACGTTCTGCACATGTATCCCAGAACTTAAAATACAATTTAAAAAAATTTAAAAATGTTTATTAGATGCTTTCTATGGGCAAGGCATAGTTCTGGGCATAGTGTTAAATATTTGCAAAGTAACTGGAAATAATTTTTTGGCTAAGCTGTTTCTATCTAGCAGCAGTTATGTATTTATTATTCCACCGACTCTAATGGTGTACTCTAACTTAATATGTAGTAGTAAATAAATATCTAATGGGATAATTAAATCTCAGTAGGGACATAATTGCTGAATAGCATTCTAATACTCTGGGGACACCAGAGCTTTAGCTCATTTAGTCAAATAAATTTTATTATATGCATAGACAGTTTCTATTTTCTCTCTAAAGGATGGTCTTTACAGCACCTGTTTTTCTGTAACAGTCACATCAGGATTTATTTGTAGCACAATATGCTTAGTTACAATAGTCTTGAGAGTTATAATCCTTTTAAGCACTCCCTTCACTTGAAAGCATTTTCAAACACTTTGGGCATGTGACTACATAAGCCCCAAGTGTGATTTAATCCTCAGTATTGTGGTTTGATCTTGAAGCTGATACTCCTCTGAGAAAATTTAAAGTATATGTTGATTTTCTGTGTTGTTATTTATCTGAGATAACAGGAAATGAAAAATGTCAGCTACCAAACTATAGTTTACCAAAATTATGCAACTGCTTTAATGTGAAACCTATATACATAAATAAGGATAGAGTTCTTTTTTTATAATTAAATTCCACAATTCCAAAATAAATCCAGACTTTTAAATCTAGCAAATCTTCAATCAAGCATTCACTTGAACCTTTTTTAACTTGATAAAATTTAATCTTATCTGTAATTAAATCACAATTAGGTTTTAATTGTTCTAATTAAAGATTCGTATCATTTTCTTATGATAGTCTCCTCTGTAACTTGTTTTAAATTAAATCTACTGGAAATAACAAGTAATTCTTCTGATATATATCCAAGTCACTCATCTCAGATTTGGAACATTTCAAACTATTTTTTTAATGAGACCACTCAATAGGTTTTTATTTTTGTCTAGGTTTTAATATTTCTGGAAATGCTTCAAGAGAAAAATCAAATTTTAGCAGCACTTCTTCTTTTTGTTTACTTATTAAACCTCAGACAACTTAGAATAAAACTGAGAATCCCAACAAATCAAACACAACTCTATATACAGATGGATCATTGAGCAGAAGAGGCAGAATTGTAATTGCTCTTAACTTCTGCATTCTTTTGGTAGTTGGAAATCCTATGGCATTATACAAGGAATTGTATCTTCTCCTTGACTCAAAGAATGTGCATCCCCCAGTGTATATTGCATACATACTCCTCTTAGAGTCTCTGTGAAATTGGAAAAGAAAAAATTCTATGATTCCTTTTTGTCTGCTAGAATTGTGTGTATATATACACACACATACACAGCACTCATCCTACACTGCTTAAGTGTTGCTCCTGGGGAATGAACCCCCAGTGCTTTTGGCTTACCCCAGACATGAGTCTGAAGCCCTCGGGCAAAAAGACTCAGAAGCTGGAGACTGGAAGTCACTGAGATGATGGAAAATAAACCCCAAAACATGTTTGGTCCTAGATTTATCTTCTCCTACTTCAAAGCACACTGCGTGTCCAAATATTGTGGTCTAGTAGAAGTTACTCTGAGTTAAGAGATAAGATAGTTGGGTCTTAGTTCTGATTCTGCTGTGTGGGTAAGCCAGGTCCTCCATTTCCCTGGGCCTGTTGTCCCACAGTTCTGGAGGCTGGGAAGTCCTAGGTCAAGGAGACTATAATCTGGTGAGGGCCTTCTTTTTGTCTTTCAGACTGTCACATTTATCCTTCTTTGCTGCTGTTGGTGACTCTGCTCCACAGAGAACAATCTTCCCTTCTCATCCCTGTTGTGAATATATATATAAAAATATTTTTTTTTCACTTCTTTCTTTTCCGATAGCCTAGTGTGTTTGTGTTTGTGTGTGTGTGTGTGTGTGTGTGTGTGTGTGTGTTGTGTGATAAGATCAGTAGTCCATATTCAAATAAGATGCTTAGGCGCAAAGTACGCCTTGGGGAAAGTTCCCCCAGTTTTATCTGAAAGATTGTTTCAAACTGAAAGAAGAATCCTTTTGAGTGTAACAGTTCTTTTATTTAGATGTGTATATTGTGGTGGTGTGTATCCCTCAGCTATAAGCCTTCGGACTTGGTGAGAGTAAAAGCCTTTCTGGATATGTCTTGCTAATCCCGGATTAAACCTAATAGCATTTTTATTTCTATCCTATTTTGAGAAAGAGTTTTCATCAAAACAAATTTAATTATCTTTTCAAGGACATATAAGTGTTTAGAAAAAGTAGTATTTCTGTATTTGAAAATTTCAAATTTACAGAGTGAAATTCAATGCTTTGTTATGAAAATGAGAAGAGTAAATAGAAGAACTAAACTTTTTCTGATTTCCTAATGTTTACAATCAAGACCTATTAAGGATAGCACAGAAATTAATCGCAACCAATAGAAATGTGCAGCTTTGGAACATTGATTGAATTGTGACTTTAACTTTTGCTTTTTATTAGCATTACACTGATGAAATGGAAATGGAATTGAGTAAAGATAAACAGTGAACTCAGTCAGATATGAAGCACGATTTAGATATGAAATAATGAAGTTCATAAAGTTCATGTCTCACATAGACTTGGCAAGCTACAGTATTGTAAGAACTGATGCCAATACCAGTGTATCTGGTCAGCTTCCCCCTCATACCAGCTTCTAGTAAGACTTTGCTGTTCTAGTCAAAGATATCCTCAGTAGCCTAGGGTTGACCAATCATGGTACCCAATCCTTTGGGCAAAACTTGTCCAGGGAAAGGTGAAAGAATCACGCATGGTGAATCTGAATCCTTCCTGGCAGCTTTCTAACCAGTTTCAGGGAAGAGACCTTTCATAGTCTCATGGAGCCATTTGATTGAAATTCCAAGCTGCTTTCAAACATGCCTCTGTCTATGAAAAGAGGCTGTCCTGCTGCAACAATGATAGGTTACAATCCTTAAGTATTTATTATGTGTCAGGCACTATTCTAAACACTTTAGTAACTCATGCTTTTAACTCTATTACCCAGCAGACCTTTGTAGTAGATTTTATTATTTTCCCAATTTTACAGAGTAGGGAGCTGGAGGCAGACAGGAATTTGCTCAAAATCACAAAACTAGAAAATGGAGGAAGCAGGCTTTTAACTCAGGCAGTCTAAACTCAAAGTCTGGACACTCAGCCACCATAAAATTGTGCCTTTCAGTAGAAAAAAAAATCAAGTTATTACATAGGGAGAAACAGAAATAAGACACAGAAAAAGTCTGTAGTGTGTTTATTGTCCTGGTTCCCAACCAGCTCTGGCACCAGCCAAAATCATCCCTGATGAGGTGAATCAATAAATTCCACTAATTCCATTAAAAGTACTTTTAATTCTATTAAAGCATTGGTTCTTTATTTGTTTACTTTAAGTAAATGTGAATTATGGCTCTATTATTTAAAACCAAAGTCTCCTGAAAAATACCTAGTAAGAAAGGAGAAACTAGACCACATATGAAACAGATACATCATGGTAGGAGGGTTTAGCAAGGTAAATAGAAAAAAATAACATAGGAAAATGTGCTGATTAGGAAACCCTGATCAATAATTAGCTCCACCATGAATAAGGTATGGTCTTGAAACATCAGATGTCCTCTGTAGTTCTCAGTTTACCGTCTATAAAGGAATTGGATTAAATGGTTTCAAGAGTTGTTTCAGGTCTTCAGCTCTGTGAATTTACATTATGCACAGAAAAGACAAATAGCTTAGAGTGATAGGTGGAGAAGCCCAGAGAGATGAACGAAAATGGCTAGAATAAAATCCAGCTGAGGGCTGAAGCAAACTGGGGCTGGGACTACTGAGAGACAGAAGGGAGACAGGAAAGAGCTAGTTGATAAGTAAATCTCTAGACCAAGTGAGACAAGGCGCTGCTGATTTATGGAACAAAGAAACATTAGATAAAATATAAATGACTTTTATGCAACATAGAAACAAAAAGAGAAAAAGACGAAGGCTAAGATTAAACATAAAATGAAGACGAGAGTAAAATTGATAGGTAGGAAAAGAGAAAACAGATGCTGTATTGCAATGAGATTGAATACACCTTAGTCCAAATCTTAAGGGAGACTGGTTAGGGATGCGGCCAGATGCAAGTGATGATTGGATAAAGAAGAAAGCTCAAGTATTTACCTCTGTGAAAAGTAATGGAAAAGAAAATCATTCTAAACTTCACTTTATGTAAGTAATATAAATTAAGCATCTGGAACAAGCAGAATACATGATATAAATAATTTTTCTGCTCTCTTTAGAAAATATTATCTATCATTACATAACCAAAGTAGCTATCATCAAAAAAAGAATAGGGCTCCAAACTCTTCTAAAATATGTGTGTCAGTTATTTGTGTTAACAACTTGTATATCAGAGATGTCATGTAAATTGCACATGAGTTGATCATTTTCACCTGTGGTTCTTTTCCCTGTCATAGCAAACATAAAAAATCCATTAAGGCATTATTTATGTCTTTCTTACTAATAATACTGTAGAAAACGTTTGAGGACAGTGCTCCAAACAGACATTACCAGTTGATCAGGGGTTGTCACTAGAGTCAAAAATGATTTGCCATCCCATCACATTATCCACCAAAGTTATGTGTTATTTGGTTTAGGCAATTTAGATGTATAATTCTATGTGTTATTCCAAAAATTGAGGGAGAATACTGGTGGGTGTGAGAATGAAACAGAGGTGATTTTTCTATCTAATGAATTGTTCTTATCTTCCATGCAGTCCTCCATACTATTCCTGTCTAGAGAACCTTTTAGAAATCACTATCAATTATTTACTAAAACTTAAAAAGGAGAATGTGAATTGGGTGGCCCACAAAAGCTAAATACAACAGTTAAAGTCATATTGAAGAAACAATAATTATTGTTTATTATGAATAAAAAATGACAATCCTTCAGCTTATAGCTTTATTCTATGGAATTATAATCAACTCAGTTTTACAAAGAGTAGGTTTTTGATAGTTGTCACACTGTGCTAAATGCCATGTAGACATACGGTCTAATGATTGTTAAATTTTCCAGAAAAACTTGAAGATGCTTTTGTTCCATGTAAATAGTTCCTGATATGTGTCTGTGATTCTGCCTGATTTAAAATTAATAACTGACCTCTTTCTACCGTGATAATATTCATAATCCCCCCAAATGATGATAGAAACACAGATATTTTTAATAAGAATATTTATTCTGTGAATTAAATCATGAAAAAGATGATTTAATAAGCCAGTTGATTTGTACTTGAATAATATACTATCCATAAATCATATTTAGGCAATTAGCTGCATTCTTCTGGGGACAAGAAATTTTCTATTTTGAATTTCCTTATTCATCTTTCTTTCTTGCTTTAAAAAGTAAGAAATATTTAAAATGTTGTTTTTAAATGTTTTAAGAATATTTAAACATGATTAATGCAAATACCCAATATGTATTAAGCAATTAACTCTGTGATTCTCAGCCCCAACTGCACATCGAATCATTGGTAAAATCTAATCACATTAGAATTTACTTACACCTGAGAACCACCCCCAGATATTTTGATTTAATTAGTGTGGTGTGAGGCCTGGCCTTTTTTTTTTTTTTTTTTTTTTTTTTTAATGTGCTCTAGTGATTCTAATGCAGGGAAGGCTGGGAAAATACAAAACTAACTACTCTATTGACCTTCATAATATTTGAAAATAGCAAGATAAGTTTAATCAAGGTCTTTTCAAAATAAGTGACTAAAATGTAACACTGAATTATTGTATTCTTCATAGGGTCAGTAATTAGTCTCGACTCTGTCTTCTTGGATATTATTCCAATTTTAAAAACCAAATAGTATCATTATTTATTTTTAATCTTTTAGGCAATCTACGTACACATAGGTTACAACTGCAAAAAAATTCTATTAATTAAATAATTTTAGATTATAGAGACAAAGCCTAATAAATCATGAAAATTTGTTAAATGAAAATTTGATCTAAAGACTAAGTTAGGGCTGAAGAACTACCTATTGGGTACTCTGCTCATTACCTGGGTCATGGGACCATTCTTACCCCAAACCTCAGCATCACAAAGTCTGCCCATGTAACAAGTCTGCATATGTAACCCCCTGAATCTAAAATAAAAGTTGAAAGTATAAAAAAAAAGTTTTTATGCATTTTTCCAGTTTGTCTATTTCTTCTTACTGTGTTATTCTGCATTAATGGAAATTAATGGAATTCTGTTTTCTTCAGTTACAATGGAATGATAGAATTAACAATGTGCTAAAGACTTTCTAAGATGTGAGAAATTACCAGCTTTAAGAGGCATAAAGGGTAAGACAAGGGGAATTATATTTGAGTATACCTTATCTTTTCTTCCCAATATATAAAATTCATTGTTAATTTCTGGAATATGGGCTTGATTGGTGGAATTAAGGCTGTGTACTAAATATCAAATACAAATTCTTTACATCTTATGGTAAGCAAAGCATGAATATCAAAATCAAAATAAAATATTTTAGTGAAATTTTTTTCCCAATTGGAAACATTAAGAGAATTAATATCTTGGAAATTCAGTATGAGTCTTGCTTTCAAATAATTTTGATTATCTGAAAGACCATGTTCATTATAAGAGTTATCTAATTCATAATTACACATTTTTGTTTAATACAATGATGTGTTTTGACATTAATACACTTAACACACAATCACCGATCTGGACAGGATCTTTTATTTCAATGTATACATAAAATCTTCAGAGCAGTTAACATCCTTGAAACTTTTGGATAAAACATTTATATTTTCTACTCCCGTTAATGGCAGTAAATCCTGAATAAAGTGTCTCAGAGGTAAATAGAGAAGACAAGTTCACTTTTATCTTATGAGATATTTTAATCAAAGAAGATTATTTTCTAGCAATAAACTTTTTAGTATTATAATGAAACAAAAATTATAACTGATTTTTTTAAAGTATTTATAAAACTCAAAATGTTATTGCTTCCTGGACATTCTTTAATTTTTCACTTTTTGTCATATGTACCTATGTGATTATTCTACACTTTACACAAAGATCAGCAAGTATCTCCAGTTTCAACAGTCAGATTGTTTCACATGCTAAAAACGTTAGTTATCTCTAATAGCTATTTCCACCGTGTCTTAGATAAGTGTTTATGAGGAAAATAACACTTAGGTAAAATCTTTTTTCATAATAAGCAATTACTTCATGTATATGTGTATATTTTACATATATATGCAATTATATATATGCAGTTACACACAGACATACGCATAAACACATAAGACACACAGACACACACATATATACACATATATACATACACACATATGTATGTGTGTGTGTGTGTGTGTATCGTTTTCCCATGACATTTTTCACCTAACACGCTGGACTAAAAGAGCCGTGGCTTTAGCTTCAGTACTGGTGTAACCATTACCAGCTTTGAGAATATGCTGTATTTATTTCCAAAAATCAAAACATATATATCTTTTGGTAAAATTGAGCAACATCTAGACATGTCTGTCTCCTTTCCTGTAATATATTCCCTAGTACCTAAAAATAACCACTTAGAGGGAATAATAAACCTGATCACAGGCATATGGAAGACATGGAGAAAGCCCAAGTGGCCTGATACTAGCTGGAAGAGCCACAGAGGCATCACTGAGCACTTGCTTCAAATGCACAACTTCAGACCCCACACTCCCAAAGACTGACAAAAACCCAAATTTGCATTTTAACAAGATTTTCATTTCATTGATTTGCGGGTATCTCTGCAGGTATTTGCAGATATTTGCAGGTGGTCTCCTTTTCCCTCCAGTTGCTGCAGCCAGATAGATACTTGATATTAGAAGATAGGAAGCTATATTAAAATATAGAGATTCTACGGTTATGGCAGAATTCTTAGGGCAGTCTTCGTCTCAATTTTTCTTTCTCCACCTAAAGATTAGGAGCATAAATTTAGTGGGGATACTTTAAAAATATTATTTTATCATGAGTTATAAAGCCAATTAATACCTGTATTGGAGGAGTCACACCTCCAGTATTTCATGAACATCAAATATTCCGAAAAAAAACTCAATAGTAACAAGAATATTTTGAGGGGTGTTTCACAAACTGTGTTTCATGGATCAACAGGTTTGCAATGTATTGCTCTTCAGATTCCTTGAGGATTTCAGGTGCAAACAGTCTTAGTAAACAGCACAATATATACTCCTCTAGGAGTTTTGCAGTGCAGTCTCTGAAATCCTACAGTTTAAAAATCTGTGTTGTGTTTTGTTTCACATCTCCCAAATGTATTTAAACTTAGAACCATCTTTTTTTTTTTTTTTTTTTTTTGAGACGGAGTTTCGCTCTAGTTGCCCAAGCTGGAGTGCAGTGCCATCTCTTTTTATCAGGTGCAAACTGCTGAATATAGACTAAAAAATGATGTTATCACATTGGAAATACAGTTGTTAAAACTGTTGTGTAAAGATTAAATTTTGAAAAATTGTGTACGTAAACTTCTAATTATCATACATGCCATAACAATCGAATGAGCCAGCCATACATATTAAGGTGGAACTTTAACTAGAATTTGAATTAAGAAACAGATTACTACTATCCAACCATGATTAGGGGTGAGAGGACTAATAGAATCAACAAGACACCAGCAAAATTTACTTAGTATTAACCCAGAATCCATTTAAGAATTTTCTGGATGAGAATTTTATGTGTGCCTCATACGCTATGTATATATGTATGTTACAGACAAAATGCTGTATTTAGATATTCGGAGATGAGAAACCCTATTCTTAGAGAAGTTAATTTGCTGAAACTTACAGAATAAGTGACAGAACCAGAATTCAAAAGTCAGTCCTCTCTTCTCCCTCAATAGATAGATAAAGTAGAAATAGCTATATTGATCTCTTTCTTTCTCTCTCTTTATATGTACATATTATATTTATAGATGTATTAAATACCTTATAAAGTGGGTTCACATAAATTTTAGTTCCATGTTATTGCAACATTTCCTTGAATGCCTGTTTCCTCCCCTTAATTAAATGAAAAGGGTTTGCTTCATTTCTTTTCAACTAATCATTTAGTTAATGCAGTATAAAATGATTAATAAATAAATAGACTGAGAGATTTTGGTTCAAAATACAGTAGCTCTGTGACTGTGAGATCTGAATTTCAGTTTCCTCCATAAAAGGAGTACACAGTAATATGTTCCATTTTGTCATATTATTGGGAAGATCAAATGAGGCTACGTAAAGTGCCAGGCATACACTAGGCACTCAGGAGCTGCTGATTCTCTTCCATTTCCTTTGCAGAATATTTCTTATGGAAATGCATTTTCAATATTATAAAAAAGTGGCTTCCGAATTCGACTTATCCAGCTGATATTTGTGCTCATTCAACCAACACTCAGAGTTAGTAAGCTAAATAATCAGAATCCGTGACACTACAGAATAATGATTATATGACATCTATCTTTGTGATCCAAAATATTTACTAATATATATACTACTTTTTATTCAAAAGAAGAATGACATGTCACAATGCATAGCTCTAAACTCTTATTTGGACCAGAGGTTCGTTGATGACTGACTGTCCTACTCCCTAGTTTGAGATGAGGAAAAATAAGACCAGGCAGTAGATATAAGACTAGATTTGATTATATCTCACTAATAGCAAATTTTAAGGTCAAACAGTAAATTCTTAATTTAACTTTCTATTTTTCTGGAAAAGAAAAATTGCCTTATAGATGCCTCTAGTGGTGGCAGTTCTCTGAAAACAAAGGTTAAAAAGGTTTTACATTATATTTCCAATGCATGAAGGGGAGGGTGGCAGGGTGTGAGGTAGTGGACATAGGAAATATATTAGGAGCCCATGTTTCAGTTATTATCCTGAAATTTGAAACACTATCCCAAAATCAAAGTTTTGGTAATACCATATAATAACAGTAACTACATCACTTCTTGTTTACTGATATTTTTATTGAGGTTTGTAGCTCATGACTTTACATGTGATTGTACAGAGCATTTAAGGAAAAAAAAAGGATGTAAAGGTTGTACAAGGGAAATATCCAATAGCTTGAAATCTGGTAGGTGTATATGAAAAGAATAATGCCATGTGTAAATATATGAGAATCCTAAGCGACCAAAGCCACAATAGCTATATTCTTGTTTCTAAAAAGTGACTTTCTTATCAACAAGGAATAACACAATTAGTTGTTAGTTTTAAAAATAAACTATTGTTTTTTAGAAAGACATATTTTGAATTAGATTTAATGCTTGGTGAGGGGGAAAACAGTATGGAAAAAGTTCCAAGTTATCCATCCACTTCCAATGCATTTGCAGGAATTAAATGAAGGCAAATCAACCTGACTCTACAAATCTTGATTTTCTAGTTCACAGGCAAAGGTCAGCATTAAAATATACAAACCAGTGATACTTTATAAATGAACACATTCTGATTGTCTATAGTTGTTTCAAGACATATCAGCTTTTATTACTTAGGGTGATGAAGGAAATCTTTATTCTCAAATGAGTCATGAAAACCAAATTTAAATGTTTTTTTCTCATTTTTATTGATTCAAAATGTCATTCAATATGTAAACCAGTTTGACAACTTGAAATTCAGGGCATTAAAAAATACTCCAGAGGACTAGGCACTAATTAGCCTAAGAATGCACTCTGTCCTAGTCACTGTATCCTGAGTTCCAACCCCAAAGACCTCTACCTACTGTTAAAGCATTGAAGATACTGACTTAACTTTGTCAAACATCTTTTGAGAGCAATCAATATATTTCATTTTGAAGTCAGGATCATTTTGCCTGTTTTACATTCAGAAGAAACAGAGGAATTTTTAAATTTTAAAAAGCTATTTTAGTTCTCGGCTTTAAACATATTTCCTTGCCAATGTAGCAAGAAATTTTGTAGTCTTGGATCATTGAGACAAACTTAACTCCTTTAAGATTTAAAATCCTCTGATTTTGGACTAATTGTAAATCTTTTGTAACCTTGTCTGTAGATCAAAGAGTGGAGCATCATCATTTAAAAATTATTCAATCTGAATGGCAATGTTTAAATTAAATAGTTAGAAGTCTGCTTTACTTTCCTCTTCTTTCAAACGCTTTCCTTTAGTATTCTAGAATGAAAGGCGCATTTGGAATACTTTTAGATGCATTTGGATTATGGAGTACTTTGATAACCCACCATGTACAACTGTATGTAGAATTTTATGAATTGACTATAATAATTAAAGGCAGAGAACTTGAGAGTAATATTTGGAGCAGAGTGGTTATTTGTTCAGTCTCAATGTAATATTCATATATATAATAATAAATTATTCTATAGTATGAATATTTCTTGGTTATGAATTATTTTGTATAATGTACATAATTCTAATATAATATTAATTTCATATGTATTAGAAAGATTCATAATAGAGCTTTAAAAGGTACAAAGCTACTAAAAGCATTAACTCTGTTGGTGTTCAATAGAGCCAGCAGATTAGAGAGTGAAGATGAATTCAGACAAAATACTTATATTTAAGAAACATTTATAAAATATTGATGTTTCCTTGAGACAAGGTATAGCTAGATACGAAATATCTCAAGAGTGTTTAAAGTATTTAATGTTTCCCGTGGAATTAGCAGAATGAAATCAGAATATAGGAAACTCCCATTTTACTTTTCGGAATACATCTGTAACATTTGGTGTAGTGTATAAGATTTTTATCACTACAAATGACTTCATTATTCTTTCCTGGAAAACTTTTCTCTGTAACTCTAGTTTAGGTCCTGTCACCTTACCATAAGTTTGCTAACTTGTTTGGTTTCTGCTCTTCCGTTGTTCATATTGTGGTTGAAGAGACTTGTTTATCCCAATAGAGATTTGTTCATGTATAGTCTTTCTTGATTTCTTCACATAAATCAAAGTTCTTTCACAAGCCTTCCTAAAAATTAGTTTGCATTTACCTTTGAAATACTGTAACGGGACACAAATTATCAAATGAGAACAATGCTTTTGACATACTATTAAGAGAAAAAGAAACATCAAAACTTAGCTGAAATCAAGACATTTGAATAGTAACTTATAGGTGCTAGATGTGAAAGAAGTGCTGACTTTTAAATTTTTTTTTAAATAAAGAAGGAATAGCAATATCTTTCAATGAGATTATGCGAAACTATATTAACTACCTGTTTTATTGCAGAAATCACAAAGTTTTAAATATCGTAAACAAGCTACTTCTTCTGCAGGCTGTAAATAAATGGAATCAGAGTGTGTATGTGTACAGGTGAAAGTTTCCCTTTTAAACCAAAGAGAGTGTAATCAGTGTTAATTAGTAAATAGGAAAGTTTCTTCTTATGGCCTAATCAGGAAAGAAGCAACTACCAACACATTTAAGTTCTGCTAGCCTACAAATGAAAATTTAATTGTTTAATATTTTTAAGATGTTATAAAGAACATATTTGCTGATTGCAAAGTTAAATTTAATGTTGGGATCCATTGAATATATTTTATGAGCTCAGAAAAGCTTCTTATGTAAAATCCATTCGCACAAAAATGCTTCCATAAGCTATTGTGCAATGTTGCTGCTTTGCTTTTGTGCCATCTTCGTAATTTAATGATGTGCAGAAATCTAATATAAGCTATATTGAAAACGTTACTTAGAAATGCATAGTAATTGTTTATGTGGTAAGTTAAAATTATGAATTACTAAAAATGAACTAATTAAATTTTAACACCTTGGTCTACAATGTACTGGGAACTTCATATATATTGTTATCTCAAAAATTTTCTTAGAGAAGAAAGGATATTCATGCCAATATCTTCAGATTTGCTCAAAACTAAATAGTTGGACTTTGGGTTTTTGTTTTTTACACTCTCTAAATCTGAATTGACATGCATTATACTTCTGTAGTGTTGGTTTTTTTCCCTCTGCAATACATCACAGGCCAAGTGCTGTGGCTCAAACCTGTGATCATGGCTACGCAGAAGGCTGAGACAGCAGGATCACTTGAGCCCAAGAGTCTGAGGCTGCAGTGAGCTGGGATTGTGCCACTGCCCTTCAGTCTTTGTGACAGAGCAAGACCCCATCTCTTTAAAACCACAACAAAAAAATCCAAGCAGTAGCACTTCGGTACAGTACTGATAGACAACTTCTAAAAACTAATTGTTTTTTCATTATTAGGGGATGATATAGATTAGTCTGGAGTTGATCTTTAGAAAACTTGTAAACTATTTTTCCTCTCCCTTTTGATCTTTACAGTAATGTAGAAAGTCAGTCGAAATTTTTAATGTCATTCCTTAAAAAAAGCAAGCTAGTCAATAACATTTCAACATGTGTTGGGGGTCCAGGGAAGCTGAAGACAATGCCTAAAATTAAATATGTGGGTCCTTTATAAATGTTACTAATTCCCTTATATGCTTATATCTATTATGAAAAGTTTTGTCATACCAATTAAGTTAATACTAATAAGAATCTTAAACCTAGATCTTAAAGATCCTTTCCTTAATATGTCAACATTTTTAGTTATGATGGATATTTTAAAATACAGATGATAAACTACATCTTAATTTAGAGTCAATGTGAATTTTTTTTACAGGAAGTTAAGGATATTTCCCTTACGTGCTTTTTGTTAGATATTTTCCTGATTATTGTTACTTCAAGATAATTGTTCTGTCAGTTCATTTTTGTTATTACAATTATTTTAGCACAGTAATTTATTATTCAACTTCAGTGTGTTTAATTATAATATAGTGGAAACAAGAAGGGACGCCCATAAAATTTAATTCCAACCAATTTCTCCTTCACAAAATTTGGACTTTGCCGCAAATATTTATCAGTTAGGAGCAGAGGCTGTGCAACAATCCATCAGTTTCAGAATTAACTAAACATGAGGTCCATTAGCTAGTGTCCCTGATAAAGTGTCATGTGAACTAGATTTCAAAGAGGAAAAACAACCAAGTCTAAAAATGTGACAAAAATATTATTTGACAAGAAAGTAATCATTTGTTTGTTTCGGTGGCATAAGTTTTACTTCTAGCTGGCTAAATAAGCTGTATTATAGCGGTATACTACATCTGTTTGACGGAAATTTACTTCTTACTGGAAATTCAGATGAACACATAAAAATATACAGATAAGCAGGTCATAAATGTCTCAGGATCTTAAAAAATTGAGTCACAAAAGGTGGTAGAAAAAAGAACAATTAAAAAATCATTAATTAATTCATCAATAGCTCTATAAGAAAATGTATATGAAGAAAAAGATTCAAGTTCAGGAATTCAACCCTTGCTAGTGTAAACAGGACAAAATGAATATGTTAGATATATGCAAATTTCTATTGAAATGTATGTAAAATTAGCTCCTTTATCCATTTTTTTTAATTACGGTTACATAATACTTGCAGGGGAAATTTCTCTCTGTTATAATCTTTGGGATCTTAAGTCTCTCTGAAAGCATGCCATTTATGATGTATAGAGTTCAAAAATCTCACTCTTTTTTCTTGATGCAAGAGCTTGGTAGTAACTTTATATGCTGAATGTTCTTCTGCACCAGTTTGTGTATTCAAGTGATCTTTCTTCAGTTTGGTCTATGTAGAGCTTGAGAAGCTACCTGCTTCAAATTTCCATATAGAAACACAAAAATAATGGGCAGGGAGGTAGCAATGTCAGAAAATCAGCAAGCTGAATTGAGGTAGTTTCCCCATTTTTCTGTGAAACCAGCTTCTTACTGATAGAGTTGCTTTCATGTAGGTTACTGTTTGACAAAACAAGCATAAGTGCTCATAATCCACAGACCACATTTGTGTTTCTGAAGTTACCATAAACACATCTAAAAAGGATTCTTTTATTGCCAAATGTATTCTATGTATCGGGTGGGTTAAAAGCCTTGGACGTGCTAATATTGCCATAGTGTGGTGTGAGAAAACCTAATTATCATTAACGCTTGTGATTCTCCTCTAACATAAAATCTGTAGACTTAAAAAATATTCATGCCAATTCACTAAAAAAGAATGAGACATAAAATATTTTGAGGTGATGTGAAGGTTATGATGCACTCTGGCTCAGCAGAAATTTTTTTGTCATGTATTTATAAACTATATACAGATTATTGGCCATTCTCTAAACTTGATTTAAGATAGTCATTTATAGATGGATAGTGTTTAGATTTTTGAAAAAGGAAACCCCGAGATAAAACACACTACAGGAGAAATTATAATTTGGCAGGTTCCTTTTAGCTTTGCCCTAACAGGGGATCTGTACTTGGACACTGCTATAAAGGATCTGCAGTAATGAGAGATCTAGAAAGTTTCTTTGAAAGAACTTCTTTATCTTTTCCGATTTCCCTCATATATAGAATAAGAAAAAAACACAATAAAAGTCTTATTATATCTTTATAAAATGAATATTCTCTTTGCAGCTTTTAGCAAATTGAGGGAATTTGAATTTCTAACATCAAAATGCAATGTACAAAGGAGGAAAAAATATGACTCACCCAGCCCCCAAATTTCATATTTATATCTCTGATTGAATCTGGTTTTAAAGGTAAGCATAGTGACTGCAGCTGGTTTATAGATAAGCAAATAGTAACATATATGTTAACCTGCTCAACATTAAGTTATGCATCTGATTTCATCCAAAATAAACATGCCCATTCCATTTTTCTGGTTTACTTTGTCTGCAAACCTGTATGATTTTGTGCTTAGCTTATTCATCTAGGCAGATTGATTTCTTTTGCATGGCTCATTTGGGCCACAGAGGATTAGCAAAGTTTATGTATTGAAAACAGAAAGAAAGAAAGGCGAGAAAAATAAAAAGACTGATTAATCATATAGTACATACATCAATACAATATCTTCTAAATCTCAATCAGTTGTTTATTGGTTGGCAAACAAGTTTCACTTTTACAACAAATATTAGTAATGAGGTCATCCAACTTTGAGACCATACAAAATGGATCATAAATTAAAAAAAAATTATATGTGCTGCTAATTTACCTTTTGTATTCCTACATTACTCAAAATCCTGTCAAATAAATAAATTTTCCTGTTAATAAACAGAAGACTTTTTTTTAAAAAAATCACTTCAAAATAATTTGACCTTCCAATGCTTACGAGGGAGTGAATTTCCTCTAAAAAGTGGTAGTGCAGGTGCCCACTTGTTGATCAGACTGAGCATTCAGCACTTTAATGCCTATGGAAAACCGTTTTTCACATGCAGAAGCCCCACTAGTTCTATAGACACCTTTTGACTTCTAGAATCATAGCTAGTGTCCTGGTGATGAACTGCTTGCCAAATATGCTTTGCATTACAACAGACGTGCCCTGTAAACATAAAAGTTTGTCCTGCTCTAATTTGCAAAAAACACTGTTGGAAATATTCTGACTGCATAAAGATATATAGTGAGGGAAGGAAGTCTAATTTTATTTATTTTGTTTTTTTGTAAAAAATAATTTGTTTGCATTACTAGAAAATGATTCTTATAAAGTGATAGTTCCATTTATTTATTTTTTGCCAGGCGAAATTTTAAAGGAATAAAAGGCAAAAAAGAAAAAAAGAAAATGAAGAAAGAGAAGAAAGGAAGGAAACTTTGCTCTCTTACTGGTAGACAAACTTGCAAGACCAGCACAAAAGAAAAAGAAAATTTCTTTTTTTTTTTTCTACTACATTAACAGGACTCAAATTCTGGAGGAACAGAAAGCAGACTATATGTGCAATGCTAGTATCTGTACATTACATAGAAATTGCTCAACTTCTTTTTCTGCCATTAGTTTTATCATCAGTTAATACAGCAAATCATAAAATATGCATTTAGCATATAATTCTAGAATTCCCCTCCATTTCATTATTAATTTTGTTGTTTTATTTTGTTTTCCACAGCTATTCCAGCTGTGGTGAATTCAGGTTGTGAGTGACCAAAAACCCTATGTGATACAGTTTTGCTTTGCTCTTATGTTTGTTTGTGCAGCACTCCAATCTAGATGCAGCATTGTTACTAATTTCAGACAATTGTTCTGGCCTTTTAAAAAGCAGGTCCTTGTAATTTTAGTAACACAGCATCAGAGATGTTAAAACATACACAACATAATTCAACAAGGCCACAATGAGTGCCATTTTCTTCATATCTTGTTCATTAACATAATGAAGTCTCCATCTGAAGGGGAAAGGACAAGAAAGGATGGGGTACAGGGGAATTTTAGCAGTTATCTTTCTCCCCTGGGCTGACCTAAAAATCCCATTAAAAAAAAAAAAGTCTGAGAGTTTGTGTTTGTCTTTAGAGGACAGCATAAAGATTTAGGAGTACACACATTATTACCACTGCTTATATCAACTCAGAACAGTCAACAAGGTGTTAGCAGTTTTGTTGGTTCCAATTTCTGTGTCATCTTCTATAGACTAGTGACCAAATGAGCCGGTCCTTTTGAACTTCCCTCGGGAGGGGTCCCATCTTTGTTTGGAGGAACTATAAATCCATCACTGCTGCCGCGACCTAGCTGGTAGTAAGTATGCAGCTGATGGACGTGGTTTCTGGAGCCTAGGTTTGGCATGCTTTTGTAGTAAACATCTTCGGCATCACCACATTTGGCCGGTGGGGGTTCGGTCTGGGTGCTGGTGGTAACACTCTCTGTGGCGGCCACACCAGCCAGTGTCGGCATGCTGGTATAGAGAGAGTCTCTATGGGGTGACTGGAGATCTTCTGTGTGCTCGTTGGTTAGCAAAGGGAAAAAGCTCTCACTGTGGTCTTGGGGGATCCGCCTTCTGGTATAATGGTGTGGCTGGTGGTTCTCGGTGGAGTATACTCTTGGGGGCAGCAAAGGAGCATCAGATTCCTCATGAATGAGTTCCAGGCCCAAACTCTCCTCGTGGTTAAACGAGGTGGCATCATCCAGGACAATGGCATCATCTTCCCTTCCACTGCCAAGGTTATTCACCAGCTTGTTCATCAGATTCCTGTTCTGTTCACTGGAGCGCTCATGGTTGTTCAGGTAAGAAGGGATATAGTTGGAAGTGAGTTCCTTCAGAATCTTTTTCTCTAGGGCGGTCTCGTTATGGTTATAGCCACGGTCTATGATTTGCACACAGTTGCTCAGGTATTCGCCGCTGGCAATGCTGTAACTATTGCCATGGTTACCATTCAGTGGTAGAGTATCCATGACACTTGTATCCCTGGCATTGTTCAGAAGCCCCTCTGAAAAAGATTACAAGATACTATGACATTTATATCCAACAAGCCATAGAACACACACACAAACACAGAAGCAAAAACATTCATTGACTATGAAATATGTATAAATTGCTAGCATTTACTTAAGTATAAAATGTTTGGAAGGAAACAGAAAATACTATTAAATCTATATATGTGTATAATTGGACCAGTGATTGAAACCATATAAATGGGAAAATCATATTTAAAGTAGATCTTTAAAATAATTTTTAAAAACCTATAAATTATCAATTTGCAATTGCCACACAAACATTGGCTGACATTATTTGAAGTATATTTGGTTATAACTTGGACAAAATAACATAAAATTTTGGTGTAGTCATTCATAGCTTTCAATTTATACACATCAAAGTCAGTTAAATACTCCATTACCTTTAATTTTACAAATTGTCTTAGCATCAAAATAGGTATAATATTAACATAATTCATGTGTGGTACTTTGAATATACTGGTCAAAAGTAAAAGCAACAAGCAGTGTCTAATAAATTGATATTTAATTTTGTAAGATTAAAAATAATCCCTTCATACAAAACCACAAAAGGATTATGTTAAATTTCTCAGAATGATGAGGTCATGAAATAATGTTTAGTCAGATAAATGGCACATCAAAAGAATTTACACCGAGGAATTTTCGAAACAAAAGTATTTGGATTTACTTTCTAATTTTTTTTTCTGCTATAAGCATTTTGGCTGTTATTATATACCATCCCATCAGAGATTTTTTTAGGGTCATTAGGTAATACTACAAAAGAATGTGTAAAGACACAGGTATCTGGTGCCTAAAAACATTGTGTCAGTATTAATGTTACCATTATATAATGAGTGATGGATTTGTGTGCATGTTAAAGTTTGGGTTTCAAAAGGATAAACATTTTATTCTGGTAAGAAACAGCTGCAGTGAAATAAATCTGACCACATATTTCTTCAAGGTTTTTGCATTCCATTGAATGAACAGAAAAACAAGAATCTATAATAGCTTCATAAATCACTTCAAATGCAACCACAAAATGAAAAAACACATTTAAACAATATTGGTAAATAAGAAAGGGTGCTTATTTACAGAAATATTAATTGGAGAATTCTATTAAACTTCTTAATATATTGCTAACTTGTGAAAATATAGCATTCATTCTATATCTGTGATGCAATTATTTATCAAAACTCAACTAGTTCATTACTAGTTTAAATTACGTGATTCAAATATGCCAATTTTTATTTGGACTCCTGATGCATACTGTGTATTCAAGTAAGACAGTTTTCAAAATTAGCAATGCATAAATTGTATTAATAAGCAGCCATCACAGACATAGGGTGAAGCGATTTATTTTCATTTTATATCTTGTAGACAAATCCACAATGTTAGGAAAAAATAAAAGTAAATGCTTCTTAAAGGGCTGTATGTGATGGGTGATAGCTTTTGCAGAAGCTGCTATGATATGCTTGATGGCTATGGTTGGATGGCTGATGCATTGAAACACGTGTTTATTATTTCGGTTTGTCAATGCATTAGGTACGGGCTGAAAACAGCCATAGTAAAATAAAGTGGATATGTTGCACGTGACACATTTTTATGATGGAATGTACTAATAAAAATTAAAAGTTTATGAATTACTTAGCAAAAATAAATGCTTAATTTAAAAACAATTTAACTCACACAAACATTACATGAAACTTAACAACTATGTTGATTATGTGACAATAAAAGAATCAGACAACAAAAGCGTCTAATCTCTATTAACATATATTTATATAAGTCGATTCATAGGCTTTTTAGTTTTTAAATTGTGAGATGAACTGTTTTTAATAACTACATCATCTATATGTGATGCAATAAAAGTGAACTAAAAAAAATTACATTTGATATGCAATGTTTAGCTTTACTCCCATACTTGTCTCTCTGTAGGGCTCTAAACGACAGCATGAAGAAAAGGAAAGAAAAAACAACAAGTAAGCTTACAGCGACAGTAGAAGAAACATGAGTAAAAAGCAAATTGATGATATGCAGAAAAAAGAGTCAAAGGAAATAATTTCCACTGCCCCAAAATTCATGAGTCTGGGTTACATGATTTACCATAATTAAAAATACTGAAATGTTAGTCAGAAAATAAGAAATCCCCCTTAACACATGCTAATATAATGAGTCTTTAATAAGCGTTTCCACCATTTGTAAATTTCAAACAAATACACACTTAAGATCATCACATAAACCAAGGAGAGTAAAAATTTGAGGGCAGACCATGACTATTTTCACCAATATATTTCAATGTCACATATGTGTGTGTATGTTAGAGTATACGTGCTTCAAGGAATGTTATTTAATTTTAAATTTTTTCAGTAAAAGTATAAATAAAATCTGAAGCTTTTATACAGAGAGAAACCAGAATTGAAGACTTTCATAATTGTGTTCATTTTTTCCCGCCTTATGTATCTTCTCTTTTCCTGCACAAAAGTTATTTCTCTATTATACATATATGAATTTTTTGATCAGTTTTAAATAAAAACTGAGCAATATTGTCATTTTTGGAGCTCATATTCAAAGGTTGTGTAACTATGGAGGAAAAAAAGGTTACATTTATTTATTATTCTGAATACAGAAAATGTGAGAGGGGAAAAACGCAACCAACAATATTAGGTTTTCTTCTGGATTGTTGCACAATTGTATGCAATCAAACATTTTGAGAGTTGATCCTTTAAAAACAATCCTATCAAAATTATTTTTTTAAGGAAAAAAACCTCTTATTTTAGCCTGGTTAACAGAGTTGTTCTTGCTGATTTTGTCTACAAAAAGGGTAAAGTATCATAAAATAAAAACCAGCAAATTCACTGGGCCAGATCATTTCAAAGGGTTCTATCTTACTATAATTTAATGACAGTTTAAAGAGACAGTTTTGGTTCTTTAAAGGTTGATTTGCTTCTCAGCAGAAAGATCAACAACATTTCAAAATGCAGAGGAAATCTCTTTTAAAGTTTCAAAAGAACTTTAAAGTAAGAATTTGAAAGGAAGGGCCAAGCCAGTATATCGAGAGATGTAAATGCTTGCAGGCTCATTATGGCTCATTCCTTAAATGAAAGCATTTTAGAACTGGAAAGCACATGAGAGATCATTGAAATTCAATTCCCACTTTTCAGAGAAGAGGAGACTGCAGCCCAGAGGGGCTGAGCCTTTATCTAACACCACCCTGCTAATATGGTAGAACTGGGATCAGAAAAAAGTCTTCCAGACTTCTTCCAATTCTGTCTGCTGCAATCTCCTTCACTTCACATCTGCCTTAGGCTTTGAAAACTATCACAGAAAATCTATTTATATACATTCTAAAATGATCTTGTATTCTTACCAACTATAATATATTCTTCACTATATTCTGTTCTAGGACTATGTTTCTTTAAAGCTTTAGAATTGAATTAAATTACTTTAAAATGTAAATTATTTTAGTAAAATCATGACTTCCTCTCTAAATTATGTTTTGTTGACAGGTTTTTGTATAATGTGATTTATCTTTACAAAAATTAAATTCCTAATACTGACAAGAAGATAATGGTCCAGAAGTACTCTGCGTGAAATTTAAAATATTTCCAGATAGACTCCAAATTCAGTGTAATAAAAGTATATTATTCATCTTCATTCCTAATTCTGTATGCCTCAGTAACACAATAAACACATCTTTACATATTTTAAATAAATGGTGTTACAACCAAGAATAGGTACTTTAAAAAAGAATGCTTCTATGCTTGGATAGCATTGGTGCAACTGAACCAGAGGACCCACAGAAGAGAACCAAGTGGTAATTCAACATAAACCACTCCAGTACATACCGAGCCACCTATATTTCATGTAAGATTTCACCTTGCCAGTAAGAATATAAGTGCATTCATCTGAAAGCATAAGATTAGTAGCAATATGACAATCACCAAGATTTATTTTTGGTCAGTGGTAAAAAAGAATTATTTTAAGCACTACCATAGTTTCTTAACATCTTAAAAAATATCAAAACATTAAATAGTGTACAATTCAACTTCTGACTCTGGAAAACATTAATAAAGTTATTTACTTTGGTTTTTTAAAAAAGTCAGTAAAAGTTATTGAATTTACTGGAATAAAAGACAAATACATTCAGAAGAATCCTTTGTGTATTTATTGACAATCCAAGTAGCAATAACCAGTCATAGATCCCAAGAATAAAAATTTGTATCAATACAGTATTATTTAAAATTCTTACATTGTGAGAACTGCAGTTTGATAGTTTTTATAGAAGTATTCCATCCTTGGGAAAATCTCATACTTTAAGATACCAGTAAAAATAAAGTAAGACAAGAAGGCAGATATTGAATTAGGAAAAACATACAGATTAATCAGTTTTACTTTTTCATTATATTAGAAGTTAGAAATTATATCTGAATTAGCAAAAAAGCTAAACAAAATGTGGTCCAAATTTATTATTTGTTTTAAAATAAATACCTATGACTCTTCTATGTACTGAATAGAGTAGAATACATTTAATTTCCAGATAGGGTGAAAATCTTCATTTAACATCATTCAAAATTTACTAATATGTCAGCACATGTTAATATGTTTATAATGACACAATTACCTGTCACTTGTCCTAAGGAAAACAAAGAAAAAAGCAAAATAAAACAAGCCTTTATAGGGTTTACTTAATTGTTCTGCCAAAGCACATCTGATGAATTGTGTAATGTACAATTCATTGAGTGCTACAATGAAATAGGGACATTGAGATATAAAGAGACACTTTAGGTGGAGTAACCAAGAAGAAAGACCCAGATACTGTCTCATATTGATGGTTCTGATTCATTACAGAAATGGAAGACTAAAGGAAGACAGGTTAGCTGTTTCCAAGTATTTAAAGGATTGCCACAGACAACAGAAGAATGCTTTGCTCTTCTTTGCTCTAAAGACCAGAGAAAAATTTCAGCTTAGTGGAAGAAAAAAATATATACATAACAAATGGAGTGTTTCAACAATAGAATATATGAGATTCTGAGGTGGGATGGGCCCCATTATAGGAAATACTTAAGCACAAGCTGACAGAATGTCAGCAATGATGTAAAGAGAATTCAATGAGCTCTATGCCGTCTAATTCTAAAGACATATATCCCTTAAGAAATTTTAAATTCAAAGTGAGCTGAATTATTTCATTGTATTGACAAACGACTTGCCTATATTCATGTAGTCACTTTTGATTATTGACTTTGGTGTTTCTGAAATAATGTAAAATCATCCTCCGCATCTGGCAAGATGCCTCCTGGGGAAGCTCAGATGGTTTTAGACACACAATGGCCTTGTTTTAACAAATATATCCTTTTCTGCAATGGCACATTCTCACTAAGTTGCACACATACACACCACTAATCTTTCACCTGTGACCGAGAAAGAAAAAAAAAAACAACCAAAGATTTCCACAGAGGATAGTAGAAATTTTATTAAAAATTGCCCAGAAAATTTAAATACTGCCAATCACATTCAACTTGAAAGAATCATGGAAGTCTCTTTGTAATTGTGAATTTTCTTTCAAATATAATTTTAAGTAAGTGGATCACTGACTAGGACTTTTATAAAACTTTTATTTGAATAATTTTCTCTTGTGGTTTCTTTACATATGATGTATTTTAAGCTTTCTGTGTTCCTAACACATTTTTATACTCGGGAAAGGTAAAACCATGTCCGAATGCTTACATTGTAAGTGGTTTTAAAGAGATCTATGGTGGTTTTTTTTTTTCTGAGATACAATTAATTTTTGGATCATTTTCAAGCTGGAGGATGTACAGAGGAACCATACTCAAAAGCCTTGTTTTTAACATATAGCCACAGAAGAAAAAGCAATTTTATGACCTGCCTGAGGCAGCTCTTACTGGCAATGGCAGAACTAAGGCGGAACCCAAGCTGCTACTGCCCAGTACACTGTCTTTATCCTCCACTGCTTAGTTCAATGTAATTCTCCCCAGAGTTGATTGAAATGCTTTCATCAGTACTAATGGTTTGTGCTCAGAGTGTACTTTATGGTATAACAAAGTAAGATTTGTTTTCTTGATCTTGTAATATTAAGACTATTGAATCAAGTCTTCTTTTATATTACTTACCTGAAGAAAATATCTTATTTCTCAAAATAAATACATAGATATTTAATATAAAAATAAATGAACAACAAGTACTGACAAACCACAATACATTTTATAACGTTATGGAGAAACAAACACATATTGATGAATCAGGCATTTGTTTATCAGAAGGAATCCATTTTTTACTAAGGAAAACCTAAGGAAAGTGGAAAATAAAAGCACCAAGAGGGGTGGAATGCGAAAGGAGTCTGCAGGTCTGCTTCCAAAACAAAGAAAGGCAGGAGAAAGAAAAATAGAATTTGCCCATAAAACCTACATAAAATGGGACTCTCACTTGAAAAAATTAAGATAAACTCCAGCACACCTTGTGCGTTGTACATGCTGACAGAAGGGTTGTTACAGACCGCCGGTTCCCCAAGCAATGTATTATAGGGATTGTTAGTACCATGCGGACGAAGCAGAGCATTGCTTATAAGATGATTAGCCATGGCTCCTGGAGCAGCCCCATAGAAAGACAGAGAAAAAAAAAAAAAGGTCAATCAGGCAAATGTGTTTGAAAAAAAGAAAGGAAACATTTAGAATGACAACAATTGATACAGTCCTGATTACAGGCAGGCAGCTAACTAGACTAAAAAAATATGCCACTTAGAGCACACATTTCCAACAATGCACATATCTGAGTCAATGGGAAAGAAAGAAAATGATTTACAATGTTGATTAAGCTACATTTAAGGTTTTATCTTTCCCAAGGTGTATGCAAGAATATATTCCCATGCTTGCTAAAAATTAAAATTAAAGTGAAAAAAAGCAAAATCTAATCATTCATACAAACAAAACACAAAACACAAAACAAAAGCCAAAAAAAAGTTTAAAACACACACAAAAAAGCAAAAATTAAACAAAACATTCCCTCATTCACAGAAACCATTGGGTTGTTTCCAATGAAAGTAAAAAAGGATAAAAGGCAACATTTATGATAAAACACTCATTTGGAGAGCAGTTGTTGACACAACAGAATTTGACATTTCTGAAATTCTATGAAGAGGAATCATTTAAGATGAAATAAAATAAAATATAATCACTCATTAGTACACCATGGTAAGCATACTAATTTGGTGATCTTACAAATCTGATAAAAAACATATAGATGCTATTTTTAAATATTTTAAATAAATTATTAACTTTATGATGTCAAGCAATATACACATATATAATTCCATTTTCCGTTTTCCATTTTCCAACTGGTTGTTTGGAATTTGACATAGCAATGAAACAATGTTAAATTCTTTCACCCTTTTGTTAATACTTTTTGTTCTTAGTTTCTAACACCATCAGCATGAGTTGCAACTTTCCATCCTCCAAAGCCATTTAACCAAGAAGCAAAGATCAGAGGAGAAGTTTTATTAATATACTTAGGACATTTATGAAAATAATAGACAGAATTGTGTATTTGTGTTAGATGAATAAAGAAAGAAAAAGTCACAAAGGAAAGCAAAATACAAATTGCATGAGAATAGTCATGTTGAACTGACAGGTATATGTTCATTTAAATATATGTATTAGAGGATGAAAACACAAGCTATAGGCTGAGAGACAGATTTGTAAAACAAATTCACAAATATTTGTAATCCAAAAAAGAACTAGTATCGAGCATGCAAAAAGAAGTCTCAAAAGTCAACATTAAAAAAACTAATAGCAACAACAAACTCTTCAATTAGAAAATGGTTCAAAAGCATAAACAGATATTTCATGGAAGAGGATATACAAGTGGCAAATAATCTTATGAAACAAATTGTTATTGGCCTTAGAGAAATACAGGTTAAAACCCCAATGAGACATTACTACATATCTAAAATAAAAATGGTGAAAAACATTAAACGATGGCAAGAATGCAGAGAAATGATTATTCATACATCATTGGTAGGAATGTAAAATAGCACAGCCGCTCTGGAAAACAGTTTGGCAGTTTCTTATAAAACTACTTGTGCAATTACTATGACACCCAGCAACTGCATTATTGAACATTTATCCCAGAGAAATGGAAATTTACATTCACACAAAAACCTGTACATGAATGCTCATTGCAACTTTATTTGTAGTAGCTCCAAACTGGAAACAACCCAAATTTCCTTCAACTGGTGAGTGGTCAAACAATCTGTAGTATTCCCATACCATGAAGTACTAGTCAACAAACAAAAGGAACAAACTACTGATACACATAAAAACTTGGATAAATCTTTAGAGAATTATACTGAATAAGAAAAGTCAATCCCAAAAGTTTACATACTGTGTAATTCCATTTATACGTGTAATGTTCTTGAAATGACAAAATAATAGAAATGGAGAACAGATAAGTGGTTGCCAGGGGTGAAAGATGGAGGATGGAGGTAAGTGAGTATTGTCATGAAAGGACAACATGACGCATCCTTGTGGTGATAAAATTATCTACTCTGTATCTTCACTATGATGGTGTAAACATGAACTTACTTTGTGGGTAAAATTGCATAGAACTAAACACATACATACAAATACAATTAACTACAGGTTAAACTAAAGAAATCTGAACAAGAGTGGTGGATTGTGTCAATATTAATATTCTGGTGTGATATTGCAGTATAGTTTCACAAGATATGAGGGAAACTGGATAAGTGATACAATATTTCTCGGTATTATTTCCTACAACAGCATGTGAATCTACAATTATCTCAAAACGAAAAGTAATCTAGGCAGGGCACAGTGGCTCACACTTGTAATCTCAGCACTTTAGCAATCCATATTAAATTAATGAAACAAAAAAAATGCCACTCCTAAAAAATGTTAAAAATGAGAAGGGAAGTGTGGGTAATAGTATTTTCAATCTTTTCTAAATTATAACTCTTTGTCAGAGTAAATTATCAGTCAACTAACAAATGTCTTAACCTCAACATTGAAAAAATGAACACCTCTTGATTTAAAGGACATTATCACTTGTCAGATCTCTAGAGTTGGAAGGCACCAGTTCATTCAGGAAATAACTCATGTGATTGCATCCTGTATTTCCTGCAAAGAATTAGCATAGAACTGTCACAGAATTTTTCACTTTCTAAGTGTTCAATATTTGCTTTCTGAAGATATAAAACATATACATCTAAATGTTCTTACATAGTGCAATGGCAGATTTTCAATCTATTGTGTAATGGGCCTATAAGGGTATTATTTTCCATTAATGAATCAAATATATGGTATTTTATGAGAAAAAAAAGAGTTCATCATGGTGCCTTTTGGACAAAAAAATGAAAAATTGTACATCTTAAACATTTATATTGTTGATGTTCTACAAATTTAAGATTAATAAGAGGATTTAGTCTGCATAGCGTATTAGAAAACCAAATTATCTGTAAATTGTACTTCCCATCTTATATTTATTATTCTAGATCTTTTTCAAGTAAAAAAGTAAAATTAGTTTTTTCATACAAATAATTTCTAAAATCATTCTAAATAAGCATTTAAATAGAAAATGAAAGGTATAAGTTAAAATGAACTAGTGTAAAAATCTTAAAAAACATAATTGCCCAAATTCTTTACACTCCCTCAAAGATTAAAAAAAGAGCAAAATGTTTATGGCTAAGGCTTACAGCTGCATCTCTCCGTATTTCCCTTCATTGCTATACATTATCTAATTTGAACTAATTGGAAAACAAATAATAAGGTAAGGAGATTGCACGCCACTCTTCTTCCTTGCTTCATATAGCTTCAAAAGTAAAATATTTCTTTGTCTTAAATACATATATATTTTTTTCTATATTGATCTAAAAGAAGATAATTTGAAAAAAGAAAAATGCACTTTTGAATAAGGAACAGTTGACTGGGAAGAATCAAACGCAAGGAAGAAGCAGATGACTCAACTTTCTGGTTTCTGTGTTTATCATTCAGTTTATTGAAAAGCCAAGAATACAAGAACAAAAAAGGATTAATCATTCAAAAAAAGAGGAGTTTCATATTGGAATTCTAATGAAACTATCAAAGATTTTAAAAATAATCTATGTGGTTATATCTATCCTGGCATAAGTTTCCTTTTCAGTTTTTGTGTAGGTGTTTTCTAATTTTTAATGTATTTTAAAAGTACTTTGATCAGTGAAACTATTAATCTGAGAAGACAGTTAGTTCTAAAGTTCATTTTATTGTTCCGTCATTTCTGCAAAGCTGGAAAATCCAGCAACAATGGCAGAAATACTATATAGCTAAGTGTATGACACAATGGTGGCTACATGGAACAATATTTAGTCTCAGCCATGTGGCTTTGGTAGGTTGCTTCTTCACATCTCAATGCAATACAGAATCAGTTATTGATCTGTAGCTATAATGAGTGTCATGCAGTCATAATTGGAGATCTATTTGCTGGTTACACTGAAACCATATAAACACTTATAAAAATTAATATAAAACTCTTAAGGAAAATGCATGTCCCTCCTTACCGTTGTTATTAAGGACCTTTTCCTGAGAAAAGAAACTAATCGCTACTTAAAAATCACTTGCTTCTTTACTGTCTAGCACTCACTTTCATGCCTCATGCACCATTTGAAATCAATGTAATTATTGTTTCTGAAATTAACTCTACAAATGGAGGGTTATAATTCAAATGAGGTCTTCAGCAACAGAAACAAAAAAGAAAGAAATGGAATTTGATGATTAGTGTTTTGCAAAGTGTATAAAACACAGACCAGCTCTGTGGGTTTGTTAGTATGAAAGAGTAAGGGATATGTCTGAGTAATCAAACAATTATCCCTCATTTGAACCACCTAATGTAAGAATTAAATACTTTTCCATGACTATTCAGGACTTGGAGTGACCTCAAGAGGACATACTTCCTATCGCTCTACCAAACAAGTACAATTTTCCTAGAAGGTACTACTATCTCATAGTTCCTACAGTCCACATTCACTAGGTAGAATGGTAGCACTGACTGTGCTGAAAACAAAACCTAGCTTGCTGCCAATGCCTAGATCTTTTAACTAAAATCTTGCACAGAAGCTGTCTTCTTCCCCCTTTTATGTGCAAAGTTACTTTTGTCTTTTCTCTGTAGCTGCACTGCATTTCTCTTGCCTTAGCTGAAGTCTATTCTGTTTGCTTTTGGCTGTCTCCCCAGGTGACTTAAGTCACTTTTAATTCTAATACTGTCTTCCAGGATTCTGTCTGCCCTGTCTCTTCCTCTTCCTTCCAACCAGCTTCTGATTTGTAAACTTCCCTTCTAATAGCTGCGAAATTGTTGAAGACTTCCAAGAAGTTCAGTGTTTACAGACCATCTGTCACTGTTTTTCAGCTGAAAAGTTGGGCTTACCGGTTAGTCAGTTTGAAGACATACATACGATGGTGAATTTTGGGGGCTCAGGGAGGACGAGATAGTTACAATATTACATATGTGAAAAGAATGTTCATGTGCTAATTTTTCCTGGAAGGGAGGCATCATGAAAAAGAAATACACAGGGGTTTTCACTGCTCTACACCAAGTGTCTAAATAATCCCTAGAACTCAAAAAATATTTGTTTAAGTAATGAAAAATGTACGTGAAATTGATGGCATCTTGAAAACATAACATTAAATCAAAGTTATTTTATCCATTATGAGTAGTCTTATAATTTTAGTAAATTTTTTAAGAGTGTCAATTGTCCAGCTCCTAATGTAATTTATTTCCTTCTAATCCTGTACCAGGTACTCTACTATCTAAACTTTAAAAGCAGAAATAAACAATCAATCATATATTATTTGGAAATACAAAAGGCTACCTGAATACTAACTGCGGATAACAACAGAAAACAAAACAAAAAACAACTCACTACTTGCCATAACTCAAAGTAAAAAGCCCAAATTGGGGTTAAAAATAAAGTGGTTATGTGAAAATGACAGCTCCTTAATTATTTAACTCACAAACTCCTGGCTACGGTCTGGTCATGCTTGCTTATTTGCTGTCAGAAACAAGAATTAGCCCTTTAATAAAGCCATGGAAAATTATTTAAGATTCAATTACAACATATGTGTATCAAGCATGGCATAGTGTCTCACACCTGTAATCCCAGCACTTTGGGAGGCTGAAGTGGGTGGATTACTTGAGATCAGGAGCTCGATATCAGCCTGGCCAGCATGGTGAAATCCTGTCTCTACTAAAATACAAAAAAATTGGCCAGGCGTGGCGGAGTGTGCCTGTAGTACCAGCTACTCAGGAGGCTGAGGCAGGAGGATCACCTGAGCCTGGGAGGCAGAGGTTGCAGTTAGTTGAGATCACACCACTGCATTCCAGCCTGGGCGACAGAGCAAGACCCTGTCTCAATAAATGAATAAATAATAAAGAAAAACAATATATGTGAATCATTACCATGGTTGTCAATAAAAGGCCAAGCACAAAATTTTTATTTCTGATGAAAGTGAGATACAAAGCAAAACCGATTTTCGTATTCCATATTGAAAAAATTGGAGAAGTTTCTTTACCACATATTTAGAAGAAAGTCAGATCCTAAAGCCACTGAAATAGATTCAGTTAAAATCATAGTCATTTTAAGAAAGTTCTCTTCTTTTTTACTTTATACCTGAAGATCTAGACTGATACAAAAATTGTGAATGAGTGAATTTTGAATGAAATAATGAGTCACACCCTTCTCTAATGTATAGTTTTAACACAAAACTGTGATATTTCTTTTCTTATGAAAATAGAATAGGTGTTTTGACATTGGGAGGCCCTGAATGACAGCACTGTCTGGGATGGTTCAGTGTAATATATGTAACTGAGGACTGGAAATCTAAGGCTGAATGATGTGCTTTGAAACTGTAAAGTAAAAAACAGATCTGAAAAAGGATGACAGTTGGATCTCACTTGAATCTATCATTCAGAAACATAATTCAAACAACGCTTCTTCTTGACAGCAGGCTAACAAAAGTATACTGAAAAGTTCTTAAAATAACTTGAATTGCCACTCTACTCTGCCCTCAGACTTTATTTTTTTTAATGCACTTACATTCTTGTTTGATCATATTGAATGGCCAAAGTTTTAGAATTCAAAACCTTGGTGATGTAATGAACTAACTGAATACAACCATTCATCAATAGTCAGTCATATAGCAATATGCCTCAATTTTCAAATTCTTATTTCATAAATATTTAAGATGGCAAATGTCCTGTTTGCTTTATCCTAATAAAATAGTTTTACTCTGATGGTTCTTCATTCCGGTCCATCATGTTTCTCTCTCCTTTGTCTTGACATACATTTCTTATGAAGTCATTTCTAATATATACATTAACGTATATAAATTAGAGTTTTGCATAAAACAGAGTTACTATTGAGTGATGTCTCTCTGTTTTTGTTTTCAGACCTTAATTTTGGCCCACAGTGGAGACTTCATTTTTTAACAAGTAAAAACAGTCTTTCTAATGGTTGTATCTTCTATGGCATTAGAACACCAACTTCAGTGTAAAGCAAGGGATCTTTCACAGGGAGATGAGATCTATGAAGTTGGGAAATCCTTAACACTGCATGTAAAATGATTTAGGTATATGTTTGTACACTAAATTGTGCACATTCACATGTCTGCACTGCCTTCTGATGAAAGATTCCAATGGCTTTTATTTTCTTTACAAAGAATTAAAAAACTGGTATAAAGGAATAAGAGGTAAGTTTCTTTCCTTAGTGAGTAAAATATAATATAAACAAGAAAACTGAAAAAAATAAATTAGAAGTACTCCAAATATATATTATATTTATATCACCTAATTGACCTTAAGATTGCATTATGGAGAAAGGTTATAATTCAGAATTTATAACTGAATAAGATTTTTAACATCATCTAATCTACCACCATTATTTAATACATAAAGAATCACAGGCTGAGGTATTTATAATTTATTCAAGGTCACACATGACCTCTGGTAGTTTTATTTAAATATATTTAAATCTGTGATTTTCAAAATTTTTTTAAGATCCTCTTCCTCAAAAAATGTTTCAACGTAATTTTATTAGGAGCCTTGTAGGAGTTCATTAATCTTTCCATATACTTTTTGATAATATTCAATTACTTTATTTTCATATTCTTGTATTAAATTATATAAAATAAATGAATAAAAAAGAAAGTAAATAGACAAAAGAAGAGGCTTCTAGAATTACAGAGAACAGATTCAATAGGCATTGTCTATTTTAAGTATTTTGTTTCCTATTTTTAGCTTTTTGGTGTAGCAAAACAATATCAACACACATAAACAATCTACAGAAAGTACAAACAATGATTAGTTCAACTTTGTCGGGCTACTTTATAAAACAGGAATAACTATATAAATCAATACCAAGTCACTTATTAAAAAAAACAACGAATAGAATCTACATGACACCTTTCAAAGTTACATAAGTTTTAAAATCACAGAAACCATAATTTTAGATTTTAATGTTTTAATTTGAACAATGACATTACAGAGTCAAAAAAGAAATATTTTACTGAACGCTAAGAACTCTTTCATCATTTTTTTCTAAAGTCATAAATTGAAGAGCTGACATCTTGATTTATCACACTGTGCACTTTTAATAGCCAACAAGTTTGCTATTAAATTTTAATCAACCTGCCTATTAAATTTCATTCAAATGGTTTGGAGATACTTCAGCTTCTTTTAATAGCTAATTCATTCACTGGGAATCCATTAGTATGGATTTCAATGACATATTTTCTCTAAAGTACAGATTAAGTTATTGTTAGTTCAATATAAAATGACATAGTCTGATTTCAGAGGTGTTGCCTCTGTTTTAACATACAAATCCGAAGATTCAGAGTTGGGAAACCTAGAAGTTACCTCTTCAATTGCTCTTATTTTGTATTAATTGGCTACATATGTGTCTTCTTGTCCAGACATATGAGCTTTTCCACAGCAAATACTTAAAAGTCAAATTGCTGGGTCATATCTTGTGCACATTTTCAATTTATTGAAGTAACATATTGCCTAAATGCTGTCAAACCTGTTTATACAATTCACTTTCCCATGAACAGTGCACTTATTCTCTCAAATTCTTGCTAGGATTTAGCATTGTCAGACTGACATTTTTGCCAATCAGAGTATGAAATGGTATTTCATATCACTGTTATACTCTGCATTTCTTATTACTATAAAGGTAGGTAATTTTTCATATGTTTATTCGCTATAAGGGTTTCTTTTTTGTGAGTTGCCTGTTCTTATCTTTGGCCCACATTTCTATTGGGCAGTTGAATTTCATTTATTAATTTGTAGACATTCTTTATACAACATGGGCACTAGCATTTTGTTTTTTATATATGTTGTTTACACTTTCTCCCAATGGCTTATGTGTTATGAGTACAGTTTCAATGTTGAGAAAATGATCTTATCTATCTTTTTCTTATAGGTGTGATCATTATTATTTTGTTTTTAAAAACTCCCTCTTTAATCTAAAATCTGAACTATAATTTTTGAAGTTTTAAGGTTTTATATTTAATATTTTTCCATATTATGCAACACAACACTATCATATTGCAAATGAGAAAACTACTGTCATTAGATATTCAATGACATTATTCATATAATTAGCTAGAAACCAAAGCTCTTTAGAGATTTTAGGTTTTCCAACTGCTTAAGCCAACAGTGGTAGGATTGAAACTCAGAATTGTTGGTGAATCTGCTTCAAAGCAAAGTGGTTGGTTTGCAGAAGTGAGGGACTCTTATTAGTAATTTATTAATCTCTAAAGCTCATCTTTTGTAGTCAAAGCCATGTATTTCTGTGTTCTTTTAACTTGAACATTTTGAATTCTTTTGCATAGTACTCAAAGAATACTGAGTCTGAAAATCCTGGGGCAATTTTCCTTAACCACAGGCAAAATAGCAGTAAACCACAGTTCTTTTTAGTAAATCAAAGGCACTTAGCAAAAAATATTTATCTTTGTCATTCACACAGTAGCAACTCAATTCATTTCCTCTAAATCAGATTATTTGATAGTCTGCTAATGGTATGTAGTCAATCCTATAGCTATATTTATCTGTTACTCACACATTGCTTGTGAATTTGTGCTGAAATAAAACAAAATGCAGAACAAATGAACATATTATTAATAAAGACAAAATAATTTACCAAAGTGAAAAAAATATGACATTTAGTATAACTCACTGCCCAGTATTGGTGTATTTTTAATATTGTGCAAATTATATAATCTTACATGCAGAAGGTCTGTCGTGACTAAAATTTGATCTTTTAAATTGGAAGCTATATTTGAAAAGTGTGTCTGAACAAAATAGACATGAATTCAAATAAGGTATCCGTGAATAAAGAGATTTTTGATAATGTTACAGAAGGCTTATTTTATACTATGATCATAATCAGCTCTGTTCTATTTAGACTGAGGCTGATTCAGGAAACATATTGTTTCTATTTTTCTAAATCAAGATTGACTATCTTCCTTCTATCTATATATCCTCTCAAATCTTTCGTAATTCTCCAGTGATTTTCCAGGGTTGTAAATTACCTTCTATGAATGTGGTAGCTGACTTGTCTTACATTCTGAAGCGGCCACATTCCTTGTTATGACAAATTATGAAGAAAGCTTATTATAAAAAATCATAGGAGAAGCTATCACATAAACAATTAAACTTTTAAATGGCATGTAGTATATAAAGCTGAGCTATATAAAGTGCTAGCCTTTGTATGCAATTCAACAGGAGCTAATTTAATCAAATACTACCCAATTATTGGTTGTTACAATTTAAGTACTTTCTTTCCAATGAGGCCTTTTTCTCTTTGCTAAACATATATCCTCCTTTCACATTTTAATTTTTTAGGTAATTGAATTAACTCCCATTTACCTCACAAAAGCAGACAGAAATTAATACAGCCTATTTCTTAGAAAAATAATTTGAACCAATGATGACTCTGTTAGAATTAACTTTGAATATTATATATGGTATCTATATCATCACAACCTTTATGTTTACAATATTAGCAGGAACATTTTTCCAGATGAGAGACACAGTTCAAGTTTTATTTGTTTTAAAATTTTGAATTATAAAACATATCATAGTTTTTGTTAAAACCAGAATTAGCAATACAATAATAAAAATTTTAATTTATAATATTATCACTGAAATTTCAACTGAAATATATATTCTACTTATTCCAGGCATTACTGTATTGTCCTGACAGAAATGGGCACAGCTTCAAAAAATATCAAATTCAGGAGCACAAAGATCTGGGAAAAGCTATATCTTTTTTATTACTACAAGATTATAGGGAAAAGCTCTTTACCTGTTTTTCTAACATAATCTTTGCCCTCACCAAAATATTCATCCTCGTACTGAAATATAAAAATTTTAAATTAAAATAAAAAATATTCTACAAATAAAATACTTTGAAAGCTTCCAGGAAAGAAGAATGACAATGAAATTCTTCTTACAATCTAAGCCCTACAATTGGACAATAATATATAATAATTCAACATATTCTATATCAAAAATAGTTTTGTAAAAGTAATATGTGGCTTGCCAATCTATATCCTCATATATTCAGTTTTTTCAAGCATTTTTTTCCTTACACGGATAGGAAGAATCCACTCTAAAAAAACTGTGCTTAGAACAAAATAAAATGGAAGCAAATGAATAGTACAGGAAGGAATTTTAGAAATAAAGACGTGAATAACTTCACTGTTAAGAATATCTATTTTCCATATTAGGTGATAAAAATAAAGGTCACTTTGAAATACTTCCTTCAAATGACTATATCTATATTCTAATCTTCAACTTCATGAAAAATTGTCATTATATGAAAAGAATGAATGTTTTTGTTATCCTGTATAGGGCTTTGTGGTCTGAAAGACCTTGTTTGGCATCTAGATGTTGCCTTTAATAGTCATGTGATCTTGGACAAGTTACTTTGACTACCAAGAAACTCAGTGTCTTTATGGATATAAAGAAAATGGATAATAAATAATGAACAGAGTACAATATGCAAATGACTACACACACACTAAAGGAGAAACACCAAATTTATCAACAAATACAAGGAGGCATATTGTGTTCTATCAGAGAAAAGAACACCAGCAACTCCTAAGTTGGAATCTTCACACTTAGCTCTAAAAATAGGAATTTTTAAAAATTACATCCTCAACAACTTACATGAAACAAATAGTAATATTTTAGAGCTAAGTGGAAATATTCTATAGCACTTATATTTAGAATTTATCAAGGTAGCTCACTGAAGCTTGTTTGATTCACAATAGAGGTAAGAAATACTGCTCATAATATGTGAGGTAATAACGTAATAAATCAAAAAACGTGAGGAAATTAAATACAATTTTTAAAACCTCTCTTTTTAAAAGGATCTATGAGAGCTTTAGGTTAACAATAATAATAAATACAAACTGTTTATTATTGTTTAGTTGGCTGTGAGAGACTGGATTACTTGGATGAGTCATATCAGAGACAAAGTTGAACACAATGCATAAGAAGGACGTGCTGAGTAAGCAATAAGAAGATTTTTTTTTTCTTTTTCAGATCCTGCCAACGATTTATAGCCAAGGACCTTTGCCCTGGATTGATGGACATCAATATTTCATATATTTCATTTTGCCACTTGAATGGAGACTTAACTCTGAAAATTATTTGGCTTCCTTGGGTTAAAAACCTGGATATTAACAGCCTTGTTTAATTATCTGACTCAGCATCTCACTTAAAAAATCTGAGCCTATTTTGCCTTTGTGTTATTAAACTGATTTTCCTAACACAGGCTTCTTTATTTTATTGTTCCTTTTCTGATTGTTTCTATCAATAACATGTACATATATATCCTTTGTGTATGTATGTATATATATATATATATATATACACACACACACACGTTCTTTGTGTATATATATATACACACATATATATACACATATTCTTTGTATATATATATCCTTTGTGTATATATATATACACACACACAGAACGCTGTTGCCTCATTTACACAGAATATAAAGAACAAAATTATAGACATACTAGACATAAATATAACAGTAATTCTCAAAATAAAAATTTACCTATGTCATTGAATACTTATATTTGCATTCATATCAGTATAATGCTTGTTCAAAATAAAAATAGTTTGTTATTTGGTTACACTGATTTGTTAACTTGCATAGCTAACATTATTAACTGTTTTTGCAAATTTCATAAGTAGATGTCAGATTATATTAGGAGCTGGTTAATATTTACAACCAATGATTTTATAATCCTTCAGAACAGCAAAGCTTTGGGGCAATACAGACTATTTTATGCATATGAGTCAAATTATATTTATTGACATTAATAAACTACAGTGAATGAGTATGAGTGTTTTGCCCTAGTAGCTTTAATTTATATAAATCATTAATTGCAGTGAAACATCACTTAGATTTTTTTCATTTGCATTTTTTCTTTAAAAATATAAAAGCAAAATATGTTTAGAAGCCTGAATATTAATGGAATGGCAGGTGATTTATTTTGAAGTTTCTTCTGCCTCAGTGACCAACCTCCTGGGAAAGACAATACATGCTCTGAGAAAACTTTTGTTAAAAACGGTTCTGAGCCACATCCCTGCTCCACTACATAACTGGTTATTTAGAAGAGCTGTCTGAATTGGAATAGTGTTCTCTAAGCTTCTGAAGGGAGAGGACAGGACTTAGAAGAAAAGTGAAGGCAGTGTTTGCTTATGTCATTATCTAAGGTAGGGAGAAGAAATATATTACCTTTATTTCTTTGATGCTAAAACATGGTTATAAATCAAAAGTGGGAAATACAAATAAGCAGATGCAATGTGCATTTAATTTCTAATTTAGAAGTGACAATTCAGTTTTATTATTTTATTTTTTTGTTAGCCTCCAGGGTAGCACAATCTATTATTATTTATTTTACTTGGCATTCAGTTAACCACTTCATTCTTCCCACCGCTGCAAAATAAAAATGAAAACAAAACTTCGGTAGTGAATGATGGGTTTTAATATCTGATTATTTGAAGGCACTAGCAAGGGCAAGTTTTCATTTTTTAGAAAGTATAAGTGAACTTCTGAATAAAACAATAATAATAATTACGTTCCAGGCCCTGCTGTAAGCAATTTACATATTAATATATTCATTTACTCCTCTCAAGGACCTTCTGAAGTGACAACTATTTATTTACCTGTTGCATAGACCCTGAGAAGTTAAGCAATTTGCCAGAGGTCTCTGGATTAAAACTCAGGTGTCCATTCTTAGAACTATTAATGCAAAACTAAAATGAGTAGGTCAACTACTTGCAAATATCTATTTGATAGCAGCATCTTTCCCCTCTGTATCAACCATACTCCTAACAGGTGGGGTCACTTTTCAGTAGGTAGTAATGCCACTAGCTACGAGCCAAAATTTACCCTTAAAAATCTATGAAAATAAATCCATTGTCATAGGAAATCGCAATTTTACCAATTACATATATTTACTGAGAATGCTTCTGCAGATTAATAAAGGTCTGAACTCTGAAAAGAGAATCCATCAGCATTTATAAACAAGTGCCACACATCTACAGATCAGTCTTCCTATATATAACAACTAAATTTGGCTTAAATAAATATACCCTTACTAGTCAGATCTCTATGCATAAAAATCTAAATCAAATTAACTTGTGTGGGAGGTTGACAAGATGGAGGATAGGAGATCAGGGAAAAATAAAAACCCATGATGCTAGCCAAGCAATTGTTCCAGAAGAAAACAAAATGCCCTTTTTTCTAATTCTACCACTCAAATTGAATATTTTTACAATAACTTCAGGGCTGGGGTGGGAATGGGGCACTCTTTTGTGATTCAAAGATCCATATTGGTAAGAGCTACTTAGCAAAACTTGATTTTCACATGGAAGTCTCTAACCTCATTCTAACTAATTAAATAAAAAGAAAATGAAAAATATAATATTTATGATGAGATAAAGCCAATAGATAAAATATTTGTGATGACATAAAGCCTAACAAATATAATATTTACAATAAGATAAAGCCTAATTTCAGAAAATATCCTAATTTCTACATAGAGTTAATAAAAAAGTAGAAATATTTAACAATTCATGCCACTGTCAGAGGAAATGTCTCAGTAAACATTTCATTTTTGGATCAAACTGAAGTTTTAGAGGTATTGTTAATCTAAATAGTTCAAGGCTAGGCACAGAGGCTCTTGTCTGTAATCCCAGCACTTTGGGAGACTGAGGCAGACGGACTGCTTGAGGCCAGGACTTCAAGACCAGCCTGGGCAACACGGCAAAACCCTATCCCTAAAAAAAGTTAAAAAAAAAGAAAATGGTGTGGGAGCCTCTAGTTCTAGCTACTCAGGACCCTGAAGCACGAGGATCACTTGAGCCCAGGAGTTTGAGGCTTCACTGAGCTATGATCATGCTATTGCACTCCAAACAGGGTGACAGAGGGAGACCCTGGCTCAAAAAAATAAAAATAGCCGGGCGTGGTGGCTCATGCCTGTAATCCCAGCACTTTGGGAGGCCAAGGCGGGTGGATCACGAGGTCAGGAGTTCAAGACCAGCCTGGCCAACATGATGAAACCCCGTCTCTACTAAAAATACAAAAATTAGCCGGGTGTGGTGGTGTGTGTCTGTAATCCCAGCTACTCAGGAGGCTGAGGCAGGAGAATTGCTTGAACTGGGGAGATGGAGGTTGCAGTGAGCTGAGATCATGCCACTGAACTCCAGCCTGGGCAACAGAGCAAGACTCTGTCTCAAAAATAAATAAATAAATAATAAAATAAATAAAAGTAAATAAATAGATAAACAGCTCAAGATAAGATTTGACCTGCAGAAATTATTGGTAGGAGATATGGGTGGCAAAGACTACTCTAGCTGCAAGTCCTTTCCACCACTACCAGAAAGTTGGAGTTACTAGAGATTTGAATTAGATTTCCAACAGCCCTGGGAGGAGACTGAGGATTGAGTGCTGACTACACCTTCAAGGTATCAGCAAAATAGTAAATATTTAAATGAACCAATGAATAAACCATCCTGAAGTCCTATGAGTTTGTAAAAACTTGGGTCTGGCCTAGAGTTCATCTTTGTTGAAACTCTCTATAATCAACCATCACCTTACAGCTCTTCTAAAGCTCCTTCTACTTGTGCACATAGTTGGATCGCTAAAGTTAACTTGATAGTAGTGCTGGCCTATTGGCCTCAAGGAATTCTGAATTTGTCTAAGTGTGTAACATTGTGCCAAACAAGTTGGCTGGAGAAAAATATTTGAAAATATACAGAAAACATTTTGTGAAACACCTTCATATTTATAGATATGCGAAGTACAATTTTAATGAAAGATTTTAAAGAGATAAAGTGATGAAACAACAAACTTCCAAAGAGAATATAAAGGAATTAATATACTCATTGAAAATTATTATATCAATAAATCTGCCAAGGTTTCACATGCTTCCAAGGAGTAAAATCCCAATAGTAATCAAATTTATCACATTGGGAAATCTAGAAAGGTAATCTCATACTTATGATACAACAAGCTGATTCAAGAACAGAATATTTGAGATGGTTTAAAAAAATAAATACCATTGAAAAGTAGTTCTACACTGCATGATGTATTCTTTATTCCTAATGGATCCTAAAGATGATAATGATTGATTCTTGTTTGTAAGAATAGATGATAAGACATACAAAATTTTAAAATAATACTCTTTTAATGAATTAACCAGTAGAATGAACAGGGAAGAAAACCTAAAGTAAAAATAGGACTAATTTTTGGAAAACAGCTTCTCATTTTCAAGGGTCAGAACTATCTTAAAGACAAAAATAAGAGATTCAATACATCTAACTTACCAAGAAAGGAAAATGGAGTCTGAATTTAAAAAAAAACACTATCTATAAAAAACTAAATGAATTGGAAGTTAGAATATATGAAGATGTAAAGATGTAGTATCTAGATTTTTATTTTAGTAATAGAGAATATAATCTTTTGAATAAACAGAAGTGAATAATTATGTTGCTTAGGTGACTGTTTATCTGAAAAGATGAATCTTCGATGTCACCTACCTAAATATGATACACACGCCTGAATGCAGGGAAGATAAGACCCTGGGAAATAAGACAAGATTAAAGAAGGAGGTTAAAGACTATCTTCAGAGACATAATATGAAGAAACAAAATTTCAAGTAGTCCACTCATCTAAGATAAAAAAATAAGATGAGAATAAAACTAGGAGTTTCTGACTTGAGGGGGACTAAGAAATTAATCCAGGAAATGAAGATCACTATGACTTCTAGCACAAATAAAGTCACTAAGTGAAAGGAAGAATATATATCCTGATGAAATGATCACTACCTGGGCACCCTTTAAATTATAAATGCAATTTAATTCTCTACACAAAGTCATCATTAAATTAATTTATTCAACGTCACAAGAAATTGTATACCCTTCCTTTAACAGCTGTATGAAATATCTTTTAAAACTAGAGATTTTGATAAACAGACTTAAACATATGACCGGCCAATATAAACTAATATTATTTCCTTTAAATATATTTCAAATTGATCCAGTTATCCACAAATCACTATATTCAAAGTTGATTAAATTCTTGAGAAGCAATTAAAAAGGAAGAAACTAGTAGCGTTATATAGTGATTAACTTTAAGCCCATAAATAGTTTGCATTCATAGCAGTTTTTACTGAACTGACACACCTTACTATCTTTACATGAATTTAGACAACAATATTAGACAAAATAATTTTACATATTTTGTTTATCCTAATATACATACAATTCATCATTAAAATCATATTACCTCATTCTTTGTTTAATCAATAATTATTCAATGGCTTCCGGGATCATTAAATGAAAGATAGTTCTATCAATAAATCCTATAGGTAAGGACAGTTCTCTTTCTTGGAACATGCAGTAAATTTTCTTATATATGGAATTGTTTAAAGAATACAGAAAATCAGTCATATGTAAGCAAATTAATCCTAGGTTATGGAGGCGTTTGTAAGTAATTTGTTCTTTATGATTTAAAAGTAATGTCAAAAAGTTAGAATACTCATATTAAAAGAAATTTTCACAAACTAAACATTAAAACTAAATTGAAAAAGATAAGAATACTTGAGAGATATTGTCTAAATTAATATATTCTAGCCAATAAAAACAAACTAATAACGAAACAAAATACCAGGAGGTAGCTCTTTTATTTTAATACGTTTTCTTCGTATTTGGAGGAATATTCTCACTCACTATTCTTACTAATCAAGACAAAGTGATGTAGATAATTTTAAATCATCACTAGTTTATAGTTACTATATTGTTGCCCCAAATAATACATGAAACTCAATTAAGATTATATTAAAACATGGATCCCTGCATCAAATTCAATTTTGACACTGCCCGTTCTAACTTCTTCATATAGATAAGATGAAACTTACTTGAGTACAAATAATTGAGAGTACTAGCATCTGAATCTTTCTGAATCATAAGCCATAATTATTACATTATTTCTTCCTAAGTAGCATAAAATATAACAAAAAACTAACAGAAATAAGGTAAAAACAAAATAATAATTCTAGTTTGGGGATACAAAATAATAATATCGATCATAAAAATACCTTAAATTCATGCAAATGCCTCCTTCCCAGATAAAACTATATTCTAAATATTTCCCATTGCTGACTGTAGTAGCCTCTTGGTCTCCACAAATGTTGCATCTAGTCATTTTTACTGCAGCAAAATGAATTCTAATCATATCCCCACACATACACACACAGAAAGAGAGAGAGGTTGAGAGAGAAAGAGAAAGAGAGACAGAGAAAGGGAGAGAGAGAGAATGCAAAGATCAAGGAAAAAAAGTCAACCACAAACAAAACAATAGATTAAGGGAACGTCATTTCTTCATTTCAAAAATCTAAATGCCACCCAGGGAGCACTGAACCACAAGCACATACACAAAAATCATAATATACCCAAAAGTATCTTTTCTCCTATATTTTTAAATATCCAATATTATCCAGATAAGTCTTTTAGATATTAAGACGTGATTTTTTCCAAGTACACAGGTTGCCTTAAGTATGTATTAGACAGTATACTTTTACTTCCGCAAAGACTATGAAATTGCTTTATATCTAAGACAATGTGGAACTCTATGATGCTTAGCCGACTATACAGCCACATAATTGCCCATTTTCACTGCTTCCAATGAGGCCTGACAGCTCTCCAGTTTATAGCAGCAGCAGATGACTAGGAAAAAAAGTTTTTTATTTTCTAATTTCCTTTTGGAAAAGACTTCTGGAAAATTCAGGATTTTTTTAAAGTAGCTTATGAATAATGGAACACATTGCTACACTCAACCAAGTTTTATGTTCTTACAATGTTTCTATCATGTGGAACAGGTTCAGAAGTTGCAAATAAAGCAATGAATTTAAGGACTTCTTAAAGTAATCAGAAAAGTAATAAATATGAAAAATTATTTCTAATTACCTCTGTTGAGTGACGCTGAACTGTTTATGTCTCCAGTAATAAAGGAAGACTCTGACTGCTTTCGAACCGTGTCATTCCACATTCTACGGATTCGGCTCTGGGTGGGGGAAAAGGCAGAAAGAAAATGAACTCATGATGCAGTGAATTTTCACACAAATCATTCTTTTCTTTTCTGTCATAATTATATGAGACCTTTGTTTCTAGCATTTGGCAAATAGACAACTACATGTTTGCAGTACAGTAGCATGAGAACATCAGAAATAACTTTCATGATAATATATGGTTCTCATTAACTGTATTCCTAAATGCCTATATACCAAAGATAATTATAACCATGAAAAAAGAAATAAATGTAAAGTACTATACCAATTTAAATATGTTGAATATATACAGAGGTATATATCTTCAGACAGAATTAGAAAATTTTAATTTCCAAGGTAAAACAAATTATTTTTACTATAACTTTTATTGGAATGGGAATGTTTAACTATGCATTAAATTGCCAGTTCTAACAAAAGATTTAGTTTAAGAAATCAGAATCTTGCAAAAGAGTTTGCTAAGAAAAGAAAATAGAACATTATTAAAATGCTACTGAACTTAAATTTTCCATAACTTTTAGAGGAAGATCAATGTAATTTTAGGGATTACATAACTATCCTGACTTTTCTTTCTTTGAAGAAGATAAAGTTAGTTGATTCATTGCTTCCATAGGAAGTTTTACAGGTAACTAAAAATTCTCAAATTATTATTGACATTCTTAAATTCAAATTTCTAAGGGTCAGATATTATAAACTTTTTCCATTGGGGGATTTTTTTCTTTTTTATTCTGTTATATCAGTTTACTGAGTTATGGGTCAAAAAAGTATTAACAATCTTGTGAGGAAGAAACAAAATATTTTCAGAAGTTTTTCCAAGGCTGAAATAGTTATAAGAAACATTGCTACTACTTATGAAACCATGCCTACAATGGGTTATGTTCCAAATACATTTGAACTCCTTGAATAATGGGAGTAATCAATCTTAGAATATTAGACAAGTGATTTTATGAATCTTGGAACATGCTTATTCTTCAGAAATATTGTTGTATATCACATTTTCCCTAGGTTGACAAATGTGTGCATGCACACACACACAGACACAGACATAGACAGAAAACTAATAAACGAAAGGACAATGTTGGGAGCCAGTCTCTCACATTTGTTTTATTAGTTGGTTAATTAATTAATTAAAAATATTAATTACCCTCTATTGCCTGCCAAATACTAACTTATAAGATACAAATGTGAAATGTAAGCACAAAATGTCTTGACCCTTATGGAGATGTTAAACTAGGAACAGATTAGTCAAATTATCACAAAAATAAATGCAAAAGTACAATATGCCCACAAATCTCCATACAGTCATTAAATATTATAGCTGAAATATGATCAACCAAAATGACTGTCAATGGTAGGATGGATGAATAAACTATACAATAATATAAAACAAAGAAAATTAAAAGCTCATAGCCTCCTGCAGTAATGTAGATGTCTTGGGAACAAAGGAAAACATAAAAGAGTATGTACTAAATGATTTCAGGTGAGTAAGTATCAAAATATGCAAACTAAAATGTGCTATTGAAAGCTAAGATAGTGGTTATGTTTGGAGCTTAATGATTGAGAGGGGTTCAAAGGGTTTCCAAGGTATTCTCAGTATACTAATACTTGGCCTGGGAAGTGGTAATAATTAATTGTGCCATACACTTATGTTTTGTATACTTTTGTGACTATTCATTATACTACAGAATTTTTAAAGATTTTTACCAATTATACCATTTATTTTTACCATATATTAAGGGATATGTCCTTGTCTAGGGAGTCTGAGAACAATGCAGACTGAGGAAGTAACATTTTATCTAGGAGTTGATGAAGTTATTATTGTTAGGTGATATTTATATGAGCTGTCCCCATTATCTCATCTCCTATTAATCTCCCCTGTCTGCTCTAATTGCACCTGTCCCCTTGCTGTTCTCTAACATGCCAGGCATGTTTGTGCTTCAGAGGTTGGCAATGCTGGTTGTTTTCTCTGTCTGGGGTGCTCTTCTCCAGATACAGGTATGCATAATTCCTTTATTCTTTTAAATATAAAATATTTTTTTTTCTGAAGGTATAACACCCTACTTAGAACTGTAGGCTACCCACACAATCCAATCACATCTCAGTCCCTTTTCCCCTACTACATTCCCCCAACAGTCACTAACATCTCCTATAATACCATGTATTATATAATTATTTCTTACATTTATATTTAATAGCTATCCATTTAATGTCTAATATTTAATGTCTTATGTCTGCATTAGGCTTGAGGCTCTATGAAAACAGAATTTTTGTCTTTTTTGTTCATTGAGGTACATATACTTGGCATATACATACATAGTGTATGTATATTATATATGTGCATGTGTGTGCATATACATCTATATAAATTAATTTTTTCTATGCTCTCTTTTCCATACTATATACCTTTCCTATATTCACCCATCAAAACCTCACAAGAACTCCATGAGGTAGGTAATACTATACACTAGAAAAACCGAAGCACAGTGGTTAATGAACATGTCTGATGGCACAGACCTTATAACCAGCATTGGAATGCAGTCATCTGGCTCCTGAGTGCAGGAGGTTAACAACTCACTGCACTATACCAAATATAGTTTAAGAGGAAAAGGAGAAAAAGGAGAAGTATTGCAGGCAGAGGAAAAAGTATATAGTATATTGCACAGAGGCCACACTTATAACCAGGAAGGGTTTTAGAATATGGGAGTGAAAAACCCAAGTCAGAGAAGACTACACACAAAAAATACCATTTTTAAACAAAGGTTTAATAAAGGAATGCTGAACAAGATTTTTTGGAAGGAGAGAAATGATTAGAATAAGTTGCGGGAATGGAAAAACAAAATTTAGGAGCCTTTCTGGAGGAAGGCATAGGGATTGGTTACGGAGGTTAAATAAAGAGGAAAACATATTGAAAATGTTCTATTTCCTAGGTTGGATGTTGAGTTCACAGGTGTTCATCTTATTAAAATGTTTCAATATTTCATATACATATTTCACTTTTTTATTTTTCAAATATTATATAATAAAAAGCAAATATATCTAAAAATCAATAAAATATATGAAAGATAAATGACAAAACAATTACGAGAAAGTCAAAAGATATTATTTCAGTCCATAGTTTAAAAAAAGTTACACCCATTTCTGTGAATATATGTTTGTGTGACTGATGCATATTATAAAACTTTTATAAGTGATTAGGACCAGGAAGTAAGTTTGGAGGAGCAAGAGGTGAAGAGGATTTTTACGTTTTAGTCTTGGCCATCATCCCCTGCATTATCTACAATGTAGCAACATAATGTTTACTACATGCAGATTATATCCTGTCACTTTCATTTCTAAAGTATCTCACTGGCTATCCAAAGTAATCAAAATAAAATGTAATTTTCATACTGTTACAAATACCTAGGGATCTGTCTCTTCCCTTTTTCCTTGACTTTCTATCTCATTCTCCCTCTAACCTACTTTGGCCAATATTTTTTGTAAGTTCTCCAAACTGTAAAGGCTTTGCATTAGCCATTTTCTCACTTAGAATTCTGTTTCCCTGAATTTCCTTTTCTCCTTTCATTTAGAATCTTGTAACTCAGACTTTGGCATAAGTATCACTTCCAAAGGTAGTCTTTCTCCAGCATTTAATCCAAGTAGCCACCTGGCTAATTGACATCATCATATTTTTGTTCTCCGTCAGCTCTCCCATTTGATATTTTTGTTGGGTTGTTTGTTATTAATACGTTTTCTGTCTCCCAACGCTAGAATAAAAGTTCCAGATCACAGGGGAAGTTATATGTCTTTTAACCATTTTATCCCCAGAGATTAGAAGATTGATGGCATTATATAGGAGGCACTCAATATTTCTAAATAAAAAATCATAATATATAGAGATAGTTATTTTAGAAGTGCTCTTATGTGAAAGATGCATCCATACTCCCCAAATTTTGTCTTAATATCAATATTTTAGCATTTGCTTATGGGTGGCCATAATTAGTGGGAAATGTATTTATTAGTCTTACCTAAACAAATAATATAGATTTAAGTAACTATAACCTTACATAGGCTTGGCTGGTCATAGTTAATCAGAATTAGTATTATATTAAGTATAAGAAAAAATGTAAATTATTTTCCAAGAGTAGAATTGTGATATTACAAATTACAAGAGTAAGGAGAAAAATATGATACAACTTAAAAATATATATAATAATATTCTGTAATAACAACAGTAATAAATGGTAGCAACCACCGTTTATTGAGCACCCACTATTTATTCTGTTTTGTGTATATTACTTCAATCTTCTTAGCAACTTAAGATGTCAGTATTTATTATCACCATTTTACAGATGGAAAAACTGAGTGTCAATGAAATTAGTAACTTGTTCTGTGTCATAGCTGGTACGTGGCAAGGCCAGGATTCAAAACAAGGTATACCCACCCACAGAGTTTATTATTATTCCATTGAGCTGCACTGCCTTAACTTGTAGTTTAGAAGTATTGCTAAACATTGCACAACTCTGTCGTAAAGTAGTAAATGAGACTCCTAAATATTATTATAATATTAATGACATATGTCAATAAAATGACTATCGGATGGTAGCTGATGAACTCAGTAATGTGAAAAGCATGCGGGATCTAATCATGCTGGATGATATAGGGAATCTTAGCAATATCAATTGAAAAGTCGTGGAAAAAGTTATTACAAAAAGAGGAAGAGCAAGGGATTATGAGTCTGAAAATAAAGGCATTAATTATAAAAGGGGCTCATGCTATAAGCATCATCCTGGTCTGCCCCCACTCTTATGTGAAAATTCAGATCTCTGTTTGGCAAATTTAGTAGTCCTAAACTCAGAAATTTCCATCCATCTGAGTTGGGACAATTGTTCTTCTGATTTGCAACTTTACAACCTCAGTGTGGTGTGTAAAAAATAAATCAAATTCAGATTATTAATAATCATGCAATTATATTTAAGTTTCATGATTGTGGTTAGTAAAATTATTTAACATAGCCTGATATTTTTGACAGTTATATGTTAGTTTTTAAAATTTTAATTGGAAATATTAGATTGATATTAAAGACATGGTTTTATTTGTAAGATTAAAACTCAATTGGTGAGGAAATTGTTTATGAAAACACTGGTCATCCATTAATTTATAACTGTGTTCAAGTGCTAGCTAGGTGTGTATGACTAGTCTGACAGTTGATGTGTTTGAGACAATCAGATATATTAAATTTATAAATGATATTTGAAAGGTATAAAGAAATTAAATTTTCTAAGCATATAAATGAAATTATTTAGGGAAATTTAAACTATTAAGCTTACAAGCCAATTGAACATCCATCAAATAAAAAATGAAGCAATCACTCTTATTTTATATAAAATAACCAAATTTATGAAACAATAATTAGATATATAGGTTGAGCTAAAAGAGTTAAGAAAAATTAATTCTTGATTTATAAGTTTATTTATCAATTTAAACTCAAGGCTTCCTCAGAAAAAATTAATTGGCAACACTGAAAACATGCTTTTTTTTTCTACTGAATCATGCAATCTTAAAAACACTAGTCTGGGTGACTCACAACTATAATTCCAGCACTTTGGGAGGTCAAGGCAGGTGGATCACTTGAGGCCAGGAATTTGAGACCAGGCTAGCCAACATGGCAAAACACCATCTCTACAAAAAACACAAAAATTATCTGGGCGTGGTGGCACACGCCTGTGGTCCCAGCTACTCGGGAGGCTGGAGGCTGACGTGGGAAGATTGCTCGAACCCAGGGGGAAGGGGTTTCAGTGAGCTGAGATTGTACCACTGCACTCCAGCCTGGGCAACAGAGTGAGACTCTGTCTCAAAAAACAAACAAATAATACTAGTTTGCTAGCTTGAACCAAACGCACTCATGACCTACACCACTCTATGTCTTTTATTTGACTGGCTCATCTTAACATCCAAGAGTTGCTAAAATTTCTATGTAATAATCTTTGAGCTGATACTGTGCCCTGGGAAAAATGGCACACAGTTTACCTAAAAGCTTAAAATTTTTCTGGTAAGGTACTATACTGCTACGTCTAGTGCTGGGCGAATGGGAGTGGAGCTTAGACCAGGTATGTTAATAATGCTGTTGTAGTATTCTTCACTGCCCTGACTTTTCTTCAACTTCTCAGCACATAATATAGTTGAGTCATAGTTATTTTTACTAAACATACCATATTATATGTAAATTGTGTCAGTTTGTGATAATTATTATACTAGTTAGAAGAATTATAAGAATTAGAATCATATCAATATATCACATTTCTATATATATGAAATGTTACTTTCTTAGAATTTTGGGTGAAACGGCAAATTCCTTTCTTTACCTGCTGCATTTATTGAACTGAAAACAATCTGAAGTCATTATTATGCAAACTTCAAATTTGCAGACTCAAATTTCATCATATTATTACAGTTTTAGTTTCTTCCATTTCTGTCAGAATCATTCCCATGTGAGACACAGTGAAACAACAAAAACAAACGATGTGTTAAACACAGGCTAGAAATTAGCTCCAATCATAAGGGACAGTAACTGGTATAGTTAAGAATTACTTCATTTCAGTGAACAAATATTGTTTACCTGTGAGCCTGTGGAGTAGCGTCCAGGAGTTCGAGAACCAGATGTTTTCCCTGAACCAATGGAACTCTCTGTACTTTTGCCACTACAGCAATGTGTTCGCAGGCATTTCCCATACTCTTTTCGTACCTAGCCAATTAAATATTAACTTCTGTTAGCAAGTAATTCATTGCAGGTAGGAACAAAAGTAGACAATGTATGTGAGTTTTATTTTTAGATAATGTAATTATTTCCTTGCCCTACAGATGTAAGAAAGTCTGTTCAGCATATATTTTACAATACAACATAATTATATTCATACTGTCAAGCTTGAAATTTTGCCTAACTGGAGCCTTTTAAAACACACACACACACACTTATACACACACATTCACACACCTCCCATCACATCATAGTGGTACTTTCTCTTAGTTCCAAGAACATATACTTAAGCCCATTGAAGATACTATTTTTAGCTTCATAAATTTGATATAAAGTAGCCTGTTGGTGCAAGGGCATTGTAGCTGTTGTTCTTTAGGTAGAAGCCTACTTAGGAAGTTACAGAGACTGGGGTGGAGGAAGTAGGGTAAGAAGTGGGGGAGAGAGAAAGAGAGAGAGAGAGAAATATCAGAGAAAGTGAGGAAGCAGAGAAAAGATATTTAAAGACAGAAAATATGAATATGTTGGGCTAATCATTTCTTCTAAGTCTATATTTCTCTGAAGTTTATTTCTCTTAAAAGAGATCAAACGTTCAAATTGAGAACAAAAATTCAAAAGATTGTAAATTTTGTCCTTCAAAATAGTTCTACTCAATAATCACAGAGAAATATAATTACTTTATAGCATTCTTGATTAAATACTTAATCTTGGTTGTAGTATAAAATTACAGGGAAAAAGAAGAGTTTTAGCTGATGTTTTCAAGCAGAGAAATATATCAACTTTTGGTAAAAATTTTATCATGTCTAAAATTTTTATTACCGCCTATTTAATTGAACAAGGCATATAAAAATAAACAGTAACTGCCTTAAATCACATATCTATTACCAATAACAACAAAGGGACATCTTATTATATCAATTATATGTTCAGGAATTTATATTATGAAACAACATCATGTATATAAACTATTCTTAAGCCTTTATGTATTTGATTTCGCATTAGTGCATTTTTTCCCACAACTTATGATAATGTAATATTCAAATAAGATTTTATTTAAATCAAAGTTTTGAACATGTGCTTTAAAAAGGGATGTTATTTAGAATCAAAAGCAAAAAAGGTATGTAAATGATACATTAAATTTAGTATTCCAAATGGGAACATTTCATCTTATTATTGTAAAATTCATTGTGTCAAAGATATAGGAGAATTAAAGACAGAACATATACAGATTTGCTTAAAGAACTCACATTTATTGAGTGCTTATTATGTGATAAGAAAAATGATAGAGATAGGGTCAGGTGACTCAAGCATAGAAGAGGAGTGCCTGCGGGAAGTAGGTGTGGGAGGCCAAGAACGGCTTCTTGGGGAAGAGGGCTTCCCAGAAAGTCTTCAAAAGAGTGGCTGGAATTAATTTACAGAGTGAAGTTGAAATAAAGGACAGGGGAAAAGAGGAGAAAAAGGCATTCTCACCATAAAGAATAGAATGAAAAAACAGGGTTATGATGTGCTGGTCTTTAAGGCCTTTCTCTGCTCTGGTATGGCAAAATTACTTATTTTTAATGTATTTAAAATGCTATTGATTTGTTTTGCAACCAGTCTCTTCTGTGCTACATTTATCAATGATTAGAATTAGAGATAATTATTTTTGTTTAGTGTTTACAAGTCAGTCCATATTTTGTGTATTTTAAAAAAAGAAATCGAGCTGTAGCCAGTTATGTGTGTTTCTAAGATGCATCTGTAGGGAGGGTGAAAAGAAGAAACTTCTACTTTTTAACTATTATGTGTCAGGAATTGTGCTAGGTATGTCCCTCAAAATGACTCTGAAAATAACTATTACCTTCATTTTATAGATAAGGAGATTGAAATGGGTTAAGCAATGAGAGTAAACTACAAGACTGAAAAGTCAAGCGATGTGCCTTAGGAGAAAAATCTAAATTTCATGGGTGCTCTATGATCAAAAAGCTCTAAGATGCCACATTTGGAACATGAAATCACTGACCAGCACAGGCATTGTATATTACTAATATTATCATTAAAGTAATCTATTAATTATCTCCTTCTTTGTGTCTGGAAAGAATGAGGACAAATGCTTTAATTAGAACTTGAGAAGGCTTAAAATAATCTCTAACCAAAAGTAAGCATTATCAATGATAGTTTAGTAATTTCTACTGATTTATGAAGCATCTCTAAGAACCTAAACTTTGATCATAACTTCCCCCTGCAACATCCCGCATTATTTTCCTGAGGTACACAGCAAAATGGTATATTTCCTTCTAGATGAGAAAGGGTATTTGAATGAAGTGATGTAAACCTAAACAAATATTTCAGTAAAATGAGGAATAAAGGCAAAGAAGAGAGAAAGAGAACCACTCTCCCTCCTGTTACAAAATCAGCAATATTGTTTAAGCCACAATAATTCATCGTGGGCTATTTGCATTTTCCAACAAAGATTAAATGTTCTGAACCGATAATATAAACAACCAGAAAATCAAGATATTTGGTGATGCCAAGTCTCGCATTAGCTACATTACTTACTGAATCATTATACTGACTTTATTTTGCTGTGATTTGATTTGAAATGGTAAGCATATGTCTTAAAAAGAAGAAAAAAAATAACATGGACCATGTCCAGGAAACATTTTTTAGATTACAAAAAAGCAGTTATTTGATTGTTCAATCATTTGCATATTCTAATCTACTATTTCACATGGCACTGCATCTTAGTTACCCTAGTCAGATGATATCCTATTTTAGTGTGATGCTGTTCTAGAATATAGAAGACAGGAAAGAGAATATACCTTACCAGTAAAATATTTCTGATATTTCTCATATCAGAAATAAAATGATTGTGGAAGCTCTGGGAATATATCAAATATTTGAATGTATGACAAAAGTAAAAGTGACCACTTTAATGTGACCAGTGGAAAACTGTTTACACAATCCATACTCAGAAAAAGACTGAGATACAAAAATTTTAATTTTATGAGTAAGTTGAAACATTCGACAAATAATTCAATAAGACAGCAATTTTCAAATATGAAATATTTCATATTTCTCTAATCAAAATATATAAGCAACTATACCAGTGATGGCATATTAGTGAAATTTAATCAGATGGCTTAAAAGAAAAAGTACCTCCTAACCATTTCTTCAGTTTCAAAGACAAGTACACGACAGTTTTTATACAAAATAAAAACCAAAAATAATTATACGTTTTCTGTATTTTCTGATGTTGGCCCATATTCTTGACACCAAATACAAATGTGACCAAAGTTTTAAAATTCAAAACACAGAATGGATGAAAGAACAATATGTATTACTTGTTATTGTAAATCATGAAAATAAGCGTTCAAAATTAGGGCCTGGCAAGTTTTTCTATAAGGTCCAGATAGTTAAAATTTTAAGTTTTTTGACTCAGGAGCCAAAATTAAGGATAGGGTGTATATACTTATTTTAAACTTTATGTATTGAAAATGTAGTAACCATTCCTGACTTCCTGGCTGTAAAAATAAAAGGCAGCTGGATGAATTTGGCTCATGAGCCACAGTTTCCGGAACTCTGTTTTAATGAATCACAAAATTGAACTTGATGACATATATATTTTAAAATTTAACTTATGTTAAATATACTAAAAACTCTAAATTTGTTTGAGGGTCTTGAGATGTAAAATCTCTACCTGGGTACCAAATGCAATTCTTACTTATTCCAGTGATATGCTTATGTTAAGACACGAAAAATTAAAATAACATTTTTATTAATATTGGGAAAACTGAAAGAGGCATTGGCTAATAAAAAAATACTCAAAGCAAAAGAATGTGTGTAAAGTACAAAAATTTCTTTTCTGCTTTGTAGAAAATTTCCAAATTAACTTTAACATTTAAAAATTACTTCTTAATGAGTTAGTAAAAAAATTTAAATAAAATTTAAAAATTATGTTGGTCCAAATTTCCAGCTAATGTACAAAATAAAGACGACAGGCAAATAAATCTACTATACTTCAGTATGTTATGACTGATCATAATGACCTAATATATTCCCTTTTTATCATGGGCAAATGCTACCATTTTCCTTAATCTCCTGATTTTGCTCACATTTTTTGCATCTATTTCTCTTGAGCATCAGTTATGGCTTTCTTCTATCCAAATCTAGACATCTTCCTCAAGTTTTAGTCTCTCTGACTTCTCTGAAGTCTTTTAGAATACCAACCACTGACTTCTTCTTGACATTTTCTCCTATCTTTAATTCAGTGTATCATCTTGATTCTCGTTCTTCCTTACAGCTCTATTCTCACTCACCATTTACATGTCTCCTATTCTTTAAATACATTAAGTGTGGCAGACTGCCATCTCTTCACCATATCCAATTTCTTCTCTTTCTGACTAAAAAAGCTATACTATGTTTTTCTGTCTCCCTTGCAGTTTAGGTGGTACCATCGATAGAACCCTATCTGATAAAAAAAAACAAAATGAGTAGAAGCCATGTGAACCACTTTCAAACCACAAAATCATCTCTCTCTCTCCCAGACTTCCTGTTGGATGTCAAAACCCAAGAGGACTATAATATCATAGATTGAGGTTGTTTGAATCTTCATCAGCCTATGTCCCTTCATGGGGCAACCCCATCCATTGGGCAATGAGTAAAACATAAACATATGTTTAGGCAGGCTTCTGTAATTTGGGGGGTGTACATATTAATTATTTGGAGGGTTCATCTATTTTATTTTGTTTTTATTTTTTTAAATATCCTGTTATAGCAGGATTCATCTATTTTAAAACAACCTCTTTTTAAGAATTCTAATGAATTAGATTAGAATGCATCCATTCTAATGTAACCTCTTTTCTTTTCTGTAACCTACATTTAGAAACCTGACTCATCTTTACTACTCTATTCTGTATTTGCGATCATGTCAACACATTTTAGTTATCTACCACCATCTAAAATTGAAAAAAGAGTAGTGTTTTCTTTTATGTTTGTCCATCTTCACAAGTGGACACTCTTTTCAACTTCTTGTTTTGGTCCCAGCAGTCTCTAAAACTAAGAATCCTAGAAAGGGATATCTTTACTTTTTATTTCCTTTGTTTTCCAAAGAAAAATTATAAGTCTTATTGTTTCTTTCCCACAAATTTTAAAACATAATTTTCTATTTCATTTTCAGAGCCATTTCTTTGAATATTTTTAAATTATTTTTACCCCCTCCATGTCACACATGAGTAAACTGAGACATGGGGAGGTTAATTAACTTGCCGAAAGTCACATAAGTTTTTAAATAGAAAAACAGAGATTCAAACCCAGGCAATCTGGCTGAGGGGTCGTTGTGACTGGACCTATCGAGATCACATTTTAAATAAAGTTAAAGTGTATAAGATTGGAAAATCAATCTGGGGATTTTAAAAAAAGTAATAAAAATATTTAGTGTTTAAAATTAACTTTGAAAATTTATATATATATATTATGTCCTTACAAATGTAAACATTTGCAAAAACAGATACATGTAAAAGATTGCATTCTAATAATACAACTCTTAGATTTCATAATAAATGCTTTTAAGGGAAAGAAATATAGATACCATTATTAACTATTCCATCATTCATTCAAAAAATATAAATGTATATTATTTTACCATAAGCTGTGTAAACATTTATATGTTCTAATGTAAACTAGTGTTTGAAGAAACAGAAATATATACACATATACACATGTATATTTCCTATACTGTGATATATATCCATGTGTGTGTGTGTGTGTGTGTGTGTGTGTGTGTGTGTATAACTCATGCCTCCACAACATTTTCAGAAAATAATTACTTCCTAATACACAAATCCATTTGGCCACCAATGGGAATATTAAAGACTATAAAGTCAAATCTATAAGAAAATAATTTTTGTTCACTGTTTAAATCAGAAAATGTTTTTATTGTTTTTTACTATTGGACACTCCCACCAACTATTATGCTTGTATTTTGTGTTTGTTTTGCTTTACTGTTATAAATGATGAGTATCTTTATTTCTTGTAGACAAACATATCAAGAATAATATATTAGAATATGTTGTGGCTGCTTTGCTATCATGAAATGTATGCCATTTTTATTTTAAAAAAAGAATTCTAGCTTACCTTCTTCTGTAGGACACAATGGAAAATAAATATAAACATTCCCTGTAGAGAATTGAAAATGGTGAAGAGATAGGCCATGATGACTGTGCTTTCATTAATATACATGAGTCCAAAGGCCCAGGTCAATCCTAATAGGCAGAGAAGAGCTATTGCACCTATAACCCATGACCTGTAGAGAGAAGAGAAAATTAAGGGTTATTAAATAATTGATCTTTAATTAACAACCATATCAGATCAACAATACGACACTGAAAAAAATGTTACAGTAACTTTTATTGACAGAAAATGTAAGACAGGTGGTGTAAGTACTTTAAGGTTTTAATGAGACTACAAGTTTTCAAGCTTGAGGAGATATATACATGAATGAAAATGTTATGAACACAGAAATTCATTTAAGCAAAAGCAGATTTGTACCATAAATTATTCATGTATTTGCAGCACATATGCAAATGGCATGAGGTGTAATTATGGTGAATGGCAACAGGAAAGCAGGCTATAAAGCTGTTAGTCTTCACTGGTCTCACAGTGGTAACATTTGTTTGATTGATTTCCCTCTATTAGTGCTTCTTCTGATACATTTTTACCTCGCTTTTTCAAAATGTCCTCTTTTTCCACAAAAATTTTATTGTTTACTGACAAAAATATAACTCGTATTAGGAGGAAATACATGGATTTGAAGTACATGTATGAATTTAATGAGCCCCACTTGTCTAATTCTATATTTATAAAGACTAAGCGTGAGGGATAGTAGATGGAAAAAGTAGTTCCACTCTATCGGAAACATTGTTTCTACCCTCCTTCAGGCTTTGGATCACTCACTTCTATGGTATGCTGTAGTAGATTTTAGAAATCAGTCATTTGGAAGCTTTGTTGAAAAAAATTTTGAAGGCTCAGGGAAACTTTTTTGAAGTGTCTGTAAACTCAAGGGAGAAGATGAAGCTGAGAATGAAGATGGGGTGGTATGAATGGAGTAGTATAGAATAAAAGACAAGTTCTCACTCCCACTCCATTCTCTTAGTTTCCTCCAAGATGTCATTTGCAAGAGTATAAGCAGGTAACAAAATTCATATATTTGTGGTTAAGTTATGTATTGAATATCAAGATAAAATGTTCTTGCAACAGATGGGACTCATAACTGAAATGAAATCCTTCTCAACTCCCAAGTATATGGGAGAACAGGACCAAATCAGTAGAGATCGCTATACACTAATAAGCCCAACCTCTTTATTCCCAGCACATCTTCCTTGAATAGGGTAAATTCATATTTCTTTCCAGCAGATTATTATCCTCCACTATAATGACTTAGGAAGATATATTTACAGGGATGGAAACTTTGTAAAATGAAGGGGAAAAATCATATATGTTTATCATAATCTGAAGCTGAGTTCAATTTGTTTTTTAGAGAGAACTGCATCTTAAGAAAGATATGGTCCCAAAGTAGTTAATTATTAAAGTCTTATTAAAAATAATTATAAATATTTACTGTTTTTCTCCCATAACAATCAGCCACTATATTTCATCTTTAAATGCCCACTATATTTAACATGTTTAATTGAAAACATCAACATTCTTGAATAAAAAATCTCTAAGGGAGTTTTGCTATTACATATTACATGTTTGCTTATATGAATTACAAAACATTTTAGGTGTTAATATTTTATACTACAACTGGATTCAGAAGTATACTAACTTTCAAGGAAAAGCTCTCAGCTTCTTATGGACGTTGGAAAAAGAAAAAATAAGAATTGCCATTAAATCAAGGCAATATTGCCATTTAGATTTAAAAACAAAATAATAGGATCAAATACTTAAGTCAGGTATTAACCACTGGAAAACACATGATGGGCCCAAGGGTTAATTGGTAGAAAACTGCAATGAGCCCCGATTTCTAAAAAAAAAAAAAAAACAACAAAAGAAGGAAAGCAGAAGCATGAAGAAGTGAAATGGCACTGGAGAAAAATGAAAACAAAGGACTCTTCACCAGAAGAACAAACTGAAAGTCTATAGCAAGGTTGCCCATAGGTTACCAATCTTAGTTTATTCTTGCAGGACTTGTAATTTTAAAGTATGCATCCGAAAAATGTCTAAATGTTAACATTTATGTTCATATTTGTTAGATTAGTACAGACTTGTAGCTTTATTTCAGACACTGAAATATATTCATACAGATTAGATCATTAATCAAGTGACAGGTGTCAAATTTGAAAGGGATAATTTTGCATATGTAAAAATGAATTTTGAAGAAGGCATTTTTTTCTTTATTTATATTTAGTATAGCAATTCATTAATATCAATTGCAATTGGGTAGTTTTATACCCGTAAGATCATTTTGAAGATATACCAGTAAATGACACAATAATTTTAGATGAATGATGCCCAAACAAACAACAGAAAAGCGGACGTATGTGGCACAGAGGAACACATCACAATGAAAGGGAAGCTATTAAAAGAGAAACAAGTCTGTACCACAGGAAATTGTTATTGCTGTGGCACTGAATTCAGGTGATATCCAATTAACAGAGGTGAAGCAGAATTTTTTTTTGGCAATACACCTGCAGCATATTTATTCTGCATATAGGTTGTATGCCAGATTATTTTCCTGCACAGTTTGCTCTTCTGCCTCTACGTGAATGACAGAAGCTCTAATGATTTTTCAGTACTGATCTGACAGCTGGTTCATGGGACCACACTGATAAACGGAATTTATCAGCCATTCAGGTCATTCTTACTTGATGAAGGGTCTGTTATCCTCATAGCTAAAGAATGCATAGACATAAAGACAAGAACACCAACATTAGCATTTTATGACAAAGAATTTCATATGAAAAATATTCTCCTGGTCCCCAAAGGCCTCTGTCCCCCACCTCCCTAAAAGAAATCATTATCCTTTATATCTAGAAGGTAAATCCTAAAATGACCATGAGAACTTAAATAACAAGAAATAAAAGCAATTTTATAATACTGCAATATCCCTTCTAAGACTCAAAATTCCATTTTTTTATCATGTGCTCATATTACTTGTGACTTGAAAGAGACATTTATTTCTTAGAGATCACATTTCTCTAGAGAATAAGAAATTTTATGAGCAATCTTGGAAAGGCTTGGGGGCATGCTTAAAATGACAGATTTCATGTCACCTAAAGGTATTCTTATTCCGTAATATTAGTAGGTAAGATTACTTAATTATGGACAGTAGGCTTCTAAGTAATTTTAACTTGGAGATGATTGACCTGAGTTAAATCTTAACATTATAGCCCTTAGAAAATAATCTATCTTGAGTACTTTAAAACTCTTTCTGTTTGTGTTCTGAGTAAGATAAACCTGAATAATCTTTTGTAGTAATAGGAACAAACATACAACGCCTGCTTATTTTCACTTATGTTTACTAATTTTTTAATATCATTTGGATAAAATAAGATCCTAATACTCAATTAGTGAAGATAAGGAATGTTTTGGATCAATTTTTATAAATGTATTTTTTGCTTGTGATAAGAAAAAGAAAGAAGAGAAACTGTTCCTTTCTCTTCTCTCTTGCCAGAGGCAAGATAGTTTCCTATATTATGCATACACAAATAAAGCTCCTAGACAGGCTGCAACTGTGATGTATTTTGAATAAAGAGAACCACTGATGAAAACTCACTCTCCAGAATGATGAAATAATAAAGAATGGTATTTGAAGCCAGTTTGCCTGAGGTTTACATCCTAGCTCAGCCACTTACTAGCTACCTATTTGATCTTAGACAAAAATTAATTAACCTGTGGTTGTGTCCTTTTATACATATATAAGATGGTGATAATTATAATGCAAGTTTCTTGTGATAATGAAACAATTTATTATGAATAAAATGCTCAGAACCGTGTCTAACACAAAATGTGTTCAATGAATACTATATACGGTTATTATTATTAGACTATTCAAAGCTAGGGTAAAATCACACCGAAAATACAAAATTTCTCATCCAGAGAATAAAACCCCAAATACATAAATGTTGAGTAAGTAAATTTATTTAAGGATATTTCAGGAGTAATATGATGCAGTAAAATAGATGTGGCTGAAATAAGTTGGTAAACGAAGCAGAGAGTGACTAGAACTGTACGTCCAATGGGGTGATCACTAGTCATGTCTGGCTATTTACATTTACATTCATTAAATGACATTAAGTTTAAAATTCAGTTCCTCAGTCATATCAGTCACAACACAAGTACTCAAAAGCTTCACATAGTAGCTGCCATAATGGACATGTCCATCATCACAGAAAGTTCTATTGGTCAGTACTGGACGGGGACATTCAAAGAGAGTTTTAAGCCAAGAAACGGAAATCCAAGAGATATTTGAATAATGCCATGGATGTGTGAAAGATAAAGAGAGAAGAATTTGTAAGAACTGATGGTATTTAACAGCTGTGAAACAGGCCTAGAAAGAAAAATCCTGTACTTATATTACCATCAAAAATTTATAAAACATAATAATGTGATATTTATTATATTATATGCATTCCCATTGCATCAGTATATTCCATCTGTGATGTCCTGTTCACGATTCGAATAATTCTACCTTAATTCGTATAGTACAATGTCAAGAAAAGAAAGTTACAGAGGTTGACACATAGGCATCCATGCAAAAATGCTCTACAAAATGAATTAAGCTTTGTATAGATTTTAAATACATTTCATTATGTGTATCTTGGATACACAGCATGATGCTATGGGATACATGTAGATAGTAAAACAGTTACTATATTGAAGCAAATTAATGTATCCATCATCTCACATAGTTATCAATTTTTTGTTTGTTTGTTTTTGTAGCAGGGCAGCTAAAATCTACTCATTTAGAGTGAATCCCATACACAATACAATTTTATTACCTATAGCCCTCATGTACCTTATGTCTCTAGATTTGTTCATCCTCCATATCTGCTACTTTGTTTCCTCTGACCTACATCTCCCCATTTCTTTCCCCTGCCCCTGTGTTTTGTTCTCTATCTCTGTACTATAAAAACGTTTTTAAAAATTAAAATACAAAGTTTGCAATGGTGAGGTGACATATTTTTTATTTTTAATATGAAATATCAAAAAATAGAGATATCAGGGTGCAATTCAGCAGTTTTTATCAACTGGTGGGGACCATTTAGTTGCTCCATTTAATAAAGACAACAGCAACTCCAGCTTCACTTATACTTTGCTATAGTTATATGTAGAAGTAGCGTCCACAGAGATGTGGCCACAAGTGAACTGTGACATTTCTGGGTGTTGTCAATTAAAGGATTGGAATTGGTCTCCTCTTTACAATTTGCTGCTGTCCTTTGACTAGAAGAAAGTGATGCAGAGCCTTAGGCATCAAAATGGAAGCTGCTTATTTATGTGGAGCTGAAATATTAGGTTTAGACTGCCTACTATGAGACTCTCACAAAACAGAGTTTAAGGCACAATATTTTAGAATTTTTTTACGGTGGCTTGATTTGTGCAATAATTAACAAAGCATTTATTTTATCCCAAAAATGAGATAAGTAATATATAATGATTTAAAATCTAAAGATCACTAAAGATTACCTAGGATATGTCAGTACCCTCCATAATTTTTGTCAAATATTCTACTGGCCTAGATAATCTAGTTTTATAGTTTTCTCTAGCAAATCCAAATTAAATTGATGGTAATGTTGCCATGCTGTTGATTCCTTTTAATTTGAAAAAGCAGATCCACAGAACTAGTTTCTATAGCTGAATAATTTTTATTATGTTTTACTAATGATAATCCATTTAAACAAAATACCGTTACAGGTTGTATGACTAAAACAATTTTACTGGAGTATATTTAAGAATTTTGTAAAAATGTGGATGCAAAGGCCTAATATGTTCTTAGCAGATGTTAAGAGGAACTTATAGGTTTACCTTATCATTTATAAGTAGTGACTTACAGATTTCTCAAGATAAAACTATTCCTCATAGAAGAAAAAACAGGTAATATATACTAACGCATCTGTATGTTGAGTGGGCTTTTCCTCAATCAACAACGAGGCCTCCAAACTGAGGACTAAGAAGATTCAGTTACCCATATTCGAAAAGGAGCCAGCAGTAACCTGAGATAAAGGACTTCCACAAGCTTTACTTGATCTAAGAGACACTGCTTTGCCATACTACCAGGCCAGGTGCTCCAAGTCCTTATAAATGCAAGGGGACAAACAAGACCATTTTAGGATTGTAGTGTTCACAGAATATATTAAATAGTAGAAAGAAGAAACAACTTTTCTTATACTAATCCCCTAGTCACAGATCTTAGCAGGCAGTGGAGGAAGAATGTTTTACGTGGGATATGTTATTAAAGTTTTAAGTTGGTCAGACATATAATAACACGAATAGCTTGGCAACATTACAATGTATATCTAAAATAGCAGTAAGTGATCTGCTACCCAGTGGTTTAAGGATATTTAAGATAGCATAGCTAGATTAGTGAGCAGAAAAAAAATCTAAACATTTCATCTTTTATTCTATTACATTAAAAATGTTCAATCAAATGGTTATACTTATGATAGAAATCTTGACAGCTTAATATTTCCTCCAAATGTACCTTATGTTGATGGGACTATACCATCCTGAAATTATATTATTATATTTGTTCTTTGTTCATCACTATAGGAAGAATAAAAATAAAAGGCATTCAGAATTTTTTTTTTTTTTTTTTTTGAGACGGAGTCTCACACTGTCGCCTGGGTTAAAGTGCAATGGCACAATCTCGGCTCACTGCAACCTCCACCTCCCGGGTTCACACGATTCTCCTGCCTCAGCCTCCTGAGTAGCTGGGAATACAGGCGCATACCACCACACCAGGCTAATTTTCTGTATTTTTAGTAGACACAGGGTTTCACTATGTTGGACAGACTGGTCTCAAACTCCTGACCTTGTGATCCGCCCGCCTCGGCCTCTTAAAGTGCTGGGATTACAGGCGTGAGCTACCGTGCCCAGCCTGGCATTCAGAATTTAATTCAATGGTTCTGAGTAAAATATTAATAATTTTTCTCTATGGTCATAAATAAATAAGCATTAAAGATATTAAAAATTCTTCAAAAACATGAAAGTCACATAATATACATGTAAACATTATAAATGACAGAGATTATTATATTTCAACTATGAATTTTATTACCATTTAAGTATTACTACCAAAAGCTATATTCCTATGTTTTGTTCATAGGAAATGTATTAAGAGGAGAATGAAATGAACCAAATAAATAAAATAAATGGTTTAGAATACATCACAAACATTTTAGAATATATCATAAATATTTTATCCCTATGACTCAATGATCCATATCAATATTGCAAATTTGAAGGCAAAACACCAATATTAAACTTTAAATAATAGATTGTGTGCTGCTTATGAATCAGGTTAAGTCTGAAATTAGGAAAAACTGAGTATAATAAATTAAGACCAATAAATATCAGATCAATGACAGATAAGATTTTATTTTCTCTACAACTCAATGTTATACAAATTATGTTTCCTCTACAAGTCAATGTTATATAAGTTTCTTTAACTCAATATATTAATACTATCAAAGAATTAATTTATATGTGAGAGAAGTTAAGGGTATCAATAAGGAGAATGAATAATGAAGTATTAAGTTGTACTTCATTTATACAATTAAATACTTATTAGAATTCAGTATCCCTCTCTATCAGATTTACAAAAATGAATTGGTAGGTTGCATGCAAATAAGATGCAGGCATACCTGAGAGATACTGCAGGCTCAGTTCCAGACCATCACAATAAAGTGAGTCACAAATTTGGGGATTTCCCAGTGCGTATAAAAGTTATGTTTACATTATATTGTAGTCTATTAAGCACGCAATAGAGTAAAACACTATACATACCTTGATTTAAAAATACTTTATTGTTAAAAAAAAGTTACCATATTCTGAGGCTTCAGCGAGTTCTAATATTTTTGTGATGGAGAGACTTGTCTGGATGTTAAAAGCTGCTGAATGATCAGGGTGATGAGTTGCTAAGGGTTATGGGAGCTATGGAAATTTCTTAAAATAAGACCACAGTGAAGTTTGCCACATCGATTAACTCTTCCTTTCCTGAAAGATTTCTCTGTAGTATGTCATGCAGTTTGGTTGCATTTTACTCACAATAGAACTTCTTTCAAAACTGAAGTCAATCCTCTCAAACCTTGTTGCTGCTTTCTCAACGAAATATGTAATATTCTAAATCCTTTGTTGTCATTTCAACAATGTGCACAGCATCTTTACCAGGAGTAGATTCTATCTTAAGAAACCACTTTCTTTGCTCAACTGTAAGAAGCAACTCTTCACATATTAAAATTTGATGATGAGATTGCAGAAATTTATTCACATCTTCAGGATCCACTTCTACTTCTAGTTATCTCGCTATTTCCACCACATCTGCAGTTATTTCCTCCACTAAAGTCTTGAACTCCTCATTCACCCACAAGGGTTGGACTCAAATTCTTCCAAAATCCTATTGATGTTAACATTTTTACTCCTCCCATGAATCACAAATGTTCTTAATGACATCTAGAATAGTGAATACTTTCCAGAAGGTTTTCAATTTTCAATTTAGTTTGTCCAGATCCATCAGAGGAACCACTATCTATGGCAACTATAGCCTTAAAAAACTTATTTCTTGAGTAATAAGACTTTAAAGGAGAAATTACTCATTGATCCATGGGCTGCAGAATGGAGGTTGTGTTAGCAGGTATAAAAATATTAATCTCCTTGTATATCTCTATCAGAGCTCTTGGGTGACAAGGTGCCTTGTCAGGGATCAGTAATATTTTGAAAGAATTTTTTTTTTTTTTCTGAGCAGTAGGTCTCAACATGGGCTTAAAGTATTCAATAAACCATGCTGTAAACAGGTGTGCTGTCATGCAGGCTTTGTTGTTCCATTTATAGAGCACAGGCAGGGTAGATTTAACATAATTCTTAGGGATTTTCAGAATGATAGTAAGCACTGGCTTCAACTTACATTCACCAGTTGCATTATCTCCTAACAAGAGAGTCAGTCTATTATTTGAGGATTAGAAGCCTTGAAGCCAGACATTGACTTCTTCTCTCTAGCTAATAAAGTTCCAGATGGCATCTTGTTCCAATAGAAGGCTGTTTTGTCTACATGGAAAATCTGTTGTTTAGTGTAGCTGCCTTCATCAATGATCTTAGCTCTATCATCTGGATAATTTGCTGCAACTTCTACATCAGCACTCTCTGCTTCATCTTGCAGTTCCATGTTATGGAGCTGGCTTCTTTCCTTAAATCTCATGAACCAGCCTCTGCTACCTTCAAACAAACTTTTCTTCTACAGCTTTCTCACCTCTCTCAGCCTTCATAGAACTGAAGAGAGTTAGGGCCTTGCACTGGATTAGGCTTGGCTTTAGAGATTGTTGACATTGGTTTGATCTTCTAACAAGACCACTAAAACTTTTGAGGCAATAAGGCTATTTTGCTTTCTTATTATTCATGTGTTCAATAGATTAGTACTTTCAATTTCCTTCAAGAACCTTACTTTGCATTCACAACTTGGCTAACTGTTAAAGAGGATTGGCTTTCAGCCTATCTCAGCTTTCGACATGCCTTCCTCACTAAGCTTAATGGTTTCTAGCTTTTGATTTAGAGTGAGAGACACTTTCTTTCACTTGAACACTTACAAGCCATTGCAGGGTTATTAATTGGCCTAATTTCAATATTGCTGTGTCTCAGGGAAGAGGGGAACCCAAGGAGAGGCAGAGGAAAAGACAGAAGAACAGCTGGTCGGTGGAACAGTCAGAACACACACATTTATTGACTAAGTTTGCTGTCTTATATGGGTGAGGTTCATGGGGCCCTAAAATAATTACAACAGTAACATCAAAGATCAGTAACCACAGATAACCCTAACAGATATAATAATAATGAAAAAGTTTGATATATTGTGAGAATTACCAAAATGTGACATAGATCTATGAAGTAAGCACATGCTGTTGGAAAAATGGCACTGATAGACTTGCTTGAAATAGAGTTGCTACAAACTTACAATTTGTAAAAAATGCAATGTCTGGGAAGTATTAATACAAAAAAGAGAAGCACAATAAAATGAGGTATGCCTGTATGCAATTTTTGAGTCTTATGTTTGAATAAAATAATAATATCATTCCATGATTATTTATTAATATTAAAGTATGAAACACTATGTCAGTGACTGAAAACATGGACGTGCAAACCAGCCTGCCTGAATTTGAATGCCAGCCAAGCATTTTAATAACTCTGCAATGTTTCGCTAATTGCACCTCATAGCCCTCTTCTGTGAAGTGGGGATACATGCTGAAGTTCCTTCACAGGACCATTGTGTGTATCAAGTAAAAGATCTTGGTAGTTTTATTTGCTACACAAAATTATGCAAATATACAAACTTTAATGTGCAAAAGTACTATATAAATATTTGCTATTATAATTGCTGTTGTGTATTGACCTTCGGACCTCAAAAAAGGGGTTGTAGGAAAAAATACACGATTCTGTATTAGGTTTTTTTTTAAAGTATTTTGGAAATTATATATTAAGTGTAAATACAAAGAAGATGAAGGAGACACTGTCTCTGAGTTGATCTTTAATACATACATTTAAAGGGCCTCAGTTTATATAAAGTAGCATTTTCTTTTAGATTATTAGTTTAAGTTTAGTAAATGCTATGAATTTTCATACTCTGAATTGAAATGGAAGTATTTCCAAAATTCCTAATGAACATTAAAAGAGATAACCAAAGTACTTTAGTTTACATGAGAAATCTAAGTTTAACTCATATTATATCCTTAGTGATGAAAAGTCCACTATATGACGGCAATGTTCTACTAAGTGCAATCATTTGACTATAAAGCATAAGACATAACATCACATGTGGAATGTTCCTAAAGATTCAATTAGAAATTTAAGTTCCAGAATTTGATCGTTTAATGTTTTTTTCTTATGACTTTTCAAAACTTTGAAATTTGAATAGGAAAAATGAAACAAATGAGAAGATGCCTGTATATACACATTTATATTTGTTTTTATTTTGTAATCAGTGAAAACTTACTTTAGTCAGTAACACTTCAAGATCCATAAAATATTTTTAGCAAGTTGACATACCTTACTTATTGATATTTATGATTAAAATTTACAATGTTTCCTGGTTCACTTTTGGAGGTCCAGTATTTTCTACTTATATTGAGCCTTGAATTCCTTAGAACCTATAACTGTGGGGCTGATAAAGTAGGGTCATTGGAATGTAAAGAGATGAAGTACTTTAAGGACTGTATTACCTACTCTCAGGATTTCTTTTTTCCACTAAGAGAATATACAAACTTTTAATTTAAGTAAAATAAGTCAAGAAATTAATAACTTTTTGTAATCCTTGCCAAACATGCTCTGACTGGGTGAAATTCTGTTATATTCTTTTTCATACTGTATGGGATTTTCACCTCTCTTTTCACCAACTTCCAACAGAAACATTCATTGAATAAACAACAGATTATAAACTGCTTGGGAGAATAACTAGAACACAAGAAAAGCACAACTCAGTATTTAAAATACATCTGTACTAACTAAAGATTCCAACAAATTGAACCATCAAAGGCACTGCAGCACAGTTGGAAGCAGGCAAGGTTTATTTAATTTTGGAAGTATCTTATCCTTTATAAGCCTCAGTTTTCTCGCCTCCACAATAAATAAGATAATCTCACTGGGATCTTTTTAGAGTTGAGTAGACTCAAGAAAAGAATATTCGATAGTTCTTAAAAAGTTATAAATTAGTAAAAGCTTTTGAAGTATACTCTGAATTATTGAATTTATCATTTATATGGAACAGTGAATGTCCATTGTCATTTTTCTTGTAAAGATTTTGAAAAAAATTACACTGCACATCTACTGCACAAGAGCTATTATTGTGTCAGTGAGCAGACCTGATTAATTACTTAAGAGCTCTATCTCAATTCTGCTTTTAATACAGAAGCCCAATGAGATATAATTATTCCTAATTCAAATTGTTAAAAGAAATTGAAAGATAATCTTCTTAAAAAAGTCAATGAGAAAAACATTAAGAAATATTATAGAACATTTAAACAAAATAATAATTCAAATTTTATAAATACATAAAAAGCTACATCACAAAATAAAAAATCTTAAATCAAACATATTCTAAGCCAAATGACAGCTTCAGAAATGTGCTAAGAATTAACATCAATTGGAGTTTACTCTCTGATGATAATAAAGTTAAATTAGATACCAATAACTAATAAAATATGTATATATGCATATGACTACATGACAATTATCCATTTGCTGCTCTCTCTAAGAAAGCCTCAAGCCCCACAACACTTAGCAAATAAGTTCTACCTAAAACTCAACGAATAATTCTTCTTCTAATCTAGATTAGGCCTAAATGAAAAAAGAAAAACTTTTATATATATATAAAGGATTTAAAAATTCAAATTTAGAAAAGCAAATGTAAAATGGCTTGGGCTTACAAAACCAGAAGTTATAATTACCTGTGAATAGTGAGAGATAAATCATAGAACCATTTTGATTACAAATCCAAAGTAATGTTAATGTTGGTTACAGAGTCACTTTCCTGCTCCACTGATAAGAGTCCAGGTGTTAAATTGTACATATGCCCACTGCTACGCAAACTCCTTCATCTTGTTCTCTTCAGTGTTTCCACACCCCAGCTGCATCACACACATGAGGCACATCTTCCCTTTCATAGAGCATATCAGGATGGTATCTCCTTTTGGCTTACATCAACCACCTTCTGTTTACAAATACCGTACCTACTGCCCCCAGTGCCTGAATTCTTCCAAGTCTTTTGCTTCCACAGACAGCCTCCCTCAGCCCCAGTTCCAGCAGGACAGGCCTTCCTCTGAAAGGAAAGCTGGGGCAATGAGGTCACACTAGTCAGCATTCCGTCCTTCCTACGCCAATCCCAGCTGGGCTCCTACTTGTCTGCCACCTTCGCACTCAAGAAAGTTATATTGTTCTTCTCTCTCTCTCTCTTCCTCATTTCTTGCCAGTATTCTGCCTTTTCCTGACATCTATGCCTACAAAATATCTGGTCATTCCTAGGTCTTGTCTTGCACAGACTTTCATTAATAATTGAGTGATTGCAATCACCACTGCGATGCTGAAAATCTCTTGGTCTTTTCTCCTCTAAATCTGTATCTACTTCAATGAAACTGAGTCTCTTCTGGGAACCAGGAGTCTTATATCAGAGACTCCTCTCCTGACACCCTCAGTCTCCTAACTGATCTACTCAATAAGAATCTGTTATCCTGAGATGCCTACTGCTCTGCAAACTCTAGTAAGAACACAACACAAAGCTCTTGAGAGCTCTGTCTTTTCCTCTGCTTTTAATACGCCTAGACTCCATCACAGGGAGCCAAGGAAGCACCTGCTGGCCTTTGGGATGTCTATTAAGATCTAGCACCTACCAGGTTAAAGTGTGTCATCCATAACTAGTTATATTTTATGACCTCCGTGCAGTACATGTTGCAGCACTGCTCAATTTGCAAACAGTGAAATTTTTCAGGAATCTATATTCTTTTGAATCTCTCATCTTAAGTGCCAGCCTCTTATTAGCATTAAAATGCTCTACTTTGAATTACTTGAACCCGGGAGGCTGGGGGTTGCAGTGAGCCAAGATCACGCCACTGTACTCCAGCCTGGGTGACAGAGCGAGACTCCATCTCAAAATAGAAACAAGAAAAAACAAAAAAAACAAAGCTCTACTTTTGGTATGTCCACATTAAATGCTCAACAAAGGGTTACTTAGAGAAAACATGGAAGATTTCTTTAAGAAAGGAACCATGCTTTCTTCTCCAGCACAGCCAGTGGGTTGAAGGCCTACTTCTCCTTTCCATTCTTTCAAGAAAAACTTGAATGAGTCTACTCATAAAAGTTTTTATAATATATTTTTTGTCCTCTGAAACTATCTTTACCAGGACAAAAAAATATCCTTACCAGAGTACAAACAATACATTATACTAACATTTCACTTCAGAACTTAGTTAAAAGCCTTAAATAAGCTATTAAATAACAAAATGTAATGGTGCATAAACATCATAATCAATTAAGATTTATTCCAGACAGTAAAGAGAGTTAAATCAATCATGTCACTTACTTCATAGTCTAATAGTCTAAAAAAAAAAAACTCCCAAGTAAATTAAAAAAAACTATTTATGAACTTTAGTATTTTTCAAGAAAATACAAAACAATTTAGAAAACTAGTATATAGTAGTTTCCTTAACTTGGTGGAATCATTCATTTTTTAAAAAAAAATTCATAGCAAATATTATATTTAATGGGAAAACTTCAATATGTGTATTTTTAAACTTCAGGACCCAAGTAAGGATGTAGGTTATCCTGGGACCTGCTCAATTGCGATCCAAATCAAATACCAAAATAAATAAATAACTGGTATAAACCTTAGAAGTATAGAGATAATTTTTAACTTATTATTTAAGTATGATATCATCATCTCCATAGAAAACACAAATGAGTGCAGAGAAAAGTTGTTCTATCTATTTAATAATGTTCAATACATTTGTCAGATATAAGATCAACATGCAAAAATCAGTAATATTTTCTTACTTAGTAATAATAAACTAAAAAATTAAAGGGAAATTAGATATCATACCTAATAGCAACAAAACAAAAAGAATCTATATACAAATTAACCCAGCAAAGAATGAATGGACATTAATGGAGAAAAATCTTAAAAACCTATAAAAGGATATAATGGAAGGCCTCAACAAAAGAAGATATAGACGTGTGTATGAATGGTATGACTTAACCTCATAAAGATACCAGTTATTACAACATAATCCATATATTTAATGTAATTCTAATTAAAAAAGACAAACATATTGAAAGAATTTTAACAACTGATTCTGAAATTTATGTGAAGAAATAAAAAAAATTCCTGAGTAGCTAAAACAGTTTTGCAAGAGATGATCAAAATGGGAGGATTCGCCCTACCAGATATTAAGCAAGTTCTAGTAATACTGTAGTAATGATAGAAAAACATAAAGTATGCCCATGGAACAGAAGAGAAAGCACAGAAACAGATTTAATGTAGGATACTGTGGTAGCATCAATGTTCAGAAAAAGGATGGATTATTTAGCAAATGGTGTTGGAAACTTAGCTCATTACATAAAGAAATGGAAAATATCCTTCAAAGAGATTAAAGATTGTAACACGAATTGTAAAACTGAGACAAATAAAATATAGAATAGAAAATAAAAGGACGGGCGTGGTGGCTTATGCCTGTAATCCCAGCACTTTGGGAGGCCGAGGGGGGCAGATCATGAGGTCAAGAGATGAAGACCATCCTGGTCAACATGGTGAAACCCCATCTCTACTAAAAATACAAAAATTAGCTGGGCATGGTAGTATGTGCCTGTAGTCCCAGCTACACGGGAGGCTGAGGCAGGAGAATCGCTTGAACCTGAGAGGCGGAGGTTTCAGTGAGCCGAGATCAGGCCACTGCACTCCAGCCTGGTGACAGAGCGAGACTCCATCTCAAAAAAGAGAAAAAGAAAAAGAAAAGAAAAGAAAAAAGAAAATAAAAGGGAATGAAGGGAAAAATAAAATTTTAAATTCTTAGTTTAAAAGGATTTCAGTTAAAAGACTTTGAAAGCGTATACCTTAGAGGAAAAAGTTGATAGTTTATATATTATAAATTATATACTTATTTATATTTGTACCAAAAGGAAAAATTAACAGAGAGGTAACAGACTTGAAGAAGATATTTGTAATAGCAAAAGCATTCAAAATGTATATCAGCAAGTAAAAGAAAAAGGAAAGGGAAGCTAACAGAAAAAAGTGGAAAAAATGAAAACCATTAAAGAAGAGAGAGAGAAAATCTAGTAGAAACAAATAGGCACACAAGTTTTACTAAAATGTCCCTGTGAAAATTAAGGGATATGCACATTATTAAAACTTACAGAATGGGAGATCTGGCAATTTTAGAAACCTTTCCACAGCTAATTGTGCAAGATGCAGTAAATTCAATGGAGGCAGAAAAATCAGAGCACTGTGATGATGACTATTACAAAGAAAATGTGCTACCTTTTGAGTCATATCTTGGTATGTATAATATATTATCTAATATTGTCAATACTTGTGCTAATAAATTGTTCCTTTTTATGCTCATGGGTTATTATCTTAATCTCATAATTAAATAGTTTTAAATTATAGCCTTAGACTGTCAATCTCAGTTGCGGAACAAAGAGGGTTTTTGAGTTAGCACATTGAAGTATCTGGTTTAAAATATCGACTTCCATAGGCAGCAATCCAGAGTATTGCAGAATGCATGCTAAAGTAGCACATTTATAAAAGTGCCAGGGACCTTGATGACAGACCTTTTTAGAATACATAGCTGTATGTAGTGGAGAAAACCAGCAACAATTGGTTCTCAGCCAAGAGAAAATTAGATTAGGAAATTTTCAAGTGAGGACTGAGCGGCTCAAGATGCTTAACACTCCACTATACTGTCTGCACATTTTAATTACAAATCCAATGATTTAATACAGTCTTTTGTCTTAGGTAACTCTGACTTGTATACTTTCAGCACTTTTCAAATGAGGTAAAGAAAAAATAGCATTTTAAAACCAAGTAACACTCCTGCTGGAAACCACTGCCGAAAAATAGGAGAATGAGAAAAGCTGAAATCTGTTACCTTATTGTTGTTTTGCTTAAAGGGGAGGTATTTGCTTGGAATTGGGGAAACTGATAAGCACCTGGAGTATGGTGACACGTTAGGCATTCCATTTGTGTAATCCACTAACCTTTGTGGTGATTAATTTGCTAATCAGTGATCATCTGTGGTAACTTCAATGATAGAGCATTTTACAGACTCCTTTTACGAACAGTGGTAAAATTGAACAGCTTGAGCCATGATTCTCAAGATTTATGTATAACAGTATTTTCTGGAATTTGGGGAGAATGTGTATGTATCTAAAGCAAAGCAGAAGTAGTGTTCTCACCCATCTATGGGGCTTTTCTATTGCTAATGAGTGGGATTCTATTGCCCAAGATTGTAAGTGACTGCATGAATATAGTAAGTAATGAATTTAGGCAACAAAAATTATAAAAAACTTGTATTATAGGCTATTCCTTCCATTCTTCTGACATTTTTGTATACTTCCTAGACCAACTAATTTTCTACCATTTCCCTTTCTCCCCACAAATTATATCCTGTAATTTGAAACTCATGGTCCAAACTCAACAAATTCCCTTATACCCTAAACTTCATTTTTGGGTGTTTCTGTCACCTACTGCTTTTAAGTGAAATTGTTGCCCACTGGCAGCACTTTCCCTGAGGAGCACACAAACTCAAAGGATTGGTTCTCTCCCATCCCTCAGGTGGTGGAAGTGCCATCACCAGATCATGATTTCCCCAGTGTAAAAACCCCAAATCCTCTGAGGTTTTGCCATGAGCTATTTACTACTATCTTCTTGTTTTGGTAACTTGAACATTCCTAGACCTCTTCTTCTTCTGTCTCTCCATCTTTTCACTACATTATCACCCAATTCATGTTCATACCTTCCCCCATGACCAGCCCAGATACTATGACCATTTACTTTCTTATATCCCCTCTCCTCTTTAATGATTTGAAAAAAACACACACACATATTGAAGTAGCTGAATAATGCTGAAGAAAAAACAAAACAAACAAACAAAAAAAAAATTTTTTTTTTTTGAGACAGAATCTCACTCTGTCACCAGGCTGAAGTGCAGTGGTGCGATCTCGGCTCACTGAAACCTCCGCTTTCCGGGTTCAAGCGATTCTCCTGCTTCAGCCTCCTGAGTTGCTGGGACTACAGGCATGCGCCACCATGCCCAGCTAATTTTTGTATTTTTAGTAGAGACAGGGTTTCACCACATTGGCCAGAATGATCTCGACCTCTTGATCTCGTGATCCGCCCACCTCAGCCTCCCAAAGTGCTAGGATTACAGGCATAAGTCACCATGCCCGGCCGTTTTTTGAAGACATGTTAAATTCATAACAACAAATTTCTTTCTTTCTTTCTTTCTTTTTTTTTTGAGATGGAGTTTCACTCTTGTTGCCCGGGCTGGAGTGCAACAGTGTGATCTTGGCTCACTGCAACCTCCGCCTCCCAGGTTCAAGTGATTCTCCTGCGTCAGTCTCCTGAGTAGCGGGGATTACAGGTGCGTGCCACCATGCCTGGCTAATTTTTGTATTTTTGTAGTAGAGATGGGGTTCCACCATGTTGGTGAGACCATGTTGGTCTTGAACTCCTGACATCAGATGATCTGCCCTCCTCGGCCTCCCAAAGTGCTGGGAATACAAGCGTGAGCCACTGCGGTGCCCAGCCTATAACAACAAATTTCTAATGGCAATTAACAATATCTGAAGGCCAATCATACTTCCCCAGTGCATATGATTTCCCGTTCCCCATCAGGAATATTTCAGAATTCCAAACCTCTTTCCCATCACAACTCCCTCAGCTGAATATTTCCTAGTTTCTTGAAAAAATGGAAACAATCTGACAGTCGCAAATGTTTGCACTGTCCAAACCTGTCAATTTCTTGTACAGCTCCCAAACTCATCCCCAGCTGCTGCTCCCTTTGATTCTTGGCTTCCATGACATGTTGTTTTTACATTTACCTCAGTGACTTTTCTTCCCAAGTCATCTTCACCAGAACAATATTCTTCTTGAGTAGTTTCACTCAGTAATTAACTTTACATACTAATAACGCTGAAATCCCTGTCTCTCATCCTGAGAAGATTACTGTACACTAAGATACCTCATAATTGCATTCTGCTGGCCAGATTTTATAGTTCATAATCTAAAATATTAATATAATCATAGGTGTTAAACACAGGGCCCTTAACGATCATTGCTATCCAGTCAATATCAGGATTAAAGCTTTTTGAGCATGGCCTAGAAAATTATCTAAACTGATATGTTTACTGAAATGGCAATCTCTTAAAAATTAAACACATTTTACTAGATTTATAGGTATGCAATTTGATGTGACAAGGAGTATATCTAAGAGTTAAGTAAATGGACAGTGAAGCCAGACTATCTGTTGAAATCCTGGTTCTGGCACTAACTAGCTCTGAGGTTTGAGGTGAGTTAATTAACCTCTCAGAAACCTCAAAGGATTATTGCAAAGATTAAATAAATTACCACATGTAAAGAACTTAGAACAGTGCCTAGCACATAGTAAAACGTCAATGAACTAACTATTCTTATTATTTTGCACACATTTTCCAAATAGACACAATATTTAAAATTCAAGTTGATGTTTAATCAGGAGCAGAGATTACAGTTGATATGAGGGCAGAACCAGGGAGCACCTGTCTTTTACTTCAGAATCTATGACTACGTTTTGAGTATGTGACTCAAAATACAGTGGAATGTTTAACTTCAATGCCTCACAAAGTTTCACTTTATCTCCAAGAAGCTTTAAAAAGAGGTTGGTTTGAATTTGGAGGCCCAAAGTCTTTCAGTCTAACATCACTTATTCAAGCTCTCTCACAACAAATTTTTTAAGTCAGCAAATTTTGGTCAATTTTCACATAAAATTATATATATTAATACATATAATCATTGTACTAAATAAAGCCCTCAATTTAAAATAAGTTGTGTCATTTTAAAGAAAGCTATGTTAGGAAAAAAAAATGTATTCCTAGCTGGTTTTTGTTATAGCAGCCAAGCCAAACTCCTAAAAACCACAAGATTATGTTATCAAAGAGATTTCATGTTTATTTCACTTAGCCTTTAGAAGAAATTGTATTTTCTGATTAAGACTTTTAAGAACTTTGACTTTAAGTAATAACTAACTGGTGAAAAATTGGCTTTTATATTTTAAAAAAGTTTTGTTCATTTTTCTGAAAACCGTATTCAAACAAACAAAAAAAGACATGCTTAGAAATAATTAGAAAGAGATTTATTTGATACAGATCCAGACATACTACGCTAAAATATGATGCCTTTGGATTTGAGAAAACAGCAAAAGTAGGAAGGTCTCTTTGACGTTCCCCTCACCCTTCTCCTCTGAAATAGACCATAAAAGAATTCTCTGACCTTTCTCTCTGAAGTAGATCATAAGACACTTACCCCAGAGATAACCGCCCTATACCGAGAGGAAAGGAACATTTTTATACTCTAAGACATAGAGACACCCACAATAATCTGAATAAAAAGGCCTTGCTAAGCTCTCCTCAGTTTATTAACATTGAATCGTAAGCTTTTGTCTTCCAATCATATTTCTCCACATATATCCACTTCTTCATCAAACTTACTAAAAAAATTCCCAAGTTTAATTGTGTTCCTTGAGTCTCCATTTCCGAAAGCTCTCATAACATGTAAAACTTGTAATAAATAAATTTGTATGCATTTATCTTGTTAATCTTTAGTCATAGGAGTCTCAGCCATGAACCTAGTGATGGGTGAGAAAAGAAATTTTTTCTCCCCTATGGAATCAAATACTTTATTTTTGAATGTACAGTTCCAAATCTTATTTCTTGTGTAGTTGTTTAGGAGCTGAAACTACGCTAAAATAAATAAGCTAAAAAGTTTATGAAGTCATTTTAGGATATTTTTGAGTTTTACCTATAGCGCATGAGATTCAATTTTACAAGTTGAAACTAAATATCATTAAAGATATGAACTTGGTTTTGAAACTTTATTCTAAAGTTTAAAATCCAAGGTAAATAAACAGCAATTACCTTTTAAAAGTGAATAAAAAAGTTAAAAACAGAGTAAGTTTTAAAAATTTTATCCCTGAATCATAACTGGATTCTTTCACTAATATTTTAATGATATAAATAAGAGCAATTCTAAATATTAGAGTGAGTTCTACCTCATAAAGAATTTGAAGACAGATAAATTACAATAATTAAATGTTCCCTTTTCATAAGACTTCATTAAATTTTCATTACGTAGATATAGCCACAGTAGCATATTAACAATAGAATATTAGACTTGATTTTTTAAAAACTGTTTCACAGCTTAAAAATATAGAAGGATAATCCTTTCAGGGAAATGACATTCTTATATTGTTCTTTCACAAATATATTTCCAGACATAATGTAGGGTGAGATATTTTTAAAATAAAATGTTTTTATAAGAGTACTATGTATTCATCATACTAGCTTCTGAAAACTCAAGAGTGAAATGGTGTAATAAAAAATAAATATTTGTTCTTCGTACCTGATTCCTGGCACAGAGCTCCTAAAGCCCTTGGAATCTTCCATGTGCCTTCTGCATACGAATGAGATGACTAGGTGTGTTGAGGGGGAAGGTGTGTGGTAAGGCGATGGCGGGAGGCTAGATAACTTCAGCATGGGGCCTCGTTCGCAGAAGGACCAAGCTAACATTAAAAGGGTAGAATGTTCAGCCTCCTCTCCCCTCCTGCACAATCACTGGGGAAAAAACGGGGGCTGGAGATAGAGCAGCCAATGTTGAATCAATCATGCCTATGTGATAAAACCTCCATGAAAACTTCCAAAGAATGGGTTTCAAGAAGCTTCTAGGGTGGTGAAAACATCTACATGTGTGGGAGGGTGGCTTCCTGGAGAGGGCATGAAAACCATGCCTTCTCCTCCATACCTTGCCCTGTGCATCTCTTCCATTTGGCTGTTTCTGAGTTGTAGGCTTTATAATAAAGCTGTACTCAGAAGTACAGCACTTTTCTAAGTTCAGAATTGTTCTATTAAACGATTAAATTTGAGGGATGGTCATGGGGACTCCTGAATTTGTAGTGGCCTGAGCAAAATGTGGGCATCCTGGGCACTCTACTGGCACCTGCTGCCTAAAGTGGGGGCGGTCTTGAGGGACAGAGCTGTTAACCTGTAGGGTCTGCACTAATCCTGAGAGTTAGTTTCAAAACTGAATTGCATTGTTGGACACCAGTTGCTGCTGGAGCACTGGTAGATGTGTGAAAAAATGGCATGTATTTGGTTCAGAAGTGGTGTCAGAAAATACCATGCAAGTGCTTAAAAAAGAAAATGTTAAATTATGCATAATCCTGGCACTAAAACATTATCATTATTAACTTCAGTACATTTCTATTTAGTCTCTTTTTTCTCTATATATAACCATTTATTTCTGACAAATAACAATGAGTGTACATTTAATGTCCAAAAAGATGTATTACACACAGCTATTTTATAAAGTACGCTTCATAAAATTTTATAATATATAACTCTATATTTTATTTTTAGAAAGATAGTTAAATAAAAAATTATAAGGTATCAAAATGTGTGCCTTATTATTGCTTGAAGAAAATGAATTGTGTTGCTTAGGTAATTTTCATTGACAAATAATTTTTCTCCAGAAGATATAATTTATTTAGTTTCTTAAATTCATGAAATTACACAACAAAGCTACTAAATGTGTTTGACATCTAACTGATTTTTATTTGTTAATAAAGCCTTTCGACAGTTGCCTTTTCTAGAAAGCATATACAGTCATGTGTCATTTAATGATGGGAATATATTCTGAGAAATGTGTCCTTAGGTGATTTCGTAGTAGTGTGATTATAGAGTGTTCTTACACAAACTTAAAAGGTTTAGCCTACTACACATCTAGGCTATATGGTAAAGCTTATTGTTCTTAGGCTATAAACTTGTATAGCATGTTACTGGGCTGAATACTGTAGGAAACTGTAACACAAAAGTATTTGTATATCTAAACAAATGTAAACATAAGAAAGGTACAGGAAACAAATGGTATTACAATCTTATGAGATCGCCATCATACATGCGATTGTCATTCACTAAAATGTCATTATGCAGTACATGACTGTGTGCCTGGATATGCGTGTATCTATTTTGATTATATATATGCATATATATGTATATTTGTATCTATATATACACACACATGCATATATACATATAGATATAAATAGATTTTATAATTGGAATATTAATTTTTAACCTGTAAATATATTATTATATATTAATATGAAGGAGAAAAATAGAAGATTAAAACAACTTCATAATAATGTTATATTTTTCAATATTACATAATTCTTTTCTAGGTAGATAAACGTTTTTCAACACACTGAATACTTATGAACCATGATAATTTATTGCACTACTTTAAAAGAAAACATCTACTGGTCAATAGGTTAGCCGGTCTCAGTCATAATTTTATCACATAAAGAAATAATGGTATTGTCTGCGTCCTTCTTATATAAGATCAGCCTTCGCTTGTACACTATACCCCATACTCTTTTGCCTACTCGTGTAGATGCCAGATGCCATACAATTTCTACTCTCTTTTCAATATCAACTAATTGTGTATTCTTACCAAATTAAAAGGAAGAGACTGTAACATATCTCATGCTTAAAAACAAACCAATTATTATCAACAACAACAACCTCCCCAACCTAAGATCTCTGTCCACTACTACATTTCTCAGCTCTTGTTTACAGCAAAAGACTTGAAAAGATTGTCTTTACCTGTGGTTTTTAACTCCTCCCCTCCCATTCTCCCTTCACCCCACTCTAATAAGTCTTCATCAATGGCTCTGCCAAACAGCCTTTGTCAAGTTCACCAAAGATCCCCATGTTGCTAAATTCAGTGGTCAAGTCTAAGTTCCCATCTTATTTGAAAAGCTAGATTCACCTAGCTTCCAGGATCTGTAGATTTCTTCCTATCTCACTGGCTACTCCTCAATCCACTTTGCAGGTTCTACACTTCTAAGATCTCTAAAAGTCAGAGTGTCTCAGGGTTACAGTCCCTAGTCCTCTTATTTTCACTATCTACCCTCAATCTCAATATCTTACCCAGTCTCATGGGTTTAAAATAAAATCGACCCTGACCCGTTTTCCCAAGGTTGTCTAGGTTTGAGGAGTGGCCAAGGGGTGGCTGGTTGGGAGAGGCAGAAAGAGCTTGAATGTGTGGGGCACAGTGTCCACATACCTGTGCATGAGGCCCCACATGTTGTGGTATCTAGCTGGAGGCAGGAAGAGAAGGAAGACAGGCAGTGAGCCAGGAGCCACATCCTGGCTCCTGGATGGAACTCTAAGATGTCAAAGGATTCTAAACTCATACTTGATCTTCCAAGTGGTTTTGAAGGTGTAATCTATCACCAGAGGAGGTTAGGAGATATATATACATATATATATATATACACACACATATATGTATATATATGTGTGTGTATATATATATATATGTGTATATATATATACGTGTATATATATATGTGTGTGTGTGTATATATATATATATATATATATATATAATCATTTTGTCCTCTTGCCCTGAGCTCTGCAAATGTTGAGAATGTCCTGTTCCCACAGCCCCTTTGCCAGACCTTTGCTTTCCCAGATTCCCTTGCAGCCGGGAGTGGTCATTTGATTCAGACATGTGATACCAGCAAGGGGCTTCTGAGGAATATTTTACATCCTGAACATGGGAGACAAGCCCATGAGGAAAGGCTCATGAAGAGAATCCCTTCTCTTATCTCTTCTTTCCTGCTTTTCAATGCAACCAAGAAAGGATATAATGATGCTTGGAGCTGAAGAAGTCATTCTTGGACCACAAGATGATACAGTGAATGACAACAGCCAGCATTCTGAGGATGATGTAAGAGCTTTGGTCCTTGTTGACATTATTGAGCTTTTGAACCAACTCTAGAACACTTACTTCTGAATTTTAAGTTTCATGTATCACCAGTGCCACTATGATTTAGGACACCATAGTGGTCAGCATTTGATACTTCCAGCAGTGGCCATTCTAACAGAAACATACTTTTTAGTGACTAGTGAGAGAAATTAGTTTGGCTGGAAAGTCACCATTTCAATTGTTTGCTCTATCTTTATGCCATTTTCACTGTTGTATTTTTTTCAAATCATCTCACTTTTATTTTCTTAATGTTTTAAAAGTAAATATATAACTGCCTTAAATTTTAGAAAACCAGGATAATTTGCTATTATAGAAAATAATAGATATATAAAGTGAAACCAATACCAAAAATAAATAAAACATAAGTAACACTAAATGCAAAAAAAAAAAAAAAAATCTATACATTGATGATTCCAAATTGTATCTTCAGCTTTCACTACTCCAACTTCCAACTCAGCATCTGCACTGAGATGTCCAGCAAGTTATCTTGCAAAAAAACAAAAACAAAAACAAAAACTGTCCTACCCCCAAAAGTGAAACCTCCACAGTTTTCTGCATTTCAGTAATAACCACTCACTGTTCTAGTACCCCAAGCCAAAAACCCTGGAGTCACACTCCACTCCATTCTCTTAGAATCTACATAAAAATGTAGGCTGGGCTCCGCGGCTCAGGCACTTTGGGAGGCCAAAGCGGGCTGATCACCTAAGGTCAGGAATTCGAGACCAGTCTGGCCAACTTGGTGAAACCCCATCTCTACTAAAAATACAAAAAATTAGCCGGGCATGATGGCACATGCATGTAATCCTGGCTACTTGGGAGGCTGAGGCAGGAGAATCCCTTAAATCCAGGAGGTGGATGTTGCAGTGAGCCGAGATCATGTCACTGCAGTCACTCCAGCCTGGGCAACAAGAGCAAAACCCTTTCTCAAAAAAAAAAAAAAATATATATATATATATATATATATATATATGTGTGTGTGTGTGTGTGTGTGTGTGTGTGTGTGTGTATGTGTATATATATGTATGTATATATATAAATAAAATAAAAACTAGCAAATTTTGTAAACTCTGAAACATATCCACAATTTTCATATTTCTCATTTGTTGAATAAATTAATAAACAAGGATAAAATCAAATCAAAGTTCATACATTAAAATTAAAATTAAAATATGTGAATAACATGGAACACAAAAGTTAATTATTGTAACTATTCTCTGATTTATTCTACTCTTATGAAATCTTACTCTTCACCATTTGGGGGAAAAACTATAGTCTTATGAATAGCTAGTTTAAATTAATTCAGATTTTTAAGCATTTCCATAGTCTGACTGCACATTTCTTGTGGGATATAAAGGTAATCTGAGTCTAAGCTCTATAAAAAGAACAGAGAACCTGCTAATTTTTATGTTTTCATTATGAAGAAGACATTTTCCCCTTAGATAGGTTTTTAGACTTTCTCATCCTTAGCACTTGACTCTCCTATATCTGATAGAAACCTAATTATTTTGGGGAAAAGTGAAACTATAATTTGATCTCAAGGATTAATGTAAAACAATTCCATTGTGCCTATGGCAGTCATCCTTCAAACCAGTTTTCTCAAATGTGAGCTTCCAGTCGACAAAATATGTTAAATACACTTATGCATAAACCCTGATTCACAGAAAGATCATATGGGAAATTTAATGCATTTTAAAGAAAAGCCAAAAAAGAGAGCAGCCCTTTTACATTTCAGAAAACTTAAAACTATAGCCTAAAATAAAGGATACAATGAGATGGACAATAACACTTGCAGAATGAACAGCTTTTTGAATCAGTGACTGAAATTCAGTTTTCAAAGAAGTGATTGCTAAATGCATTTAAATGCTAAAATTAAGGCAATCAGCAAAGGACCCACTATTACCTTAGGAAAGTCTCAACTTGTCTGAAGCAAGTCTAGTAGTGTCATTAAAAATACACAAAGCTCCACACAATGTTGTTTGGATTGTATTACTCTTTAAATACACTTGGATTGCTTATGATATTGTTATGGTGATTTCTAGTAATGTTTAAACACAGATCAAAGAAATAGAGGAAGACAGAAAAAAATGGGAAAACAGACAAATTAAATTCACTTTCAGAATTCTCTTTAAAAATGATTCTATCTTATTACAATGAATAAAATAAATGTATTATTTTTTCTAGCTAATTCTTAAAACTAAAGTGTTCACAGTATATACATGGGCATGGAGAAGTACATTTGATTTTTAAAATTTGGGAAAACACATCTTCAGTATAGCATGTTGACCTAATAATCTTTTTTACAAAACGTGTAACAGTTTTTAAACGTACTATCTCTAAATATTTAAAATAATTAGAAATCTGTAAAATCTTGATTTTAATTGAATAGCTTTGATGGTGAAAGACAAACCATGAATAAAATATATAGAGATATAAGCTAATATTTTTGTTTGCATAGACAATTTTGAGCCTCCTTCTTAAAAATAAAAATCGGTATATCAGTATTTTTTATCAGTAACTAGTATTTGAGAATAAGAAAGTTCTAAAAATTTTCCTCAAACTCATCCAGACAACTCTGCAATTGATGAAATTTTTATTTACTATACAACTCAGAGCTAGATTTACTGTTCTCATAAAGGCTTAAACTTTTAAGTTACTGCTTTGACTATAGTATAGAAACGAGATAATTTTAGCAAGTAGGCTATATATATTTATTATTAACATTAAGATGCATTTTTCATAAGTATATACATTATATTAATGTGAAATTGAAAAATTAAAGCATTAAAATATTCTTGCGATATTGTTGTATTTTTCAGGAATATGTCCATTTGATTTTCTGCCTTTACTTTTATAGACCTCAACCACAAAATACTAATATAATACTCATCAAGCTGAATGTAATTCTGACTTGTTTTTACTAACATTTAGACACATGTTTCTTAAAGTAAAGGTTACCTTCTTAAGAAATATAATAAGTTATTATGGGTACTGGTAAGGTATTTTACTATTCATCCCTGAAGCGATTCAGAAGCCTTCTTAGATTTCTTAGCATATGGCAGGTGTCCAAGCTCACTGAGGATACTATTCTTTTCCTCCAGAACTAAGAACAGAACTAGCTATTTATTAATCAAATGAGCATTCCACCCCTGGAGCCAATTCTTTCATAATAAGATAAGTTTGGCTTAAAAAAAGAAAGGATCATATCATGCATAATTCTTCATGATACCATATGGTAAACAAAACCAGTCAAATTCTAATGGGATTTTGATAGAGGCTGAGCAAAGCTTCACCATTAAAAACACAAGGAATCAAAGGCAGCAGGGCATTTCCATACAGAGTGGTTAAAAATATTCAAACCATCCTCTACGGGCAACAAATTATATGCTGTATTCTTTACATATGTGATTTCATGTAATTATCACAAAGCTCTATGAAATAGGTATAATTATTCCCCATTCAGAGAAGAAAGTAAGACCCAGACCTCTGATGTTACTTGCCAAGGTCGTGTAAACATTACAGGACTGAACAGAAATTCAAACCCAACTGGGTTTGACACTCAAGTTATTACTCTCCTTGACCATTATTTCTTCCTTGACAATTAGAGACTAGGGAAGAAGAAAAAAAAGTAAAAGGTGTATCTTTAAGCAAATACTTGTTTAAACCATCTGACAGAGTCTTTGCCAACCTATCACTCATATAAAACCTAAGGAGAGAGACTAGAAATCAGAAAACATGACCCGGTGACATCATAAGTCTTTATGCAGAAGTCCTTTGATGAGAAGGCGCAAAGGGACGGATACAGAAAAGCAAAGCCTGGTAGATTCCGTGTTCCCTTCACATAGGCACCAATGTTCTTTTCTACGTCTTAAAATGGCCATTATTTCACTTTTTCTTCAAAATAACTTGAGATGTTATTAAGCAAATTATTTTGAAATACATTCGTTAATTAATATTTTTCAATAATAGAAGTGGGTGATTAGAGAAACTATCAATTTTTATTTTGAAGGTAAATGTCAAGAGAGTTCTAAAGGCTCCTTACAAATGTTTCACATGTCATAGTACTTCAGCCATACTGTAAGTTAATTTTGTGCTGGTAACAATTCAATAACAGGTTTATTCATATTTACATATACTATTTTTAAATTAGGTTAGAGTTTTGCTATGATTATTGTAAGCACTGATTTTGACCTGTCAGAAACTCAATGAGAATATTCAAATGATTGGAATTCTTTCCTCTAACTATAATTACCTATTTGGATGAAACAGAGACAAAGGACAAGTAAGCAAGCAGCAAATAATACAGGCATGTATTATTTAATTTTAATTACTTTTTTAGTTAAATCCAAGACTTGGCATACCTCATTTCCCCTGTAATCATATTACCTATATTACTTCACTCTATTTTTTATTATTTTTTCTAGAGAATTCTTTAATATAGTAATGAGCCAACCAATTAAATGTTCTCTATTAAAATCAAAAGGGGTTTTCTATGATGACTTGCAATAAATTTAGAATTTTAAAAAGTTAATTTTTAAGATAATAAAATAATAATTTAATTAATTAGGATAAATAGGAGTCAGCCAGTCATAGCGTTAGGGAAAAGAAAGTGAGTAGAGAAACAGCAGAGATAAGATCTGAGGCAAAAGAGAGCATATCTAGAAGGGCCAGAGGGCCAAAATGCATAAAATGAGGCTGAAGAAAGACAACGGCAACTAGATCAGGGAGGTTTAATGGGCCTTGGCAGGAAGTCCGACCTTCAGTTAAGAGTAATGGGCTCTTTTGAAGAGTTTTACCTCAGAGTGTTGCATGATCAGATTTAAGTTTTTCAAGAGATCTCTCTAGCCAGTGAAGGCAGGGACAAGAATTGATGTGGACAGAGAAGTTAGGAGACCACTGCAGTGATTCTGAAGATGATAGTGGCTTAAAGAAAACAGTGGCAGTGAATATGGTGAGAAGCAAACACATTTTAGATAAAGGAGATATATGTGTGTGAAAGAACGTGTATAATCAAAGCAACAAATACTTGGTAACTGAATGAATGACTTGTTTTAGAAAGACACTGACTTCCAAAGGGCTTTACGTGGTGATTTTTTATTCTTAATGAATTGAACAAGGGGGCCTGTCTTGTTCACCATTTTACAAACATTTTTGAAAAATACAAGTAAACATTAACTTTAATGCTTTCCCCAATATACTAAAAAAAAGTTTTCCAGATAAATGATACTTATATCTTTAAAGCGAACACTCTCACATTTACTATACCATTTTGAATACATATTATACAGAGCCTTATTCTTGTTTAAAAACATGCCAGATTTTCAGTTTTACTTAATGTTCAAAATCATTATTACTCCTCTTAACTCCTTTTTTCTTTAGCAATTATGCCCTGCTGATTTCTTTACAACCACTTGTTAAATTGTTAATATAATGTATTTTAAATAAAAATGAAATTTTCTTCAGATTCTGGAAAAGATTAAGGAATATTTTCTGGAGATACCTTCCTTGTTGTTTTTCTTCAACATGTCCCGTTATCCTGCCAAAGACTATCTTTCCTACCTCATTGAGGAGACTAGGCAGAAATCCCTCAATTCACTGAGCTACCCCAGTTCCACCAACATATCTGCATCACACCTATTGTTATTTATTCCATCCAGTCTCAGTGGAAACGGATCCTCCTGTGTGGCTTCTTTTAGCTTACTGGAAAAATGTCCTTCCTGAAATCCAATGTAGTGGAATTGCTCTACCACTGCTCTGGATCACATTCTCTACACAACCTCAGATCACAACTATAAAAGTAATTCTCCTTTCCTATATTCTTAATTTCTCTATCACTGGTTCTTTTCCAACAATATATCTATATTCATAATTCTTTCAACTTAAAACCATCCTCAGCCAGGTGCAGTGGCTCATGCCTGTAATCCCAGCACTTTAGGAGGCTGAAGCGGAAGGATAGCTTGAGGCCAGGAGTTCGAGACCAGCCTGGGTAACATAGTGAAAGCCCATCTCTATAAAAAACACAAAAAAATTAGCCAGGTGTGATGGTGCATGCCTCTGGTTCCAGCTGCTAAGGATGCTGAGGTGGGAGGGTATCTTGAGCCCAGGAGGTCTAGGCTGCAGTGGGCTTTGATGGCACTACTGCACTTCAAACTGGGCAACAGAGCAAGACTCTACCTCTTGAAAAAAAAATAAATAAATAAAAATTAAAACAAAGAAAAAAAATCCTCTGTACCCCTTCTAACAACTACCCAATTTATCTTCTTCATTTACTAAATTTTTTAAAAAGCACCATCAAAGGTTTATGTTCTTCTGCCCATTTAATGGTCAGGTATATGTCATTATTATACCCATTTCAAAGAGAGGAAGCCACAGAAAGATTAAATACTTTCCAAAGAATATAACCTAGAAAACAGTTTAGACATAATTGAAATTAAGATATTTTCATTTAAGACTTTATTTGCTTTGTAATATAAAACTTGATGCTACCAATGCCACTAAATATAATTATTGATTTTTTCCATGTTTAATTATTTTTCTAAACAATGATATCATAAAGATTCACCCACATTACCTAAAGAAATACATATGAACATTATACAAACAAATTGATATTTTAAACTATGTGACAGTACTAAATACAAATCATAAAGGTAAGCAAAAGTCTTTACCTTTTGTTGAATTAGACAAAAAAGTAAAAAAGAAAAAAAAATTACCTAAAAAGTATACTTGAAATATAGGACAAAGAATGATCCTTTTTGCTAATTTATAACATAGTGCTACATAAATGTTAAAGTCTTATTCCCTTATTTCTGATAGTATTTAAATACATAATATAAATAATAAATAAAGTATTACTTATGTTTTATTTTATACTACAAAATAGGTACAAAGATGTAATTTGTGCTAACGTGGGTAAAAGTACAATATGATAAATTTATGTGCCTATTTAATTTATGCAAATTCAATTTCATCAGGAACAAATAGTCTAAGAAACCAACACTGTACTTTAGAAGGACAGTTTAATTGTACATAATTAAACAATACAATGACTATTATCTCAACTAAGTAATATTGAGAATTACAAAAGACTATCACTCATTGTAGATAATGTCTATTTTGCACCACTATATTTTAATTTTTCTAATTCCTTGGTTATCTTTTTTATTTAATGTAGACAAATAATTCCTTCAACAAAATTAACTACTTAATGTCAATACACCTTAGTCACTAAAGTCTTTAATATATTACTTTATTCTGTAACCATTCATTGAGGGTCTACTACGGGCCAGGAACTGTCAGGCACCGAATGTAGAAAGATGGGAAATGGGTGACATAATTGCTATCTGAGGTAGTTCAAGGAGAATGTCAGTAGCACAGAAAAGTCACAGATTACCTCATGAAACTTCTGAAAATACATTCATTTAAGTAAAAGCGTTTAATAAATATAACACCAGCATAGGCAAATTATATGAAAATGCAATTTAATATATCATATCTTAATAACTAATATGCATCTAAATATTACTATCTTTCTAAAATATTATACATTCCAAAGAAACACGATAATTTTTTTGTTATATCAAGGACTGCAACTATTTTTCTTTTCAGAAAATGTAAATTAGCTACTTTTTTTGCCTGTGTAAAGTACTACTACTGTTGAAAAGTAATGTGAATATTTTCATATTTCTGCATGGCAGAACTTTCTGAACGTACAAAAGTGGAACTTGGGTTAAAGAACAAACTTTCAAACTTGAAAGATGATTAAATAGATAAAGACTTCTGGAGAGATTTAGCTTTAGCTCCTAGGAGGTTAAGTGTTAATATTTCAGAGGAAGGTAAAACTTAGAGCCATATTTTTATATTACAAAGTATCTATTTACATTAGGAAGGTTTCTTTATCTCTCTCAGAAGGGGATGGCAGCCATCTAACAGCTCCTATATAAATGCCCACATTCATAATTCCAGGGTTCCTCTTCTGTGATGTAAAATTCCCCTTTTGGTACATGTAGGTACCATCATCTGGCTCTCATCACATTGCTCTGGAGGGGGAGATGGAGTGTGAGGAAGTGATGCGGTAATTGCTCTAAGAAACAATAATCAGGCCAGGTGCGGTGGCTCGTGCCTGTACTCCCAGTACTTTGGGAGGCCAAGGCAGGCAGATCATCTGAGGTCAGGAGTTTGAGACCAGCCTGGGCAACATGGTGAAACCCCGTCTCTATTAAAATACAAAAAAATTAGCAGGGCATGGTCGTGGGCACCTGTGGTCTCAGCTAATCGGGAGGCTGGGGCAGGAAAATCGCTTGAATCGGGGAGGAGGAGGTTGCAGTGAGCTGAGATCACGCCACTGCACTCCAGACTGGGCAACAAGAACGAAACTCCATCTCAAAATTAAATAAAAAAAAAAAAAAGAATAACCTGCCCTAAATGGAAACGTTGTGCTTGTTTTCAGGACACAATGAATATAGATATTTAAAACTTATCATGTTCCAAATTAGAATTTAGGAGAAAAAGTGTCTTTGAAAACAGAACTCTATTATACTTATTTTCAGGCAGATCAAGTCACTTTGATAGTCAATCAATAATCTTATTTAGCAAAGACAATACACCCATATTCTTTATCCTTTTGTCATAAGATTTTGATATAATAGAAAGGATAGTTTGGAGTATAAATGTAACACAACCTATAGAAAACAAAAATAAAAATCACTTACTTGATGTTATCAAGACAGCCTGATTCAGGTTTCAGTATAGCAGTATGATGAAACATTTTATATAAAGCAATCCCAAGGAAGATTACATTAAGCTGGAATGCAAAAGGTAGTGTTATGTAGCATAATTGGAGTAGGAACAAAAAAGCAAATTTATTCTCTATAACACATGAGTTGTTCTGGGAAATTAGGTCTCACTACACTTTTAAAGGAATTGGATCGTAGATGACTGCCTAGTGTTTTAGTAAAGGCAATAAGCCAGTTTCGAGAATTGGGATACTACTGAGTTACAAAGCACTACTATGCCTGCTATGCCAAATCACACAAATATAAAATCAGCATCAGCTGGAGTGATGCTGTGGAAATTTTGAAACAATTCAAAGTCTAGTGCATGTCAAAACAAAAACAATACTTTTTTAGGTGTGTTACTATTTCTACACTCTGAACATTTATCTAAATTTATTATTTAGTGACACATTTTCAAATACTGTATTACAAAAATACAAATACTAAAATCAATATATTTTTGTGTAGCTAGTTCAAAAGGATGATAAAATGTTGTTTAAATTCTGATGCTACAATAAATGAGGACTAAAGTAAAGGAAACCCCCAATGGTATTGTCATATCACTGGAAACAGAGAAAGCATAAAATTTGAAACAAAACAAAACAGAAAAACAGAAAGCTCTCATGTAAACTTCATATATCACACACAAGTAAACTGTATAAAAAAACCACATAGTGAGTTGCCCTTTACCACTTGATTAATTTATGTATTCCACAACTTGGCAATAAAAGCCCTCCTGAAATACTCTCAAAAATACATGTTCGCAATACTTTATCAATCATCCCCAAATCCAAAAAATCTGCAAAATGAAGGTTGTTAAAAAAAAAATCCATTCAGTGGCCAAAAAGCCTAACATGAAGTAAATCTATGTGGTGGGAAAACCTAATTTGAATTGACATAAGGCTGTCCATGGTCTTTCCACTATTTGCTCTTACCTTTCCTTTTTTTTTTTTTTTCTGTTGAAATACTGTATTTGATTACAGAGTGCTGCCTAGTCTCCACTGTGAGTATTTGTTGATGTGTTTGATTTTGGGTAACTGCCTATTCCTCACTAGGGTTATTGTGTATTACGCAATATATGTACCACATTATCTTTCCAAAGTCTGAAAAATTTCTGATTCCAAAATACATCTTGTCCCAAAGATTTCAGAGAAGAAACTGGAGACCTATATTTATCCAAAGTCAATAGGCTAACATTTTTTTCACAAAATGGATAGCAACTTTGTATTTTTAAAATTATAAGTACATAAGCAATTATACTAACAGTTTTATCTAAATTAAGTTAATCCATTCTTGAAATCAGAATATTATGGATCTAAAAACAGAAAAGGAAGCATGATTCCAGAATGCAGGCTTAATGTGATTGTGCCATTCTCAAGTAAAATGTTAAAGTTTTGCTTTTAAATTTTAAAGTTTTCAAGATTCATATAAAAAACAAAGCTGATAGGAACAGTCAGGTGTTTTCCCACCTTTCTAAGTTCTGTCAGTTCCCAATTCAAATTATCCAAAAGAAAAATAATGGAAATACACTGTTTTCAACCTTAGAGTCATCCTTGTTCAAATATCTATAAAACCAAATGTATTATGTTGGATTGGACCCTTGAGTAGCTATAACACTCCATAAGCTTTTGCAAATGAATATTTTCTTCTCCCACCTGTTTTGATTAACCATTTTACAACATAAAAGTAGACTATAATGAGTGTTTAATTGCTTGAATTATGTAGGGTCAAATAAGTACATGCTTTCCCCAAATTAACCTCTGTAAATTAAAGACAGTCAGTACTGGGATAGTGAAAGTTTTACTTCTTGATCTGGGAAACACATAGTTAATTAGGAATTCTTACCATAATTATCAAAGTTGCTGGTCCTATAAAACTCCAAATGAAGTAGGTGTCAAGTCGGAGCCAACATCTGCAATGAAACACAAGGGAGAGAAGGTATTCAAGGACTGGGTATGGGACATACATCAAGAGTGAACCTGTGACAGAGAAGAATGTGAGCTGCAAAGCATTCCACTGGGAGACAGGAAATATTACATTGCTTGTTCATTTAAATGCTGAATTATGTGCCCAATTTCTGACAGCACTATTGATGGAGTAAGATAATTAGCCCTGGAGGAAGCAGGAAAATATGGCACTGGGCCTATTTGCTAAGGCCTTTTGTGTCTGTCATAGAAACTTTTAAAAAAAAAAAGATAAAGAAAGAAAAAGCCATACACATAGCCATTAAATCAAGTAGCTTTAAGCTATCCTTTTCTCTCCGATTATGGTGCTACATAACCTGTCTATCAGCTGTCAGGCAAAGTGACATTTTCCTGTCAAGAAGATCTGAGGAAATGTGGTACAAAGAAGAAATAAATTTGGTATCAGAAGATTGAAGTTTAATTAGGTTGGGCAGCCAACCTTTGAGATTTCTGGAGTCTTAAAAAGTGCATTGTTACTGCTCATACTTCTGGGGTTGCAAATGATCCTTAGCATCCCATGAAGTTGATTCATGACCCAAAAGTAAATTATTAATCACTTAATTTCAGCTACATTTAATACTCCCCCAATTTTTAAAACCTCTGGGAAATTACATTTTCGTTCTTCAGGATGACAGGAAGACAAAATGGAAGTGACTAGTTATGAGAAAGATTAATGTAAATTTTGAACAAATTACATTTGATGTTAAAAATAATATCTTGAATTATTTGCCATTTTGCCATAATTGAGGCATCAGAAGAAAATAACTCCAGTGGTAAATATTCAAGACTGGTTTGCTATATAATATAAACATGGAAATCCTAAGTACTCAAATATTTCTGTGATTATAAAAGTTACTTAAACCTAAGCAATAATGGAATAACAGAAATCTATTAAGAAGGGAAATTAGAAATGCCTATCAAAAAAGTAATGAATAAATACAATATTTTCTATTCATATGATGAAATGTTATAAAACAGTTAAAAAGGAGGAAGTAGATCTACGTATGTCAATAGGATTAAAAAAAAAAAGTTGGGGGCTGGGTGTGGTGTCTCACATCTGTAATACCAGCACTTTGGGAGGCCAAGGAGGGTGATTCACTAGAGCCCAGCAGTTTGAGACCAGCCTAGGCAACATGGCAAAACCTTGTGTCTGCAAAAATTAGCTAGGCATGGTGGTGTGCCCCTGTAGTCACAGCTACTCAGGAGGCTGAGGTGGTAGGATCACCTAAACCCAGGCGGTTGAGGCTTTAGTGAGCTGAAATCACGGCACTGTGCTCCAGCCTGGGTGACAGAGTGAGACCCTGTCTCAAAAAAAAAAAAAAGAAAACCAAAGTTGAGTAAAAAAGTACGGGACAGAATCTAAACTATATCAAATGTATATATAATATAGTGTGTATATATACATGTTAAACATACACACACAGACATTAAAAACTACACACAATATATTTTTGATGGATATATATATGTTATTTAATGGAAAGAAAAAAAAATCACCAAACTCATGTTAGTGGTTGCCTCTCACATAAGAGTAGAGAGCACTAGAAGTGAACAAAATGGGCTTTAGCCATATGTTTTAGGTTAGTAATTACTGACAGCAAATACACTAAAATGCTAACAATTTTAACATCTGAGTAATGGAGGCAATGATGTTTATTATGGTTTTTGGCTTCCTTTACTTTGCTATAACGTTTAAACTCATTTTAAGAGCTAGATTTTTAAGCAAAAAAAAAAACCTTGAACCAAAACAGATTGCCTACAAAAAGCCCATTTTAAAACAATGAAGAGGCTAGCCACAGCGGCTCACCCCTGTTATCCCAGGACTTTGAGAGGCCACGGCAGGAGGATCGCTTGAGCCTAGGACTTCAAGACCAACCTGGGCAATATAGTGAGACCTCATCTCTACAAAGAAAAGAAAAAAAAAATAGCTGGGGATGGTGATGCATGCCTGTGGTCCCAACTACTCGAGAGGCTGAAGTGGAAGGATGGCTTGAGCCCAAGAGGTCCAGGCTGTGGTGAGTCATGAACCCGGCACTGTACTTCAGCCTGAGCAACAGAGTGAGGCTTTGTCTCAAACAAAAACAAAACAAAAACGAAAAACGAAGTCTGGCCTTCTTCTATTAAGTTAAATACATGTAAACTAATTTCAGTAGAAGTACAATAGGCACTCTAACAAGAAACTGACTACAAGTTCTCATTTTTTATGTAGACAAGATAATTTCTTTATTCAAAGTAAACACAATAAACCTGTTCGAAAAAATGCTATTAGTGAAGCAATCAACGCTCAGTTAAACACCATTGGTTTTTTTGGATAATTAGTTACCCTTTTGTTGTGACGGTGTTCAAAAAACTTGGTCATATGAAACAGAAGTGTAGTGCTAAATATAAGCAGAAACAAACCAGAGAATTCAAGGTTGAAATATGAACATTGTCTTCATTCTGACCATAGGCTAGCTTGTCACCAACTTAATAAAAGAGAGAGAGAGAGGGTGTATGTGTGTATGAGAGAGAGTGAAAAAGAGCGACAGAGAGGGAGAGAGAGAGAGAGAGACAGAAAAGAAACTCTTGGGGAAGGAAGATTTTCAAAGGTCTAAGTTCTGAACAAAGATCGTAATTGTATTTTCCCTCAGGGTAGAAACAATGAAGGAGGCTGGGCATGTGGCTCAGGCTTGTAATCCCAACACTTTGGGAGGCCGAGGTGGGTAGATCACTTGAGGTCAGGAGTTCGAGACCAGTCTGGCCAACATGGTGAAATCCCATCTCTACTAAAAATACAAAAATTAGCCGGACCTGGTGATGCATGCCTGTAATCCCAGCTAATCGGGAGGCTGAGGCAGGAGAACCTCTGGAATCTGGGGGCAGAGGTTGCAGTGAGCCAAGATCATGCCGTTACACCCCAGCCAGGGTGACAGAATGAGAATTCACCTCAAAAAAAAAAAAAAAAAAAAGGAAAGAAAGAAAAAAAGAAACAGAAACAAAAACAAAAAAACAATGAAGGACAAAACCAAAACATGGACATTTTCCCAGACTAGATCAGACACACACACACACACACACACACACACACACACACAACTGCAGCCCATGAATGCTGCTGAAATTATAGCAACATGATATAATAGTAATAATACGTTTTAAGAATGACTTAATAATACAGCTCTCATTATTTTGTAGGTCAAATAAGTTTTTGAAAGCTAATCTGAGAACTAAAACACATTTTCAGAAAAAGAAATGTGCTTCACAATCTTCTATAGAAGATTATTTTACAAGTTAAGGAATCTAAACAAATACCTTTAATTATATTATTAACAGTTGTCTTGGACTAAGGGAATTTTAAAATATTAAATAATCTCACCAAATGTTTTGTTAAAGTAAAATTATAGCCTTGCAAAACTTTGCTTTTTTGAAAATGGTCTCAGCTTAGCCAATGCTTTATTTGGAAATGTGCTTTTGGCATAGTGATCTTTTCTAAATGTAAAGGAGCATTTCAAAATGATTATTTTTATTCTTTGAGAAAAAATTTTATATCTATTTGGTAAAATGGATTTACATTTCCTTTGGAATTGAACAGTGAAAGAGGCAATATAAAATACGTAAAATGTACTTAGTAAATCATCCCTCCATGAGGGCTGCTGGGGCTTTACTCTCTTCTGGAAGGCTGTGTGGCAAGAATCCCTTTTCTAATTTGATTGCCATATGGCCACACCTGCTGTTGTTTCTGGCCACATGCTGGCTTTCTCAAAGCCTTCTGTATTTCCTCCTCTTCCTATTAACTACCTTAAAAATTTGCATGATTCCTGTCCCAGTTCACTGTGGCTGTTAAAACAATTCATTCAGCCTTTAAGGTGGAGAAGAACGTTATGTGGGGTGTATACATACATGCCTGAGCACATATATCCTACCTCACAGTTCTATAAGTCTCACCATTCAATGACATTTAGATACAAGGTAAAAACACTGGTTAAGGTGAGACAAAGCTAGAAGAACAATTTATCACACTAAACACACTGAAGTCCAGCTTGTGAATGGTAAGACAGACCTGCTATTGAAGAATACAATTTATCTGAAAATTGCCTTTATCTACCTAGCAACATTTAATTTGTGAAATTAGTAATTTGGATTGGCCATTCACATTTAATTTTTAAGATATGGCAATTTCTTTTTTATAAATGAAATTCAATCATATGTATATCATCTATACATTATATTTATAAAAGTACTGTAACAAAAGACATAAGAGACTTGAGAAAACAAGTGCATTCTGACCACACTCATGTTTATTATATATGTATATTATATATATCATGTAATATTATAAATATATTTATATATAAATGTATTTTATAAATATAATGTATTATATTTATATATATATGGCAAGATTGAGAGAATAAGAAAGGAATAAACTGGGCAAAAAAGAAGGACAGAAGAGAGAAAAGGGACAGGTATATATGCCAAGTATAATAAATCTAGGCCCCAGCTTATTGCATAATATGATTGTTAGGAATTTTTTTAATGCCATTTTCATTGCAGCACATTCATACATCTAATGTTGAAATGCTTTGCAAGCAAGTGCATGAATTTTTAAAAAAGGTTGGTGGAGTGATACAGGGATGGAGTGCAATCAGTGGTGGTCAAGACTAGCATTTGAGGTTCTGCTACAGTTTTGGATCTTAGAATTAAACACTACTTCTAATATATCAAAAATAGATTGTGTTGTCTTTATTTCCTCAACATGTTATATTTTTTAAAAGAGTTTCATTAGTTTTTTCAGCAAAATGCATCCTACATTCTATGATGGACTATAAAGATAAGAATTATGGCTATTATAATTTATTAATACTACTAAATGTTGAGTGATTGCCATGGTCTCATCTTAGTAGAAGATGATATCATAAGAATTGTGTACAAGAAGCCCCCGTGACACAAGTTTACCTATATAACAAACCTTCACACGTACCCCTGAACCTGAAAGTAAAAATAAAACAAGAATTGTAATCGCTACTCTAGTAAATGGTTGCTTTTTAATACAATCTATTTTGTAATTGAAAACAACGTTGCTGATCATGTTTGTATTTCTTTATTTGTATCAGCCAAATAATAGTACCAGTAATAATAAGAGGTCTAATTTAATAAATACTTAACTATGCTAGACATAGATGTCTAGCATATATTTTACATATATACATACTGTTTACATACATACATACACGTTGTATACATATATACACTGATTCATAAATACGTACACACACACACACACACACACACACACACACACACACAGTTTCAAACATCGGAAGAGTCTTGCAAGGTACTTATAATAACTCCCACTTTACAGATTAGGAATGTGATACTCGGGTAAACTACCCACAGCCACACAGATAATAAGTAGTTGAGACTGAATTTTATTCTAGTCTACCTGACTCCAAACTCTCTGTGGCTACTAGATGTTTCTCCAGAGAATAATGATATAAGTTATAAAACAACTAAAGGTGTCGATTGGTTGATAATTATAAATTCTCAATGAGTAGGTGAGAAATTTATATGCTGTATATAATGCACAGATTACTGAAACAGGTCTCAAGTCAAAATATCAGATCTTTCTAAATATAAGGTCATCTCGATGTTAGTGAAACTTTTAGTATTATTAAACAGCTTCACTGCAATATGATTTATATATCATAAATCATTTATTTAACAGAGTATAACTCCAAGGTTTTTAGTATATTTAAGAGTTGTGAACCCATCAGCATAATCTAATTTTATATTTTCATTTTACCAAAATGAAACTCTGTACCCACCAAAAGTCACTCCCCATTTTCAACCTCCCACTGCTCTACAATGATCCATCCACAGTCTCCCCAATCTTAGCAACCACTATATTTTCTGTCTTTAAAGATTCGCCTATTCTGGACATTATATATATATGGGAACATATAATATATAGTCTTTTATAACTGGCTTTAGTCACTTAACATAATAATTTTAAAGTTTATGTATTTTATGGCATGTGTTAATACTTCATTTTTATTGCCAAAAAATACTCCATCATTTAGGTATTACACAGTTTACCTTTTCATCAGTTGATGGGCATTGGGTATTCCCATGTTTTGGCTAACATAAATAATGCTGCTATAAACTCTTGCATACAAGTTTTAACATGGACCTTAGTTTTTATTTTTATTTTTTATAAATGCTTAGGAGTAGAATTGCTGGATCAAAACTATGTTTAACCTTTTGAAAATCTGTGAAACGATTTTCTGAAGTAGCTAGCTACACCATTTGACACTGCCACCAGCAATATATGAGGGTTCTCATTTTCCACATCTTCAACAATGTTTGTCACTATGTACCTTTTATTGTAGCCATCCTAGTGGACAAAGTCATCATATATTATACATGATCTTTAGATGTCTAATGATAGCTGTGGAAGTTGTTATACTTCTTTGGTACCAATAGGAACTCAGGTCTAATATTCAATTTTAAGTCTAACATTTCATTGCATTTTAAAAATAACAGCACAGTGGTCCTGATGATCTCTGATATAGTCCTGGTATGGATAACTTCTTAATAGAAAAAAGTTATGCTTAACCCAGAATTCTTAGATATGATGATAATTGTATATGTCCAATCAATCATTGGCTTTCTGGATGATAAAATGGTGACACAATAACCCTTCAGTATTTACTACACATACACATAAAATGTTCTTGGCCTTTAATAAAATAGTATATAAACATACACATGTACTCCCTGTAGACATATTGAATGATGACCTTCATATGTCAATAACAAATACTTCTTCATTATCTGTATTATTTCCTACTGGCCAAGCTATAGTCAAACACACCTGGTGATAACATTACAGCAAGGTAAATGCTTTATGTCAATGAAGTGTTATAAGAACATTTTATAACATCATATAATAATTGCTTAGCAAAATACTCCTTAAGTGAAAATATGATTCTCTATGAATTTGAAATGCTAAGGAATTGTGAACAAAATAATTAAATAAATCTATGCATATAACTTGCATATACCATCAAGTTCAATCTTCCTTAACTAACCTCTTTCTTGAATAATACACTAATCTGATATTTTTTAGAAATCTATAATCACTTTTCTACCTACATGATTATGCTGGTTAGATGATGAAGTGAAAATAAGGAAGTCTGGGGTCTTTTAATTAACAGAGGAGAAAGTACCCCTTTGAAAGATACTCTTAAGCTAGTGAGCTGGGAAGACAAATGTAAAGTTTAATAGATAATTTACAACAATTTTCAGATCATAAAATTTGATTTCAATTATTTTTAACAGCTTGGCTATTCTTCTAGGACTCAAGAATGTTCTTATCAATTATAAATGTTCATGACTTCATCCACATATTTAGAAACTATTCATCAATTTTTTAGCCCAGATTTTCTCTCCTAGACAATTCTCTGGGCTTTACCCCTTCCCAGTGTGCTCTCTCCCTTTTCCTGGTACCCACTTCTAATTCCTTCTTCCAATCCACTGCTTTTTCATACATGAGACTGAGTCGAAAATGCTATAAACTATCAATGTGATTTTTTTAAAAGTAAAAATTTACTGTTCAAACAGTTTGCATGTTTTGGTAATATTGGAATAATTAAAGTTTAAATGAAGTGATTAGTTTCAGGTCATAAAACCAAAGTATTTAGCACTGAATTTCCAAATGTTTCCTGATTGAATTACTATTAAGTCAATGACAGCCTTTGCTATAATTATCTTCTGACAGTATCACATTGATGGCATCCCACTGAATATCCATATGAATAACAGTATGAGAGACATAAAAAGATATAAGAAAGAGATAAATGAAAATAAATGTCCATTATTAACAGCGCAATTTATACCTGTGGTCTACTAGCAGAGTTTTTTTTAAGATTATTGTTTTTTAAAATGGATTTTTTAAATAACTAATTATTTTAACCAAATGTTAGTTCTAAGTACATTCTTGAATATAATGTCAGTACAGATAAAAAGGTTTTGTTAAACAAATAATGGCTCCTTACAAGCACTGCAAATTGATGGCAAACTAAGCAACTTCTCAGAATCAAATTTGTATGCTTTGTGTGTATGTGTTTTATACATAATAATAAATTCAATAGCCCTAACAACATTTCATAGAAAAACATCAAAATCCATCAGCCAGATGGAATATGATATTTATCTCCATATCTGTCAAAATAGCATTTATTTAACCTACGAAACAATTTTATCTCTAATTTTATCTCGTACCATTAATATAATTCTCTAAATTTTAGAAATGTAAGGTATTATTATTATATTAAAGATTTCAGAAATAAAACCTCATTGTCAGTATAATAAACAAATACATTAATAGGAGAGAAAAGGGAGACATGTCTATTATCTGAATTATTGTAATAGATATTCAATGGTTTTATTCTAGATGTACTGTAAGTGGGCAAGACTGAAGAATAAAAACTTAAGAATCATGAAGTTCCAAAAACAAGTAAAAAAGATTTCCAAGACATACAATTTTACTGTATTGAGCTTAATAATAATTTAAAGAAAATAGTTGACAATATATCTCTGATTTCTGGCTAACTACACTTTATTATAGGCTGTGGACTATACATTTTCATATTTAAAGAATCAGTGTAGTACATAGGGAGGTAACACTGCAAACAAACAAACTTGAGACAGCAGAGATGTGTGAAAAAAAGATGCACGTGGTGAGCAGGGAGTGGGAAATGCCATATTAAATAAAATAAAAGCAGGCTGGGCATGGTGGCTCACACCTGTAATCCCAGCACTTTGGCAGGACAAGGCTGGCAGATCACCTGAGGTTGGGAGTTCGAGACCAGCCTGAAAAACACTGAGAAACCCCATCTCTACTAAAAAAATACAAAATTAGACGGGCGTGGTGGTGCATGCCTGTAATCCCAGCTACTCGGCTGCTCGGGAGGCTGAGTCAGGAGAATCGCTTGAACCCGGGTGGCAGGGGTTGTGGTGAGCCAAGATCGTGCCATTGCACTCCAGCCTGGGCAACAAGAGTGAAACTCCATCTCAAAAATAAATAAAATAAAATAAAATAAAATAAATAAAATAAAATAAAATAAAATAAAATAAAATAAAATAAAATAAAAGCAATATACAACAGCAAGAGAAACTGGAACAAAGAGTCTCGACGATAGGAAACAAGACATATAATTCTATATACAGAAATTCTTTGAGTGTAAAAATTAATGGCTCATATTTTCACTGTGATGTCTTGATTAAGCCCTGATGGAAACAATCTGTTCACTTCAACTTCTCAAGTAAACACCATGGCTCAGTACTGGTTCTCTTTTCAATATCTGCTTCTTCAGTGGGAAAACAGCACTGTATAGATGTTGGATTGCATGAATTCCGAAAAAGTAGAAGTTAAACATTTTTTACATGTATTCTGAAGGCTTCTGTGTGGACAATTTATTTACAATGTACCCCAAGACACTAACATGTGTTATGCCCCCCTGTGATATAATTGAAATAATGAAATTTTCCCTATCTTTTCCTATCTCTCTTCCATCTACCCTCCCTTTTCTTTGTATCTGTTTTGCTTCTCTTTGTGTTGGAAAAAGTGATAATTGCAAAACTGAACTATTATTAAGGCTTGTTTTAAATCAGTGTCTGGGAAATAAATTAGCCCCTAGTCTCACACAGCAATAATGTCAGTAAATGAGAGCTTCCAGTTACGGTGCAGGAAATTAAAGCAATGATGGCCAAAGCTTTAACAAAGCCACAAGAGGCTACATATTATTGATTCTAAGAAAAGATAGATTTCTACTATCCAAAAAATGACATCTGTCTCAAAGTAAATGACTAAAACACAAACAAAACAAATTGAATGAGTTCAGTAGTAACAGGACAATTTCCAAATAAGGAGAAAAAAATTGATGTAAAAGAAAAATGTAATTTGGAACTTCAAGAGAGCAAAATGGAGCTACTTAGCAACAATATTTGAAATAGCATAAGGTCACAAATAACTATATTACTCAATTTTGTGGTAGAAAATGCATTGAGAAAAATGTAAAGTCCCATGATCTAGGTGAAATGACTGCTAGGGGTTTCTTTTTTGTTTCGATGAAAATATTCTAAAATTAGACAATAGTGATGAGTACATAATACCACAAACATCCTAAAAACAACTGAAGTGTATGCTTTAAAGACTGAATTTTATGTTACATGAATATATCAAAGATGTTATTTAAAAAAAAAAACAAACCTATATCAACCTAACACCCCTCCCCTAAGACATCTTTAGGGACAACCTCAGATAACGTGTTTTTTTGTTTTTTTTTTTTACTAATCCTAGTCTGTTTCACAGATGTCACTGGAATCAACAGAAAAATCACAGACTTGATTACAATTCACAAAGTTGAGATTAAAAAATAATAGTTATTGGCATATTTAGACAAATGGTTTTATATAGCCTGTCACTATACTCAAGACAAAGGACTCAACGGGAATAAGTCTTCTTTTAATTGTATTGTTGGTGCTTAAAATAGCATAGTTCACATATGCTGTTTTAACTATGCTCCCAATAATTCTGGCGTCCTCTTCTTGTCGTTCCCTTTTTATGAATCCTCACTTCTGAGAAGCAAGCTCTTTTATTGCCAACATGTTCAGACTGCTGATTGCCGGTGGAAAGTCATGAAATTTGGCTTATTAACTTCTGTACAAATTGAAGTTATCTAACCTCATCTGAGCCTACACTGCTGCTTGAAAATCTTTTTATTAATGTCTAATTGGCTCCTTAGCACATTTTCCATAGTGTTCATTTCAAAGCTTTTCAAATCTGTTCTCTTGACATGACCTCACCTATTCACTCAATAGAAATCAGCATCTTTTACTTGAAGGAAAAGTTCCTCTGCTTCAAAATGTACCTTGCCTGTCCTTTTCTTCACACTCACCTCAAAAAAGTGAGGTCATTTTACAATTTCAAAAAAAAAAAATCCTAGTTTATTTGAAATAACCTGACTTGGTTTATCTCAAATCTGCTACCAGCTAACTCTATAACCACAGGCAATGCAATTAATTTATCTAGTATTTTATTTTCTCACCTGTAAAATTAGTGCCATGGACTTTGCAAATTCTAAAACCACTTTTAGTAATAAATCAAGATTTTCCAATCTTGTGTTTAGTCTTGTGTCTTTCTACCTCCCAAGACTTTTCCCTTTCATTTGGCCCATATATACTATAAGGAATTTTCTCTCTATGAATCTCCTCCTATTAATTTGATTCTTCTCACCCTAGATATGCTTAAGACTTCATCTTTAAAATTTTGCTTCATGATTATCACGTAAGTTAATATTTTCACTATTTTTCAATCAACTTACTTCCAGGTGTAAATAACGCTCTTACTACTAACTTATGTCTTCACGCCTTCCAATTTGATTTCTGCTTCTAGTACTTTGCAAAAATGGCTGTTGCACTACTTGGGAGGCTGAGGCAGGTGGATCACTTGAGCCCAGAAGTTCCAGCAGCCCAGGCAACATAGCGACCTCTGGGGGCCTCTTAAAAAAACAGACTTGTTGCAGAGGTCAAATGGTTTCTTTTGTTTGTTTTTGTTTTTTACTTAAATTAATTTTGACATAAAACACCACTGATGGTGGTTTTTTGTTTTAGTTTTGTTTTGCTTCTTAGAGATGAGTTCTCACTCTGTCATCCAGGCTGGAGTAAGGTGGCATGATCACAGCTCACTGTAATCTCAAAGGCTGGGCTCAGGCGATTCCCCTGCCTCAGCATTCTAAGTAGCTTTATAGACATGCACCACTGTGTCTGGCCACTGATGGTGTTTTGAAACACCATCTTGAGACTTTCTTCTCCCTTGCCTTGAATCTAAACCTCATGGTAATCTTTCTAAGCCTCTGCTTACCTCTTCTTTTTCTCTACTTGTATTTTTTAGTCCTGGGTCTAGTTCTAAATATGATTATTCATCAGAGGTCTATCTTGGTTTACTTTCTAATCTCTTCTCATAAAACTTTGATTTACTCTGGGTATCTCAACTGTTACATGTATGTAGATTGCAAACATATTTTTATCTGAACTCCATGCTAATATGCTTCACATCTCGACACATATGTCTTAACAGTTTAAAGCTATGTTGAAAGCAAAATTCATCACTCTACCTCAATGCCTACCCAGGAAAAAAGGGGAAAAACACAGGCTGTCCCTGCTCCTATACTCTTTCTGTTGATGACATAAAAGGCTTTCCAGTGACTTGAACGGACTTGGCAGGAAGAAGATAAGCCAGCAATGTCAGGGACTGCACCATCCTATGCTAGCAAATAGCTCTTCATACAGCTAGTTCTTCCTTTGACTAATGTCTTAATGTTCTGAAGAAAAATAAAATTATGATCTCTTCATAATTACACAAGGTTATGATGTAGATGTAGAAAAATTACGCTGTTTTAAAACAGCATCATGATAAGTCTCAAGGTATTTTTTTCTTTTTACATCATAACCAAAGTATAACCATGGATTGAATTATACACATTTGCTGCCCAGTTTCTTCACTGTGAGGTAATATAAAGACCTTTGCTTCCAAGAAAGTCCAACACTTTTATTTCACCTAGATTTAAAAAGAAAGAAAACAATAAACTTACACTTTATCTGTTCCATAACTCCTGTAGTCTACTGCAGCTGACACAGCCACAATGAGTGCAGGCATCCCATAGCCGACCAGATAAAAGTATTTCCTACGTGAATGTTCACTCTCAAAAACCTCCACCAGCATGATATAAAGCTGCACCCCCTCCAGGAACATCCAGGTGAAGGCAGCCAAGAAGAAGAAATGTAACAGGGCAGCGAAAACAGCACAGGCAATCTAGGAAAAGGAACAAATGATTTAGTCAAATCTCTACCACATGGGATACTAGTCAACTGCCATAAAACCAAATTAAATATTTACCAAAACTGCATTACAATAGATCTGCAAAATAATAACCTAGGGAAGATTCTTAAAACACAGATATTAAAACTAATATACTTAAATATAATCTATCTTTGAAAACTGCCTTTAACATTAATAATGGCTTATAGATGACAGTGTATCATTAGAATAAAAAAAATAATACTTAGAAAAAATTCTAATAAGAGCCTATGAATAATTATTTCTGATATTAGCGTAAATATTTTAAAATAGATTTTAAGAATTTTTTCTCTTGGCCATAATCATGAGTTAGAGTTAGAGTCAGAGTTAGAGTTAGAACATACTAACATAGTAAGTTCTTCAATAGTCAGTGAAAGAGAAACATTAAAACTAAGGGGAAAATTAGTGTAGTTAATTGCAGTCTTTTCATGATGAGATTATTACTAATTGTTTCATGATGAAATTAATTATTAGTAATTGTTTGTTTATTTCTACCCTGCCTTGTTTCAAAAATGATTTAAGGTGGTGTTGGAAAATTCATGGTGAACATGAATAAAAATGGATCTGCTTAAAATTAAATGTTCCCAAACTGCTTTCTTTCTCTGATTTTTTGTTATTGTACTAAATATTGGTTTAGACAAGCTTGGTCAGAAAAGGCAGCCAGCTCTTATTTTTGTATATTTTCTAAAGTACTACAATTTTCAGCTGACCAACTATCAATTTCTTACTCTTATGTCAGTTCCTTAATTCTCATTTCTTTGAGTTATTCTTCCTTATAGGAAACCCTGACTAAAATCTATAACTGCTACTAGAAAAGGTCAACAAACTTACCGAAGTTATCAGAGTAACAGAAATTCATTGATGAGTATGATCCTTATGAAATGAGACAAAAGGGCAGGTCAAATTTTGGGTCACAAAGATGACAATGAAGGAGAGATCAGCAAGTCTTACATCTGAGGAGCTAGAAAGAAAGCTGGTCCTAAACACTATGTGGAGTGCAGAAAAGGATACCTCGCTAGCAAGGAGAGTAAAGACAAGTTTTGCTGAGCTGCACTCTACCCATGTTTTTCATATCAATCATTGTTCTTTATATTACTTGTTAGAAATGAGTTTTGTGTAGTATGCAATATTTGGCGAAGTTTTTCATACCATATATAACATCAGGAAACAAAAATAAGAATAAGGTCTCTAAATGAAAAGAAATCACACAGCATTTGAATTGCAAGCTAACAAGAGAATAAAATGATACATTCTTGGAAAATAACACAATTTTCCATTTCTTGCTTTTTAGAGTTAGAACGTCAACTATTAATTTTTGTTATCATAAGGCTTTACTTTTTTGGGGAAAGAAATGTGTACTTTGATTGCTTATTCATAGGTATGCATTTATGGGGAAAGCTGTCACATTAGTATATGATGCCCAATTAAAAATATAATCACCATAATTGTACCCTTTACAGTCATTAATCATGAATGTGTAATCACAAACATGAATCCAACTGCATTTTTATTGTAAAGCACTCCATACATATGGACACATACCAGAAAACAGCATTAAGTAAGCGAACTATTTATTATGCTCAAAAGCCTTCTACAAAATGAAACTTTTCTGCTATTTTGCAATTTTACTCATGATAACAAACTTGTAACATGTGCATAAATCTTAAGTAAACTGAAACTGGCTCACAAAAATTATAAGTGGGCATAAAGTTTGTGTAATATATGAAGATATTGTCTATTATTTATATTTTCTGTTTGGTTTTACCAACAGTTGGCTAGTGCTGTTCTTTTTTTTTTCTTTTCTTTCCCTTTTTTTCTTCCTCCTTTCCTTGATATGACTAAATGTAGGTTGCAATAACGTACAAGGCTGGCAATTAAAGACATGACCAGAACTCATGCAAATATAAAGTGCCAAATAAATTTGGGAAGAGTTTACATATAATAAAAATGCTTTGCAGGTTGTACTATTTTCCAAAATACATCAATTAGAAAAACCCATTTTAGACCTGCAGATTTTAATATAATATTGGCTGTTTTTAAGGCATATTACAAACTTTAAAGCATTATTCTATTAATTGGAAAAAAAAGATATTCTTTCATTTTCTAAATAATTTTACCAAAGTTTCCTCAATATTGAGCCCTATGGTTAAAACAAAAGAAAAAAATAATGACAATATGTAGTTCCTTAGAAAGACAAGTTTATGAAATAATTTCCGAAGAAATGTACATCTCCTTTATTGTTAATGGGAACACAAAATGGTACAGCCACTTTGGAAGACAATTTGTCAGTTTCTTTAAAGCTAAATATACTCTTACCATGTGATCCACAAATTGTGCTCCCTGGTTTTACCCAAAGGAGTTAAAAACATATGTCCACACAAAAACCTGCACACATATGGTTATAGCAGCTTTCTTCATAATTGACAAAAGCACAGATGACATCTTGGAAGCAACCAAGATGTCCTTCAGTAGGTGAGTAGATAAACTGTGGTACATCAGACAACGGGATATTATTTAGCACTAAAAAGAAATAAGCTATCAAGTCAAAAAAGGCATGGAGGAAATTCAAATATATATGACCATTTAAGAGAAGCCTTGGCCAGGCATGGTGCCTCACACCTGTAATCCCAGCACTTTGGGAGGCTGAGGCGGGTGGATCGATTGAATCCAGGATTTTGAGATCAGCCTGAACAACATGGCGAAACCTTGTCTCTACTAAAAATACAAAAAATTAGCTGGGCTTGGTGGCAAATGCCTGTAGTCCCAGCTACTCCAGAGGCTGTGGTGGGAGGATCGCTTGAGCTTGGGAGGTGGAGATTGCAGTGGGCCAGGATCATGCCATTGCACTCCTGCGTGAATGACAGAGTGAGACCTTTTCTCAAAAAAGAAAAGAAAGAAAAACAAAGAAAGAAAGAAAGAGACAGAGAGATGCCAATCTGGAAAAGCTACTTACTAAATGATTCTAATTATGTGACATTCTGAAAAGCCAAAACCATGGAGATAGTAAAAAAAAAAAAAAAAAAAAAAAAAATTAGTGGTTACCAGAGGTTAGTGGGAAAGGGGGGATAAACAGAGGAAGCACAGATGATTTTCAAGGCAGTGAAAAAATTATACTCAAACCCAGAGAATGTACAATCCCTAGAGTGAAATCTAATGTAAACTATGGGATTTGGATGATAATGATGTGTTGATGCAGGTTCATCAGTTGTCACAAGTGTACCTCTCTGGTGGAGGATGTTGAAAATGAAGGACACTATGCATGTGTGGGAGCAGGGAATAGATGGGAATGTCTGTAGCTCCTGCTTAATTTTGCTGTAAAGCAGTAACTGCTCTAAAAAACAAAAGTCTATTTAAAAATGAAATATACACCTTATTCATAAAGTTTGCTGCTTATTTATGACAATGGGATATGAAAAATGGAAAACTGAGTAAGGCCTGAAAATTAGTATCTATCTTAGATGACTAGAAGAAATGATACTTTCAAACATAAGTATTTTTAGTATTGGCGCTACTGAAAAGCTGGAAGTGGAAAAATTCTTCACTGGTATCAATGTAGGTTGCTTACTGGTTGGTCAGTTCGGTTGATCCCAATCAGGAAGAGCAGCTCTGCTACAAAGAGACTGATGCAGAGGTTCTTGTGGATGGTGTTACGGTCACTCTGGAGCCCCCGGAAAAAGCAAAATGTGAAGATGCAAATCAGGAGACAAACAAGGGACAGCAAAATTCCAACCCACGTGATCACATCCAGAAGGAGGTCATGGACCGCATCACTGTGCTGGAAACACAATGAAAAAGCCATAAGTTGCGCTTATGCATAACCAATTACAAAGTTTTATAAGGGCCTGGATGCACAAAGCATGATAGTAATAATGCACAAAATACCCTCTATACCCACAATGAATAAAGTAACTTAATGATTTGGGTTTTCTCTTCCACAGATAAAGCATTTTGTCTTTTCCGTGAGGTGTGAATCAGTTTGATATTCAGAGACGCCAATAGCGTTTGCTTCTTTCTTAGCTACAAGCATTTTCAGAATATAAGTAGTTAAAGCAGACCGACTTAATTCTGGCCAAAGATTTCAAGGTTAAAACATTTTATTTTTTAAATTTATATCACTTTTTTAGACTAATTTTCAGACCATCTCCAGTAGGGAATACTATTTACAATTTTAAGCTTTACACTTGGGGAAGTTGTATCTCAACTAATTTTTGAATCATCTAAGGAGTTTTAAAATTAAAAATGCAATTCCTTTGTCCTCTAAATCTTGTATCATAATTTCCAAGGTTGTGTCATATAAGTATGTATTTTCATAAAGATCCCCAGTGAATTCTGATGAATAGCCACACATGTGCACTATTTATTTTGGGGAAGATCTAAAAGAATTAGGATATTCATTGGATTTATATTCATATTGAATAGCTTAAAGACATCAGCAAGTTTGATCTTTGAAAGGTTTTGCATGAATAGAGCCTGTTATACATTGACAGAAAATAAATATTCAGAATTGCTGTATTAAACAGCAGCATATAGAAGACAGTAGAGCTAAGAAACAAGAAAAAGTTCACGAACTGTACTGAAACATCATGTTTTGGTTCTGTTAAAATAGTCCAGGAAGCTCCACGTCTGCCATGTTCCTTGGTTGTCAATTACTTCATTTCTGTCCTTGTTCTAAGATTCAGAACTCTTATTTCCACCTTAAGATATTTTGTCCCTACACTAAAAAAACTTCTGTGAATCTTTAGAATTTACAGAGGCCCAACAAATAAGTAGATCAAGATGTCGGAGCAAAGTTGAGAAATTGTTTATGACTGTCAATTCTTTTCCTTCAAGGTTTTTTGAAGAGCCATAAATACCTAACTTCTATCAGTAGCAGAATAGATAAATGAATGGGTAAAAGGTTAATTCCTACAATGATATTTTAAAGAATAGTAGAAAATCAGTGTACTATATTTAAAGTCACAAACATGGATAATACACAAAAATCTAATATTTTTTTTTTAAAAAGCAAGCATCAAAAGGATCTACACACTATGACAGCATTTTTGCAAAATTTTAAAAGATGAAAATCAATGACATTGATTTTTATGGATGTATGCAAAATTGGTAAAAGTATAAACATGTACATGGGAAAATTTTGAGTTGACAAGAAGGAGTTGTCTTTCTAATTGATACTTTTTTCAACTATATAGATCATACACACTGACTTTTGTTTTAGGATGGAAGTTGCCACATTTAGTTGGCTTCCACACTAAGCCCAATTTTAACCTATATAAATATTCACGTTTTCCAAATACTGCATGTTCTCACTTATAATCAGGAGCTAAACACTGAGTATTCATGGACATAAAGATGGCCACGATAGAAACTTGGGACTACCAGAGGTGGTAGGGAGGGAGGGGGCAATGGTAGAAAACCTATTGGGCACTATGCTCACTCAATACCTGGGTAATGGGATCATTCATACCCCAAACTTCAGCATCACACAATACACCTATGTAACAAACCTGCCCATGTACCCCATGAATCTAAAATAAATATTGAAAAAAAATTGATTTTTAAAGGCAGACATTTAAAAAACACATATCCAGGTTTTCTTCATTTTTTTAACTTCATCCTTTCAAAGATTTTTCTGGATGTGGAAATTCTTAGAAGTAAGCCACCATGCTGTAATCTGAATCATAACACTCCTCATACTGCCAGATACGACTTCACAGTTGTTATTTGATGAAGACCTCCACTAGAATACTGTCAATGAAGCAGTTTTGAAATATTCCTGCATAACTCTTGATATATTTCTCAGAAGGAGCTCAAGTCATGAAAGAAAACCACATGAAATTTTGCTTTAACTGCTTTGTTCTCCGGGGGATGCTACCAAAGCAGTGTTGGGTCTGCGACAGCTTAAATTACTTTTAGTGTTTGAGAGTGGAGGGTGGTTAGTGCTACCTGGTTCCCTGAATAGAGGGCTATTTGCTCTCTTCTTTGACTCAAAGGAAAGATGCTGCGATTGAGAATCAAGCACCAACGTTTAGCACAGCAGTCTTTCATAATGGAAAAATGGCAGGTATAACACCATCTCAAATGTATCCAAAAGACCTGAAACACCTTTAAAAAAAAAAAAAAGAACAAGAAAAAAAGAAAAGAAACCAAAGAACTCCCACTTTTATCTGTGTAGGTGCATTATTAGAAATGTATTTGTTTTACTCAGTGCCTTAGTAGGCTCTTCAAAAACTCCATGCAGAGTTACTAAGAGAAGAATATCAGATCTTGAAATGTCAGTAGCAAAAATTTGTAACTCTCAAACATAGAACAAAAAATCCTAGTAAATAATTCACCTTTTAAGTATGACTGTTTAGCAGGAAAACATCAACACCAACCACCTATATGTCCATGACACTGGGAGGGCAGCACTCATCAAATACAACTCAATACTTGAATTTTACCAGTAACATGAATGGGAAAGAACAATGGTGCATTAGTCCATTCTCATGCTGCTGATAAAGACATACCCAAGACTGGGTAATTTATAAAGAAGAGCAGTTTAATGGACTCACAGTTCCACTTGCAGGCTTCACAATCATGGCAGAAGGCGAAGGGGGAGCAAGACACGTCTTACAAGGCAGCAGGCAAGAGAGAATTTGTGCAGGGGAACTCCCATTTATAAAACCATCAGATCTCATGAGACTTAATCACTACCATGAGAACAGTATGGGGGAACCGCTCCCATTATTCAATTATCAAATGTCACCTTCTCACAGAGGGTTTTTTCTGAGTCATCCTATCTAAAATTACAGACCCCTTTTCTGTATTCTCACTCTCTCTATTGCTTTTCTTGCATTATTTTCCCCTTACTCCTTATCACTTGATTATTGCAATTCAAGGTGATACTTGGATTAGGACACAGCCAAACCATATCAAGTGGACATTGAATGTAAATAACAGATGTAAATATGAAAAGCCTTGTTTATAATTAATAGTCTGCCATAATAGAACTTCTAGGAAGGCGGTCTGTGCATAGAAAAAAGCAAACTCCTTTCAAGAGGAAGACCAGTTGAATTAAACTCCTAGGTATAGTTGTACCAATGTGATAATGGCACAAGGATTCCTATTTCTGAGATTGCATGTTTGTGAACACTATATAACTCAATCACCTATAAAACAAACTATATACCATTATGTACCTTGAGAGCAGGGATTATATCAATTTTATTAATATTACATCCTAGCACCTAGTACTGTGTTTGACATTTAAAAAATCTATAAAAAATATTTGGTTTTGAATGATTATATTCCCACTTCTATTAGGCTAAATGCTTTAGAGCTGGACCCTCTCATGTCAGTACAGCTTAAGCACCCATTTAATCTCCACTTGGATATTTGATAAGATATCAAATATTATATGCCCAAAACAGCTCCTGATCTTATCCTATTCTGCCCTCCTGCTTCCAATCTGCTCTTCCTTCTGTTTTCCTCATTTTAGCAAACAGCAACTTCATTCTTGAAAATGTTCTGGCCAAAAACTCAGGAGTTATATTGACTCCTCTATTTCCTTCACGCACTACATTTAATCCATCAGGAAATCTTATAGGTCTTACCCTCTAAGCCTGACAGGTTCTTATCATCTCAACTGCACCAACTTGATTGGAGCCATCTGATTTCTTATGAAGAGCCTCTTAACTGATCTCCCTACATTGGCCCTAATCCCACTTCTCTCTATATTTAGCAGAGCAGAGAGATTCTTTTTATATATAAGTCACACGACATTGCTCCTCTAATCAAAGCCTCCAATGGCTCCCACTCAATGAAAATAAAACTAAGTCTTTACAAAAGCCTTAGATAGCCCTAAGAACTGCACCCCTGTGACATCATTTCCTATTTTTCCCTTCCTTCAGTGCCTCAGTTCATTCCACTTCCATTGACCTGCTCTGTTCTTTGAATGGTTGAGAGATATTCCAGCCCATGGTCTTTGCATCTGATGCTCCTTTGGACTGGAATACTCTTCCAAAAGATATCTGCGTGGCTTACTTGCCACACTCCTTTTATTATTTATTCAAATGTCACCTTCTCACAGAGGGTTTTTTCTGAGTCATCGTATCTAAAAATACAGACCCCTTTTCCGTATTCTGACTCTCTCTATTGCTTTCCTTGCATTATTTTCCCCTTACTCCTTATCACTTACTTAAACTATATATTTTAATATTTTTTCTACTTATTTTCTGTGCCCTCCCTAACTGAAAGAAAGCTCTAAGAGAATAAGTTGTTTCATCTCTTCTGATTACCAATCCTCCAGCTCCTGGAGAAATATGTAATATACAGTAGCTGCACAATTAATGCACTGATTGAATAAATGACCTCTCTTTAATCATCTCTCTCTTCTACAATGGATTTTGATTCAAACTACAAGTTGTATCATGCTGCCCACTAAACAGTCCTTGGGACTCTTCCTCTTAAATCATCAGCTCTAAAATGTTGAGTAAAAGATAAAGAAAATTAGAGCTAGAAAATAAGAAGGTTGTTACATCATAATACCTTAAGATGTCCTGTAATGTCAGCGTGTCAAACGAGTATAAAAATGAAGACAAAAGTACAGATGTAAATAAGAGGAATCTTGAGTAATTAATTCTTGGAGTCTAAAGCCTTGAATTTAATCTTGTCACTTCAATTTAGTCATTGTTACTTTTAACAAAGTACTTAATCTCTTCAAGTATCAGAAGCCTTATCCACAAAGCAGTAAAATAACTGAGGCTTCAGGATATTGTGATAAGTAATTCACATAATATATGTGAAAGCAAGAAAGTGAATATTTCTTTACTTTTTTAAATCTGAATGTATTCTGAATTTTTTCATGCTCAATAGCAATTTTCGTTTAATAAAAAGCCTATATAAATGATATAGAGAGGATCAGAAAAATAACCATAACAATAATAAATGCTAATGTTATTTTAACTAAGAACACCAAAAAATATTCCAATCAAGTATGAGTTATCTAATTTCACTTTATAACATTTCCAGCTTAGTTATTATTAAATATTTGTGGTACTTATAAATTAAGGCTATAAAAATGCCTATAGTGGCCAGGAATGGTGGCTCATTCCTATAATCCCAGCGCTTTGGGAGGCCGAGGCAGGTGGACTGCTTTGAGTCCAGGAATTCAAGACTAGCCTGGGCAACATGCTGAAACTCCATCTCTACAAGAAATACCAAAATTAGCTGGACAGGGTGGAGGGTGCCTGTAGTCACAGCTACTCAGGAAGCTGAGGTGGCAGGATGGCTTGAGCCCGGGAGGTGGAGGTTGCAGTGAGCCGAGACCACGCCACTGCACTCCAACCTGGGTGACAGACCCAGACCTTGTCTGGGAGAAAACAAAACAAAAAATGTCCAAAGCATCCGAAGAAAGCAGATGAAGACAGCAGATTTTAACTTTTGAATCTGAATTGCATCTTGATTACCGTACAATTGCACTTATGACTTTTAAATGATAAAACAAGAAAAATACTAATTCATTTGTATACTTTTCCTTAAGTTAGAACAAAAAGACAAATAACGTAGCAAACAAAGATGACACTAAAAAATTTTGTCAGGGTCTGTACCATAGACTAGTGTTAATTTTTGAAAGGAACTCTTGGAAAACTCATTAAAAAAAAATAAACAAAATATCAAAGACTTCAAGGAAATTAGCTTCTTAAAGGAAGATAAGGAGATGTGAGAGAAAAATCAGAGGAGAATGACAGAATTATTCCTCAGAAGATAGTTTCAGAAAATTGAATGAATCTATCATCTCTAGAAAGAAATTTTTATACAAACAATAATTGTTTTTCAGGCTTTCTATGAAATTTCTATTCATATATTTGAAAGGCCAAATATTTTGTAAAATATTTGTAAAACTTACATGAAGCTTCTGATTTTCCTTTCATTTTTGTCTTAGGTAATCTGCTTTGTCTTTGTCACTGAGCACTCACATACCTCGAAAGTGGAGTGATGGGAGGAAAGGACGGCTTACACAATGAATGTCACTTGTGAAAGTGACTCTGTCCATGTAAAACCCTCAAATATACCATGAGGTACACTCAATGATACTAAGTCCAAATTTCTGGAACAGGGAAATGTGACTTTTGCCTTATGATTTAAAAAAAATAATAATCACATAAAGTACACTAAGACTTTATGTGAAACTGTTGATATTTCTAACTTTATTGTCAAAAAAGCAAGTCAGCAAACGAGATAGAGAGACAGATCTTAAAATAGTTTTCATTTTAACTATGGAAGTGTTTCCAGATGGGATACAAACTATACAAATTAATTGTGAATGCTTCTGGATAGGTTTTTTTTCTTCTTTTTTGAAAAAAATAATTTTAGAGAGTTGTATTTTTCAGACTGCTTGAACAATCACCCTGTAATAATTATCAACTGCTTGCCAATAATTATCAAGAACCTGTTTTACTTTTTGCACAATAATGCATTATTTTAATGTTGAGCTGGATTTAGTAAAGGAGAATAATATGAGTTTAAAATTGCCTCTTCGATACAAACAAATGGAAGAACATTCCATGCTCATGGGTAGGAAGAATCAATATTGTGAAAATGGCCATACTGCCCAAGGTAATTTATAGATTCAATGCCATCCCCATCAAGCTACCAATGACTTTCTTCACAGAATTGGAAAAAACTACTTTAAAGTTCATATGGAACCAAAAAAGAGCCTGAATCGTGAAGTCAATCCTAAGCCAAAAGAACAAAGCTGGAGGCATCACGCTACCTGACTTCAAACTATACTACAAGGCTACAGTAACCAAAACAGCATGGTACAGCTACCAAAACAGAGATTTAGATCAATGGAACAGAACAGAGCCCTCAGAAATAACACCGCATATCTACAACTATCTGATCTCTGACAAACCTGACAAAAACAAGCAATGGGGAAAGGATTCCCTATTTAATAAATGGTGCTGGGAAAACTGGCTAGCCATATGTAGAAAGCTGAAACTGGATCCCTTCCTTACACCTTATACAAAAATTAATTCAAGAAGGATTAAAGACTTAAACTTTAGACCTAAAACCATAAAAACCCTAGAAGAAAACCTAGGCATTACCATTCAGGACATAGATATGGGCAAGGACTTCATGTCTAAAACACCAAAAGCAATGGCAACAAAAGCCAAAACTGACAAATGGGATCTAATTAAACTAAAGAGCTTCTGCACAGCAAAAGAAACTATCATCAGAGTGAACAGGCAACCTACAAAATGGGAGAAAATTTTCACAACCTACTCATCTGACAAAGGGCTAATATCCAGAATCTACAATGAACTCAAACAAATTTACAAGAAAAAAACAAACAACCCCATCAAAAAGTGGGCAAAGGATATGAACAGATACTTCTCAAAAGAAGACATTTGTGCAGCCAAAAGACACATGAAAAAATGCTCACCATCACTGGCCATCAGATAAATGCAAATCAAAACCACAATGAGATACCATCTCACACCAATTAGAATGGCGATCATTAAAAAGTCAGGAAACAACAGGTGCTGGAGAGGATGTGGAGAAATAGGAACATTTTACACTGTTGGTGGGACTGTAAACTAGTTCAACCATTGTGGAAGTCAGTGTGGCAATTCCTCAGGGATCTAGAACTAGAAATACCATTTGACACAGCCATCCCATTACTGGGTATATACCCAAAGGACTATAAATCATGCTGCTATAAAGACACATGCACATGTATGTTTACTGCAGCACTATTCACAATAGCAAAGACTTGGAACCAACCCAAATGTCCAACAATGATAGACTGGATTAAGAAAATGTGGCACATATATACCATGGAATACTATGCAGCCATAAAAAATGATGAGTTCATGTCCTTTGTAGGGACATGGATGAAATTGGAAATCATCATTCTCAGTAAACTACTGCAAGGACAAAAAACCAAACACCACATGTTCTCACTCATAGATGGGAATTGAACAATGAGAACACATGGACACAGGAAGGGGAACATCACACTCTGGGGACTGTTGTGGGGTGGTGGGAGCGGGGAGGGATAGCATTAGGAGATATACCTAATGCTAAATGACGAGTTAATGGGTGCAGCACACCAGCATGGCACATGTATACATATGTAACTAACCTGCACATTGTGCACATGTACCCTAAAACTTAAAGTATAATAATAATAAATAAATAAATAAAAATAAATAAAAAAATTTAAAAAATTAAATTGCCTCTTCAACATATTGTATTCTGAAATATTTGTAATATAGCTGAGTTTCTTCTTTTACTGAAAATGTATGAGTGTTTACCTTACTACTAACATATCCATGAGCATAAAACATTGATTTGAATCATAAATTAAACTGAAGCCAGCAGGATTCCAAAAAGCCTATTTTCGGATAAACGTGGCATGAACTCTGTGAAAAAAATTCCTGGCATTGATCTAACTCTTGAGAACCAGGTCATCAGACACAGAGGTCACCTCACAAGCTCTTGGGAAAGTGAAAGGATTAATGGTCTGAAGAAATTAGGATTTCCTTTGCAGAACCTGTCATAGTTGGGTAACCCAGTAAGAAGGACAATATTATTATATTTCTTACTTCTTTTTAGGGCAAATTAACTGAAGCAACCTACCAACAACATTCAAGTTTGTATCAAATTGAAAAACCAATCTAAATATTTTCATGCTTTAACTGGTAAAAGAGAAACACTAGCAAGTGTGTGCTCTTAAGAGCATACAACATTCATATACAATTGTCCTTTGAATTCAATGGAACTTATTTAGCAAAATTTCTGGCTTCAGAAGCATACTTATTATGCTTAGCACACTCTAAGTTATTGGCGATCTTCTTGCTTTGAATTAAGAAAAAAAAGCCAAACTAAACAAAACTACATTTGTTGTACCAGATTTGCAACTACCATAACGAATGAAAGAAAACAGCAGAAATTGTTAAAGGAAAAGGAATGATCAATCAATAGAAAGAAAATAATTTAAGAGTGTCTGGGATGAGAATGAAGGTAGGAAATGAAGCTAGGCAGATAGAAAATTTTATCCTTAGCATTTCTGAGTTAAATAAAGTGACTAATGATGATAGCAGTAATAACCAACACATAATTTTCAAAATGTCTGATTCTATTAGAAGAGCTTATTTATTTTCTTAAGGTACTCATTTTAATTCTATAAAACACTGTGATGTGATACTATTATTATCTCCAACTTACAGATGAAGAAACTGAAGCAAAGAGTATACAGAATTTATCCACAATCATTCTACTAGTATGCAGTAGAGATAGAATTAATAATAGGGCAACCAACTGCCCAGGTTTGCTCACTACTGTCTTAGTTTTAGCAGTAAATTTTTGCTTTCTGGAAAACCCTTCTCCAAGACATAAAAAGCCTCAGATTTCAGAGATGGATGCAGAAGGTTAAAAGAAATGTACAAAATCCACAGGACCACGTAGAAAATGGAGGCTGCATGCCACAGTATTTTTAGTGTTGAATGGATGAAGCATCAATTGTCCATTTTTCTTAATGGCTCCTGCAAGTTTTCTCCTGACTACTGATGTTGGTAGTCAAGATCTGTGATCCTAACACCAGTTCATCCACTGTTGCATTACTCTAGATTCTGTGACTTGAGTATTTAACCCACATGCATTGTGACCCTGAGCTCCTCTTTGATCTTGCCTGTGAATTAACTGTATTGATTTGTATGAAGATTGTGCTACTTTAATTTTTATATTGTGAATATTGTGACCATGTTTTCTTACAGTTCAGTGATGCAAATGAGTATGACTATAATACCAAAGCTAACATGACAATACTGAAAAAAAAAGGCTAAACAACTGTGTTACTTTAAAAATACATAGAACGATCCATGGATCTAGATTAGGGAGAAAATCAAAACAGAGTAGTCTACAATAAATAGAAATAAATTTGAGACTAGACAGAAGGTCATATGAATACAATTGTGGAGCCTACATCTCACAAGTTTAGGATGAGACAGGCAAGTTTTTGTAAGTCAATCAAAACCATTTTTTATCTCCTCCCACCCCCCAAAAAAATCAACGCTCTTTTGAAAATGGCAGTTGTTAAATTAGCTTGAATATACAATAAGAATAAACATTCATTATCATTTTGTTCCCTTGATTGCTCAACACACCTGAGTACAGTTACTTTTTTCTGATTCAAAGGTTGCAACTAAAAAGTCCTGAGGGTAAACAAGAGAGGAAATTTTGAGGACCAATATGCTGACCGCTTAGAGTGTAGAGCTGATTTTGTCAGGTCTTATTAATGATCATGGTGCTACAATATATCAAATGATACGTTGAATCATGCCAGCAAAACCATGTTCCCTCTAGCTCTTCGGTATTTTGAATTCTAAAATGGAGTTTCAAATCATCTCCTTGATTTCTGTAAAGATTTTAATGAAACTTCAGATGACATAAAAGATGTAGCATCTTGTCCAAATTTAAAGTAGACTGTACTCATCTATCTGCATATTTGACAGACTGTGCAAATGTAAATGTTGGAAAATTCCATTCAGCCTATAAATGTCTTATAAGAGAAAATGAACAGTTCTTACCTATTAAATGTCCTGTACATCTTTACACAATATTAATAGAAAGGTAAGTGGTTTTCTTTGCTATGATATTGCGGTTTTATAATGAAATTTTTTGGTCACTTTTCAGTTTCCCCAGAATGTGCAGAAGCACTTAATGGGCCTTTTGACTTTCTGGAAATGGGAGAAGATATGTGCTTTGAGACATATGCTGACAAGATGCCTATCATTGTGGCTGGCCATAAAAATATGTTAAAATATTGGCCTTCTGTAAAATTATATTTTCAAAGCATGGAGCAAAAGGAATGTTTCTCTTTGATTTTTAAATATATGACAGATGAGAACAAAGAAAAAGATTTCCATGAGACAGAAATGTAAATGATGTTTCTCTAAAACTGTTCAATGTTCTCTAAAGAAGATGTAAGAAACCTAGAAAAAGGTGAACTGACTCTACTTGAGTTGTTTGAAGTTCTGTGTAGTTTAGGACAAAAAGCCATAGAGTGAAAAAACGACTCATTTTTAGAATTTAAGACTGCTTTCAAAAAATGTCACCAGAAAAGGGCAGTCAAGTTAAACAGGAATTTCTCACGTATTTACTAAAAGCTGTAACTTGTTTAGAATCTGCTGTGGTTTGAATATGACCCCCAAAGTTCTTAAGTTGGAAACTTAATCCTCAATGCAACTGTGTTGATAAGTAGGAACTTTAAGAGGTGATTAGGTTATGAGGGCTCTGCCCTAATGAATGGATTAATATTGTTATCATGGGAGTGGGCAAGTTCGGCCTTCTCTTCCTCTCTTGCCCTCTTTAGCACCCTTATTCTCTTGCCCTCTGCCTTCTGACAAAAGTATCCTTGCCAGATTCTGGTGGTGTGCTCTTGGACTTCCTAGCCTCTAGAACTGTAAGAAATAAATCTCTGTTTTTTATAAATTAACCAGTCTGTGACATTCTGTGATAGCAACACAAAGTAGACTGAAACAGCACAATTTCAGAAGGTAAAACTATGTGCTTTACAACTATTAATCCTGATAGTGTTTTAATTTATGTTGACATCCAATGTACTTGTAAGTGTTTAAAAATGATGGACATTTTGGACATAGACAACATATAGAATGAATTCATAGATGCAAAGGACTTGATTGAAAGGCAGCTGGTCTACCAAAATAAGCATGTACATAAAAAGTGGATGGGTATTTTTGCAGAGCTGGGAATTCCTACAAGTCTAAAAAGCTATTTAGTAAAGCTACACAGTAAAATCAAAAGCATTCCATGCTCAAACCTTTTTGTTGAGAGGATATTTGGCTTTATGTTATCACATTGGACTGACACAAGTAATTAATGTAATATGGACTTAATGGGGGCAGGATTGTGAGTCAAAGTAAATTTTACTTTTGACTGTATTCATTTTTACCTCTATTAAAAAGAAAAGAAATGAAAGGCAAATATAAACATGCCATAGTTATTTTATTAAATAAAGGTAATATATGTTTAATTACTACATTGTATCTACCTTTTAAAAAAATTCTTATATTTACTTAAAAATGCACAATAATATAGCCTAAAAATTTAAATATCCAGTGAAGACTTAAAAAGCATGAAAACAAATGTCTGGATCAGAAGACAGAAAGAAAAATTAAAAAAATTAATACATTTTTTCACACTATTGGCCCTACTATTAACTAGCATTAAAGTACTATTAATTTTCATTGTTAAATAGTAATAACACATATATGAATATTTATGGTGTACTAAGCATATTTTTGGTCTTGCAGTGCTATTTCCCATTGGCTCTCTAAAAACTTGGTCACCCTAACTGGTAGCTAAATATTGCAAGTTTTTAGCAACTTCATTAACAGTGGGAAGGTCCACAAATGCTTGCCTATATTTCCTTCTGTGACCAAATATAGGTGGCCCCAGATTTACAGTAGTTTGACTGATGATTTTTTGACTTTACAATAGGTGTATGAGGACATAACCCAGTCATAGACTGAGGAGCATCTGTATACTAAGCCCCTTAGAACAGGACAGAGCAATGCTTTCATGGGTAAAAATGTCTTGACTATCCTTTGAATACAATGATTAAACCCAGAGATCTCATTGAAACAGAGTTTTCTGGGCTCATTTCTAGCTCTAAATTTTCTTATTCTCTGATAAAATGGATAACTTCTCCTGTTTGTTTTCATTCACACACACACACACACACACACACACACACACCCCTTTTGAAAGTACTTCTTAAAGGTGTTGGGTGATGTGGAGTAGGGTAGAACAGCTGAAGAGTAAGGAAAAGTAATCATAGAAATACCAGATATGAGTTACCCAGATATGTATATTTTTATCACTTTATCATTCTTACAGAGTCATTACCTTTGGCTTGGATGAAAAGAGAAATTCACCACAGTGAGAAAGAAAATTTTGAATCATAGAGGAACAGAATTAGAATTAAAGGAGAAGGTAATTTTTTATATCTAGATTATAAAAACCATATAATAGACACTGCATGAGGCAAGAAATATTCAATAAAATTTTGGTAGATTCATTCTAAGAATATTTATTGGGTACCTATTATGTGCCAGGTACTGAACAAAACAATATAAGTATAAATATAAATATGTACATGTGCACATACGCACACCCATGTCATTTTTATTTCATTTTCATTTGATTTTCTTAGCTATAGCAATTTCAGAAAAAAAGAATATTTATTAGACTATCTTTTTTACATTCTCATGAATAAATGTATTGCATTTTAAGCAGAATGCGGATCTTCCAGATATTCTAGAGACAATTATCCCACAGGCTTAGTGACAATAATGTGAGATAATATAAAATTCAAAAAACAATTAACATCTTAAAAGTTCCATGAATTGGATTTTTAAATTAGCCAGTAACTAACTATAGGAGATCTTTAAATTGTATTATTTACATTGTAATGATACGCAGAGTAAATTGGCAATCCCTTGAATTGTACTTATCAAGATAGGCAAAATGGTTTAGTTTAGCCATATTTCTGTTCAAATGCTTTTTTTTTTCTTTTTGTGAGTCGGAGTCTTGCTCAGTCGCCCAGACTGGAGTGCAGTGGCATGATCTCAGCTCACTGCAAGCTCCACCTTCTGGGTTCACGCCATTCTCCTGACTCAGCCTCCCGAGTAGCTGGGACTACAGGTGCCTGCCACCAAGCCTGGCTAATTTTTTTTGTATTTTTAGTAGAGATGGGGTTTCACCATGTTAGCCAGGATGGTCTCAATCTCCTGACCTCGTGATCCACCCACCTCGGCCTCCTAAAGTGCTGGGATTACAGGCGTGAGCCACCGTTCCCGGCCTCAAATGCTTTTAAAATCTTGTTTATACAATTTGTCATTATTGTCTATCTTATAAAGCTATATAAATAACTATTCTGGAAAACCTAGCCTAATTCCAGTAGAGTCTAGTAGTTTTCTAACTTTATCACTTTATTTACTAGAGATAGCCAAATGAAATAGGCCAGAAAAAGGCCAGGTACAGTGGCTCACGCCTGTAATCCTAGCACTTTGGGAGGAAATGGCGGGGGGATCGCTTGAGCCCAGGAATTCGAGACCAGCCTGGGCAACATGGCAAAACCCCATCTCTACAAAAAAATACAAAAATTAGCCGGGCATGGTGGTGGGTGCTTATAGTCCCAGCTACTTGGGAGGCTGAAGAGGGAGGGTCACCCAAGCCTGGGTCAAGGCTATGGTGAACCATGATCATGCCACTGCACTCCGGCCTGAGTGAAAGAGTGAGATCCTGTCCAAAAAACTAATAGGCCAGAAAAAAAGAAAAACAATTACGGAAATGTTGCCATGTTAAAGTAAAATTTTGTGATCTGGAACAAATAGAGTATAGTTAATAAACACCTCAACTAGTTCTTACCAAGAACAGTATACACAATTGAAAATATTTTTTAGGATATTAGGATGGAAAGGTTTCTATGTTTCTTCTGCTTGGTTGATTGATTATGCTTTCTTAAGCATGAATAAATTGGATGATTAGAACCATTATATTTAAATTTTTTTAAAATAATAATTCCTTCAGTTAAGCAATGCTAAAATCATTTCACTAATGAAGAAGAAAACAAATCAATGAAAAAGTTTATTTATTTTTAGTACTGATTTATGATTGTACTTAAAACTAAATTTAGTGATACTGATATTGTGGGAATTCCCAATGTTCACATAACCAACATTTGAAAGAGTTGGGAAGTTATATGTAGTTATATTTTGCCACAAAGCTATTATTAGACAATTTCATTATGAAAAAAAAGAGTCTGTCACTTCTAAACCCAAGGCAAAGCACTGGCCTAAACATTTCTCTTTCAGGAAAAGTTTACCTGATTAGATGTAGATAAAATCATTATTTTTATTAGAATCTCAATCATGTGTTTGTGCCTTGAGAGTTAACTACATCCAGGATGAAGAGCTTTAAAGGCTTTGAGAATAGTTAAATAGTGAATTAATAAGTCATATTTCCAGAAAACCTTATAATTCTCAATACGATTCTTATAGATTTTGTTATTCAATCCCTAAAATAATTGACAAACTGTTAGAAAAAATTGTGTTAGTCATATTTGATCAATTAATAATGGGAACAAGAAGTTCAGATGATTTGTCTAAGAACAAAAAGGAATTACTTAAAACACTGGAATCAGAAACCTAAGCCTCCTGATTTTTAATTCTTATTCCTACTTTCCTGAATTATAAACTTGGGAAATAAAGAATTGTGATGACAATACCTTTTGTGATGCTATGGATTAAATGAGATAATCTATGTAGACATTAAAGGAATGATGTTCATCCTTATTATGAGAGGTCTTGAGACACTCTGGGCCCTTCTGAGAGTTGAAGTCTTCATCCAGTGTCCACATTTTAGGATCCCTTATGTACTTGATTACTTTTTTTCTTACAAAACGTTTCTCACTAGAATTGCAGATGAACCTCTAGCTGCTATTTTTAGCCAATTTTATTTGCTGAAGATGAAACAGAACCTAAATAGTTTAAGTGTGAGGATCCAAGCTGTGCATAGGAGGATCACAGGATTCTTTCTGCTTAAAAGTTCTATTGTCCACTATTCATAATAGCAAATACATGGAATCAACCTAGATGCCCATTAATGGTGGACCAGAAAAAGAAAAATGTGGTACATATACACTATAAAATACTATGCAGCCATAAAAAGAATAAAATCAAGTCCTTTGCAGCAACATGGATGGAACTGGAGGCCATTTTTCTAAGAGACTTAATGCAGGAAGAGAAAACCAAACACTGCATGCTCTCTCTTAAAGTGGGAGATAAATATCGACTACACATAAACACAACAAAGAAAACAATGGACACTAGGGCCTTCTTGAGAGTGGAGGGTGGGAGGGGGTGAGGACTGAATAACTACCTATCAGGTACTCTGTTGATTATCTGGATGACAAAATTATCTGCCCACTAAGACCCTGTGACATGCAATTTACCCATGTCACAAACCTGCACATGTATCCCCTGAACCTAAAATGAAAGTTGGAAAGGAAAAAAAAAATAGTCATAGTAAAATAAAAAAATAAATTCTGCCATAATCCAGAAAAAAACTCAAAGAAAGCATGTTATTAAATAATATAAAATTTATTGAAAAAATATATATTGCAAAATAAAAAAAAAATACAGCCTTATATCACGCTATCATAATTGTGTCTCTCATTTTGCTTAAACAAACTGTCCTAGGAAGTGATGTCACTTCCTCTAGGGTGTCTTCTCTGACTCTTCAAGGTCCAGGTAAAGCTCTTTCCCATGTGTTTCCACAGCATCCTCTATAGTTGTGAGAACTATAACACATTTCTCACAAGATGCTGATTTTGCTGATAAGTTGTCTATACTACTAAATAAACTGTAAGCTTTGCTTGTCACAAAGATGGTACTCAACTATTTGGGGAACAATAAAGGATGGATTGAGCACATTATAAATTTAAAAAATTAAAATTAATAGAACAAAGTTTCCAAATACGTTCCCACAGATTCCTCTTAATTACAAAAAGTTCAATGTTTCTGTACAATGTAACTTTTTAACCAAGTGATCCAAATTCAGTAATACAAATGACTAAATTGATAGTAACTGAACATCTTGATGCAATGGGAAGGATACAGCATCTACTACATGGTGTTCTTGACAAAAATGTTTTACCCAAATCTAATCATGAGGGAAAAAAATAAGAAAGGTTGTGACTGTGAACATTCTACAGGTCAACTGACCTGGACTTTACAAAATATCATTCTCATGAAAGACAAAAACAGGCAGAAATACATAAAAGAAGATTAGCAACAAGGCAAATGAAGGCAACGTATGATCCTTGGTTGGGTCCTGCTTGAAAAAACAATGACTCTCTTGGGACAACTGGGAAAATTTTTTGTGGATTATATAGTAGATTATAGTATTGTATCAATGTTAAATATCTTGTTTGTGTTAACAATAATGTTCTTAAAATATAATTGCTTGAAATTTTAGGAGTTAAGTAATATAATATCAGTAATTTACTTTCTATCTTTCTTTTTTTTTGAGATGGAGGCTTGTTCTGCCACCCAGGCTGGAGTGCAGTGGTGTGATCTCGGCTCACTGCAACTTCTGCCTCCCAGGTTCAAGCAATTTTCCTGCCTCACCCTCCTGAGTAGCTGAGACTATAGGCCCATACCACCATGCCTGTCTAATTTTTTGTATTTTAGTAGAGACGGGGTTTCACTGTGTTGCCCAGGCTGAACAACTTACTTTCAAAAAGTCAAATAATCCAGCAAAATATACACACATGCACAACATATACAGAAAGCCAACTGTGTCAAATAGTTAGATATGAATTCAGAAAAAGGGGTATATGAGTATTTATTGTATCATTCTTCCAACTTTTCTATAAAAGTTCTGTAAAAGAGTGGAGAAAAAAGAAATAAAATGATTTTAATGGTTTGTTTTTCTTCAAATCCATAATTTTAGCTGCTCTCTTTCTATGAATAATTTTAGACATATCTTTTTCTTTCATGAATTTAAGAAGATATACCACAAGTTGGTGTCAATTCCCCTCCTCAAATAGAAAGACTATCTTTCTCAATATCTCTAGGTAGATTCTCTTTCTTCTTTTTTTCCTCCCTGCACTTCACAGAGATAAGTAATGGGGAAAATACATATAACTTTTACTCTTCTTCCTCCGATGATTTTTTCCTATTCACAACAACTTCATCAGAAATGAAATAAAAGAGGCTTTAGGTAATTGGTGGTCCACTGTAGATGGGAGAAAGCAGTAAGGAAGGCAGCTTTCTCCTTTTCCTGTTTTATAACAGGAAATGCACAAAAGAGAATTAGAGTCAAGGTTGATGTTCCAGGAGCCATCATGGTAGGAAGACAATTCTCCCATTATACTCATTCATATTTTGAAATACCCTTTCTCTGCCCATTGTATGCAAGCAAAATATAGTTCTACATACTCTCCACAACCTGGGGAATTAAAAGATCGGTGTTTGCAAGTGTCTGGCACAGAAGGAGGGAAAGCAAGTGGGCAAGGAAGGTGGCAGCTATCTTTTTTTAAGCAAAAGGGATGTGTTTTTTCTTGGTAGCCTGGGCAAAAATTTAACCAACTCTTACAAATGGTTAATATCTAGTTCTAGACAATTATAAGTGGTTAAGAACTAGCTCTAGATACATAGGAGGCCTGGGTGAATATGCTAACTGATCTCAAAATTTAGAGGGGTTAGACGTAAAGACCTGTATTGCAAAATACAGATTTATTTTAATGTAAAAACTAGGCCAGGTGCAGTGGCTCACACCTGTAATCTCAGCACTTCGGGAGGCCAAGGCGGGCAGATCATGAGGTCAAGAGATCGAAACCCTCCTGGCCAAAATGGTGAAACCTCATCTCTACTAAAAATACAAAAATTAGCTCGGTGTGGTGGCGCACGCCTGTAGTCCCAGCTACTCGGGAGGCTGAGACAGAGAATCGCTTGAACCTGGGAGGCGGAGCTTGCAGTGAGCCGAGATTGTGCCACTGCATTCCAGCCTGGGCGACAGAGTCAGACTCTGTCTCAAAACAAAATAAAACAAAACAAAACAAAAAACACTAATCCATATGTTTAGGAAGTATGTACATCATTACATCATTTAGGATCTGCACATGGGCATGGCTGAAGTTTCCTTCTCAGTAAATATAAAACTGGTAAATGTAAAACATTAAATATGTTATGTATTTATAAAACAGGCCATGCTGCTCCTCTGCTCAAAACTCTCCTGTGGCTTTCCAGAGTGCTCAGAGTAAAACCCAAACCCAGAGTCCTTCCTATGTCCTACGAAGTCTTCTGTTCTAGACCCTCCGGCCTGTTCTGCTAACATACTCTCTCTTACTTTTTCCACTCCAACCACACTGTTCTCCTTGCAGCTCCTCAAACATATCAAAATCATCCTGGTTCAGGGTCTTGTTTTTGTTCCCTCTGTCTTTCCCCAGGTGATCTTCAAGGCCTACTCTCTCACTTCCTTCAGGACTCTGCTCCTAATACTGAACTTGGACACAAGAGGAAGAAGTAAACAATAAAACAGCATACTAGCAAATACATAATTTCAAATTTGAATAAGTGCATGAAGGAAATATATTATGACAAGAGTGTTCAGTGAGAAAACACCAAAAAATTCTTGGTTCTAAAAGGTTAGCTTTTGGATAAAGTTAATATTCAAGATAATGTAATAAAATCTTACGTTTTTGAAACCAGTTTCTTTTCAAGAAATTTTCTATATTTTGAGGTACTCAACATGCAAGTTATGTAGTTTTTCCTTAAATAAATACATTAGTTAAAGTACTATTTATACTAAAGTATTATACTAAAGTATTAGCTATGATTTTTAATCTCCACCTCCACCTAAATCCCACCATACTATAGATAGCAAAATACAAAATGAGTGTAAGAACTAGGAATAGGATTGTGCAACCTTTAGCATCATAAATTCAATATTTTGTTTTCTAATAATAAAGCTAATTTCTTAAATTTTCTAAATTTCTAATAATAAAGCTAATTTCTTAAATTTGGGGCTTTAAAAAGTAAAAATATTCTTTTTGAAAAACAAGTACTTTCATGTTCAACGGTAGAGCCTTACAATGTTAAACTACCTAGTGTTTTCTTCTAGCCTAGAAAAAGTTTAGCCATAAAATATTCAACACACAGAATCCATGGTATGGAATTAAAATGTTCCAAACTGTGACTGTTTTGAATCAATCCTACATTTAGAAAGAAATACAATGGCTTTAAACAACAAATAAAGGCCCATACTTGGAATGAGGTGAAGTTGGGATGGGGTGATAATAGTAATCTTTAAAAAAAATACAATCATCAAACTAAAGAAAGTGAAGTCTTTTAAAGATAATAAAGATCAATGTCAAGTTGAATTGACAGGAGAGAGTAGGCAGACTTTTTGTATTATCTCCAAAGAATTATAATTTGACTAGAGAAAAGAGCTAGTAGTATAAATTATAAGACCATTTTCTGAGGCATATGTTACGGTGCTCTACAAAACCACAGTAGAAATGTTAATTTAATTACTTTGAAACTTATGCTGCTGTAAATTAAAATATTCCCTCCACAAAGGGGGTTACAAAAGAGAATTAGTACTAAGAGATGAACAGACATTTGGATTTAGTTTTTTAACATTCTTCTAAACAACAGAGAAATCTGCAATTCCCAATAATGGAAGGTTTTAAAATATCATAAACACTATAACTCAGTTAAGTATACAATTACATTACCTAAATTTTATAATGGTTACTTTTGGGTCTAAAAGAGAAGACAATCAAATGTTTCCTTAGACAGTAGAAGCAGGGGGAATTCAGTAGTTAACCAGCTGTGTTGCCACCTTGGGGTTTATGGTAGCAATTCAGAAAAGTTACAAGTAGATGAGACAGGCTCTTCTCACCTTTGGATGTTAGCATAATTGGGAATTCAGAGATAACCCTGACATGGCTTAGCTCTCTGTTCCCACCCAAATCTCATCTTGAATTGGAATCCCCCTGTGTGGCGGGAGTGACCAGGTGGGAAATGATTGGATCATGGGGGCAGTTTCCCCCATGCTGTTCTTGTGATAGTGAGGGAGTTCTCATGAGATTTGATAGTTTAAAAGTGGCAGTTTTCCCTGCTCTCTCTCTCTCACCACCTTGTGAAGAAAGTGCCTGCTTCCCCTTCACCTTCTGCCATGATTATAAGTTTCCTGAGGCCTCCCCAGGCATGTGAAACTGTGAGTCAATTAAATCTCTTTCCTTTACAAATTACCCAGTCTCAGTTATTCTTTATAGCAGTGTGAAAATGAACTAACACAATCCCTCACAGCAGTTAGTGTTGTGGTTTCTAATAAAGAAAGAAAGAAAGAAAGAAAGAAAGAAAGAAAGAAAGAAAGAAACCTTTACAACATTAGCATTAATAAACTTACAACCAATTAGAAACAAGAATGAAGACAAAGCAAAACAAGACACTTTTTGGATATGTAAGAGGTCTTATACCATATAACATGGTTTTTCTTTTAATGAATTCTGTCCACTTGGTCAAAAAAAATTATTTTATATACCATAAAAGGCACTGGGGTTGCAAACAAGAAGAAAAGACATTCCCTAATAGGAGGAAGTCACAGTCTAGAGAAGATAAATACGTTTCAAGAGATGATTATAATATAAATTGATGAGAGGTACACAAAGTATTTCAGAAATATGTGAAAAGAAAGTTAACTTTTACTGAATACTCATTATGTGACAAGCACAGCTCCAAATCTCTAAATTTGCACAACTGCAGCAATTTCTGAATACACAGATTAGAAATTAGTAACATTTGTGAAACACTGAAAACGATACTTTTTTTATAGAAAGCAAGAGGCAGAGTGTGTTTTATTGGCAGACAGCATGTATGAAGAAAAGAAAACAAATGAAATAAAAAGATGCTACAGGATAATTTTACATCTGACTCACTAAAAGGTTCAACATTTTTCAAATTGCAATTAGCTATGTTTTTCATAAATTTAAATATTTAAGAAATAATCAAAACAAAGCTTTAACTAGTTTTATTTGTATCAACAGCAGTGTCCTTGTACAAAAAAAAAAATTAATTTAGTTTTTTCCTAAGGTCTTTGTCAGTTCCAAATTGTAAACTACTATATAAATGTAACCTCCAGCCTGGGCAACAAGAGCAAAACTCTGTCTCAAATAAATAAATAAATAAATAAATAAATAAATAAATACATAAATGTAACCAAGAGAGAAAAAAATGTACCATTAAATTAATAAGTAATCCTCTTTTATATAGAGAGATTACTTATAATTTGGCTATGCTTATTTATGGACTATGAGATGGCCAGGCATAACTACTCTTTTATATAAAAGTTCTCACATAGCCAACTCTAATAAATTGAGAGCTATAAGATGACAAGCATTCCTTTATGCCAACAATAGACAAGTAGAGAGCCAAATCGTGAATGGACTCTCATTCAAAATCACTACACAGAGAATAAAATACCTAGGAAATAGCTAACAAGGGATGTGAAGGATGTCTTCAAGGAGAACTACAAACCACTGTTCAAAGAAATAAGAGAGGACATAAACAAATGGAAAAACATCCCATCTTCATGGATAGGACGAATCAATATTGTGAAAATGACCATACTGCCCAAAGTAATCTATAGATTCAATGATATTTCCATCAAACTGCCATTGACTTTCTTCACAGAATTAGAAAAAACTACTTTGAATTTCATATGGAATCAAAGAAGACCCCGTATAGCCAAGACAATCCTAAGCAAGAAGAATGAAGCTGGAAGCATCATGCTACCTGACTTCAAACTACACTAAAATACTACAGTAACCAAAAAGCATGGTATTGGTACCAAAACAAACATATAGACCAATGGAACAGAACAGAGATCTCAGAAATAACACCACACATCTACAACCTTCAGACCTTTGACAAACCTGACAAAAACAAACAATGGGGAAAGTATCTCCTATTCAATAAATGGTGCTGGGAAAACTGACTAGCCATATGCAGAAAACTGAGACTGGATCCCTTCCTTATACCTTATACACAAATTAACTCAAGATGGGTTAAAGACTTAAACATAAAACCCAAAACCACAAAAACCCCAGAACCAAACCTAGGCAATACCGTTTGGGACATAAGCATGGGCAAAGACTTCATGATGAAAACACCAAAAGCAATTGCAACAAAAGCCACAGTTGACAAATGAGATCTAATTAAACTAAAGAGCTTCTGCACAGTGAAAGAAACAATCATCAGTGTGAACAGGTGACCTACAGATTAGGAGAGAAATTTTGCAATCTACCCATCTGACAAGAGTCAAATATCCAGAATTTACATGAAACTTAAACAAATTTACAAGAAAAAAACAAACAACCCCATCCAAAAGTGGGTAAATATGAACAGACATTTCTCCAAAGACGACATTTACGCAGCCAACAAACATAGGAAAAAAAGTTCAACATCACTGATCATTAGAGAAATACAAATTAAAACCACAATGAGATACCATCTCATGCCAGTCAGAATGGCAATTATTAAAAAGTCAAGAAACAACACAGATGCTGGCAAGGCTGTGGAGCAATAGGAACACTTTTACACTATTGGTGGGAATGTAAATTAGTTCAGCCATTGTGGAAGACAATATGGCAATTCCTCAAGGATCTAGAACCAGAAATACTATTTGACCCAGCAATCCCATTACTGGGTATATACCCAAAGGAGTATAAATCATTCTACTATAAAGATACATGCACATGCATGTTTACTGAAGCACTATTTACAATAGCAAAGTCATGGAACCAAACCAATTGCCCACCAATGATAGACTGGATAAAAAAAATGTGGTACATATGCACCATGAAATACTATGCAGCCATAAAAAGGAATGAGGTCATGTCCTTTGCAGGGACATGGATGAAGCTGGAATACATCACCCTCAGCAAACTAATACAGAAATAGAAAACCAAACACTGCATGTTCTCACTCATAAGTAGGAGTTGAATAATGAGAACACATGGATACAGGGAGGGGAACAACACACACCAGGCCCTGTTGTGGGATTGGGGGGTGAGGGAAGGGAACTTAGATGACAGGTCAATAGGTACAGAAAACTACCATGGCACAAATATACCTATGTAACAAATCTGCACATGTATCCTGGAACTTAAAGTAAAATAAATAATAATAATAATTGAGAGGTGTTTCTTTATTGAAATGACTTCCCCCAGCAGAAATTCATCACTAATTAGTTCAAATTAGTTTTTGTGTTTAACTGTCATGTACTTAAAGAAAAATCATTTCAAAGTATATTTGATCTTTGATATGGGATAGCTACAATGAATGAAAGTATATGTATCTTAATTAATTTAGTAAGCATTCATTATTATGTAGTTTAATTTGTTTAAGTTATTATGTTCTAAAGTTTGAAGAACATATCTGAGGTACAAGTAATCAGTAAGTCTAATTTAAAGTATATTTACAATGTTTTTACTACTGTCTAGTTTGAAAGCTAAGGGCTAGATCACTGAAAAATAGTTACTCAGTATTTTCTTATTCAGACCTCTGGTGCTAAAGTAAAAGTTTTGAACAAATAATCAAAATAGGAAAGAATTAAAATTTAGAAACAAAACAAAAAACACCTACGCTAACCCACTATCCCCTACTCTATAGAACAAAATGTAATGTTATTGAAAAGGCAGAAAAGCTTCAGTGCTCCTATTTAATTTTCTAAGCAACGTTCAGCTGGAATCATGCCATTTACTTTTCTTGTCTGCCTGAGGGGACCTAGCTGAAATCTCTCTGAGCACCCCAGTGAACAAATCAGCCTTGACACAACCTTCCCTTGATAAACCATAAATTCTCTGAGGCCAGGGACCTGGTTTGCTTACTCCCTCTATATTTTGTGGAGATGGGGCAATCTAAAATTTTAAATAGGGTAACAAGGAAAGCCTCATTGAGTAGGTAATATTTGAGCAAAGACTTGAAAGAGATGAGAAATCTTGGCAAGCGCTGTCCTTGTGGTGGTGGGATGGGGAGTGTTGAGAAGAGAAAGACACTTAGGTCTAACTAGGACACATCTGATGTTTTTGTGGAAAGGCAAGGAGGCCAGTGGCTAGAGCAGGTGAGCAAGGGGAACAGTGGTAGGAGAGGATGTCGAGAGATGCTAATGCGGGCCAAGATTTGAGATTTTGCTCTTACTGAGATAAGGAGTCATTAGAGATTGAATCAAAGGTATGAAGTGCCTGATTTGCATTTTAAAGGGTTTTGGGAATAAATTTGAGGAGTGACATGATCTAACTCACATTTTAAAAGTATCCCTCTGGCAACTATGTTGAAAATTAAATTAAGAGAAACAAAGAGGGAAACAGACAGCAGTTAAGGAGCTATAGCAAACAAGCAGAGGGGAGATGATAGAGGTTTAAACCTAGGTGGTAGGGAGGATGTTGAGAAGAGATCAAATTCTGGATCTGGCAGGAGATGCTGATGGGATTGAGTGTGCAGTATGAATGAAAATAAACAAATAAAAGGTGATGCATGCTTTAGGACCAGAGCATCTGAAAGAACAGAGTAGCCTTTTACTAAAATGGAGAAGACTTAGATGAGAGAATATCATAAGTATATAGTTCTAGAATAGTTATATCAAGCCACTGGTGCAATCTGAGTCTGGAATTTTAAAATGGAGATAGAAATATGTGAGAGTCATGAGATGAGGTATACATCCATATGACTGCATGACATCTCCGAGGGAGAAGAGCAGGTATATAGGATTATGCTCAGGACCAGAATGACAATGAGAGGTCAAGCAGATGAGGAGAAAACAGTAAAATATGCTAAAAAGGACAAGTTGCTGAGAAAGGAAAGAAACTAAGGAGTAGTGTACCCAAGGCAAACTGAAGAACGTGTTGCAAGAATGCGGCCAACCCAGTGTCCACACATTAACTTATGAAATACATCTGATCTTTATAACAGGACACTTCTTTGATAAGCCCTCTCTGAGGACTCCTGGGTCACACAGATGATCTTCCCCTATGTCTCTAAATCACAGGGCAGGCCTTGGTTATAATTCTTATAAAATTATGACTCTAGCTGCAGTTTCTCTTCTGTGTCCTTCTTCCCTATCTCCACTTCTCTAAAAATATGAGTTTTTTGAGTGCCTGAAGTTTCCACTGGAATCCTTGGAATTCAGTGATACATCTGACAATTAGGAAGGAGGAAGTTACATTTATTCAGAGCCTACTGTGTATTAGGCAGTGTGTCAGTATCTTTATGATGTTTATCTTAACTTAGGTGATCAAAAATGTGGATAAAAGAATAAAGAAAATGTTGACTGAACACATATGACAAATAAAAGCAATTCAGTGCATTGGGAGAGCTCTGGAGTGGAGAAGGATGCATCAGGATACCACAGCTTGATGCCAATAGCTATCAAGATTATTGAGCTAACTCTTCTTGCACTCTTTCTAAATTCCTCAAACAAAATTTTCCAATATAATTTTGTTTCCTTTACAGATTTTCCTGTAGAGTTAGAAACTGACAACTAGAAGACATAAATATCTGTTCCAACTGGCTGCTGTACTTCTGTGTATGAATAAATTAATGTTCTGTTTGAAACATCAGTCTAAGGTAAGTTTGGTTAGTGTGTTTCTTTTTGAAACTCTAGAGATGATCAGTCTCCTTGTTTTCTGTTTTTCATTGATCGCTAACATTCCAAAATCATGTTGTAAGATCAAAATAGGGTTGATGTAAACAATCACAAGAGATTATGATATAAGAATTCCAGGACACACATGCTTTGTGATTGACTGCTAAAGGAAAATATTGATTTCCATTTATTTTATCTCTTGTTGACACACAATAGTGGTCACAGTCATGACTGTTATACAATGGATTGCGGAAAGGTTGTTAGGCAATGAACTGAGCATAAAATGATATTTTGTTGCTGCCTCAAATTTGATTCGTTTTTCTGAGTCTGAGTTTATTACCTAGGCTAGAATGTAGAATCTCAGAGCCAGAGTAATACAATCCAGATTTAAATCTATTACTTGTTAATATATAGCCAATCTTGCTAAGATGGATCAATTTGTGATGCTCTGACAAAATAGAGTTTGTAGTCCTTCGAACATCAAAATTTAAACTGTGCTGACACAGGTAAGGTAATTTTATTTTTAAGCTGCTAATTGAGCATGAATTTGTTCTCCCTCTGGTATACCTGCACCATCTCTCTCTAAATTTGAGTCAAATAAAATTTTGGATGAAATTGTTTTTTTTTTTTTTTTGAGACAGGGTCTCACTCTGTTGCCCAGACTATAGTGCAGTGGCACAATCACAGCTCACTGCAGCCTCAACCTCCCAGGCTCAAGCAATCCTCCCACCTCAACCTCCCAAGTAGCTGGGACTACAAGGGTATGCCACCACACCTGGCTAATTTTGGTGTTTTTTAAATAGAGATGAGGTTTCACTATGTTGCCCAGGCTGGTCTTGAACTCCTAAGCTCAAGTGATCTGCCCGCCTCAGCCTCCCAAAGTGCTGAGATTACAGGCTGTAAGCCACCACGCCTGGTCTGGATGAAATTATTTGGATCAATAACATAAGGTAGCTAAAAATTTTGCCATCATTTTTACTTTGTAAAATGTAAAGGAGATTAATACTTTCCCTATTTTTACTGACTGCAGGGAGAAGAGAATGTACATGCAGATAGCCTTTCTATCGACCTCTATAACCAAGGTAATAAGCCATTTATATCTTTGTATCCTAGTATATCTGAAATATAAATCCTCTTCATGACTACCACAACAGCCCTTGTCTACGCCCTAGACACCCTTTACCAGGACTTATTGAAATAACTGTCACACTACAACCAGTCTAATCATTTTGTTTGTTTTGTTTGTTTGTGACACAGTCTTGCTTGGTCGCTCAAACTGGAGTTGCAGTGGTTGATCTCAGCTCACTGCAACCTCTGCTTCCTGGGCTCAAGTGATCCTCCCACCACAGCCTCCTGAGTAGCTGGGACTACAGGCATGCACCATCACGCCCAGCTAATTTTTGTATTTTAGTGGAGAGGGAGTTCTGCCATGTTGCCGAGGCTGGTCTCAAACTCCTGACCTCAAGTGATCCACCCACCTCAGCCTCCCGAAGTACTGGGATTACTTGCATGAGCCACTACGCCCAGCCAGTCTAATCTAAAGTTGAAATCTAATTGACATCTATCATCCACATAGAATTGGGAATAATCTGTCTAACATTGCAACATAAACTGGTGCTATTATTGTTTAGAGATCTAGCAATCGTTTCTTAGTTGCCCATGGAATCACAGCAAAGATCCATATTACAGGTATACCCTGAGACCCTGGAAAGAGAGCCCCCAACCCTGAGCCTCCTACTTTTGAAGGGGTTGGGTAAACCACTGACTGTGAGCCAGGAGTCGGCTCCCCTGACACTGCCATGTACAGGTGCAGAACTCTGGGGATTCTGAGAATCCTAAGTTCAGATTGTGTGTCTTTGGTGATTATAAAGCTATATTTTGTTAAGTCAGGTTATATTTCATTTTTCTCAGCTTTAAGTATTACTTGTAAATATTTAGACATGTAGGATATTGAGACTCGTACTCTGAGCCTGCAGATGTTAAGCCCATCTAAATTTCCACATTGTCCTGATTCAAGCACAAGAGATGGAAATAAATAAATAAGTAAAAATAAAAAATAAAATTTTATATTATGCCCTTCATGGCCACAGTTCTAATAAGTTCTTCAGTTCACCTCCAATTTCTAACTACAGTGAAAGCTGGTCAAATGAATTGGGTTATTCTTGTTATACCAACTAAAACAGAGGCAAAAGACAGGAAAGAAAGCATTCAGGGCACAAAACATGGCTCCAAGAATGGAATTCACTGTAAGCCCCCATGCTGAAACTGCCTGTTGTAATCTGAAACCAGTTTTATCCAATAGCTACTGAAACAACCTCCTTTGACTCCAAGACGCATCGCCTGTCACTCACCAATCAGAGCTTGCCAGCTCTCCACACTTTACTAGTGCCAATGAACTTTCTGGGAAGACAATATGTAACACTTCTTCTTTTTATGAAATCTCCAACCCTCTTTTTGTTCTTCAGGCATAAGGAAGACCACCCAGTCTGTGTGTATACCCTGAACTGCAATTCTTGTTTCCCCAATCAAATCTTAAATTTAGATATTTGTTTCTGTTTTTACTTTGACTTAAACACTAGCCTTGTTATACTTATTGTGTATTAATTCTAAACTCTTTTACCATGCTCTACACACCATGATATATAATATCTTTATGTTTTCGCTCCTGCTGTTTTCTCTGATTGAAATGTTCTTCACAACTTTTCTGGCTAATACATTAATCTCTTAATATACAGCTTTTAAATCTCTAAGAACTTCTCCAGACTTTTATTATACTTATTCAATTTTCCCACAGTACACTGTTCAAACTTCATTCTTATCACTACCTTATTAACTATATAGCTGTTTTTTTCTGTCTCATCTAAAAAAAAACCTGTAAACCTTTGAAGGCAGTGTTCATATCTTATTTATTATTATTACACTACTAACACATATGTGCTGAACTGAACAGTATGGTTAAAAATACATGTTATTTCACATTTTATTGAACTTATAAAGACAATTGTTTTGAAAATACTATTTACCAGTTACTAAATTTGAAAGCTAAGTAGTGTTAGTTAAATAGTGAAAAATTTTAATGAATTGTATGAAAGAATGTTCGATCTTTGCAAAAGCCATTCCAGGGTTTTAAGTAGTCATTTTCTTTCCACAATGAAATATGTACCAGATAATTATAGCAGAGATATTATAATATAAAATGCTGTGAAAACTAAGCTTTAACTTTCGCATAAAGTGTTGAAGCTATGAGTGCTTTTCCCTACCAAAGCAAAATACCAATGCTAGTTCTAATGACAAATAATTTTGTATATATTATACAAGATTAATAATCTTAAAGACTAATGCATATGAAATTGAATTTAACTTATAAAGACATTTTAAAAAACTATGAAGTTATATTTTAAGATTTTTTTTTTTATTTGAGACAGAGTCTTGCTCTGTCTCCCATGCTGGAGTGCACTGGTGCGATCTCGGCTCACTGCAACCTCTGCCTCCCTGGTTCAAGTGATCCTCCTGCCTCAGCCTCCCGAGTAGCTGGGATTACAAGCATGCACCAACGCTCAGCTAATTTTTGTATTTTTAGTAGAGAGGGGTTTTGCCATGTCAGTCAGTCTGGTCTCTAACTCCTGACCCTGAATGATCCTCCCGTCTTGGCCTCCCAAAGTGCTGGGATTACAGGCATGAGCCACCATGCCCGGCCTATTTTAAGATTTTAAATGCAATTATCCATTTAGTTTATGACATACAATATTCAGAAAAAAAGTATTATTTTTGTTGAGCATCTTGTTTGAAAGTTCAAAAATTAAATTTTTAATGCCACATAATGTATATAATTTATTAATAGCCTTCTTCCAAATATAACAATTGGTTGAACCCAACACGGGATCTGAGTCAGCCTCAGTTCTTAACCATTGAGATGAGGAAAGCAAGATATTTGCATTCTCAAACATCTCTGGCCATGAAGTATCTTGCTTGAAATAAAAACTGAAGTTTTCAACCCCATACATTTCTACAGGTTGAGTATTAGTATTACTCAGTGTTAGCAATAATCTTACCTACTACTGATGCACTGACCTGCTTAGTGTTTTTTTTTTTTTTCTGAGTTTCCTGACCTAGGCCTCCTAAAATCTGATAGTTACTGCATTTCTAGCCTTCACTGTTAGCCTGCTTGAGTTGATCTCCTGAAACCCTGCCAGCCTTCTCTTCCCTTGCAAACTCATAGACTCCATCTCACAACCCTCAATACATATGAAAGCTAGTCACACTGGGAGGAAATTGATGTAGCCATGTTTCTGACTTTGGAAACTACCTATCATCTGGATTTTTCCTTAGAGTAGTGTCTTCTTGCATGGGCAGAACCCATTTCCTTATGTTAGGGTATGCCAAGTCCTTTGCACTACCATGCTCTGGGTATCGTGCTTGAGGGTTGCTTTCCCAAGAGTCAGTTTGACTGTATTTAACCTATGCATAGCTCTTTATTCTTCCGCCTCCCCAGTCCCAGCTTTCTAAACCAACCCCACTGGCCTTTGGTCCTGGAGTCCTATCTTACCCTGTTCATGAGGTTATGGTCTGACATTTATTATACAAAATAACAGGGAGACTAGGGGAAGTTTATTAAGCAAACTTCAATTTTATGAACTATTTTGATAATAGGAAAAGAGATAACAAGTTCTTTGAATCATCCACAAGGATATGGTTTGAACATCAGAGAGTTCCTTAATAGAATTACTATGAAAGTAGGAAAACATTGAAATATGATAGCCCATATAGTTAGGACTATTTACAGTTAGTGACCATATAATATACTAAAACATTTTCATTGTATGGTATATATCTTACCTTAACTTCCACATGTGCCATCAGTACTGCAAAATTTGTTAGGTGGTTACAAGAGCATGTAGTATGTGTCTTATTTGTTGTCAGGAGCCGACAGCCTTGTGTTGACCAATAACCTGTCATTGTACGCTTGGAGTAGCTCCAAAATGAACAGTTAGGGTTGAAATTTTCCTCTGACTGCTACAGGGGAAAAAAAATCCATAAAATCAACAACTACTTTATGATCATGTAAATTAGGTTGGCATTTTCTTTACATATAATACAACTTCATATTCTGTTCCAATTTTTTAGAGATGTCTACCAATGGTTTCATAAGTGGGCCTCAACAATTCTAAGTGAAATTGAATATATGCTATTGTTTGTTCCCTTTGACTAGAGAAGAGTGCACTATTTTTTTAAATTAACACTAAAATAATATACTAGTACCAATGTTTCAAAATCACACTAATTCTAATACACATTGCAAAATAAAGAGGTTAATTGCTCTTAACAACCAACATCTGAAAGGATGATCTTTAGAAATCTTTGTTGAATTTACAACCTCAATCTTTGTATATATGCAAAAATATATCTTCACGTGGACATAATTGCTTGAAATATCAAATATAGAACCATCTCTAGTTCTGTTTAATGTACTCCTATTCTTCTTTAAAAACACAGATAGTATTGTGAATATTTAAGGTATGCAACATAATGTTATGAAATACATGTAGACAGTAGAAAGGTTACCAAAGTGAAGTGAGTTAATATATCCATCGTCTCACATAGTTACCCATTGTTTTCTTGTTTTTGCAGCAAGAGCAGCTAAAAATCTATTCATTTCACATGAATCCCAAATACAGCAGAATTTTGTAATATTATCTGTGGTTTTCAGGCTGTAATTTAGTTCTCTACACTTGAGCTAGCTCTTTTTAGTTATGGAGAAGCAATTATAAATCCATCTATGAATGCTTTCACCATAAGTATTTACATATATAAGGATTATTCTCCTCCTCCAAATCTTATTTCTGACAAAAAAATTACCACTACATTGTACAGATAATGAACTGTTATATGTCAAATAGAAAAAACATTAAAAGAAAATTAATACACTTAATGTTCAGTGTTATAAAAATACAGATAATATGAACAACCAAGCTAATATGCCATTTTCTTACCTTGATATGTTTAACAGTAAATACCACAGGATCAGCCAAATAAACCTTGTTACTGAACTCTTTGTTTATTGCTGCCGTAATAACAGGGGAATTGACAATAACAGAATGATTTGTGGACAAAGCTTCCGTTCCCAACTTCATACTGGCATTCTCCGTGGATAAATAAGGACCCAAGTTGTTATACAGGACAAAGGCCACTCTGATCTCTCCTAAAGTAAATGCAAACTCTGATTAGTTTGTCCACTCTACTTAAATTAGTTAGTACTAATGAGATAGAAAATTAAATCCATGTAGTATGTATTCACACAAAAAATCCAGCATTCATTTCAACCAAAGTACCAAGTCATTTATGAGGAGAGGAAATTCAAATTATGCTAAAACAACTACATACCAATATTTTTTAAAATGAGCCTCAATCCCTATCTCACTCCATACTCAAAACTAAGTTTAAGATAGATCATACACCTAAACATAAAAACCAGAATCATAAGGCTTCTAGAACAAAATATAGAATAATATCCTTGTACTTTGAAGAAGGCAAAGATGTCTTCAATAAGACTCCAAAACATTTATCATAAAATGATATACTAAACTTTATCAAAACCAACAATCTATCAAAATATATCATTAAGAAAACAAACAAGGAAACTGAAATACATTTAAAAATAAGATTCATTATTATACAAAACATTTTTACCAACAAAAAATAAAATAATGGCATCTTAAAATGGCAAAAGATGTAAATACACACTTTAGAAAAATAAATAAAGGAAAGGCCAATAGACACATGAAAAATGATCAGTATCATTAGTAATTAGAGAATGAAAAATAAGACTACACTGAGTTTCAATTTCATACCCACAAGAATCTCTAAAATTGAAAAGACCGACCACACTAATGTTGATAAGGATGTGGAAGAAATGGAACTCTCGTACGCTTCTGGTGGTAGTGTAAAATAGTTCAACTGTTTGGAAAAATATTTGACAATTTCTTATAAAATTAAACATACATCTACCTTTCCCAGGTAACCGAAAACATATATCCACCACAATATATGGGGATATATATCCTTATTCTTAATAGCCCAAACTGGAAACAAGTCAATTATTATTTATAGGAGAATAAATAAATTATGGCACATTATATAATAGAATATACTAGGAGGAGGAGCCAAGATGGCCGAATAGGAACAGCTCCAGTCTACAGCTCCCAGCGTGAGCGACGCAGAAGACGGGTGATTTCTGCATTTCCATCTGAGGTACCGGGTTCATCTCACTAAGGAGTGCCAGACAGTGGGCGCAGGCCAGTGTGTGTGCGCACCGTGCGCGAGCCGAAGCAGGGCGAGGCATTGCCTCACCTGGGAAGCGCAAGGGGTCAGGGAGTTCCCTTTCAGAGTCAAAGAAAGGGGTGACGGACGCACCTGGAAAATCGGGTCACTCCCACCCGAATATTGCGCTTTTCAGACCGGCTTAAGAAACGGCGCACCACGAGACTATATCCCACACCTGGCTCAGAGGGTCCTACGCCCACGGAATCTCGCTGATTGCTAGCACAGCAGTCTGAGATCAAACTGCAAGGTGGCAACGAGGCTGGGGGAGGGGCGCCCGCCATTGCCCAGGCTTGCTTAGGTAAACAAAGCAGCCTGGAAGCTCGAACTGGGTGGAGCCCACCACAGCTCAAGGAGGCCTGCCTGCCTCTGTAGGCTCCACCTCTGGGGGCAGGGCACAGACAAACAAAAAGACAGCAGTAACCTCTGCAGACTTAAGTGTCCCTGTCTGACAGCTTTGAAGAGAGCAGTGGTTCTCCCAGCACGCAGCTGGAGATCTGAGAACGGGCAGACTGCCTCCTCAAGTGGGTCCCTGACCCCTGACCCCCGAGCAGCCTAACTGGGAGGCACCCCCCAGCAGGGGCACACTGACACCTCACACGGCAGGGTATTCCAACAGACCTGCAGCTGAGGGTCCTGTCTGTTAGAAGGAAAACTAACAACCAGAAAGGACATCTACACCGAAAACCCATCTGTACATCACCATCATCAAAGACCAAAAGTAGATAAAACCACAAAGATGGGGAAAAAACAGAACAGAAAAACTGGAAACTCTAAAACGCAGAGCGCCTCTCCTCCTCCAAAGGAACACAGTTCCTCAACAGCAACAGAACAAAGCTGGATGGAGAATGATTTTGACGAGCTGAGAGAAGAAGGCTTCAGACGATCAAATTACTCTGAGCTACAGGAGGACATTCAAACCAAAGGCAAAGAAGTTGAAAACTTTGAAAAAAATTTAGAAGAATGTATAACTAGAATAACCAATACAGAGAAGTGCTTAAAGGAGCTGATGGAGCTGAAAACCAAGGCTCGAGAACTACGTGAAGAATGCAGAAGCCTCAGGAGCCGATGCGATCAACTGGAAGAAAGGGTATCAGCAATGGAAGATGAAATGAATGAAATGAAGCGAGAAGGGAAGTTTAGAGAAAAAAGAATAAAAAGAAATGAGCAAAGCCTCCAAGAAATATGGGACTATGTGAAAAGACCAAATCTACGTCTGATTGGTGTACCTGAAAGTGATGTGGAGAATGGAACCAAGTTGGAAAACACTCTGCAGGATATTATCCAGGAGAACTTCCCCAATCTAGCAAGGCAGGCCAACGTTCAGATTCAGGAAATACAGAGAACGCCACAAAGATACTCCTCGAGAAGAGCAACTCCAAGACACATAATTGTCAGATTCACCAAAGTTGAAATGAAGGAAAAAATGTTAAGGGCAGCCAGAGAGAAAGGTCGGGTTACCCTCAAAGGAAAGCCCATCAGACTAACAGCGGATCTCTCGGCAGAAACCCTACAAGCCAGAAGAGAGTGGGGGCCAATATTCAACATTCTTAAAGAAAAGAATTTTCAACCCAGAATTTCATATCCAGCCAAACTAAGCTTCATAAGTGAAGGAGAAATAAAATACTTTATAGACAAGCAAATGCTGAGAGATTTTGTCACCACCAGGCCTGCCCTAAAAGAGCTCCTGAAGGAAGCGCTAAACATGGAAAGGAACAACCGGTACCAGCCGCTGCAAAATCATGCCAAAATGTAAAGACCATCGAGACTAGGAAGAAACTGCATCAACTAATGAGCAAAATCACCAGCTAACATCATAATGACAGGATCAAATTCACACATAACAATATTAACTTTAAATATAAATGGACTAAATTCTGCAATTAAAAGACACAGACTGGCAAGTTGGATAAAGAGTCAAGACCCATCAGTGTGCTGTATTCAGGAAACCCATCTCACATGCAGAGACACACATAGGCTCAAAATAAAAGGATGGAGGAAGATCTACCAAGCCAATGGAAAACAAAAAAAGGCAGAGGTTGCAATCCTAGTCTCTGATAAAACAGACTTTAAACCAACAAAGATCAAAAGAGACAAAGAAGGCCATTACATAATGGTAAAGGGATCAATTCAACAAGAGGAGCTAACTATCCTAAATATTTATGCACCCAATACAGGAGCACCCAGATTCATAAAGCAAGTCCTCAGTGACCTACAAAGAGACTTAGACTCCCACACATTAATAATGGGAGACTTTAACACCCCACTGTCAACATTAGACAGATCAACGAGACAGAAAGTCAACAAGGATACCCAGGAATTGAACTCAGCTCTGCACCAAGCAGACCTAATAGACATCTACAGAACTCTCCACCCCAAATCAACAGAATATACATTTTTTTTCAGCACCACACCACACCTATTCCAAAATTGACCACATAGTTGGAAGTAAAGCTCTCCTCAGCAAATGTAAAAGAACAGAAATTATAACAAACTATCTCTCAGACCACAGTGCAATCAAACTAGAACTCAGGATTAAGAATCTCACTCAAAGCCGCTCAACTACATGGAAACTGAACAACCTGCTCCTGAATGACTACTGGGTACATAACGAAATGAAGGCAGAAATAAAGATGTTCTTTGAAACCAACGAGAACAAAGACACCACATACCAGAATCTCTGGGACGCATTCAAAGCAGTGTGTAGAGGGAAATTTATAGCACTAAATGCCTACAAGAGAAAGCAGGAAGGATCCAAAATTGACACCCTAACATCACAATTAAAAGAACTAGAAAAGCAAGAGCAAACACATTCAAAAGCTGGCAGAAGGCAAGAAATAACTAAAATCAGAGCAGAACTGAAGGAAATAGAGACACAAAAAACCCTTCAAAAAATCAATGAATCCAGGAGCTGGTTTTTTGAAAGGATCAACAAAATTGATAGACCGCTAGCAAGACTAATAAAGAAAAAAAGAGAGAAGAATCAAATAGACACAATAAAAAATGATAAAGGGGATATCACCACCGATCCCACAGAAATACAAACTACCATCAGAGAATACTACAAACACCTCTACGCAAATAAACTAGAAAATCTAGAAGAAATGGATACATTCCTCGACACATACACTCTCCCAAGACTAAACCAGGAAGAAGTTGAATCTCTGAATAGACCAATAATAGGCTCTGAAATTGTGGCAATAATCAATAGTTTACCAACCAAAAAGAGTCCAGGACCAGATGGATTCACAGCCGAATTCTACCAGAGGTACAAGGAGGAACTGGTACCATTCCTTCTGAAACTATTCCAATCAATAGAAAAAGAGGGAATCCTCCCTAACTCATTTTATGAGGCCAGCATCATTCTGATACCAAAGCCGGGCAGAGACACAACCAAAAAAGAGAATTTTAGACCAATATCCTTGATGAACATTGATGCAAAAATCCTCAATAAAATACTGGCAAACCGAATCCAGCAGCACATCAAAAAGCTTATCCACCATGATCAAGTGGGCTTCATCCCTGGGATGCAAGGCTGGTTCAATATACGCAAATCAATAAATGTAATCCAGCATATAAACAGAGCCAAAGACAAAAACCACATGATTATCTCAATAGATGCAGAAAAAGCCTTTGACAAAATTCAACAACCCTTCATGCTAAAAACCCTCAATAAATTAGGTATTGATGGGACGTATTTCAAAATAATAAGAGCTATCTATGACAAACCCACAGCCAATATCATACTGAATGGGCAAAAACTGGAAGCATTCCCTTTGAAAACTGGCACAAGACAGGGATGCCCTCTCTCACCACTCCTATTCAACATAGTGTTGGAAGTTCTGGCCAGGGCAATCAGGCAGGAGAAGGAAATAAAGGGTATTCAATTAGGAAAAGAGGAAGTCAAATTGTCCCTGTTTGCAGACGACATGATTATTTATCTAGAAAACCCCATCGTCTCAGCCCAAAATCTCCTTAAGCTGATAAGCAACTTCAGCAAAGTCTCAGGATACAAAATCAATGTACAAAAATCACAAGCATTCTTATACACCAACAACAGACAAACAGAGAGCCAAATCATGGGTGAACTCCCATTCACAATTGCTTCAAAGAGAATAAAATACCTAGGAATCCAACTTACAAGGGATGTGAAGGACCTCTTCAAGGAGAACTACAAACCACTGCTCAATGAAATAAAAGAGGACACAAACAAATGGAAGAACATTCCATGCTCATGGGTAGGAAGAATCAATATCGTGAAAATGGCCATACTGCCCAAGGTAATTTACAGATTCAATGCCATCCCCATCAAGCTACCAATGACTTTCTTCACAGAATTGGAAAAAACTACTTTAAAGTTCATATGGAACCAAAAAAGAGCCCGCATCGCCAAGTCAATCCTAAGCCAAAAGAACAAAGCTGGAGGCATCACACTACCTGACTTCAAACTATACTACAAGGCTACAGTAACCAAAACAGCATGGTACTGGTACCAAAACAGAGATATAGATCAATGGAACAGAACACAGCCCTCAGAAATAACACCGCATATCTACAACTATCTGATCTTTCACAAACCTGAGAAAAACAAGCAATGGGGAAAGGATTCCCTATTTAATAAATGGTGCTGGGAAAACTGGCTAGCCATATGTAGAAAGCTGAAACTGGATCCCTTCCTTACACCTTATACAAAAATCAATTCAAGATGGATTAAAGATTTAAACGTTAGACCTAAAACCATAAAAACCCTAGAAGAAAACCTAGGCATTACCATTCAGGACATAGGCGTGGGCAAGGACTTCATGTCCAAAACACCAAAAGCAATGGCAACAAAAGCCAAAATTGACAAATGGGATCTAATTAAACTAAAGAGCTTCTGCACAGCAAAAGAAACTACCATCAGAGTGAACAGGCAACCTACAACATGGGAGAAAATTTTCGCAACCTACTCATCTGACAAAGGGCTAATATCCAGAATCTACAATGAACTCAAACAAATTTACAAGGAAAAAACAAACAACCCCATCAAAAAGTGGGCGAAGGACATGAACAGACACTTCTCAAAAGAAGACATTTATGCAGCCAAAAAACACATGAAGAAATGCTCATCATCACTGGCCATCAGAGAAATGCAAATCAAAACCACTATGAGATATCATCTCACACCAGTTAGAATGGCAATCATTAAAAAGTCAGGAAACAACAGGTGCTGGAGAGGATGTGGAGAAATAGGAACACTTTTACACTGTTGGTGGGACTGTAAACTAGTTCAACCATTGTGGAAGTCACTGTGGCGATTCCTCAGGGATCTAGAACTAGAAATACCATTTGACCCAGCCATCCCATTACTGGGTATATACCCAAAGGACTATAAATCATGCTGCTATAAAGACACATGCACACGTATGTTTATTGCGGCACTATTCACAATAGCAAAGACTTGGAACCAACCCAAATGTCCAACAATGATAGACTGGATTAAGAAAATGTGGCACATATACACCATGGAATACTATGCAGCCATAAAAAATGATGAGTTCATATCCTTTGTAGGGACATGGATGAAATTGGAAACCATCATTCTCAGTAAACTATCGCAAGAACAAAAAACCAAACACCGCATATTCTCACTCATAGGTGGGAATTGAACAATGAGATCACATGGACACAGGAAGGGGAATATCACACTCTGGGGACTGTGGTGGGGTCGGGGGAGGGGGGAGGGATAGCATTGGGAGATATACCTAATGCTAGATGACACATTAGTGGGTGCAGCGCACCAGCATGGCACATGTATACATATGTAACTAACCTGCACAATGTGCACATGTACCCTAAAACTTAGAGTATAATAAAAAAATTAAAAAAAAAAATAGAATATACTATGCATCAATAAAGAACAAACTATTGATACGTGGAACATCATCAGTGAGTCTTAAAAATATTTTGTCAGGTTAACGAATTGAGACAGCAAATGGTATACACTGTATGATACCAGTTATATGAGGTCTAAAAACTGGCAAATTTTGGCCGGGTGTGGTGGCTCATGCCTGTAATCCCAGCACTTTGGGAGGCTGAGGCGGGCAGATCACGAAGTCAGGAATTCAAGACCAGCCTGACCAATATGGCGAAACCCTGTCTCTACTAAAAATACAAAAATTAGCCAGGCGTGGTGGCACATGCTTGTAATCCCAGCTACTCAGGAGGCTGAGGCAGGAGAATCACTTGAATCCGGGAGGTGGAGGTTGCAGTGAGCTGAGATTGTGCCACTGCATCCCAGCCTGGGTGACAGAGTGAGACTCCGTCTCAAAAAAAAAAAAGAAAAAAAAAAACTGGCAAATTTTGTCTACAGAAATAGTAATAAGAAGAAAGTTTTATTAGGTGAGGAGAGGAATAAGAAGACTGGTAAGAGACACGGGAATATTTTCTGCATACAGAAGAGATTTATTTTCCTTCTTTTTGTGATATTATAAAATTATGTACAACTGTCAAATTCCCAAGCTAAATGCTTCCTCAAGCTAAATGTATATTTTAGTGTATGTAAATTATTTCTCAATTGCAATGTTAAGGAAAACACACAAGAATTCACAATCTTTACCTGTCTTAAAACTCAACTGTCATGTTATTTTAAGGTCACTGTTTCCACAAAGTCACCAAGTCTTTCCACCTTATTTTTTCCTTTATGACAGTCTCTTAAATCTAATCCTCTATGAAGTGAATTGTCTTTTAACACACTTTTTCAAATTGTATTATTTCCTTTACTTTAAAAAGTCAAGCCCTATATCTTATTTCTGGCCCCAACTACTATGGTTACTAAGATGAGGGAGTCATAGTCCCTATCGCTGAACCTTAGAATCAAGTGGAAGAAAAGAAAATTGAGTCAGGCGGGGAGATAGGAAAAAAAAAAATTTTTTTTTTTTTTTTTTTTTTTTTGAGGAGGAGGGTTATTTAACATCTAACTCCCATGTTTGGGAAATTCCCTACTTTTCAGAATTTATAGACACAAAATGGACATATATTTGCTTTCCTAGCTTATTGCGGAGACGTTGCTCTGGGCACTTCCGCTAGATGCATCCAATCAGATGCAGAAGCCTCAGATACCAGATGAGGAGCTAGTGACACAAAGAAGCAGGAAGTGGTACAGCAATAGCAGCAGCAGCAGCGGCAGCACAGTTACTGCAACAGAGTTCACTTGCGGCAGCAGTGACATTTCACAGCAGTGATTCTGTGATGTGGTAAAGGCTGCTGTCAGCCTCCTTGCTCTAGTATATCTTCTGGGACTGATTCTCCAGCCTTTTCAGTGATTCTATGAGATATCCATTATCATTTCAGTAATCCAGCAAAGAGATTATGATGAGAGCTACATAATGGAAGAGAGCATTCTTATCTAATCTACAAGTGTTAATACAGTACTGAGCAAATCATAGTAATTCACTAAAGACTTATCTGTTATAACATAATTTAATTTTGTTCTTTCCCTCTAGATTTGATATTAAAATGCTGATTTTTGAAAGGTGAAAATTAAGAACATCCATGCATTTTTCTTGTTGACATTAAAAACTTTAATTTTAATTGGTTTATAATTGGCTGATAATTCATGCCAATTTCCACTTCTGGGATGGTGTCATTTTGCCATCCCACCGTGAGTTACCAGCACACTTAGTCACTGGCAATTCTTTCATATTCTCTGCTCCAAAATTAATGCTTAAATGTGACTTTCACAAACAAAAACAAAAACAGGCTGGGTGTGATGACTTATGCCTGCAATCCCAGCACTATGGGAGGCTGAGTTGGGAGGATCCCTTGAGGCCAGGAGTTCAAGACCAGCCTGGGAAACATAGAAAGACCCTCTTCTCTATTAAAACAAAACAAAACAAAACACACAGAAAAACTATATGTTAATTTAGAAAACAAATGAACACACAACTTAATTTGACTAATATATTTCTACATGTCTTCAGATACACAGCTTTTCGTCTGAAGGTTCACACATTTATTGTATACGTAAGTAGTGAGTATATAGATGTATAGATGGACCAGGCACTGAAGTACTAGGGTTACATCAGTGAACAAGATTAGACAAGGCCTCTGCTTTCATGGAACTTACTGCCTGGAGGGAGACTAGGCAATAAGCAGGAAGATTAAAAAATAATAATAATGTTATTTCTTATAATGGTAAGTGAATAAATGCTATGAAGAAACATTGGCATAATCATGGCTAATGGGGAAAGAGTGATTGGGAAAGAGGAGTCTACGTTAGAGGAGATAGGGAAGACTCTCCCTATAGAGGTAGACTTATTCTAAAAAGTGAATGATAGAGAGGCTGCCATTCAAAAAAAATGTAAAAATTGTATTCTAAGAAGAAAGGTTTAAAAAAATGCAAAAAAAAAAAAAATGCCCCAAACCTGATGCAGGAACATGCTTGGTGTGTTCAAGAACCAGAATCAAGATTACTCTGTCTGGATCACACAGAACATGCTGAAGACAAATGTGAGGTGTGGCAAATGAGGCAGGAAGGAAGTGGACCAGGTAGCATGTGGCGGGCCTAGTTAAGTCATGAGATTTCATTCTAAGTGTAATTGGAGGTCAACTGGTCAGATGTATGCTTCAGAAGAACCCTTTGTCAACAGGCTATACTGTTGGAGGGCAAAAGAGTGGAGGCAGGGAAACGATTTAGGAAGCTAATGCAGGAATCTAATTTTGCTCTACTGAATCTTATTGCTGTCTCAAAATTTTCTTAGTCAAATGAGTAACACAAAAATGATTTCTAAGTTTAGTCTTACAATATTTCTAACATTTACAGACCATTTTATTCAGATGACAACAAATGTAAGTTGTTTTTCTTGATATCATTTATCAAAACTATTCACCCTGCAATATGAAATATTAGTATTAAGTTGGTTGCTAGGAACTGAGGTCATCTTCCTATCACTTGGCAGATTAAATGATCTCCCTTTCTTGGCAAAAGAGAAATATATCTCTGTGTGTGTGTGTGTGTGTGTGTGTGTGTGTGTATGCATATGTACATATGTACAAATATGGGAAAGAGGGGTCTACTTTAGAGGAGATGTAAATATATACATATTTATATATATATACACACACATCTATACATACATATATACACACATACAGATACATGCACATATATGTGTGTACGTTTAAACATTTTTTAATATTAGTGAAATGTGGACATACTTTATAAGATTATTTATTGAATTTTAATTATTTTCAGTGTATTCAATTTAGTAAGAAGCTAAGCTGATTTACAGTTCAATTTCCCAAAATCATCTCCTTACATTTAAATGTTTGTATGCTTTGCAAAGAAAAGCACAAAAACACTCTCAAAAAGAAGCTGAATAACCAAAAAATATTTTTTTAATTACAAGTAAAATTTACATTAAAAATTTTACAAGTGAAATCTGCAAACTCAGTGAGAGTTCCTCTTTTTGAGGAAAGATGTCAGATCCTCTGTATTTTCTTGTCCATAATTTCCTTCATATTTAAGTTTCTTACAACTGAAAAGTAATGGAACAATTTCCAAATCTGAGAATTTTGTACAACAAATATCACTGTAATATTGATGGTGCTGTACAGTAGAAAGAGGAGGAAGAGGAGGAGAAAGAGAATAGTGTAGGAAGAGGAAGAGGGGAAAAGCTCCTAAATAGTGGACCTAATATTCCCGGCCAAAAAGAAATGAACTGATGCAAGTTCAATTCCCTCAAGCTTAAAAAATAAACTCTAACCTACCATTTCGGCCATTTTGCTTTAAGGTATTTGCAGACAGCTGGATAGTGCTTCCATGGCCCATGTTTTCTGGAAATTTTAGGTCTTCTAAGTTTCCTTCTGTGCTCAGTCTTGCAACTTCCAATTCTGTTAATATCAAAGAGATATCAGTGCTCATTGAGAAACATACCTAAGCTACAATAATTTCCTAAACCATTGCAGTATTTCTGAAATCAAAATACTGGAATTCTTATTCTATTTGTCATGCTTTATGAAAATCTTTAAGAAAATATATTGTTAGTATTTTATCAAAATAATGCAAAAAAGTTACTAAAATTATGTAAATAATACAAACATGTCAATAATAAAGCCTAAAATTTAAATTCAATCCCAAATTCTAATACATTGTCATTGGTCTTAAGTTTCAAAATATAATCTTTATTTTATAAATTAAATAAAAATCCTTTGATAATCTAGAGCTGTACTATCATATCAATATTAAACTATCTTTAAGCCCAGTAAATTTCAAACAGCTTTTTCCTAACTTCTGAAATAAAACTGTCAGCTACTCCTAATCCACAATAAAAATAGACTGATATCCTTTATAAGCCAAATAACAAGATTATCAAACACTGTTTTATCATTTTCACTCAAATGACTTATTTCTTTATAATGTGAATTCAAAGATACTCTCATTATAACTGAAATAACTCCTAACAGTCCTGTATTAAGAGGATGAAATTTTAAATAGTGTAATACATACATAAAAGTCCTTTAAAAAAACGAACCTCACTGTAAGTGATCTCAGGCTACTATGTTTTCAATTTTGAACCTAATATTGAAATGTCCTAAGAAAGATAGCACACATGATCTTGTATCCTTTTAAGCCAATGACAAGTGATGCCCTCTTTATTTTAGAAAAAGAATGACTTTTCTCCATTGAAATAAAGCATCACTCATATCTAGGACACCAGAGATACTTTTTTCTTTTCCCTCTTCTGATATACAAGAGTGTCTGGACCTTCTGAATAACAAAGGCCACTTACTAATATTGTCTGTATTCTCCCTGACAATGTCAGTCTTCAAAAGGTTATCAGCCAGCACAAAAGCACTTTCCTCCACAGTATGAAGCAACATGGTGGCCGCACGCAGCTGATCACTCGTAGTCAGGTCTCTCCATGCATTCAAAGCTTGTGGCTGAAGGAGGTTGTTAACTGTCTCGACCATTGCCTACAAGAGGATGAAAAGAATGACAGAGGTCTCTAGTGAACCCACATAGCTGTCAGAAATCCAGGTGTACATGTTGCCCAGCAAGCAAGGATCAGCAGTGTGTGCATGAGTTCAGTATTGTCCCAGCCTCCCCTGTGACATGCTGCAGCAGAAGCATTCATTATTTTGTTCTGTAAAACCCTAGCTGAGACTTTGCAACGCAAGAGGAAAACCTGTTTTTGTTTTGAAGGACAACAAATAAAGGCATGCTTGCTTCTTAGAATCAATAGCACAAGCTTCAACAAGACTATGATCACATAATTAAATTATTTGGCTGGGGAACTGTTGAAAAAAAAATTCAACCAAGAGTTTTACCACATGACTCAGAGAAAATAATTTTTTTCTGTAGGTTACCATAAAACTGGATGCTGAACACAACAGAGATTAAAAGGATGACCATAAATGTGACAATCCAAGAATTTGTTGCTTATAGGTTGATGACTCACATAGCAAACCTATTTGTTTTTAGCCAGCTAGTAAAATGTCAGAATGGGGAAAATATCAAAGCATACATACTCCCAGGGGCTTTGGATATGTTATGTATAAAGAGAAACCTCCTTCATGCTGTTTACTACTAGGGAGGGGAATAAACAGTTGAACCTTACTACCTATGGTCCTCAGGTGTTTTATCTTTTAAAAAATCAGCAGTAGGTACACCCACACATAGATACAAAGCACTACAATTCTCATTGCTTCATCCAAAAGAATCATCTCTGTAGTTACAATTTATATATTTCCTGTGGTTTGCTTTATGCTGTAGGTTAAAAAGAAAAACAGTTCTTCCAGTAAGGTCTTGGGTTTCATTCAAACATAGAGAATTGCAAAACAGAAAAATACAATACCTGCAGCTTGAAAGTGATCATCCCTGAACCCAATTCATTATGAAATATGCATCTAATCCAGAAATAAAGTTGAATAAACAGCCAACACAGGCACAGTTAACAGGCAGCACATAAGTGTTTTAAAACAGGACTCACATTATTGACACATTGGCCGAGGGGCTGGGAGAGACTAGAGAAATACCCTCCACAATGCAGTGTTTTCTCCTGGCTGGTGTTTTCATAGTAACCAAGTAACAACTGTTAAAAATGCAGCTTCATAATGAAACACCTTGGCTGCCAATTAACACCAGCTTCAAAAACTAATTTGCCTTTTGATACAAGTTGTTTTTTTCTTGATATTTTCCCAGCTATTCCAAGTTTTGGCCAAAAATCAACATCACTGTACTTTTAAGTAAAATAATCCTACTCACAACTTGCATGCTTTGGATTATTTTTTAAAAGAGAAACAACACAAACAAATCGAAAAAGTCTCTCACGAGTTTAAACACTGGACGTTTTCATATAGTGTGCTTAGCTCCGTCATTTGTTCTTGGTGTAAAGCGTGACCTAGTAGCCAGACAAAAGTACTTCTGGATCACAACAAAATGATCCGCTTTCCTGGAAGTTCTCTATAAGGGCAATGCCAACAGGATATGCCAAAAAAAGAGGTGCCAGATAGGAAACCAAAAAAATAAAAATAAAAATAAAAAAACTTTAGATATTTTCTGAAGCCAAACAGAGAACTTGGACCTCTTCAGTGTAAAGAAGTATTCCTTCAGGGATTAGATGATACTGTGAATTCATTAAAAATGCTCTGAAAATCCCACATGCAACAGAAATTATGTCTGTTCCTTATGGAGCAGCCATTTTAGCTGCTGATAATCTTAATAGTTAGTTAATAATCTTATAATAATTAATTAAAATCTTACCTAAGGGGAAATTTTATTGGGGATAATATATTTCTGTTCTGTCCTTCGTTGTTTTTATTTTCATAATTTAAAAAAAATACAAGATGAGAAAAAAGGAAAAAGAAACAACTATGGTCAACTCCGAGAATGTTCTAAGAAAGAACATGTTCCAAGACTAAATCAGGAAAAAATAGAAATTCTGAATAGACCTACAACTAATACGGAGATTGAGTCAGTAATCAGAGCCTCCCAACAAAGAAAAGCTCAGGATCAGATAGCTTCACTGGTGAATTCTACTCAATTTTTCTACACTTAAAGAAGAATTAACACCAGTCCTTCTCAAACTCCAAAAGAATATAAGAGGAGGGGACACTTCCAAACACCTTTTTATGAGGCTAGCATTACTTTGACACCAAAGCCAGACTTAGACACCACGAGAAAACTGCAGGCCATATCCTGATGAATACAGATGCAAAAATTCTCAACAAAATGCTAGCAAACTAAATCCAACAGCATTTAAGAAAAAAATTATAAACCATGATCAAGTGCAATTTATCCCTGGATACAGGGAGAGTTCAACATACAAAAATCAACAAATGTGATACACCACATTAACAGAATAAAGGATATCACATGATTGTCTTAATAGATGCATAAAAAGTGTTTGACAAAAGTCAGCACCTTTCATGATAAAAGCTCAACAAACTAGGAACAGAAGGAAGTTACTTCAACATGATAAAGGCCATGTATAAAAGCTCTTAGATAACATCATACTCCACAACGAAAACCTGAAAGCTTTCCCTCTAAGATCAAAAACAAGGCAAAGGTGCCCACTCTTGCCACTATTCAACATAGTATTTGAAGTCCTTAGCCAGAGCAATTAGGTAATAATAATAATAGGCATCCAAACTGAAATGAAAAAGTAAAATTGTCCCTGTCTGCAGATGACATGATCTTATATACAGAAAACCTGAAAGACTCCATTAAATATATATATACATAAAAGACTGTATGTATGTGTATGTGTATATATATATGAATGTATATGTGTGTGTACGTGTGTAAATATATATATATATAAACTAATGAACAGATTCAGGAACCTGTTTACAACAGACTGCTTTATCTAAAAAACTTTGTATGTCTTTGAACTGATGGCAAATAAATCAAAGGCACCATTTATTAATTTATCTTAGTTTTGCAACTAAAAAACTACAAGGTGCAATATTTTTTCATAGTTATAAGTTTTCAACAAGTGTATTCTTCAAGATAAGGCAGTCTTTAGGGAAGCTTTCTACTAAAGCCCAAACAATTGCCAAATTTACTAAAAAGCAACACACTCAAAATGTGGCCCCCAAACCTAGAATTTGGTGAGTTATGACACCAATTTAACATTTATTTAATCTGCTCAAAAACGCACCTGTTCACAGTTGCTTAAGTATAACTGCAAGGAAATGTTTACACAAGGATAGAGAGACAGTATTCTGTAAAATCAGAGTGTGGGATTTGGAACCACATCCCCGAATTGTACCTGCACAGTGCCTCTTACTGTGTGACATTGGGCAAGTTACTTAACTTCTCTATACTTCATCTACAAATGTGGTATGATAATATAATCATCTCAGAAAGTTTTCTGGCTCATAACAAGTGCTCAAGTTGCAACCTTGTTTTTACTTTTGCTTGATATCACAGTACAGTGTAGGAAGAAGGGACGTCTTCACTTAGAAAGCACATTTCATGTCTGATAATTGCTAAATAGCCACACTGAATTGAAATCTGGAAGGAATAAATCTTCGGTAATGCAATCTTCATAATTTGGTCTCTTACACAACTACAGAAGCCTATACTACCTGGAGCTTTGAGGAATTGGAGAGTAAAGGCAACATGTGTATTAAATAGTTCATAATGAGTTTTTTAGAGACTTAAATAATGTGACCCCTTTTCTGCTAGTGAGACAGCACAATTAAGTCCATCTTAGAAGCTTTATAATCATAAATGATTTAAACTTTCTGAAGCTTGCTGACATGTCCCTTTACTAGCTAAATGAAGGTTAATTAAATAGCTACAACTCCTCAATGAATACCTATATTTGGATTTCCTTATACATTTATGTATTGTATATTTTATTCACACACTATGACATCTGGTCACAAAATAATTTTTTTTCTCCAACTAGTTATTTGCATTATTTTCATAAGCTCAACATAAGACTCATTATATTTCAATTTGAGGGTAGGTACGGGTGAGTATTATCCTTTTCATTGTACAGTATACTCACTAAACTCTCAGTGACTTTTGACTGTTTCTAAAAATCGAATATAAATGGGAAAGAGCCAAAAGTCATTTTGATTCACACCAAGATTATGGACATACCATATCCTACTAGATACACATTTGCATTATTTTTTAATGCGACATTATTAGGACTCTTATCATTAAATTCAGACCTTAGGCAAATTCAGTTGACGAATATTACTCATAGCATATAACTCTGATATGTTCGTTAAGATGTTATATACTTTATAATTACACTTTCTATATTTCAAAATACAGAGTTTATTTGTTATAACTACTGCAAAAACCTTTGGGAAAAACTGCTACATATTTTTGCAATGACAACTTTTGTCATTATTCCAAGAGGATGTATTTGTGAAATAGCTTAAGATTTCTCAGGAAGAATACACAAAATAATGAATGATGAGAAACACATGAGTGGCACTTCTTATCCAGGTAAGCAGTAAATATCAAACTACGAAAGTAAGCAGAATCATCTGGGGGAACCTAGTTACCCCCCTTCCTCCATTTGAAAAACGTAAAAATAAATACCCCAATAGAAGGAATGCCTTATGGAAAGATGTATAACTTTACCACCATGGCATTTTTTTTTTTTTTTTTTGAGACAGAGTCTTGCTCTGTCGCCCAGCCTGGAGTGCAGTGGCACGATCTCTGCTCACTGCAAGCTCCACCTCCCAGGTTCATGCCATTCTCCTGCCTCAACCTCCCGAGTAGCTGGGACTACAGGCGCCCGTCACCACACCCGGCTAATTTTTTGTATTTTTTAGTACAGACAGGGTTTCACCGTGTTAGCCAGGATGGTCTCAATCTCCTGACCTCATGATCCGCCTGCCTCGGACCTCCCAAAATGCTGAGATTACAGGCGTGAGCCACTGTGTCTGACCTTGCAGACAAGTTTTTAAGTCACTAGCTCATTCAGGTTTTATCTCAAATATCATCTGCTCCAAGAGGTCTTCCATTATTAGCACAACTGGGGGGCGGGGAGGGGAATCCCCCCATCCTTAAACCTATTACCTGTTTTGTTTTCTTTGTGTCATACGTCATTATCTAAAGATGTCTCATATTTGTTTCCCTGCACAACTATCTTAAACCTCCCATTGGACAGACGGCAAGCTTTATGAAGGAGGAGATGCTGTCTCATTTACAAGAGCCAAAAGCAGTGTTCCCTAACTCTTGGCTGAGGGATTTGCCATGCAGGATAACTCATATGTAAGTCAGTTTTCTCCATTTTCATATCAGCTAAAATAAAAATCTCTGAAGTTATTAGTTTGATGAGTATAAGAGCAAAGAATAACTAGAAATGATAAAACTTATTAACTAGCCAATACTTTCTTGAATTAGTCTCACTTCAGAGAATCAATACCCCAGTGGGCTCTTAGTCCATTTGGGCTGCTAGAACAAAATACCTTAGACTGGACAATTTTATAAACCACAGAAATTTATTGCTCACAGTTCTGGAAGCTGAGAAGCTCAAGATCAAGGTACCTGCAGATTCATTGTCTGGTGAGGTTTCACTCTGCATCCTCACATGGTACAAGGGAGAAACAAATTATCTCGGGCCTCCTTTGTAAGGGCACTAGTACCATTCATTCATGAAGGCTTTGTTCTCTTGGCCTAATCACCCCACCAGAAGCCCCACCTCCCAACACCACTATACCGGGGAGTAAGTTTCAACACATGAATTATGGGGAGACACAAGCAGTCAGACCACAGAAAGCTCCCATTTCAGTATTTATTTATCTTTAACAGAATTATCTATATTTGTTCTGATTTTCTCACCAGACTATCATGTCCTTAGAGAAGACATCATATTCATTTGTGTTTTCTCGGAGTAAATTTTAGTGCCGTGATACCATTTGGGTATTCATTAATATTTATCACACAAAGGTAAGTTACTTTTATTATCAAATTATTAATGCCATTATATACAATAGGAAAACTGAAAGCATCCTTTTTTATTTCTTTAATTTTTGCCCTGTCTCCCCAAAGACTTCTGAGAGAATAACGTGTTCAGATATCACCATGATTTGGGAGGGAGGCAGGGTGAATGAGACGAAGTTAAGATGACAGAGTTCAGAAGAAGAAAATCTGAACCACAGGTTATTGTAGTGCATACAGGACACTATGAATAAGAAATGCATATTTATCTTATAAAAAGTTTTCCATAATGTTTCCAAAGGTAATTTCCAATGTAATTTAACAAGATTTCATTAGATACGTATTATGTGTAAAGACCTAGGTAAGGCACTGTTGAATGAGGTTAGAGAAGAAAAACATAAGAGTTTTTCTTCAATTTACCTATGCTCCAGCACAAAACAGATCTAGAAACCCACAGCATACAGTACAAAAGTAATAGACTCTTGCTGAGGAGGACCATAAAAACATCCCAGAAAATGTTTATTTTTGAGTTAGACGCTAAAGGATGAATACATTTTCTTTGACTCCGAAGAGGAAATCCAAAGCTAAAGTACATAATGAGCAAGTTGATGATGGTAAAATAAAAAAAGCAAATTGGTATTAGGCAGCCCATTTGAAAGCTGGGAACAATTATTTCATAGTAATAGATACATTTATACTAATGAATTGCTTAAACTCTTTTGAAAAACGGCCTAGTAATATAAATTATATTTTACTCTACTTCCACTTTTTAAATATGTTTTCCTGAATGCATTATTTCCTTAGCAATATATGCCATAATCACGCTGAATAATGCTATTTTATATTATTATTTTTATTATATTATATATACAGTTACATTTAAACATTTTTCTTCACATCTAAATATCAGGATATATTAAGGAAGAAAAATAAGTTTTCAGGTCTCTGCTCCCATTTATTGCTTTCTGAATGTATACACTGTAGATAGATAGATAGATAGACAGATGAAAATAGTATCCATTGATTTATAATTTGAAATAATAAAAACAAAATTTTCTTTAATTCTTTGATTTCTTGATATAAGGTTTATCAGTTGAAAATAAAGTAAAATGAAGCAAAAGTTTAAAATCATTACTGAATAGGACACATTGTACTGCAATATGCGTTTAGATATTGATTCAAATCAAAATGTAAAGGTCAAGTGTTAGAAGTGTCTTCAAAACAGTTTATAACTTGCAGGTTTTTTATTACAAGTCAAGTTGAGTGACTGATATTTATACATCTGATCAATAAACCTAAGGTACTTTTTATAACCACTGTCATTTAATATTATTAAGTATATAAAACTACTAATCTCTGAACTACCTTTTATATTACAGTGAAGTGCTGGCATTTTCAAGTCTTAATTAAAATTAAATCATATAACACAAGTGACCTTAATATAGTAATAGGGACCTTTAAGAGTAAAACAAGGTGAAACTAAAATTTCATAGAACAGACTGTGTCTTTAAGAGACCTCTTATTTTTTTTTTTAAAAAAAAGCATTGTCTTTTTGCAAACTGTATTTGATCGTATCACTTTTTAATTCTACTTTAGAATGAAATGACCAAATGCTGTCAAATAAATCTCTATCATGTTACAGGAATTAAATGGATCTACAGACCTGACTTAAACTCCTTGCTAACCTAATATTCATTCAACAAATATTAACTGAGCATCTTCAATGTGGCAGTCAACTGGGATGCAGCAAGAAAGACAGATGTTCTCCCTTCCCTCAAGGTAATGGCAATATAGTGAGGCCAGGCAATTAAACAAGTAATTAAAATCCAACATGGCAAGCATTATAATGATGGAAACATAGGGTTCAAGCTCTGTATTGGAAAAGCTCCATGAAGTAGGAGAATTCCAAGATGAAACTCAACGCTGAACAAAGAGGCAAAGGGCACAGAGTGTACTTACAGGCACAGAGGTGAAAGAGAATAGGCACTGCAAAGAAACTGAAAACAAATTCCTTATGGTAGAGCAGAGAGTATAAGGGGTTCAGTGGCAAGATTGGTAAGTGAAGGATAGATTTCAAAGAGGTTGCAAACTATGTTAAGGTATTTACAATTCTTCCTAAAGACGACAAATAGTCACTGAAAAAACATGTAAGGTAATAGAGCAATATACAGTAACGGTTAATATTTGTGGAGTGTATTCCAGACCTTGATATGAATGCTTTACATGCATTAACTCCTTTAATTTTCACAATAACCCAGTGAGGTAGAATTTATTATTATCTTCATCTTACAGTGAGAATATTGAGACTCAGGGAAGTTAAGTAACTTGCTAAAGGCTAATTAGCTAACATAGAGTAGAACCAGGACTCAAATCCATGAATTCTGGTTCTGGAGAAAAAGAAAAGCAGAGATTATTCCAAAGATATTTAAAATGATTTGCTGATTAGTTAACGCCAGTTGATGAGGAAAAGAAAGAGGTGCAACGCATAGAATTTGGGATAGTCAAGGAGATAGCACTCACTTCAAATGGGAACTTTGTTTTTCAAAAGGTAAAGGTAGTGGGTATAAAAGTATATGTGTGGGTGGACAGTATGAGTAACATAGTAAATTCAGGTTGCCTACTTTGAATGCAATATACAGTCGTGCACTGAATAATGATGGGTTGCTCAATAATGGACCATGTATACCATGCTGGTCCCATAAAATTAAAATGGAGCTGCTCTATACAGGTGTACTAGCTTTGATCTTTTATATCATATTTTTACTGTATCTTTTCTATGTTTAGATACACAAATACCATTGTGTTATAATTGTCTACAGTACTCAGTACAGTAACATGCTGTACAGGTCTGTTGCCTAAGGGGCAGTAGGCTATACCATGTAGCCTAGGTGTGTAACATGCTGTCCCATTTAGGTTTTCGTAAGTATACCCTATGATGTTTGCATGACAACAAAATGAAGCATTTCTCGGAATGTATCCTCACTGGTAATGCATGACTATAATTGTATGGCATCAATTCAGATGGCCTGAAGCTTATATAAGATATCTGATATTCACATATAGTTCATGAGATAGTTTGGATATTTTTCCTTCTGAATCTCATGTTGAATTGTAATCCTCAGTGTTGGAGGTGGGGCCTGGTGGGAGGTGTTTGGGTCATGGGGGCAGAGCCGTCATGGTTTGGTATTGTCCTCACTATAGTGAGTGAGTTCTTGCGAGATCTGGTTGTTTAAAAGTGTGTGACACCTACCCCACTCTCTCTCTCTTGCTCCTGCTTTTGCAATGTGATATGGCGGCTCCTGCTTTGCCTTCTTCCATGAGTAGAATCTCTCAGAGCCCACCCCAGAAGCTAAGCAGATGCCAGTGCCATGCTTGTAGAGCCTGCAGAATCATGAGCAAATTAAACCTCTTTTCTTTATAAATTACCCAGGCTCAGGTATTCCTTTACAGCAGCACAAAAACAGCCTAATACAATGCACGCATCATAAATTTAAGTAGGCTTATTAAAGCCATTGGTATGTCTGAAATTACCCAGAAAAACTGAGTAGAGGAAGAAGAATTGATGGTACAGAAACACTAACAAAATAGAGGGGCAAATGAAGTAAGAATAGTTGACAATGAAGATGAAAGAGTAAGCAGTCAGAGAGTGCAGTATCACAGATGGAAAGAGGGTTTTCCTTAGTTTCAAAAATAATCGTGAAAGTATCCAAAAATTCTTCTTCAGGAACTAGAAATAATAACTCTATTTTTGTTCTGGGTAACAGAGTGATTGTAAAACGAAAAAGAAAACCACAGAGATACTGCTTTTGAGGGGCAATCAGTACAATTGTATATCATTACTTCAAAGCGGGACATTTATTCATTTAATTAATATTTCTTGAGCACTTAACATATTGCCAACACTGTTCTAGAATCTTGAGATATATCTTAACAAAGCAGAGAAAAAATGATCTTAGAACTGAACATTCTGGCAAGGGAAGCAAATAATAAACCATATAGTGTTAGAAGGTAAAATGTACAGTGTGAAATGAAAGAAAATAGACAGGATGGAGGATTTAGAATCAGGGATGGCTTTCAAATAGAATGGTACAGATGGGCATCACTGAAAAGGTAACAATTCAAAAAAAGACAAAGGAATTGAGTAAGCCATGCAGGCATCTGGAAGAGAAGCATTCCAATCAGAGGGAACAGCCAGAATAAAAGTCTTCAAATGGAACTTTTGAAGGTTTGCATGGTCCAAAACCTTAAAACGGCATGTGTTTGGAGTAAAGTGAAAGGAAACAGTAGAGGTGGGAGGTGGGGCTCAACCACTTTAACTGAGATGCTGAAGAATGGTTTGCAAGTGAAGACTGGGAATTCAGTTACAGATATGGAAAGTTTGAGGTGTTTATTAAACAACAAAGTGAAGATATTGAGAAATTGGCTGGAAAATTAATTCTGGAGTTCAGGAGAATGGTTTGTGCCATTGATAATATTTGTAGGTCATAGACATATAGGTGGTATTTAAATCAATGAGATCACCAAGGGTGTGAATGTATAAAGTGTGGACAAGAGGACTAACTATTGTGCTAGGGGGCACTCCAAGCTTAAGGGTTTGAGGAGAAGAGGAGGAACCAATGAAGGAGACTGGAAAGAAGTGTCAATTAGGTAGGAGAAAAATCAAGTGAGTTGTCCTGAAGAGAATATATCAAGGAAGAGGGGGTGATCAGCTGTGTTAGATGTTTCTAATTGATCAAGTAAGGTATGCATTGACTACCGACCATTGGTTTAGCAGCATTTAGAAGTCATTAATGACCTCAAAAAGGGCAGTTTCGGTGGTGTAGTGGGGACACAAGCCTCAGGAGGTGAATTTAAGGGAGAATGAGAGGAGAGGGGTTGACAACGGCAAATGTTGAAAAGTGTTGTCAGAATTTCTGCTGCAGTGGACATACTAGTAGGCAATTGGAAATTGGAGCCTGGAGCTTCAATTAAACAGTAAATATTTGGAGACCACTTAATGTGTGCTAAGCACAATTTAAAAGGTCCTGAAGATGTAGAAATAAAAGTGGCACTGTTCCTTCGCAAGCAGCTTAGTGATAGAGGAGTGAAGAGACATTAAAATACAGCTTGATAATTGCTGTAATAGAGGAAAACTGAGAGTGTTATAAGTTCACATAAGAGGTCATTTATTCAGACTAAGTGGGACAAAGAATGCTTCTTTAGAGTAATTGACATACGAAGTGGGTGTTGACTTCATATGTCAAAGTTACTGGAATGAAGAGAAGGAGAAAGGAGAACAAATCTAGAATTAATCCAAGTAGAAGGAACTGTGACTATAAAGGTACAGAGACACGCACTGAAAGTATTTACATCTCCTGGCAGTGTAGGATCCGAGGAGGAGCCAGTTAAAGGTGTGAGAAATTAGCAACAGGAGTCTGATACTCAAGCACTGTAGTTCAAAAAGGGATTTTTTTCTATAAGGGCAAAAGAGAGTAAGGGACAGGCTGAGTAGGGTTAAGTCAGGATCAGATTTGCATTTTTAAAACATTACTCAGACAGTAGGTGGAATGGATTAACAGAAGAATTTGGCAATGTGTAAAGCAGTTAATTTTCTTTTTTAAATCATCTACACAAGGATAATAGCTGAAGTTATAAGAATCAGTATCAGAGGAAAACAAAGTTTGTAGCCAAAGTCGTTTTGCAAAAAATATGTCATGACCCTGGTCAAAGGATTTTAATAGCACTCAGACTCTTGAGTTTTTTCCATAGCCTTCTCCCTCAACCCACTGCTTCAGGCATATTTGTCTTCTTTCTATTCCCTGAACTCTCCAACCACTTGTCACTTGACCATCTTGGCCTTGGGTGACCTTTGATCTTGGAATGCTCTTCTCCAGGTAGTCACATTGCTGAATTGCCTATCACTTCCTTAGAAAGTCTTCCCTGATCCGCACGAAGTGAAGTAATCAAAAGGTCATATTTACTCATATGGGTCATATTTACTCATATGACTGTGTTTTAATTCTTTGAATAGCATTTCTGCAATCTTATTTTATTACTTTGATTGATTGACTGATTTACTGGCTATTTTCCTCCATAACTCCAGGCTGAACTAGGGTTTGAGCCCTACGAGACAGAAACTCTGTGTTCACCCGTGAATCCCTGCACCTGAAACAGTGTCTGAATGAGCTCAACAAATACTGCCTGATTGAATGAATGAATAAATCTACGCTTTTCTTAAAGTATATGTGTTTACTATTTTTTAATAAAAAATGTATTTTTCAGACTTTGAAAAGGACATACTTGTTGGAAAGTCTGAAAAACTGCCACAGCCTAGCAGAGCTAATTAAATGTAATATGATATCCTGGATAGGATCCTAAAACAGAAAAGGACATAGATAATAAATTTAAAAATCTGAGTAAACTGTGGACTTCAGTTAATGATAATATATTAACATTGGTTCATTAATTATTATAAATATACCATACTAATGTAAGATGTTAACAATAGAGGAAGCTGTTCATGTCAATGGGAGGTATATGGGAACTTTCTATAAGACTTGATCAATTTTTCTACAAATCTAAAACTGTTTCAAAAAATAATATCTATTAGTTTTAAAAAGACATATTTATAAACAGTTTTAAATTACAGAAGTATATATGGTAAAAGCTGAAATTCCATTTATAGAACAACACTGTAAAACTCCATACAAAAAGAATCACTTTAGACAGTTTATTGTGGGTCTCTCTAGACCTGTAAATATTTACACATTGATAAGAGCAAACTCAGTCCGGACAATAAGGCTGTTATCTGTTGTTTTTGGCTTGCTTGTTTATTTTTACTTGAAAATATATCACATCTATCTTTCTAAGTCAATACAAGTTCTACCTCACTGTTTCTGTGGCTAGGAAGTATTCCATTATTTAGTTTAGTAGTTTATTCAACCGATTTCCTACTGATGAAGAGGTAAGTTGTTCTGCTGATACAAACACTACCCAAATCTAGCTTGTGATCCTGTCTACACATTTACTCTTTTCCATGGCAGAATGCTACCCTATTGTGTGGGTCGGCCACAAGTTATCCCCAAAGTCTTTTCTCTAAGCAAGGAGAACAACACTGTTTTGTGATTGTATGACAAGATTTATAAAGAAACAGTATAAAAATATAGATATGAGTAAAAATAGTCTTCTCTGGTAAGATATTTAAAAAGCTAACAGGCCGGGCATGGTGGCTCACACCTGTAATCCCAGCACTTTGGGAGGCCGAGGCAGATGAATCACGAGGTCAGGAGATGGAGGCCATCCTGGCCAACATAGTGAAACCCTGTCTGTACTAAAAATACAAAAATTAGCTGGGCATGGTGGCGCATGCCTGTAATCCCAGCTACTTGGGAGAGAAGCGCTTGAACCCGGGAGGCAGAGGTTGCAGTGAGCCGAGATCACGCCACTGTACTCCAGCCTGTTGGCAGCAAGACTCCAACTCAACAACAACAAAAAAGCTAACAGTGATCACGCTTTGGAAAAGGACTGCTGAAAGTCTGTGGAGAGAAATGAGAGGCAGGGTTGAACTACGCAACCGCAAGGGAGCACCACTGAAATAGACAAAAATGTCAGTGGCGTGCCCTGGAGTTAGCAATGCAGAGGTTCTAGTGGGAGGGAGAAATAGCTATTATTCTATCTTTTGAATTTTATACCATGTGTCTATATTAGCTATTCAAAAAATTACTTAAAAGGTAGAAAAATGCAATCTGAGAAGTTTCAAATAGCTTTTAAAAGTTTTTTTTAGACAAAATGATTAATCTCAAACTATGACTAACAGAACAAGCAGAAGAACATTTTTATCTATATCTAGGGTTCAAAAGTTACCCTTGTATTGTCATAAATCTATGGTAGTTTATTACAGTAAAACTGAATAAGATTTCACTGTGTTATTAAATAAGAAAAAGAAAAAGCATTTTCGTTGCATCTGAGGCTGCTAGTTGCCCAATATCCCTCTTGTGTTAGACACAGAATCGTTGGACACTATGCCCAGCTGCAAAGCTGCACCTACTAATGAAGTATTTAACCATGCAAATAGGGTAGCCCTTAAGATATAATAAGGAATAGTTTGGAGAGACTCCTGGAAAGTACTAAAAGGGACAAATCCTTCTGATACTTATCCTTTTCCTTCTTCCTTTTAGAAGATTAGCATGACATGATGATTGGAACCTAAGTAGCCATCTTGTCATCTTGGGGATGGAAACCCATGTGCTAAAGATAATGGAGCAAAAAACCAGATGCAGCCTTGGTCTCTGATGATTTCATGCAGTTTCCAAGCTAATCTTGGACTGCCTCATCTGCATTTTTCATGTGCAAGAATAAAGCCCTGGTTTGTTTAAGCTACCATAGCTAACTTTCTGTTACTACCAGCTATACAAGATTCGTATATTAGATAAAGGAAAACATAAAAATTGTAACTCTGGGAGCAGTCCTGAAAAATCATTTGTTTGGATCCACGCTCTCAGACAACTACTTTACTGTAAATTGCACTTTAAAATTTCCATTGCTTTTCTGACCTGTACCAAAAAAGTTAATGATAGTTTCAGAAAGCAGGATCTTAAATCTGTAATGCTGTTTTTAATATCCTTTACCTTAATTAATTACCTTAATATAATTACCTTAATAGCTATGTAATCATCAAGCTATTAAAGAAATAGAAAAGTAAATTGATGTGTATTCTCTTGCATTTGCATAGAAATAATATCTATTTATATTCTATGTATTTAAAACTTTTCTGAAGGTAAACTTATGTTCAGAAAGCACTGATGCATAGAATGGGCTTTAAGTAAACAGTTTTACAATTACATAATGGCCCAGGCTTTGATCAGAAAATTAAATAAGAGAAGAGAATACAAGTTGGTGCAAAGAAGAGAGAAAATATTTTTGTTTTAGATGAAAACATTTTATTTAAAAACAGAAAGACACTTTTCCCATACCCTCATTAGAATTACTTTCTGAGGCATTCACAAACCATGTATATACAAACAGCAGCTGGAACATTTGTTTATTTACAGGAAATGTGCAAAATGGAGGAGGCAGAAATGGCTTTCTAAAGCAGCCATTTCTATCTAACCTGACACATTCGCCAGGGGAATTGTGAGAGATTCCCAGAATGATGTTCTTTCCACGTCAATGCAGAATCTCCATGATCAACATCTGTCATTGTCCTTTGGAAGTTTTTAAATCATTAGATTTACAACTTGACCTGTTCACATTCTTCAATAATACCTGTATGAATTACTCTGCTTACATTACATATGATTTTACTCTTCTGATTCAATGATTGCTTTGTATGTAGTAGCGTTTAATGTCTACAACTTATAGAAAGGAATTCTTATAACCATTCTTTATCTGAAAAAAACTACAGTACTCTGGTTTTGTAGATAGAAGTCACTTTCTTTGATCTCAATGTCTTTTAACAATAGGTTTAGGGCACCAGAAACATGCAGGGTGCAGATTTATATTTTCTCTCTTACTGACATAAATCAAGTGCAGATTTATCAAGCTGTGAAATATATTAAGTTCACAGGGTTTTAACAAAGGGTTACCAAACCACAAGAACCTGCTGTGATTCAAACTACTTTCAGATGTCCTTTTAATTATATTAAATGAAAGTTTGGGTTGGCTTTGATGCTTATGGGCAAACATCGAAATCTCTTGAAAGAGCTGCTAAAAGTACTCCCTGTTGCTGCAGTTAATATACTACATTGTATGCACACTGCTAGCCAATTTATTCTAGCCACTTTAACAAGGACATCCAGCCTGACAGGCCACACAGAATAGTATCACAAGTCAAGCAACGCACAAATCATTAGAGGACTCTGAAAGTTGTTTGACATGCACCACAGAGCTCTTTGTCACATAGCCAATTAAGTGACCAAACAAGGAACTTGAAAATACTCATTAATTTCTTCCTAGCAGTATAAATGGAGCTTAGAATCCTTCTTGTCTTATGCACCAAAGGCACGCAAGTAAAACTGGCATAATTCAATTTGCACTTTGTCAAAGGTGCAATAGCAATTTTGGTTCACAGAAAGTGTGCATTAATACAAAAAAGTTGAAAAGAATGGGCAAAAATGTTTAGATATTGCATGTAATAATGTAGACATGTGGGCTTTGGAATCTTTTTAATTATCAAAAGTTGACATTACTTTTATCTTTGAAAAGCTGTATCAGCATTTCTGAGCAGATTCAGCAGTGCTTCACATCATTTCATCCTCTCTGCAATAACTTCAGTTGATTTCCAGGATACCATGCTCTCCTGGTGCTCCTCATTCCTTAAGCCTGTTTTTTAGTCTCTATTGCTGGCTTCTCTGCATTTCCCCAACCTCTTCATATTACAGTGTCCTGGGGCTCAGTTCTAGATTCTTTTCTTTTCTCTCTTTACACTCATCCCCTTGATGAATTCATCTAGAACATTGATTTCAAATGCCACTCTAAGTAAAACACTACCAAATAATTATTTCTAGGCTAATCTCACAATTGAACACCATGCTTGTATATTTAATGACATATTTAACTTCTATATTGCATGTCTAATAAGAATCTCAAACTTAGCATGAGCCATAGTGGAGTTCTCTTTCTGCCCCTCCCAAATTGGTTGCAAATAGACCATCTCAACAAACCACGACTTCATCCTTCCAATTGCTCAGGCAAAAAGCATTCTGTCATTTCAACTCCTCTTTTTCTCTGAAAACTCTATACAATCTCTTAGCAAATCTTATTTCATTTTTTTAAAAACCTCTGAATCCGAATAATTACCTCAGTATCCCGCACTAATATGCTAATCCAAGTGGCTGTCATTACCCAAATGGTAACCCAGCTTCGGCCCTTACTTTTCTTGCTGTTGGCTACTGTCCACTTGTAACACGCATCAGAGAGTTAGCCCTCCTCAGAAACCTGCAGTGGTTTGTTTACTAGGCTTTTCTGAATAAAAGCTGAAGTCCTTACAATGATCTATCAGAATCTGGGCCTTGAACTACCACAGGCTCACACCCTGTGATCCTCTTTTTCACTCTGTTCCTGTTGCACTAGCCTCCTTCATCACCAACAGGAATATTTCCATTTCAGGAACTTTCTGTTCTCTCTGCTAAAATGCTCGCTCCTGCATATCAGCATAGTTGACTCCTTTTATCTCCTTCTGAGTTTTGCTCAAATATCACCTCGGTAATTCATTTCCTGCTTTCTTGCCCCCCATCCCATGACTAGAGTCAAGAACTTCTGCAATTCACAAATACTAGCATGGCTATAATAAGAAAGACAGAAAATCACATGTGTTGGTGAGGTTGTGGAGCAACTGGAATCCTCATATATTGCTGGTGGAAAATAGTACTGTCTCTGGAAAACAGACAGTTCCTCCTTTAACATAGTTACTATATCTTTCTGCTGGTTTTTTATTCTCTTAAGATGGTAACTTTTTCATCAGAGTCTCCTCTGAAAGTAAAAAGACCTCAAAGCAAATTATATTTGGATATGACCTTAATATGGCAGCACAAAATAATTATCACATACCATTTTACCTCTGTCTCAAAAAAGAGATTGAAAAAAATTGTTGTACTGCATTCCATCCCTGAAATACAGTGCAAAAAATCAACAAACATAAACCTAATGATATGTCTTGCCTCCTATCACCAAAAGATGAGGTCAGTCCTGCAAGTAACAGTATCTCAGAGATTAGGAGGACACGCCTCTGAATTAGAAAGACTTAGCTTTGAATTTAAAGCACCTTCAATTATTATTGTGTGATCTTGTGAAAGTCATTTAACCTTCCCTGGGTCTCCATTTTTTCATCTGTTAAGTTAAAAATCGCAATAATTATATCATACGGTGTTTGTGAATATTAAATAAGAATGTATTCTAATTGCTCTGCACAATAATGGCACATAATTAATGCCTAATAAATAAATTTATTTTTATTTTTATTTTTTTTTGGAGATGGAGTCTCACTCTGTCGCCCAGGCTGGAGTGCAGTGGTGCGATCTCAGCTCACTGCAACCTCCACCTCCCGGGTTTAAGCAATTCTCCTGCCTCAGCCTTCTGAGTAGCTGGGATTACAGGCATGTACCACCATGCCCAGCTAATTTTTGTATTTTTAGTGAAGACAAGGTTTCACCATGTTGGCCAGGCTGGTCTCAAACTCCTGGTCTCAAGTGATCTGCCCACCTTGGCCTTCCAAAGTGCTGGGTTTACAGGAAATTAATTTATTCTTAATAACAAATCACTGTTATTCTTAGTCATGGTGTTGAAGCAGCATAGGACACATGTCAGGAGAGAAGCAATGGTACCATCAGTGCTACTTGTGTGGCCTTGGGCCAGTACACTATCTCATCTTCATCTATAAGGATATGCATGTGTAACACAAGCCTTACTTGTTTTCTCTAGTATAAAACTTAAAACTCTCTATTTTTTTTTTAAGAGACATGGTTTTCACTATGCTCCCCAGGCTATATTCGAACTCCTGGGCTCAAAAAATCCTTCTACCTTGGCTTCTCAAGTAGCTGGGGCTATGTAGGCCCATGTCATTGTGTCTAAGATATGGAAGTAATATGTTTTACTATGACACATATCAATTTATATCTTGTGATTCTCAACACAAATCTAAAATTACAATTAAAATTAAAATATGTATATTAAACTTAATTTTTTTTGTTGTTAAAACTCTTGGGATGCAAACATAATGGCTTTTAGGAGATTCACATATTATTTAAAATATCACACCAGCCACTTTTAATTGTACAACTACAGGTCAGTTATCATAGTTGACAACTGATAGTTAAAATTTCACTGTGCTTTCATTTGTGTGTGAGATAAACAAAAGGTTAAAAGTCAGAACATACAAAAGATAACTCTGGATAATTCATAAAATAGACACTGAACTTCTAAGTAATTGACATCTAAATGGATTTAGACAGCCAAAATCAACCCTAAAAGATTCATTGCTTGCGCTTATGAAAAGGCTATATTAAAAAAAAAACAATTATGATGACTTAGAAATCATCTTATTTCAAATTTAATGCCTAAAGCACTTCAAGCATATTTCACACCTATTTCGTAGGTAGCTCTGAATGTACTCTGAAAATAGAAATAGGACACATAAAACAAGTCTTTAAAATGCAAATAGACTAAAGTTTAAAGGATTATTCACTCTGGAATTTCATGGAATAATGATCTACATTAAGAGGAAGAGAGGTAGTGCAATGTATTAGCAGAGCATTTCTGATTCACCAATATTCTGTTTGTATTTGGTCTTATAAGATGTTTACTCAATAGCTGAAACATTTATTCATAGTCAGTCAATTATAACCCAGGAAATCAACCACTGAATAAACTGCTATTAATTTTCCACCAGAGATTCATGTTTGAATGACCATGTGTTTCATAGGTTTAAATACCAAAAGACTAATTATCCCAAAGGCCCCATTAAAAGGATAGCATAGATTGCAATCAAAAACAATCCTAACATTGCTCAGCTCAGAAATGATCTTCAGCTTTTGATGGTAAAGGATATTTTGATTTCTCTACCTATTGCATTCACTTAGAGTATAGGTCATATATAGATATATATTGATATATATTTATATATACAGATATATATTGATATATATTTATATATACAGATATATATGTATATGTATATAAACACACCTATATATACCTCCCAAAGCAATTTTTCCCCAAAACCTTAGAAAAATAAACCTGAACAGTTTCTTATACAAAAAGATTCATTATTTTATAAAATAAAATGCAAATTAAAAGTTTATCTTCCTAATCTCTGTTCAATGTTGAAATTCTCCTTTTCCTTTTAAATAATATTTTCACAAAATGCCTTTATTAGCCTTATTCTAATGGCTTCACTTCACATTCAGAATGAAATGCGCAAGAATAAAATAATATTTTTTTCACTCTGGTTTTTAAGTTTCTAATTGCTCATTCTGCAAAACAATGCTGAGATTAAAGTAATAAGAATTGATGAGACTCAGGACATGTGACTCCAAAATACGGCACATTGGCATTTGAGAAAACAGCAAAAGCAGGAAGGTAACTCTCATCTTTACCCTGCCTTTTTCTCCTGATGCAAACCAAACAACTGAGCAAGAATTTTCTAACCTTCCCCTGAATCAGATCATAATATTCTCCTTAGAGAATATTCAATTCTCAATTCTATACTACCCAGAAGGATAGTGGAATGTGAATATTCAGATCATTGGAAAGGCATAAATGAACAAATTGGTTTTTAGCATTTACATCAACCTAACTCACATCTCCCTATACCTGCAAGGAAGGATCCCAAGACACAGAGATGCCCAGAAGAATCTGAACAAATGCCTTGCTAAGTTCCCCCTCCCATGTATTACCATTAGATAATTCCCCCTTTGTCCAGTTGCACTTTCCCATGACTGTCTACTCTTTATCAAACCTACACATAAAAAATACAAGTTTTTCTGTTTCTTGGGGTCATTCCCAAATGCTGCTATCTCACATAAAACTTATATAAAATAAATTTGTATGTTTGTCTCTTGTTAACCTGTCTTTTGTTATAGGGGCCTGAGTCATGAACCTAGCTATAGATCAGGAAAAGAAATCTTTCCTTCCCTACGGAAACCACGCATAATCGTAATAGACACGTTTGGCCAACTACAAATTTAGCTGACTTATAGGGAACATTTGTAATGTGTTCTTGTGTTGCTCAGGAGACTTGGAAGACACCAAATCCAATCAAAGTGATCAGTATACATTTCCAGAACGAGAGTATATCCAAAGAAAGCTGAATCTACTCAACTGCATTTTCATTCCTCTGAAGTGTTAGTGTACTAACATTTATTCATCAATATTTTCTCCTAGATAGTAAAATCCTAGACAGGGACTGTATTATATTTGCCTTGTTCACTAATATTTGTTGAGGATATCAAGATATTCATGTATAGAATTTACAAATGGGATAGCTGCAAGAAAAAGAATTTGCCAGCCAGAATTAAGCAAATGATTATAGCTGGCACACAGAGATATTTCCATTCATTAAAAAGTCTACTGTATTGTGCTTTTCATAATCTGACTAAGTTTGCCCCAAGGCTATCCAATTCCTTTTGCTATGATTTTATGCTCACTAAGTCACTTTCTAATTATAAATCCAGTTCTCAATTCTGTACTACCGAGGATAGCGGATGTGAATATTCAGATCATTGGAAAGGCATAAACAAACAAATCAATTTTTACTATTTATATCAACCTAACTTAAGAGTTTTGGTTAAAAAAAGTAAACACCTTGATATTATGTTCACCTGCAAATTAACTGATAAAGTTTTGTTTTTAAACTGCCAATCTCATACCCATTAATTTGGTTCTTGAGGGTATCTCTTTATAAATGCAGATGGCCTTTTTAAAAATGCTGTGAAATGTATACATGTAGAATAAAGTTTACAGCTAAACATTTTCATATTTCCTCCTGCCTTCTTTGTTTCTTTCCTTCATTTCTTATAAAACAAAACAAAACAAAAAACTAGAGAGCTTGCTTCTAAGGTTGTTCTCTGTCATACAAAATCCATAAACATAGGTATGGTTTATTGCTTATAAATTACAACATGCTTACAAATTAGAACATGTCAGCCGAAACAAAGTACATTTACATTGGGATTACAGTTTTTGCAATAAGTAAGAGAGTAAGATAGTCACAATCGTGCCTTGAACCAATAAACAGCTCTACTAAGGAACAGAAGCATGATATTCCAAGTATCCTGGATTACTTGTTGTCTTATAAGACTGATTTAGTTTCATTTCTGAATGACTTGCTACTCAAATATTGGCTGACCCAATGAAAAAATGAAATGTTTTCAAACCCACCTCTATGAAAAAAATAGGGATTTTATAGATTATACCCAACTCACCTCTTGGTGATGATGAAAAAGTTCACACCTCAAGTTGCACCTCCTTCTCAGTCTGTGTTCCTCTTGTTTGACAGAGCATTGGCACTGCCAATGCTTTCATGCTTTCTGTTCCCACCCTTCTCCCCCTCCATGAAATTCCTTTATTTCAGTAAGGTACATTATCATTTTTCTATCAGGTGTCCATTCATGCCATCACAACAGAGACATTCAACAACTTAACACATTTATAAAAACGCAGAAAGTACCTGGACATAGGCTCTGCAAGAGCGCTCTCTTTTCTGAAGCTGAATCCATTAAGACAGCAGATTAAACACAGAATAGAAAAAACAAGTTAGTGACAGAAGAAAACAAGAAAAATAAAAGAACACATCTACACAAAACACCTTATTTTGTCATTCACTACTTTTCAGAAGAAAATGAAAGCTAAGCAGCAGCAAAATGTAAGCAAGCAATGGCTTAAAAAATAGTAGCCAACATCCTTTCAGAACAACCTAAGTGAAAACTCTATGGTATAAAGTTGTTAATGATAGCAAGAAATCTTTGAATACATTTCGTAGAAATTAGTAAAAATCAATATACTTCATTCGTTTGAAATGATTCATTTCACATTAGGTTAGTTATGAATTTATGGGTGACAAAGACATGAAGTTAAGGAAATTGCATCAGAAGTTTGGAACCCATTTTTCAAAGATAGATTATTTGTGGTTTACAGATAATATAAACGGTTAATGTACACCACAAATCATATGTTCTTCATATATACAAAAACTTCTATTTATCAGGAAAAAAGAAATGCCCATTCATTATGACTCTTTGATTCTAATGGGCACATACTAGAGATAACTAGCTACTGATTGAAAGGATGTGATTTTCTGATTAATCACTGCTTTTATTTCTTGAAGAATTTATTTTGACAGTTTTGACCAAAAAACAAATGATAGAAACTTTGGTGGGTTAAGAAGTATATTTCTGTTTGTTTGTTTGCATAGAGAGTGATGTCTTTCTGGGCAAAAGGATAGCAGCAACTCCTGTTACACACCAAACATTATTTCCTGGTGATAAAATGAATAACTAATAACAGTTCATCCACCATGTTTAAATAAATAAGCCAAATTTTTATAAATTCATTTGTGGGTTTTCCTCTTCTTTCCAATTTTTTTTTTTCCTCAGTAGCCTTGATTGTTGAAGGAGAAAATTACCCAGTTTTAAGAAGCAGTTACCCAGATGCCTTTTGTGTGGCCTATACTCTCCCAATTCTAATTCATGCATTCTTCAATGAGCATAGAGCAGTTACTCCTCTAAAGAATTAAGTAAGGAATGAGTGCAAGTAAATTGCCAGGGCTGTCACTTGGATCACTGACTTGCATCGTGGTTTGCAGGACTCTAAACCCTCCAGAATTTCAATACAGAGCACGATTGATTTGTACTGAGTTGACTTTGCAAATCTGATAGGTTATAACTGCTTCAGGGAAAGTGAGAACCACAGGAAATGAGAGCAAGCCAGCAAGCATGTGAATAACCTTTGCCCTCCCATCTCCTTACCCCATCATGCAAATTAACATATGACAAACCACATTATATAAACAACTGAAAAGAGCCAAATGGGTAACAAAAGAAAAGCATTAAAAAGCTTCACAAATGGAAATTTGCCCATTATTTAGTTATTTGATATTCAGAGTAGGCAAGCTGATTAGCTGTAGCCAGTTAGAATGTGACATTAATTGCCAGCTTTACCTGATATTGTCAGACATCAACACCATTTTTAAATAAAGATACAAAGTATTGCTATAACAAGTCATGTTATGGATATGTAACATTAATAGAAATGACTACATCCGGTACATTATGATAACAATAGCTGGCAGCAATATTCATTAATAGCATCCAGCCAGTCTGGGCAACAACGCATTAAAATCACAGCACGCCCAGATTATATAGGTAGCTGTGGATTATATTCCATCAGGCAACTGGTTGTGATTCTATCAAGGGCATAAGTGACAAAAATAACTCCTTTATGCTCAGAATGAAAAATAATAATAATAATAATTTATATCTAATAATAAAACTTTACCTGTTTTTTACAGATGAAATTGCAGGGGAAAAAAAAAAAACTGTTTGCCAGATAAAATATCTGGCTTTTCTGTGTTGAATAATCATTATTTAGAAAATTTCTTTCCTTTTGATGACTGAAATTCTTACCCTAGTAAGACACAGAAGAACTAACCATATTAAAAGACTACTTTGCAGAGTCATTTTTCATTCTAAAGGAGAATGTTCTTTTAGTGAATTCCATACAGGAATATTAGTCTGGCAATGTCAAATTCTTGTTTTTTAAAGTAGTAAGGCTATCATGATATTCAAGGCCCTAAAATTGTTTCAATCATTGAACATCTCTACTACACAAATGCCAGTCAGGGAACCCATGTCATTTGAAGGTAGCTATGCTAATATGTTTTACCATGGGGTTAATTCACCACCTGATATTTTGTTAAATAAATAAATTATATTATTTATAAATATATGAAATATATTTTATATGTTTATGTAACTAAATGCCTATTTCATTTATGTAAATATAAATGAAAATTCATAAAATGTATTTTCCCTGAAGTTAAAAAATAATTTATTTTACTTACAAATTCAAATTTGCTGGAATATATTTAAGCTTTTAACATTTTAATGTTAGTGATACAAAATCTGAGTGATTTCAAAGTCAAAAGGAAGTAGAAATTAATTTCTTGCCTTATGAGATTTTTTAAAGTTTTATTAATTAGGATAAATTATCTCAGTTTTTAAATCATCTATAATTGATGATAGAGATCCATCCATTCTTCCACAAGAAGATCTATAACATCTTCTTGTTATTATGTTCTAAAGTTTTACTTATTGACTAGACATTTGTTTTATTGTCAATTATCTTAAAATAAAAGTTTGAAAGAAAAAAGAAATTGCATTTATCTACATTAACCCTGTCTGAATTTAGCATAACAGAATAACTGCCATGGAAAACAGAATTATAAATTCAAAATATATATAGAGAGATTATCATTTATCATTTCTTTAGATTAAGAACCACAGTTCTATTATTATAATAACAAAGGAATTGAAAATAACTGTTGATTCTCTTTATAATGATCATATTCTGTAGAAGGAGGAAAATTAAGCAGTGAAGTCTTTCTGATTTTATTACAACTTTAAAGACACACACACACACACACACACACACACACACACACACACATAATTAGGGTCCTTACCTTGTTCAAACTCCGGGCAGCACTATCTTTTCCACCTGGGGTCAAGTTCCGAAGCTGTACATCTAGGAGGCCTACCAGCTGGTCCATGGCCCGGACAGAGTAGGTGATGTCCCCAGCATTCAAGTGATTTCTTGTCTGTTCAGCCAGCTCTCTAGCAATGTTGGCAGCTGTTTCACCAGATTTCAACTATAATTTTTAAATGGAATACAAAGGAAAGAGATCTCACATAAATACTTTTATTGCTTTCTTTCAACGATCATGTTTGCATGTAATTGTAATCATCGATTCAAGAAATAGTTGTTAAACTTCATCTTCATCTGGAATACACTCCCCAATTTTTCCTGCGAATTAATCTTTTTCTTGAAAACTTGACTTTAAACGCATGTCTTCAGAAAGCTCCTCCTGAGGAAACTTACTTTGAAAAATCATGCTTACCTTAATTATCTATTTGGGTCGTTAGGTCTAAGGTTTGCCCTATTATTTTCTCTGTGAGTTTCTAAAGTGGACTTAGTTGCGTGTGTCTTGTAAATCCCCAACCACATTGTAAGTTCTCAGAGGCAAGTGCAAATTTTCCTTTGTGTCTGGTTTAGCACTTAGTTCACAGTGAATACTCATCAGCTACTAAGCTCTGTGAAAATTGACAGAAATAAAATCCAGGCTTTTCAAAGTGATTTTCATCTTCTTACTAACTGTATAAGGAATTTTGCTCCCAGTATGCTGGGTAGCAAACTATTGCTTAGTTTCAAGTATTTTTCTTCTCTGAAACTACATGCTGATTTTTTCAAGTACATTCTACAAGAATATGTCAAATGGTCAACACTCCAAAAATATTAAAACAGATAAAGACCTAATACCTCATCATCACTAGAACAAATTTGATAGCCATGGGTAATTCGAAGTTAGGAATATATATTAATTGGTAAGAAAGTCATGAGAAACAAGAAAGAAGAAACAAGAATAAGTAAATAAGCATAATTTCCCAAGTTATAATCTTCTTTGTTTTAAAATTAATAAACTAAAACAGGATTATAACACATTTACACTAAATAAATAAAAAGTGTACAAAGTAAAAATAATGAACATCTCTATTTCACCTTGCTATATTCTCACTTTCCAGAGACTTTTTTTTTTTTTTTTGAGGCGTTGTTTTGCTCTTGTCGCCCAGGCTGGAGTGCAATGGCATGATCTCGGCTCACTGCAACCTCTGCCTCCTGAGTTCAAGCCTCCCAAGTAGCTGCCTCCTGTCCCAGCCTCCCAAGTAGCTGGGATTACAGGCGCCCGCCACCATGCTCAGCTAATTTTTGTATTTTTAGTAGAGATGGGGTTTCACCATGTTGCCCAGCCTGGTCTTGAACTCCTGACCTTAGGCAATCTACCCGTCTCGGCCTCCCAAAGTGATGGGATTACAGGCATGAGCCACTACGCCCGGCCTTTTTCTTTTCTTTTTTTTTCTTTTGTAAGACAGGGTCTCACTGTCACACAGGCTGAAGAAGTGCAGGGGCACAATCATAGCTCATCACAGTTCACTGTAACCTTGAATTCCTGGGCTCAAGGCATCCTCCCAGCTCATCCTCCAATGTAGCTGGGACTACAGGTGTGCACCCACTATGCCTGGCTAATTTTTTTTTCAGTTTTGTAGAGATGGGGCTCCTGGTCTTACGCTATCCTTCCACTTTGGCCTCCCAAAACACTGAGAGTATAGTTGTTAGCCACCAGGAGTTTGTTAATCATTTGATATGTATCTTTTCAAACTTTAACCTGTCCTACTATCAGAGGCCTTCCAACCACAGTAACTCCATTTTGAGTGAGGGCTAGGAAAATAAGGCCGGGACTTGCTGACCTGCATTCTCAGAAAGTTAGGCATTCCTAGCTTCTAGATATTTATGGTTAAGGGAACAAATTAGTAATGTTTGCTAAACAGACCCAGGCTTGGGAGATATCCCGATATCTAGAGAACAAAGGCATTTCTAATTTTTCTTTAAAGATAATAATATCAATTTTTGCAAAATATAGCAATTAAGAAAATTAATGCTTTATCACAAACCCTTGGAGCACAGCACATCTCCCCAATATCTCTTTTTATCATATATCATATATATATATATCATGTGTATATATATATGTGTATGTATATACATATATCATATATATATCATGTATATATCATATATATACATATACAAGTACTGGGCTGGGCACGGTGGCTCATGCCTGTAATCCCAGCACTTTGGGAGGCTGAGGCGGGTGGGTCACGAGGTCAGGAGTTCGAGGCCAGCTTGGCCAACATGGTGAAACCCTGTCTCTAGTGAAAATACAAACATTAGCTGGGCATGGTGGCGCATGCCTGTAGTCCCAGCTACTTGGGAGACTGAGGTAGGAAAATTGCTTGAACCCAGGAGGTGGAGGTTGCCGTGAGCTGAGATCGCACCACTGCACTCCAGCCTGGGTGACAGAGCAAGAGTGTCTCAAAAACTAACTAACTAAATAAATAAATAGAAAAAATATATACAAGCATTTTACCTAGGGTGGATGCATTCCTCCTCTTACTTTTGGGAACATCCTATACTGTCTATGGAATCAACTTGCTTTTGCTTTGCACTGCGGACTCACCCTAAATTCTTTCTTGGGCAAGATCCAAAAGCCCTCTCTTGGGGTCTGGATCTGAACCCCTTTCCTGTAACACCATTACTATTTAAATATATAACAGTATCATTATGTACAAAATTATTTTCTTCCCCTTTTTAAAGGCAGTCCAACACAGAACATGGGAACATAAAGAGAAAGCTATTCTCTTTGTAAGCTGTTTGACTAATGGGTATTCAGAAAGCTCAAAGGGGCACAACTAAAACTCTTATTTAAATAGGTAGGTTATCGATTATCATGATCTACTTGGGATGCTTAGCATTTATATCAGGATTGAATGTTAAAGAAACAATAAATTAATTAAACTGATTAGAACACCTAAATTATTTACAGTCATATTCTCATGTATGTAGGAAAGCCTAACTCAAAAAGTAAAAAAAAAAAAAAGTTTAATATCATTAAGTGGTGTCAAGGGTTTGTTTCAATGAATATCACCTCCATAAACTACTATTGGTAGTGTATATTTGTATTGCTCCTATTAGAGTAAATTACCATTGTCTATTAAACTTTGACATGTGAAGACTGTGTAACTCAAAGTATCAACCACAAGAAATAATCCCACAGATATACAAAGAGAAATGTTCAAGGATGTTGATTCCAGCTTGTTTATGATAAACAATAAAATGGATTATGACTATATAAAACTCTGCAGGCAGATTCATACCCTGGAATTTTTTTAAATTAATTTTTTAAATTAAGACAGTCAAATTTGGCAGTGTGGGGGTTGTATAGCAAGTACATTGACACTAATGTTAATAAATTTTGATAATCCACTACCATCTGATCAGCCCATACCATGAAATATTATCCAAGTGTAAAATTATGAAGGAGATCAATAATGTTAAGATTAGTCTTCAGGATATATTGTTGAGTTAAAATAAATGCAGATATGAGAGTTATTTACATATATATGCTAATAAATATTTGCATGCTATTGAGAAATACAAACACACTACATAAGTAATTGTAAATATGCTACTTGTGAAAAAGATAATATATACAATATTTTTGTTTATTTATATATGTGAATTTCTATATATTTAAATATATAGAACAAAGCCTAAAAAGAGACTCAAAAGAGAAATCCTTACCTATAATGAAAAGAGAAATCCTTACTTATAATGTTAAAATTTTACATGAAAAATATGTTAAACAATTATTATATAATCAATATTTTCTAGAATTACTTTTTTTTTCTTTTTTTTTTTGAGACAGAGTCTTCCTCTGTCTCTGAGGCTGGAGTGCAGTGGCATGATCTCGACTCACTGCAACCTCTGTCTCCCCAGTTCAAGTGATTCTCATGCCTTGGTCTCCCGAGTAGCTGGGATTAAAGGTGCATGCCACCATGCCCAGCTAATTTTTGCATTTTCAGTAGAGATTAGGTTTTGCCATTTTGGCCAGGCTGGTCTCGAACTCCTGATCTCAAGCCATCTGCCCGCCTCGACCTCCCAAAGTGCTGAGATCATAGGCGTGAACTACTGCACCTGGCCCAACTTTCGAGAAATTCTTAAAATAGAAAATATCAGGACTGAGTATAATAAATTTGTAAAATATGGTCAGGATCTTTATACCTAAAATACCTGTAAGACTAAATGGAATACATTATAGGGTTCAAGGATATGTATGTAACAAACTCAATGTAGATCAAAGTAGCATTTGTGGCCCACTGGTGGGTCATGAATGTACTTTTAAGTGTTCATAAAGTGATATAAATGTGATTAAAATTCATACATTTAAATTTCTGTACATAAATTAGGGCTACTTACTGATAATACAGTAAATCAAGTAACGCATTCTAAAATTCAGTATTCATTAGTTAATTTAGTGAGATGTTGGTATAGTATAAGTATTCAAATTCAATATTCCATCAAGAAGTCTAGATATCTGATACAACTCATACTTTGCAAAACTCCCCCACTGGGCATAGGAATATCTAAGATAGCTGGAATTCCTATAATGTTCCAAAGGGACATTATTTTAATTAATGTGCCATTCATAGTATTCTGCAGGTTATAATTTTTCACCTGTTATACTCTTATAATAATATGTTTGTAGAATTACTATTGTTTTATTTTGTTAATCATGGGTTCTTATGTAATTATTTTGTTGTTATTATTATTAAGTTTCCTTCTCCGTCTTTGTTACCACACAATATTGTTTCTATAAGAAAAAAGTCAGAGTTTGATGGACCTCTGAGGTTTTATGATTCACTTAAATGTACCACGGTGACAAAAGTTTGAGATCTACTAAATTAGGTAATTCATTTCCTTCATTAATATATCTTCAAAACGAAGGATACAAGTATTGACTTTAATTACATCTATCGATGATCATTATGAATAGCAAAATTAGTCATCAAATAGAGAACAAAATGAAATAGTGGTACTGGTATTTTCATATTGTAATTCCATTTCTTTTTTTTTTTCTGTGTAGTTATACAAACATAGTTTTCAATATTAATTATTGTATTATTGGAGTGGGAAACGAAAAGGTGGAAAAGAAGGCCTATGCAATTCTCTTATATAAAAATTTATTGATATCAAAGGGTAGTAAAAAATTAAACATTTTCTTTATGTGCAGTAATGAAAAAGTTGAAATTGTAGATGACCAATAAGTCAAAATGTAATTATTCTCAATACAAAAGATAATAAAGAAGGCCAGGCGAATGGCTCACACCTGTTATCCTAACACTTTGGGAGCCTGAAGTGGGCAGATCACTTGATCTCAGAAGTTCGAGACCAGCCTGGGCAACACAGCGAAACCCCATCTCTACAAAAAATAGCCAGGCAAATTCATCTGCCCATATATGTGTCAACAACAGTGCAGTTTTATAAACCAGAAAGTAAAATAAGAAAATCTCTAATGAATTCTCTTGAAAATAGTAACAGTATTTTGGCATTCAAGAAGTGTTTTTTTTTTTTTTTTAATGAACAATAAACTTAATCCTTCAAAAGAGCCTGGGAACTCAATGTTTAACAACAAAAATGTTGGAAGGAAAAAAACTGAAGTGAAATAGGTTATAAAAATATTTGTAGGCTGGGCATGGTGGCTCACATCTGTAATCCCAGCACTTCGGGAGGCCAGTGCAGGAGGATCACTTGAGCTCAGGAGCTGGAGACCAGCCTGGGCAACATAGGGAAGCCCTATGTCTACAAAATTAAAGAAAAAAAAAATTTCTCAGGGCCCACAGTGGTCCCTGCTACTTGAGGGGTTGAGGTGGGAGAATTGTTTCATCCCGAGAGGTTGAGGTTATAGTGAGACATGGCCATGCCACAGCACTTCAGCCTGGGTGACAGAGTAAGACCTTGTCTTTAATGAATAAATGAATAAATAAATATGTTTATAGTAAAAATATAAAAAGTATCTTTTTAAAGTAAAATAAAAACTGCTATAACAAATTATTTTCTGACCCTCTATTCTTTTTTTTTTTTTTTTTTTTTTTTTTTTTTTTTGCTGTTTCCCAAGCTGGAGTGCAGCAGCAGAATCACAGCTAACTGCAGCCTTGAACTCCTGGCCTCAAGCAGTCCTCCTGTTTCAGCTTCCCAAGTAGCTAGGGCTACAGGCCCTCTCTTTATCTTAAAGTGAATAAATCATAGCAAAAATGTTTCATTCTTTCAATGCTTCTTTGCACACTTGTTATTTCCTGAGGAAATAAAAGATGAATCTTATACAGCTCTTGCCCTCATGGGCTTGGGACGAGGTGCATAAAAGATCATATGAATTCAACAATTCAGCTGTTGTGACAGGAAAGTGTATGACGTATTATGGGAATACAGAACAACTGGAAAGGTGAGGGAGGGCAAGAAGAAGTAACCACCAAGTGAAACCTTGAAAGGTAAGTTGAGGGATACAAGGTACAACGGAATACTAATGGGTGCTATTGAGGGGAAAGAATAAGCCAAGAATATGATACATAAAAAGTAAGGTCTAGAATAAACATGGTTTGAGTAGACATAGTACTAGGTACAACAAGAAGAAAAAACATTTTTTATACCTTCAGAATCCAATATTGCTACCTGCATATCCATGTGTTTGTGTCTAGCTATCTCCATCCGCTTATCTATCCATCTATTATTTCACTGATTGTTCATTCAGCCTACATATTCATTTGTTCTCTGATGAACATTTGAATCTCTACAGTCCTGTGCTAAGGTCAGTGTTGAATAAAATATTTTCTAGTAAGAGGGAGCTTATATACTAGCCATGGAAAGAGTTATTAAAAATTTATCTGTACAAATATATAATTTTAATTTTGTTGAGAGCAATACAGAATCCCAGTGTGGTAGAGTAGACATTTTAACCTGGTGTATGTGATTAGGGAATAATTTAGGAAATGCTTCTCTGAGGAAGAATGTTTCATTTGAGATGGAATAGAAAGAAGAAATTAGATTGGGATGTGGGTAGGGGCCTCTGGGCAGAGGGAACAGCTTTTAGGAGGGAGGGGCATGGAGTCTTAGAGAAACTGCACAAAGGGCACCATATCTGGAGTTTAGGCAGCTGGAGAGGTGAGCAAGGAGAAGAGTAAGTAGTTCTGGTTTAGAAGTCATGATGAAGATTTGGGGAATTACATTAAGAATAATGGGAAGGTCCTGAAGAGCTTAAATAGGATCCGTCTAATTAGGTTTGTATTTGAAGTCAAATTCAGGGGAAAGGATTAGAGGGTTCAGGAGTGAATGAAAGGAGATCTGGGTGATGAGAAATTGCTATGGATTGGGGTAGTGGGCATGGAGAGAAGTGAAAAGCAGTGGCCTGGCCTGAGAGGAATTTACAGTTACACCTGACAGGACTAGTGTCTGACTGGGTGCGGGAGGGGAAGGAAAGGGAGTCACCAAAAGCCATTCTTGGGTTTCTGGTTTTCCTAACTCCACGGTGGTACCATTAACTGATTTCTCCCACAGCTGCTCCCAATTCAGTTTCATGGCCACATTTTCTGTCCAGCTGTAATGGCCCACATCCTCTCCAGTGGCACCCAAAGTGAATATCTTTCTGATCCCCCTGTTTACTTCTCTCACTCCAGTTATTGTAGACTATAATGATCTTATTTCCATATAAAAATATACATATATGTTGAATGTGCCTCAAGTTTTCTGTGCACATAGGCAGGGCTGAAATACATTTATTCCACATCTCATAGCTTAAAGACCTCACTAACTTCTTTTACTAAATTCTACTAAAATTTTTCTCAGAAATAAGCACATACACACTGAGAAATGTTATGAGTTTTGTGAGGATTAGTAAATTAATGCCTATATTGATATGGTGGGATTATATCTAGGACTTGAATCAGGGAGGGAAAACCCAGTAGCTTTAGTTAAAAATAATAATTATGACAGAGACAGATAACATGTTAAGTTTTGATACAAGTCAAAACAATTTTTTAAAATTCAGCATTGAGATTTTATCATATCAACCACTAATCAAGGGCCAAAACAATTTATAAAGGAATTACACATAGCATTGAAGTACATAGCTACCATTTCTTTGAAAGATCTGTCTATTTTACTATAAATCTGAGTCAGGTGGGTATATAAGCAACAAAATGCTTCTATCTTACAATTAAACATAAGTTAAATAAGTCTAAAATTTTGGAATTGCCACCAATCTCTGATAAAATAAAGAAGCAATTTATTTTCATTTCATGCTGGATCTAAGGAAGATAAAATGGGGAATTTAAGATATAGGAGACAGGATTCAACCTAGTTTCTAGGGGAAATAACTGACTCGTTGTCAAACGTTGTAAAATACTGTAAAATGTCAAATGATGTAAAATGGCAACATTATTTCTAGATTTTCACATCCTTCTTTAGAAAGTACAGGAATAACCTCGCGGTATCTGGAAATCTATCAGTAACTTGTATACAAACAGAAACAGAGACACTTTGGTTTGTTAGAAATAGGAAGAGACTATTCTCACCATTACAATATAGACAATTCTTTTTCATGTAATAGTGGAATCATGTAACAGAGTAGGAAGCTGACTTCTCTTTGCATGTAAATAATAAAGAAGCTATACAGAACTATACTATCACCAAAGTTGAAGTGAAAAAAGACGGGTGAAATTATAAACCACAATGCATTCTTTAAAAGTATGCAAAATAGTCTCCTTTTTGAAAAACTGAGTGCAAGCTGGAGATCAAGCTGAGGCAAGAGACTATGATTTTACAGCAGTCATTAAGATAGGTGAGAAATCGGGTATTTTGCCGCATATGTTTCAGGAGGCATGGCTCTGAGTCAACTTGTTGGCTTTCAATAAAAACTGGAAACTTTTTTAAGAACATTAATTTGGAGACATATATCTATCTTCCAATGTATGTAGATATGTATATAGATATGTATCTATTTATGTATCTATCTGTTCATTTATCCTTCTCCCTATTTTTCCATCCATTCATCCATCCATCCACCTACATCCATCAAGACTTCCATCCACCCACCTACTGGTCTTCCTTTTCCTCTCCCTTTCCCTCTCTTTTTTCTCTATCTCATTGCTGGAGTAAAGGTCCCCTTTTGTACAACTTATGCTTTTCTCCTTTCTCTTCTGCACAAATTATGTTTTTTATTAAATCTCATCTTTATGAATGTATTCCAGCTAGTTTATTCGCAACAAATTCCTTTGTGATATTCTAACTTTAACAGCTTACATCTTCTCTAGTGAAAAGTAATCCACTCTTTAGTGTCACACAGAATTTAATCTCTAACTTTACCAGTACATGAGTGACTCAAATTCATTTTTGAGTTGAAACCATCAAGATTCTTTACCTGTTTTCTTCCACTTGGCCTGATTGCTGGGGGAAAAAAAAACATAATTCATGTTTTCAAGAAAATGTAAATGTAAAATTTCTTTTTTGAACTAAAGTCAGCAACTTGGTGCATTTAGTTGAGTATAATTGCTACCTATGCAATCTATAATGGTGGTGACATACAGTGAGCACATACTGATAATAAAATTAATGATCTACTCCATTTTACAGATGGGGAAACGAATCCAGAGGTTAATGATATGTCCACCATAACTCAACTATCAAGATCCTCAAGTCAGTGCTCTTTCCTTCATGTCCTCAGGAGTTCTCCAGGGACACTGTAAAGATGAGAAGGAGGTTGCACGGTCTGAATGTTTGTGTCCTTCCAAAATTCACATGTTAACACTGAATCCTCAATGTGATAGTGTTAAGAGGTGGGGCCGCTGGGAAGGGATTAGATCATGAGGACAGAGCCCTAATGACTGGGATTAGTACCCTTATAAATGAGGCCCCAGAGAGCTGTCCCTTCCACCATGTGAGGATTCAGTGAGAAGGTGCTGCTGATGAACCAGAAAGCAGGCCCTCATCAGAGAAAGGATTTGCCAGCACCCTGATCTTGGACTTTCCAGCCTCCAGAACCATAGTAAATATACTTCTGTTGTTTATAAGCTACCTAGTCTATGGTTGGTTTGTTTGTTTGTTTGTTTTAACCATAAACCATAGCAGTCCAAGTGGACTAAGAAAGAAGTGGTTCACCCTTCAGGGTACATTAATTCACAAAATCCCTGAGAAGAAGAAAACTACTATTTCAAATATATACTTTTTTTTTGCATGTGTATATTGTGGTTTTTTTTCACCTGTGTTTCCATTGGGGGTAAAAAGTGTTCCTTTGCTTTACAAGTTTGAAATTCACAAAACTATACTGGCAGCAGGGGGAGGGTAAAGGGGAGAATGAAACATTAAAGATATCTATTTGACTTCAATTTTTCAACATGGCAAATGGCAGGAAAAAAATCAGTTGCAGAAATGGAAAGAGGTAGGAGATCAGAGCAGAAGGGTGTGAGAAAAAGGAAATCAAAGAGGGAGGAGAGGGGAGGTGAAGGGCAAAGGAAAGAGAAGGAGATGGTGATATAGGAATTAAAAAGAAATTATTTAGGCAGATAGTGAGGCAAGAAAGTCCTCAGTAAGGTTTTCCTGTTAATGAAAAGCAGCCCCCAAATCATTTCTTTTCTAACAAAGAGCAGCCTGTAAAATGGAGCTGCAGAGGTAGAAAGGCAAGCTAGAAGCTTGCACAGGTGAATGGTGGCAGCTGTGCCAACAGGAGAAGGCTACCTGGGAGTAGGCATCAAAATGGCAGCTCCTTCCCTTTCCCAGCCATGTGTACAGTAAGGAGCAGGCAACGTGGCCTGCCAAGTGGAAAGCCTATTTGCATAATAAGATTAGGGTGGTGGGGCATGGTGGCTCACTCCTGTAATCCTAGCACTTTGGGAGGCTATGACAGGCAGATTGCCTGAGCTCAGGAGTTTGAGACCCGCCTGGGCAACATGGTGAAACCTCATCTCTACTAAAATACAAAAAATTCGCCAAGTGTTGCAGTGTGTGCCTGTAGTCCCAGCTTCAGGAAGCTGAGGCAAGAGAATTGCTTGAACCTGGGAGTTGGAGGTTGCAGTGAGCCAAGATTGTGCCAGTGCACTCCAGCCTGGGTGACAGAGCGAGACTTCATCTCAAAAAAAAAAAAAAGATTAGGGTGAGATTTCTAGCCTTCCAGTCTTCCCGGCAGGCTGTGTAAACATCACACCTGGTCCAGCCAATCTTGGGCCTTACATAAATCAGACACCATCTCCTCAAGCCTGCCTATAAAATCTGGTGCACTACCACTCTGGGCCAGAATTCCCATTCTAGAGCCCCTCTCTCTCTCACAAGAGAGAGAGTTGTTCTCCTTTCTCTTCTTTTGCCTGTTAAAACTCTGCTCCTAAACTCACTCCTTGTGTGTGTCTGTGTCCTTAATCTTCTTGGCTCTAGATGATGAGCCATGGGTATTTACCTTAGACAACAATGCTGATTCAATGGGAAAAAGAAGAAGGGTGAGAGAAGGGAGTGGAGAAAAGCCAAGGACTATGTTGGGTACCTCCCATTTGCTAGTTCAGGGCTACTCTCTACCCTCCTCCATCCTGCCTTCTGCCCTACGTGGTGGACTTACATGATAGTCACTAAGTGTGTCCTTCTTTGGCTTCTGGTTGGGTTTGGCCAGTGGGGTCGCTTGACAGGTAAATGGAGGGTGGAGGGTAAGTAAGGTCAGGGTATTCATTCTCCTGGATTCCTTTCTGAAAGGCCACCTGGGGCTAAGCTGTGTCCCTTGCCTTAAGATCATCTTTCTTCCCAAGGACAAATTGCTCCTTATTTTTGGTCACTCCTTTGATCTGGTACCCTACAGGCCTGGGGTTGGGAACAGCTCCTTCCCTGCTACAAGCTCTGGGTTTCTGCTCAATCCCTTGCAGTTTGCCTTTACTGCCCCAATACCATTGTAAACAAAACCTCCTCAAGTGTTCCATCTGTGTGGACTCTGGTACTACACAGGTATTACAATGAGAGGAAGGAGATGAGAAAAGGGATGAATTCTATGAAAGACAGCTGGGGAGGTGGGGGATAAAATATAGACAAACAATCCTGTGAACACTACAACAGATTCTTGAAGTTTTCAATACTAATATTTAAAAGTGTTAGAGTTTTGTGGTAAAGAAACCTGCTCAACTATCATTTATAGTCAATGAGTAGCATAAATATTTGGAGGCATAAGGGACACAACCAAGTAAAAGAGTAGGCAGAGTGCAGAGGGACAGCATAGGTAACTGAGTGTAAGGCTGTGAAGCCAATCATAAGCTATCCATGGTTTAACCAGTGTTGTGGTTAAGTATGATGTCTTGATGAAGGTAATCTCAACTAAAATATTAGCTCCACCACTGACCTTGGACAAGTTACATAAGCTGATTCAGAATGCTCAAAAGCCTCTTGTTACACTTTTTAAGATTTTATAAATTTTTGAGTAATCAATCTAAGGTTTTTTTAATAAGTTCCAATCAACTAAGTTCTTTAAGTTTAAATATAATGATCACATAACATAGTTTTACAGACTCTACAGGATGAAACAAAATGCACTGGAAGAATAGGAGGTATTTTTTTACAAAACAAAAACATCCTGTCCATAAATCAGATGGACAACAGCTGTCTGGTCTTTGAAAGGAATTATCTTTTGTCCTAAGATTAGCTGGGCTGCAGAGAAAAGAAAAGAATTAAGCATCATTATCAGTTAAAGTCACCTAGTAATTTCTACAATAAAATGGTCCAACTATATTCAGAAATTATCGTGAAAACATTCAGCCTTTTCTAGAAGAATTATTATTGAATTTATATTCACCCCTGGGCTAAGTATCTAGGGACTGTTTTTAAAGAATTGCTAATGTAGGGAGATATGCTACTGATCTCTTAATCTGATCACATCCAGCAAGAGTTATTTGCCCAGGGGTCTGAGCTACATTGTAATAAAATCAAAGGACATAAAAACTGTGGCAGGAACAGTGCTGAAACTGGAGAAGCATCATTATGAATAGCAACAAGTACGGAGATGCATATGTAAGAGGGTAACTAGAGTCAATATAACCACTATTCTTCCATGATTTAGGGTAAATAGATAGTTATGGCTCATCTGCTAAATGATCTACTGGGTAGATATTTATGGATTATTATACAGTATATTATTGAGGATAAGTCTGGTTAAAAACAAATAGAGAAAAGAGCAAATGGCACAGGCAGGCTTTTAGTAAGGCCATCATTTGTAATATTTCTCGGGAAAATCTCTCTCAGAAATTCCTCAGCATAGCTAATGTGCCATAGAAGGACTCTCCATTTTAGGAGTGCATAAATCCACATAAATTGCTATAATAAGGATTCATCCCATAACCCTTTTGGCATAAATGCACATCTGGTCTCTGTTTGTAATGAAATCAATTCAAAGCCCCACAGTGCATTAATAATAAAAATGTTCAACATATTGCAACCAAATAAGCCCTGAAAATTTGAGTCTGCAAGATTCTGTCACACATGTGTATATTTTTATCATTGATAAATGATTAGGTTACAGAACATTTATCAGATGGCTTAAGATTCCAAAGGTAGACTTTGAAAAATTATAATTATTTCCACAAGAAAACTCGTAAGTATACATGCTAGAAACTTTTACTTGCTTAATGTATAATGCCTCTTGGACTTTTATAGCTGTAGTGCACAATACCAGAGAAATTTTATTAATAATAAAATTATTATAAGCAATATAAGAAGAAATTCATGGATTTGCACTTTAAAAACAACAAAATTCTAGAATTAGCTCATAACATATTAGAGGTTGTCATTAAATGTGAAATTTTCTACATTGATTTTAAAAGAATTCTTGACTGTTTTTTTTCCAACAGCTATCATCAACAACAGATGATATAGTTTTAGCAAAGACTTTCTTGTCAGTCACAAGATTTACCTTCTGTGTTATATGATTGACCCAAGGAGAAGAACAGTTGCTGAGATCTGGACCTTGGGGATCCCAAATTCCATCAGGAGCAAGGCATAGATAAGTTGATACACCTGTAATAATGAGAGAAATGTATCTGTTTCTTTTTCTTAGAATGACTTCACATCCATGGTATATTTTAAAATAAGCAAAGGTAAAAATGAGATAATTAAATTGATATAATGTTTATTAAAACACCAGATACAGTGCCAGTAAGCATTTAGCACTAGAGAAATGTAGTACTCCAAACAAAAACATACAATATGTTTGAAGCATTTGTGGCAGCCACATTAGGTATGGGGACTATTATTATTATTATTATTATTATTATTATTATTTGAGATGGAGTCTTGTTCTGTTGCCCAGACTGGAGTGCAGTGGCAAGATCTCGGCTCACCGCAACCTCTGCCTCCCGGGTTCAAGTGATTCTCCTGCCTCAGCCTCCCAAGTAGCTGGGACTACAGGCATCCCCCACCACACCCGGCTAATTTGTGTATTTTTAGTAGAGGCAGGGTTTCACCATATTGGCCAGGCTGGTCTCAAACTCCTGACCTCGTGATCTGCCCGCCTTGGCCTCGCAAAGTGCTGGGATTACAGGCGTGAGCCACCGTGTCCAGCCGAGGACTGTTTTTAAAGAATTTCATGGATGAGATGATGTGATATGTGCCTCCATGGAGGTTAGTGCTTGACTTTGTAGAGGCAAGGTAGCAGTTGAGTCTTAAAATAAGTGTGCAGGTTTTTCAGAAAAAAAACAAGGTGGAAAAGGATATTCCAGGTGGAAAAATATATGTTCTTTGGGAAACTTCAAGTTTTTTTGAACTGGGGTCTACTGGACTGGGGAGTTGTATTTAATGAAAGTAGAAAAGTAAACCAGATCATAAACTCCCTTGTCTATCATTTGTGGGTGCCGGAAAATCAATGAGAATATTAAAAGAGGAGATAGATGATGAGCAAATTTGAGTTTTGGAATGATATCTCTGGCAGAAACATGGAAGATGAATTTCAGAGAGTAATGGCGTGATGGTGAGGAAGCTATTGCAATAATTCAAGTGAGAGACTGTGGGGGCCTAGACAAAGGCATAACAGAATGGACACAGATGGGTAAAAATGAGACTGGGGTGTATTGACAGTAATCCCTGAGGGCTTCAGAAAATATCTTTTCCAATTGTCACTGAAAAATAATGACACATTTCTGTAGAGCAAAGTGCTTTCAAATAAAGTGTTTCACTAATCTTCAAAACAAAGGTCTGCAGTAAGGGGCTATTATTATTTTTCTTTTAGAAGTAAAGGAACTGAGACCACAACCAAGAAAACAGAGCTAAGAAAAAAGATGGTTTCCAACTGTTCTCTGATTCCAGGATCACAGGATTCTCCCTCTTTTTCCTAAATAAAATGAGTATTTTTGAATATTTTAAAATATTTTGCTGGAAAAAAGTGTATTTTTTATAAAAACCAAGATACCCTTTGGTCTTCCCACCCACCATTTCCTATACCATGGAATATGAAATGATATACCCATATCAGAACTTTCTAAGAAAAACTTTTTTCCTTAAAGTATCCAAATCAATAATACCCAAGGAGAAAGTCCCTGAGAATGCTGGATGACAGACGTTGTGAATTTCTCTTATTTACATATTTTAGAGAATAATGCAAATGTGCCAAGTATTCATTTATGAATACCAATGTACGTAACAATAAGAAAATCAGAATACCTTTGCTTAAGCAAAATAAATAATAATATGGTTAACAGGTGAAGATATTATGAATGATATCAGTAATAAAATAGGCAAAGAAGGCCAGGCGCAGTGGCTTATGCCTGTACTCCCAGAACTTTGGGAGGCTGAGGCGGGCTGATCATCTGAGGTCAGGAGTTTGAGACTAGCCTGGACAACATGGCGAAACCTGTCTCCACTAAAAATACAAAAAAGAATTAGCCGGGCATGGTGGTGGGCGCCTGTAATCCCAGCTACTCAGGAGGCTGAGGCAGGAGAATCACTTGAACCCTGGAGGCGGAGGGTAAGCCGAGATCATGCTGCTGCACTCCAGCCTGGGCGACAGAGTGAGACTCCGTCTCAAAAAAAAAAAAAAAAAAAAAGGCAAAGAAATATTGAGTTCTTATCTATCCCCTAGAGGAAACAATGCAGGATTGTTCTCTGGTGGATGCATGAGTGAGTGCCAGGTTGACTCCTGCAGCATGGTCCCTGACAGTGTTAAGAGCCTTTGACCATCAGAGGACAACTACAATGGCTGATGAAAAGGAGAGTCAAACTTTCTTTTTTGTTACATATTAGGTCATTTCCATGATAATCTTCTAATATAGAAGTCCTCAACCTCATTTTCTGCAATCAATATCTGATGGTTGGTGACAAGCATGAGTCTAACTCCCAGCAATCAAGTGATCCCCTCTGGACTGCTGTATAGAAAAGCTGAGCCTCTAGAGTAGCCAGTACATCTACAGCCTAACTTTACCTTGACCCAGAGACCTGAAACTATGAGGGCAAAGTGCAGGTCTCACAGGTTACCTGTGACTTAATCAGGTTACATTTTCAAACTCTGGAAAATAGATAGCTTTAAATTGTAATTTAGCTGAGTTCAGAATTTAGTCAAATGTGAAGTAATAAAATATGTTGTAATGAAAAAAAAGAAAGAGGAAAGAAAGAAAGAAGAAAGAAAGAGAGAAAGAGAGAAAGAAAGAAGGAAGGAAGGAAGGAGAAAGAAAGAGACAAGGAGGGAGGGAGGGAGGAAGGGAGGGAGGGAGGAAAGGAGGAAGGAAAAGGAAAAGAATACTAGAAAATAAAGCCAAAGCAACACAACAGTTTTAACTTAGTGCTTTAGCACAGACTTACCTATAGTTCCTGCAGGGCATGGCTGCTTTGCTATCTGTCCTTGACGAGTCTTAAACCACATGATTTCTCGGGCTTCCACAGCCTCACAGCTCTCTTCGAGAGCTGGGATTTGGGACGATGCTGATGGAAGGTGTGTGGTCATGTCATCAAGTACCTCGACAGCTGGAGATGGGGTACTAGTACTCCGGTTTCTTCTTCCTGACACTGACGGGGTGGTACTCCTTCCTGGGCTCAAAGTTGTGGTCCGAAGGGTGGTACTGGTGGTAGTGCTTCCCATGCCAAGAGGTCCTGTGGTAGAGATATCTGAAATAAAATTAGAAAGAAAACACCTACATTGCTTGTTCACAGGAGGACCTCAAGATGTCCTAGTACTTTAGAAATTGTTTTTATTTGACAGTTCAAAGAGCTTTAAAGCTCTAGAAGTCTTCAACCTGATTTTCATTTTAAACATGGCAAAAATAAGCCAATACCAAGGTATCAGGATGCCACTTGAGTATCAAAACAACCATCTGACCACTGCCAAACACAAGCTTTTTAAGGGTTCTTCGAAACTCAAATCCCAGAAACAAAATTACAGCACAACTCAACTCTTCAGTAAGCTTCCTAATGCTCTCAGCCTTTTTGACAATTAGATGATTAAAACTTTAAGCCCTCTCCTTAGAATTATCAAACTTTGTATAGAAGGGAGAACTATATATAAAATTTTATTTTCACATGAAGTGTAATATGGATTTCTAAATATGCAGCAAATAGGTGAGAGGACAAAAAAAAAAAAAGGAAACAGAAATTAAACTGCTGACAAGCTAAAAAATAAAGAGCAATCCTGAATATAGTCTCCTTAAACACAAACTGGAGTAGCTTAGTGATCTACTTTATTGCTCTTAGAACTGACTCACCTTCACACAATTTTCAAATTTGATTTTCATTAATGTAAAGTATAAGTAGTTTCCAAATAGTTACAACCCTAAATTATCCTCTAACAAGATTGTTTGAATGGGAAAATGTATTCCAAGTTCCAAATAAAATAGTTAGGTTCTTTGTTAGGTAATTGAACCTATGTTTCCAAGGAATAGGCATACTATGGAATTAACCACTGCAAAGAATCATCTTTCTCGGAAAATATATTCATATTCTCATCATGGAAATGCAAGAGTATGCTTGTCCTTCCTGTACACAGACTGCATACCTAGCTGTAAGATTAGAAACTACTCTTAACCTCACTTACTGGCAATAAACTGTAGGGATATTGGCTCTAGTCTGATTCAAGATCACTCATGTTTAAGGAGATGTAGGGCATTCTGATATGAGTCTCTAGCTGTTTGTAATTCATTTTCTACTTCCCTTAAAATATCATCATCTCCGCTGCCCCGAGGAGGTCCCCAGGTTCATTCACAATGTATTTGGTGTATATAAAGCTTCCAAAGAAACAGGAGAGACATGGTGAAGGGATGGGATATTTTTGAATATTTCATCACTGAAATTGTAGTATTTTTTGAAGTGATGCTGTCTATTATGTGTCTTTTGCCTCTTTCTTCTATTTTCCCTCCCTCTCTTCTCAACTTTCCTTCTCTTTCTCTCATGGTCCCTTTCCATATGAATGGTAATGTTCAGAATTGCATCTACTCAAATTTCATACAAGAAGGCAGAGTGTCTTATTTTCCCTCCTTCTTCCACATATACTATATCTCCCAAATAACCAAGTCTTTTTGATTCTGTCTCATGCCTCTATTTGAAATCCATCTATTTTTTTCTTTCTAATCATCACTATCTACGTTCAGCTCCCCATCATCAACATTTGTTAACGAAAGCAGTAGCAGAGCAAAATGGCAATATAGTCATTTCAATATTTACTTTTGCCAAATCAAAGCTCGTGATTCATAAAATAAAGTTGACACTGAACATATAACACAATCCCAACATAAAATTCAATAACATATTTCAAAATATTAAGTGCAATTGAAAGCTTAAAACTATACACAATAAAAATGTCTCTAATATATATAATTTGCATATATAATAAATCAAATGTTTTAAAAAGAAAACATTACCTACAATAAAGAAAATTGAGTAACTTAAAAACTAAATTTTTACATAGTATTAGCTTAAAAAAAAGTGTGTCAATGGTGTCACTGCTGAGATGTAAGAACATTTTGTGCTATTTTTCCAGCTGACAAAAAAATCTTTTTTGACATCATACTACGTGGGGAATGCTACAGTTTAAATGCGTCCCCCAAAGTTCATGTGTTAGAAACTTCATCCCCAGTGTAAGAGTGTTGAAAAGTGGAACCTTTATGAAGGAATTAAGTCCTGAGGGCTCTGCCCTCGTGAATGGATTAATGCCATTATTGTGGGAGAGGGCTAGGTATCTTGGAAATGGGTTTCTGATAAGAGGATGTGTGTTTGGCCCCCTCCCACCTGTCCCCGCCCCTCCCCCTCAACTGTATGCTCTCTTGCCCTTCTGCCTTCTGCCATGGGATGATGCAGCAGGAAGACTTTTGCCAGTTGTGGGCCCCTTGACCTTGAACTTCTCAGCCTCTAGAACTATAAGAAACTATTCTGTTTTTATAAATTACCCCGTCTTGGGTATTGTTACAGTGGTAGAAAATGAACTAAGATAGGGAAGTAGTAAGGCAATAGTTAAAAGCTAACTCCAACTATTTTCTCCAACTCCTTTAATTCAAATAATGCCAGCTCTCATTTGTACTTCTGAAGGGACCGTTTTGAGCAACTTTTAATTTTTTGACAGGGACTATAATCTTTTCATTGATAATAAGCTACAGTTTTTGTTTCAAACAAAGCATTGCTATTTCTTCTTTGTCTTCTTTAGTTTGATCATGTAAAAATGGAGATTCATAGCAGTTACCTATTATTAGTTAAATAATCTCATGCTCAAATGAACTTGTTCAGGATGCCTCTGAACTAGAGTAAGAATTAATTGTAAAATAGAAGCTCTGTTTTTCAATTGTCTTCTTTCCCTTCTCGAGGATTATGTAGGTACTGATGAATACTTTCTAAATGAAGGTACCTTTCTTCGATTAGATATTTTAATCAGCATATAACTCTCTGGGAGGTGAAAAGATTTGTTCAGCAATCATTTTCACTATGACAAACTACACAGTTACACACGTAGTGCAAGATTTCTCCAGCCTATTGTCTCAACTGCACAAATCATGCACAGCGGGCCATGGCACACCACCACAAGATTTTTGCTTGCTGTGTGATATATGTATTTTAGCATGGGTTTAATAATATATCTTTGTCCTCTATTTAAGTGGTTTAGATTTCAGATTTTTAAAGATAATAGAATGAAACCAAACATAATTTAACAACAGCACCAGTACCATGTAATGAAAATTAATGTTCTTTATTTTTTTTCTAAAATTACCCTATTCAAATCATTCTCTACCTTTTTCCAGAGATACTCTTAGGGTATAAGTTGGAATATGTTAGTTTACTGATTAAAGTGCTTAAATGGTTTCTGTCTGCCCTTCAAACAAAAGCTGAATTGTTTTCTTCATGCCCAAGCCCTTCATGAATTTCTCTCTCCAACTCATTATAATGCTTCCTCATCTTTTAAGTATATTCTTTAAACCATAGAAAATTACCAGTGGTTCCCCAGCTGCACCCTGTTCTTTCTGCCTCAGGGCCTTTGCACATCCTGCAATGTGTTCTTGCCCCCATTTTCACCTGGCTAACTAACTGCTATTTATCCTTTCAGCTTAGCTTGGATGTTATTTCTATCAAGAAGCCTTTTCAAATTTACCAAGACTGGGTTATACACTAATATGTGTTGTTAGGATTAATTCCTTAGCTTTTAGTATTGTGCCCGACTAGGAGTAAATGAGCTCTCAGTAAAGGTAGGTGAACATCAGGACTAGGTCAAGAAGGCAGTGGAGAATATAGTATCCCACAAAAAGAGAAGCATCACAAAATAAGAGAAAGGATAAAGTGGGACAAGCAAATGGGGTGGTTAAGAGTGTGTACAATTAACAGACTGAAAAAATTATTTCTTAAATGCATTTTACATTGTCCATTAGACAAAGTGGAAATATTCAGGAAGAAAATAAAGCTCCCTCTCCCCCAAATGATCCTATCTCAGAACAATTAGATTTAAAGTGAATATACTCTTATGAAGCAATAACAATGATACGGTATTTTTAAAAAACTTCAATTTGTTATGAAAGACATTGGAAGGACTTAGTTTAATAGACATACTAATGTTAGGGATCAATATAGAACTTATTTTCATGGAACTGTGCCACAGAGAGATGTCTACAAGCAGGGTCATACCATTCCATTTAACTTTAAGCAGAATTAAAATTGATTTTAAAGGCTGTCCCTGATCCCCCATACCCATCCTTCCATTTACTGCTATGTAAGACTACCGCAGGCTCTGTTCAATGCCAACTTTTGGCAGAATAGGTACTAGTGATAGACATGCTGTCACCAGCGCCCAAGAAAGGATTCATCTTATTGCTAAATACAAGAGAAAAAAATATAGATTTGCTGAACAGTCACTGATTGGCAAAGTTCTAGCCTATATTATAGGCTATGAGAGTTTATATTCCAGCAATGGAGAGGCGATATGACACTTTTTCAATATATACTGTTATTGAATCTTACCTGATGACATAGCTAGCTTAATAAAACTATGTGTTATAAGTGCTTTGTGTGTTTGTATATCAGAGAAAAGTCATTGTCTAAAAGAAATTAAGTTTGAGTGACTATTTACATATGACATTTTATTAAAATTTTGCAATTTTCCTTATATCATCACTGTTTTTGTGCTCATTGTGCTTATACGGACTAGTATTTTCATAAAAATAACTAAACAAAACTCCTTCTTAGCATTTTACCCTCATAATCTTGCTTCCCAAAGAAAATTTTAATTCTCCTGTCCTTTGAAATTTACTGTTCATAACTCGTTTCTTTCTTAGAATTTGATTTGTTTAATTTTTTTCCTTCAGCCTGCCTTGAAAAGAATAAACATTATTTTGAATGCTATTACGAGTTATAACTTGTGGAGTACAATAATAGAAAACAGTGAAAATAAATACTTGTAAAGTTCTTTACATTTTGCAATTATTTTTTATTTTATTTTTATTTTTTATTTTTGAGATGGAATCTCACTCTGTTGCCAAGCTGGAGTGCAGTGGTGCAATCTTGGCTCACTGCAACGTCCACCTCCTGGGTTCAAGTGATTCTCCTGCCTCAGCCTCCTGAGCAGCTGGAACTACAGGTGTGTGCCACCATGCCCAGCTAATTTTTGTATTTTTAGTAGAGACAGGTTTTCACCATGTTGACCAGGATGGTCTCGATCTCTTGACCTTGCGATCTGCCCTCTTCGGCCTCCCAAAGTGTTGGGATTACAGGTGTGGGCCACCACACCTGGCCCGTTTTGCAATATTTTAAAGTCACTATCATCTCATTTAATTCAGACCAAAAAAATGTGTAGAGTAATTATTACTATATATTCCTAGTTTTAAAAATGAGAAAATATAGGCTTAACTAGTAAGTGAATTATAATCATACAAGTAGTAACTAAACAGGCATTCTCTGACTCCATATTCCATGTTTTTAATACTTTGCTATTAAAAATGTCATTCTCAATGATTTCATGCATTATATAATTATAAGTCTTCCTTAACACTTTAAGAAGAAGCTGAAGGAAATAAAAAGAATCTAGTAAAGCATTACTATTCTTGATCACAAATATTTTTATTATTTGGGATGGGCATCTTCTAAAAAAAATTAATAAGAGAGAATATAAAATTATACAATCAAAAATAGTCTAGGCTGGGCACAGTGGCTCATGCCTGTAATCACAGCACTTTGGGAGGCTGAGGAGGGCAGATCACCTGAGGTCAGGGGTCTGAGAGCAGCCTGGCCAACATAGTGAAACCCCATCTCTACTAAAAATAAAAAAATAAATAAATAAATAAAATTAGCCAGAGCATGGTGGTGGGTGTCTATAGTCTCACTGATGATATCAGTAATAAAATAGGCAAAGAAGGCTGGGTGTAGTGGTTCACGCCTGTACTCCCAGAACTTTGGGAGGCTGAGGCAGGCGGATCATCTGAGGTCAGGAGTTTGAGACCAGCCTGGCCAACATGGCTAAACCTGTCTCTACTAAAAATACAAAAAAAAAAATTAGCCGGGCATGATGGTGGGCGCCTGTAATCCCAGCTACTCAGGACGCTGAGGCAGGAGAATTGCCTGAACCCAGGAGGTAGAGGTTGAAGTGAACCCAGGTTGCCCCACTGCACTACAGCCTGGGCGACAGAGTGAGACTCTGTCACAAACAAACAAACAAACAAACAAACAAACAAACAAATGTAGTCTAAACTTCACAAGAGAAGAAAGGTTTATCTTCTACTCATAAAATGTATTAATTTTCTTTTTTATTCTCCTTCATATTTTCCTTTCCTCTCTAAATATGTACCTTTCTTCATGGTTTTCCCTTTACAAATCTTTCTTTTGTGCTAACTTCACTCTAGTAGACAATCTTTTGGCTGACTACAGAAGCATTTCCTTCTCCCCACCCTTTAAGTGTTCATTTACATCCAAAGTCCACTACTGAAGAAACCTTCCCAAGGGCCTAATAAAGGAAATAAGAAAACTGAAACCATAACAATGCTGTCAGTAGCTTTTGGCTACTTGTGCAGTGCCCTGGGTAGAAAGAGGAAATTCTGCCTGAGACCCCATGGCTATCAGTTGGTGGCAGCAGATTTGATTACATCTAGTTTTTAAAAAGAAGCATTCATATTATCGGTCATGAAATTATCTAATTCTCTTCAGAATTCATTTTAATACTTGGCTCCATGGCCTCCCGAGATAGTGAAACTCCACAGACTATCAGCAATATGAAAGCATATTTATTTTTGTAATTGGATCCATTTATACTTTCTAGTTCTTTCATGGCAAGGATATTGAGGAAGCTATCTGTTTAAATAAACACAAAATTGTAGTGGCTTTATCATATAAGATAAGCAAAAATATAAGATTTTGGGGGGCATTTATTTATATTATCTGGTGCATATTTAGCCCCTACCATGCCAGAAACTGTCCTGAATGTTTTACATATGTGCTGTCTAATTTAGTACTCCCAACAAGTTTTGGGTAAGCATACTCATCTTCATTTCAGAGATGAAATAGGTTAAATTAAATAATTCCCCCGAGCTTACATAGCTGGTAATTGATAGGATCATGATTCTAATCCAGGTCTATTAAAATCTATCCCTTTCCACTAGGACAATGCTGTTGAAACTTTAACACATATGTGAACATATGTAAAAATTTTAATGGATTTGGAAATTAATTTGTCCCAAATACTGCTCACATATGCTTTTATAGGCGTTACTATGGTCCAGACCTGCTGGGAACTTACTGAGCACTTATTATGGGCCCGGCAATATTCTGAACACTTTACAAGGACTAACTCATTTAATTAGGACAACAAATCTGTTAGAAGGCACTATTAATTATCATTATTTTACAGATGGCAAAACTGAGTCTCGAAGAGATTCAGTAATTCTCCAAAGGTTACAAATTCATAAGTAGAACAATGGAACAACATGGGCACTGTTAAGGAGACCCACTGTTTTTATTTATTTATTTATTTTTATTTTCTGAGAAGGAGTTTCACTCTTGTTGCCCAGGCTGGAATTTAATGGTGCGACGTCAGCTCATCACAACCTCCGCCTCCTGGGTTCAAGCGATTCTCCTGTTTCAGCTGCTGAGTAGCTGGGATTACAGGCGCGCGCCAAGCGATTCTCCTGCCTCAGCTTCCTGAGCAGCTGGGATTACAGGCATGCACCACCACGCCAGACTACTTTTGTATTTTCGGTAGAGACGGGACTTCGCCATGTTGTTCAGGCTGTTCTTGAACTCCTGACCTCAAGTGATCCACCCGCCTGGGCCTCCCAAAGTGCTGGGATTATAGGCGTGAGCCACAGTGCCCGGCCAGGCTGTTTCCTTATGGATCAAGTTCAGGTTCTCAATATTCCAAGTTATTACAGTTAAGAGTTGGGTCTTGGCCGGGCGCGGTGGCTCACACCTATAATCCCAGCACTTTGGGAGGCCGAGGTGGGCGGATCACCTGAGGTCAGGGGTTCCATACCAGGCTGACCAACACGGCAAAAACCTGTCTCTACCAAAAATACAAAAATTAGCCGGGCGTGGTGGCAGGCGCCTGTAATCCCAGATACTCCAGAGGCTGAGGCAGGAGAATTGCTTGAACCCCGCGGGCAGAGGTTTCAGTGAGCCAAGATCGCGCCATTGCACTCCAGCCCGGGTGACAGAGCGAGACTCCATCTCAAAAAAGTAAATAAATAAATAAATAATAAAAGAAAGCAGCCTGCTCACTGCAGTTGAGAGTAGAGGAAGTAATCTTTATAGAGCTAATTTATTTTTGTTTACGGCAGTTTAAATCCCCTAAGTAAGGATTCAGGACCACCTAAGGAAAAAACTGTTGATTCTAGAAAGCTTGCTATAGAGTTCAGCATACAAATAAGTCAATAAACAACAAGGAAACAATAGTGTGAAATAATCTCTGGCATTTCTTGAGCATTTATTATGTACCAGGCAGTGTTCTAAAGCTCTACATGCATAACTGAGGCACAGAGAGGTTACATAAATTTCCCAATCTCATAGCATTCACAAGTGGTAGAGCCAGAATTTTAATGCAGGCAGTTTGACTCAAGAACCTATATGTACCCATATTTTCTGATGAACCGATAAAGGTTTGAAGTAATTTTTAAAAAGTATCAGAATATGGCATATGTTATATGCCTGTGAGAGAGCTCAGCTCTGGGAACTATAAGATTAATTTATTCCATCCATATTTATTAATCAACTATCATGTGACAGGCATTGTACTGGGAATAAAATGTTGAATAATAATTATTATGTTCCTTGCTCTCATGGAAGCCTTCTCTAAAAAGCCTTATGGAAAAAGCTACCAAAGAAGATAGAAAATACAAAGAGGAGAAATACACAAACTCTGTTCATTCAGCCTATATTTATTGATTGTCTTGCATTACACATTGTGTAATTGTCTTGCATTACACATTGTGCTGGGCATCGGGGATTCAGAGATGAAGCAAAGAGTACTACCCTCAAGAAGAGTTAATAAACTGTATCTTATGGACGCTACAACATCATCAATTATTCTATGTACCACTTAGAAAGAAAAAAAAAATCTGTCAATTTAACTCTGACATGCCTTCAATGGTTAGGCACATCCCAACTCATGAGATGTTTAAGAGTAAAATAATGAGACTATTAGAATTAATGAAAAACTGTAGTAGTAACAGACATATCTTCTTACAATATAATGAAATAAACACTCCATCATTTAAAAGCGATGTAACCTTGGACAAATTGTAATGCCTCTCTGTGCCTTAGATTTTTTTCATCTGCTAAATGGAGATAATAATATACTTGTATTTATTTGAGGAGAATAATGGAAATATGCATTTAAAGTACCTAGCAAAGTATATGGCAGAGAATAATAGCTTAATAAATGTTTCATAATGGTAGTAATATTGTTATTTATTCCTTAACTCAACCAAGAATTATTGATTGCTTACCACATGCCAACTACTATCCTAAGTGCTGGCGATACAGAAGTAAGCAATGAAAACAACCAAAAATAACAATCTCTGCCCTTATAGAGCTTACATTAGTAGGAGAGACAGACGATAAATAGGATAAAAGTAAAAACATGCATTATATTAGATATTAAGAAGTGCTAAGGATAAGAAGAAGAAGAAAAGCAGAGGAAGGGGATAGGCTGTGTTGGGGGAGGCGACTTGCAAATTTTTTTGTTTTGTTTCGTTTTTTGAGACAGAGTCTCATTCTGATGCCCAGGCCGGAGGGCAGTGGCACAATCTCGGCTCACTGCAACTTCTGCCTCCTGGGTTCAAGCAATTCTCCTGACTCAGCCTCTCCAGTAGCTGCGGTTACAGGTACCTGCCACCATGCCCAGCTAATTTTGTGTGCATGTGTGTGTTTCTAGTAGAGACGGGGTTTCACCATGTTGGTCAGGCTGGTCTTGAACTCCTGACCTCAAGCAATCCACCACCTCGGCCTCCCAAAGTGCTGGGATTATAGGCGTGAGCCACCATGCTCAGCTGCAAGTATTAAGTGGGTGTCAAGCATAGCCTGACTGTTAAGATGACAATAAAGATTTTGATAAAAGAGGCAAAGTGAGGGAGTTAAATAACTTTTTAAGCAGAGGGAATAGCATCTGCAAAGGTCTAGACACAGTGAGGTGGCAATGTGGCTGGAGCGCAGTATGTGAGCCATATGAAAGGCAGTGTGAAATGAGGACAGAGAGGTGATGGGGGCTACAGCATATGGGTGTTGACAGGCCAAAGTGAGAACTTTGGCGTTTACTCTGGGTGGTGTGGGAAGCCACTGGAAGGCTTTCAGCAAAGAAATGATGTCATACAACTTTCACTTAATAGGATCACTTGAGTTGTTGTGTTGAAGAGTGACTGAATGGGAGAGGAGTCCATGTACCTATTTGGCTAAACATCTGTGGTGGTAATGGTGATAATGACAATTAGAATGATATGGATATATACATACATAATACAGCATGGGGGTGTAAGACACGTGGCGGTGGCTTTTGAGTATGGATACCATGATACTCACTGGCACATGGTAGCCCTTCAGTCATTGTTGGTTGAATTGAACTAATGTTTGCTTCTTCATTGTAGTGAAATGAATTTGTCCTTCTTATACAAATTCTTCTATAGTTCCATTTCAATTATTATTGTTTAAACTTGAAACAACCAAATAAATATACTGACCTCGAACAGTACGAAAATGTTAATACAATTATGTTAGTGTTCTCATTACTGTGAAATTGCTAGAAGTTTTAACTAATGGAAATTTCAAACAAACTTTGGCAGTGAGAAAAACATAAAAACAAATAAAGAAACAAACTGGGAGATTCAGTTCAACTGAATCAGAGTTGACAGATTTCTCAGTGAACAACAAAACATACCAAGGGCGTTAAGTAGTTGAATTGGTATAGATTTAGACTCTTTTCTTAGGGCTAGCCTCAATATTGTATTTTATTTCTCGAGTTTTGACATCATTGTCACCTAGTTACTGAAGTTATTGCCTAATATTTCTAGTGACACATATTTTTATATTAACTTGTGAACTGTAATTTACCTATGATGATAAAGGGATACCAGAATATAAATGTTGTGGAAGATTCAGTTATGCATAAGTATGAAGTTAAAACAAATTCAAGAAAAATAAAATTAGCCAGGCGTGGTGGCTCACGCCTGTGTTCCCAGCACTTTGGGCGGCCGAGGCAGGCAGATCACCTGAGGTCAGGAGTTCGAGACCAGCCTGGCCAACATGGGGAAACCCCGTCTCTACTAAAACGCAAAAACTAGCCGGGCATGGTGGCATGCGCCTGTAATCCCACCTACTTGGGAGGCTGAGTCAGGAGAATTGCTTGAGCCTGGGAGGCGGAGGTTGCAGTGAGCCAAGATTGCACCACTGCACTCCAGCCTGGGCGACAGAGCCAGACTCCGTTTCCAAAAAAAAGAAAAAGAAAATTATCCTCCATGTTTGGAAATAGAAAATTTAAAGTGAACAGTAAAAACAAGCCTATAATTTAAGCTTCAAGTATTTTTCTTTTTAAGAATGCAATTCTGGTAACTTTGATCTATTGCAGATGCTTAGAGAATAAACATGCATTCATCTTTGTTATATCTGTTCGTTTCTAATAAACAGATAAAATGTAAGGCCCTATTTTGATTATTTGTTTTGTTGTTTATATTTAGAGTCTGGAACACAGAGGAGATTATATTACTTTTCAAGTACCGTATCTCAAAATATATCTTTAAAAAAATTTTAGTATTGATTTTTCATCAAATAAACATAAGGATGAAACAAACAGGGGATCCAACTAGGTGCTATAATGGGAATACATGGTTGAGTAAAACAAGGCCCCTTTCCTCAAAGAGCTTGAGACTCCTTGAGGAGTCTAATTTTATCGTGGGTTGTAGAGTTAAAGCTTGACTCTTCAATGTGACTATCTAATAATGAGACTCACTGAATTTTCTCTAAGACTGGTGAGGCCATTAAACATTTCATTTTTTTCAAGTAATTTAAATAACGAAAAAGAAAGAGCTGCATAATTGGCATATAAATGATTCCTGAATTCAAGTGAAACCACAAAAAAATTGTAAATCCTTCTAAAACACTTAATAATCAGCGTACAGAGTATATACTTGATAGATAAATTAAGTCATTCTACCACAACCACATGTAAACTATACAGTTCTTCTTAAGTGCAAGGAAATTTGGCATTCCACTTTGTTTTCCTTATACTACCTGCCTTGTAGTAAGTACTCAATAGATGCATAATGGGTGAGTGACAAAATAAATATCTGTAATTTATTTTGAAAAGTATATTTTCAGAAGATCTATGTATACTACTATGTCTGAATTATACTGTGACTTTGATAAATTTGAATTAAAAATTTGATTAACACTCCAGACTAAATTTTATAACAAAACTTAATACAAGTTTTAAATTTTAACTTGCATATTTTTAGTCATCATAATACTAGAATCAGAAATTATAGATCTAGTGTCTCAAGGAACCTTAAGTATTTGTATAGATACCACTAATTCATAATTACTTTCCTCTAGAAATAAAAGAAAGAACAGGAATCACCTATTTGGAACTAATGACTAAGTGGTTGAGTAATCAGGACAATGTATTTTTAAATATGGATTTGGAAAGAGAATTCTGGATGTTTATCTCTAAGACAAATATTTTCAGTTAGTCTGTAGGTTGAGGACTTAGTAACTTCTCCTCAATCACTTATGCACCACTTTATTTTCTTTCTACTGTTATGGCCAACCAAGCCTACCCACCGCCTTTTAAATTAATAGAGTAGCTGGGCATGGTGGATCATGCCTATAATCTCAAGAATTTGGGATGCTGAGGTATGAGGATTGCTTGAGCCCAGGAATTTGAAACCAGCCTGGACAATATAGCAAGACCCCCTGTCTGTACTAAAAATTTTTTAAAAAATTAGCCAGGCATGGTGGTGCATGTCTGTAGTCCCAGCTATTCGAGAGGCTGAGGTGGGAGGATTTCTTGAGCCCAGGAGTTCAAGGCTGCAGTGAGCTACGATTGTGCCACTGCACTCCAGCCTGGGTGACAGAATGAGACCGTGTTTCAAATAATAACAATTAATTAATTAATAGAGTAATAAAGACCTGAAGACCTCCCAATTTTGCTTTCTCTTGATTGTTTTCTTTTTAAGAATATGGAGTCTTGCTTTCCACAAGTGCATGTGAAGCATCCCTAAGCTGAAAATCCAAAACTGGAAATGCTACAAAATCCAAAAGTTTTTAAGTGCCAACATGAAAACAAGTGAAAAATTCCACACCTGACCACATGTGATGTGTCCACAAAATTATTAGAGATATTGTATAAAATTACCTTTGGGCTACATGTGTAAGGTGACTATAAAACATAAATTAGTTCCGTGTTTAGACTTGGATCCTATCACCAAGATATCTCATTATGTGTATGCAAATATTCCAAAATCTGAGAAGGTCTGAAATCTGAAGCATTTCTGGTCCCAAGCATTTCAGATAAGGGATATACAATCTGTAGTAATAAATGGGTCAAAGCAGCAAATTGCTTAGGGAAATCTGCCCAGAGGATCAATCAGAATTCTTATATTTATTTTAGTAATACTGACACACAATATGTTATTCAGTAACACATAATGTTATTCAGCAATAGTAACATTATAATCAAATTCAGATTATGCCAATATATTGTCAACTCTGTTTCAGGAGAGTTCTAAAGAGAGAAAAATATTTCTTCAAATTCTCTTGCCTACTCTATGATATTTCAACATTTCAGATGATAGAAAATTGGGGCATAAAGAATATAACAATCTTTTCAAAAAAATCTTAAAGGGACATATTACATCAATATTAAAATGTACAATATGAAGAAGATCAAACTATTTTGGAATCATAATTGTAGATGGCCCATAGAATTTAAGAGTCAATGAGTGATAATGGAATTCTACTCATACCTTAGCCCTTGGAAGCATAGACTGATCTTCACACAAGGGAATGTAAAAAATTTATGTAAGACTCTGCAGACCAAATTTTACCCCAAAAGCACCATGAAGACAGAGACTGTTGCTGTTTTGCTTGACAACAACTCTCAATGTCTTGAGCAGCATGTGACACAGAAGAGGGGTCAAATAATAGTTGATAAATAAGTGAACTCTAACATCAACAATCTTGATTTACTCCAAAATATTAACATTGGGACTCACAAATGTGATCATTCATGTACCCAGAGGAGATCACCCTACTTCATCTTTTGACTGTTCTCACACTAATATGTCTGTTCTACTACAATAGCTTGTTCAAAAAAATGTTATTTCAAAATACTTATAGACTTACAGGAAGTTGCAAAGATAGTCCAGCTTCCCTCAATGACAATGACTTTTATAGCTATAGTAATATACAAAACCCAAAAAACAAACACTGATTATATGATCATTAACTTGACTGCAGACATTATTCAGTTTTCACCTGTTATGGGCTCAATTATGCTCCCCTTTCCCCAAAATTCATACATTGAAGTTCTAATCTTGAGTACTTCAGAATGTGACTTTAGTTGGAGACATAGAGCTTTTATAAAAGTAACTAAGGTAAAATGAGGTCACATGGTTGGTCCCTAATCTTATATGATTGGTGTCCCTATAAGAAGGGGAGATTAGGACATAGATTACACAGCAAAAGGATGTGGGTTAGTCTGTTTCCACACTGCTGTAAAGACATTTCCTGAGATTGGGTAATTTATACCAAATTGGTCAAACTGACTCACAGTTCCACATGGCTAGGGAAGCCTCAGCGAACTTACAATCATGGCGGAAGGTGAAGGGGAGGCAAGGCATGTCTAACATGACAGCAAGCAAGAGAGAGAGTGAAGGGGTAACTGCTAAACACTTTTAAAATCATCATCAGGTCTCATGAGAACTCAGTCACTATCATGAGAACAGTATGGGGGAACTGTTCCCAGGATCCAATCACCTCCCAAGTTAATGGTCATGTACCAGGTCCCTCCCCTGATATGTGGGTATTACAATTTGAGATAAGATTTGGGTGGTGACACAGAGCCAAACCATATCAGGATGACCACGTGAAGACAAAATGAGACAGTGGTCATCTACAAACCAAGGAGAGAGGCCTCAGAAGAAACCAAACCTACAGACAGTTGAAGCTTGGACTTTTAGCCTCCAGAATGGTGAGACAGTAAATTTCTGTTGTTTAAGCCAGCCAGTGCCTGTTACTTTGTTATGGCAGCCTTAGCAAACTAATACATCACCATTTCAAAAAGTCTCCATTCATGTGTGCATGTGTGTAGTTCTCTGCAATTTTATCTCATGTACAGATTTGTATAACCACAACCACATTCAAGATACAGAACTGTTTCATCACTATTAAAGAATTGTGTTGTGCTACTCCTTTGTATTCATACCAACTACTCACCCCATCCCTATCTCCTGGCAACCACTAAACTGTTCTACAACTCTATAGTTTCACTGTTTCAGGGATGTTATATAAATGAAATCATACAGCAGGGAACCATTGAGGTAGACTTTTTCACTAAGCATAATGCTTTGAGGTCCACCCACGTTGTTGTGTGTACCAATAGTTAAATCATCTCTCTGCATCATCCCATGATTTCCTACCATCTATCTTTCATCTTGCAGCAGGATTGACCTTTGAAACATGCAAATTTGATGTTCTCTCACTTTAAAAACTCCCATCGATTTCATCAATTCAGAATCCTCAAACTTGTTGTAAAAAGCCCTCCAATCCATGTTCTGCTAACCTCTCAAACCTCCACTTGAGCTCCTCACCTTTGCTCTTTCTCTTCTAATCATCCTGGGTTTATTTCCTGTGTACTTAAAAGGTCCCTTCTCATCTTCAATGATGTGGATATTTCTTTCTTTTTTTTTTTTTTTTTTTAAAGTGAAAGCAAGTTTATTGAGAAAGTAAAGGAATAAAATAATGGCTACTCCATAGACAGAGCAGCCCGAGGGCTGCTGGTTGTCCATTTTTATGGTTATTTCTTGATGATATGCTAAACAAGGGGTGGATTATTCATGCCTCCCCATTTTATTTTATTTTATTTTATTTTTTTTATTATACTTTAAGTTTTAGGGTTATTTCTTTCTCAAACTCACTATTGTCTTCTTCCCTCCCAGGCATTTATTTCTCATACTCTCTACTCTCTTCTTCCCTCCCAGGCCCAACTCCGTTTACTTAATTATATCACTAATTGTTTGAATATCTGTGATTTGTAATGATTGTAAGCAGAAAATAAAAAAAGTAGAGTGAAATTGTCATTTTTGGATTACTTACATCTGTATTCATCATATGGCTATTTTCTAGACATTAATTCAGGAAAAGAATTCAAAATTTCATTCTTGCTGGAAAGTGGTCATATTTTATACCACTAGCCAGGCAAGGCCGTGCATCAGGGGAAGAAACAGTTCTTTATGAGTATCAGTTCTTGTATTTTCTTGCTGTGAAACTTTGGGCAAGTCCCTAAACTGGACTAAGTGTTGTTCCCTTAAAAAAAAAAACAAAATTGGATAAAATAGACTTATGAATGATACTGTAATATTGAGCATCCAGCAATCCAGCACAGTTTCTGATACATAACAAGTGCTGAATAAAGGTTTTAAATATTTGATATACATGTGAAAAATCATATGAGATATGCAAGCAGTGCAAACATATAGGGAAATTATCTAAAAAGGAAAAAAAAACTATTTGATGATATAATTTCCACATCTCCTAAAAATTGCATTATGAATACAGCTCTTTTTTTCTTTTCTATTTTTTTTTTAGAGACAGGGTTTCACTGTATGCTGCCTGGGCTGGGCTTGAACTGTTGTACTCAAAAGATCCTCCCACCTTGGCCTCCCAAAGTGCTGGGATTATAGGCGTGAGCCACTGCACCTGGCCTGGGTTCAATTTATGTAAAACAGAAATTCTGGTGTCTCCTAAAAAAGTGCAAAGTACACTTTCAATCTGACATAATGCAGTATCATCAGTCCTCACATATGTTGACCACAGAATATGCCTTACAGTACAAATCAAATAGATAAAATAGTATCTGAAAAGAACTCTAGTTATTTGTAGACCTCGAAAGAAGACAATGGATAAAAAAATTCAATGTAATCATAAAACTCGTATTTAGCAATATTTGTATCACCTTGCTTAACAGTGAATCTATTTAATATTATCTTTTTAGTATTACCCTTTCACTTTTGAAATTAGTTTCCAACACTATGTAGAAATTAAGTTGACTTATATTATAAGCAAAGGAAAACAGAGTTCAGTATCAAGGAATGAACATTCAGCTTATACTAAAAGTATAATAAACAATGTTCTCCAGCAAAGATCTAGTAAACAAAATTTATTATAACAAGTCCATTTTAATTTAGGGTAGAGAGAGATTCAATAACTATTTTTGTGTTATGTGACTCACATTACCTTATTAGTCTTTCACTATTCCATTTATCCTATTTATAATTATGTATTCTAAATGCAAGAGAATTTCCATCTACCACTGGCAATGAAGAAAAATCCAAGATGGCTTTTCCATTCCTCAATCCTCCAACCCCAAATAATGTGGAAAGTCTTTTACATAGAGAAAGAAAATGAAACAGAAAGAAGAGTGACAAAGTGCAGGTCTACAGAACAAAGGGCACAAATAAAACTAGGCAATTTTGTGTGTTGACTATAAAAGAGCATTTTGGGCCGGGCGCGGTGGCTCACGCCTGTAATCCCAGCACTTTGGGAGGCCGAGGCGGGTGGATCATGAGGTCAGGAGATCGAGACCATCCTGACTAACAAGGTGAAACCCCGTCTCTACTAAAAATACAAAAAATTAGCCGGGCGCGGTGGTGGGCGCCTGTAGTCCCAGCTACTCGGGAGGCTGAGGCAGGAGAATGGCGTGAACCCGGGAAGCGGAGCTTGCAGTGAGCCGAGATTGCGCCACTGCAGTCCGCAGTCCGGCCTGGGCGACAGAGCGAGACTCCGTCTCAAAAAAAAAAAAAAAAAAAAAAAAAAAAAAGAGCATTTTGATGTCGTTGAAAATATTTTACACAAATGAAAAAGTGGTGATGGTTATCACGTGAGGGGGTTCTGTGGTCTCCCCTTCTCTTAGTTGTCTGGATAATGGTATGTATATTTTACTAGCAGACTTTTCACATTTAGACTATTAACTTTAAATACATAGCAATATTCTTTAAATGAAAAAAAAAAAACACATGCAAACAAACGAGAAGAAAGATGACTTTTCTAGGGCAGACAGGCTCTAGAGTGGCCCCTCTTGCTGATATTCACAGCTCTGTGTATTTCCCACCCCTTGAATGTGGGTGGAGCCTGTACTTGCTTATATCTTATAGAATAAGGCTAAGGTGGTGGGATGTATGTGATTATGTGCACGTGATTACATTATAGCAAACTCTAACTTAATCTTGTAAGCAGATTTTCCATATGGCTTAGAAGAAACAAGCTGACATGTTGTGAGCTACCCAAGAAGAGAGCCATGGGACAAGGAGCTGAGACCAGTGGCCAGCAAGAAACTGAAGCCCTTAGTTTAACAGTCTACAAGGACCTGAACACTGCCAACAACCACATGAGCTTGGAAACAGATTCTTCCTCAGTCAAGGTTTCAGATGAGAACTTCATCCAGAGTAGCACTAGGATTGTGCTGTACCTGGTCTCCTGACAGAGAATCTCTGAAATAATAAATGTGTATTGTTTTAAGCCATTAAGTTTGCCGTAGCATTGTTATTTATTAGTAAGTAACACAAGCCTAATGCTTTCCACAATAGGAAAAGCTTTTAAAATTTAGGATATGATCTGGCTTCATATCTTTATTCAGAGCAAGAGTTCTCAAACATGGTACTAACTGACATTTTAGGCCACACAATTCTTTTCTTGTGTGAGTTTGGGTGTAAAGAGTTGTTCTTTGCATTGTAGGATGTTTAGCAACAACCATGGACTCTACACACTAGATGCCAGTAGCACTCACCACCTCTCATTGTGACAAAAATATCTCTAGAAACTGCCAAATGTCCTTTGGAAGGGAAAATCACCCATGTTTGAGAAACAATGATTTAGAGGAATTTCTTCATTTACCTCTAATCTGTCTTTGTTCAGTGAGAGGGCTACTGCATGCTGATAATGGTCTTAGGATCTTTTAAATATATAATAATCTAAACATGAAATGGCTGGATGGTTGCTTTTCAATTTGTGAAATGGCTCAAAGGTTGTAAATAAACGGAAACTGGATGGCTTTCAGAAATACAGATTATGCTTTTTTCAATTTCTAGTGATTCAGTGCTTCTAAGACACACTTCCTCAAATCACACATTACTATTTAAAAATTGGTTTTATTTTGCTATTTTACTTAAGGAGAACATGCGTAACAACATATCAGGAAACTAATGCAAAGCACAAAATACAAAGCATCTCAATTGCACGCTTGAATTAGGTTAGGGAGGGAAGTTGGAGAGAGAAACAGAAATTGTGGAGGCTTCATGCTTTTTGATTTCAGAGATTATACTGCACAGAAGAAATTCTGTGTGCCTCTTGTTTACTACATTATATCTGCCTTTCAACGATGTTCAATGCCTCCAGTGTCCAGTTGCTTTCTGACTGAGAAATCTGAGAATGAAACTTCTGGCTTCATTGACACTCCATTTGATGATCACTAATTATTAGCTTTCACATAAGCATACCTCATAGATGCGTTCTCAAGTTAAACATTTAAGGAGGAAATCAAGTAAAACAAGCCTGCTCTTTGAAACAAGTTTTATCTTCCTCTTCCTATTTATTATACAGTTAGATTCACATCATTAACATGCAAATCATACGGCACTACAGTGCATTTTAAACAAAGAACTGAAAGAAAGCATTGTAATTTCTTTATTGGTCGATAAATAGGTTTTTCCCTTAAAGGGTAAAATAAACACCAATCAGTTTAGGTTCACAATTTTTGGCCTAAATAATAATTTCAAACCAAATAAAAAATTGTTACTTTTCTCACCTTGCCCATGGACATTGCTTGTTACCCTGATTTTGGCATGAAAATCTAAATGCTGCTAATTGTCAAGGAAAGTTGGGAAGACATATATATTTTTTTCTGGATGGCAAAGTGTTTTATCTTGTCTAAATTTCTTCTTTCTTTTTTTTTTTTTAAACAAGGTTAACATTGAGACTAGAAACTGACTTGAAACTGAATAAGTAAATGTCTGAATGAAACCTGGGGGAGAATAGTCTAAAATAAAATAATAAACAATTATAAATTAATCCTACAAATTATATATCTTTAGTGTCACCAATACTTCTAACTACTTGATAACATAAACTATTATGGAAAGGGTGGGAGAATAAAAAAACAAACAATTTCAGAGACCACTTCTTATTAAGAAAAAAAAAAAAAAAGGAAAGAAGGAAGGGCGAAAGGAAGAAATGGTATGTTGGCAGGCATTATTCTCTGCTGCCACTAATGCAACATGACTATCACTTTATTTCTCTGCTCACTTTCCTTCCATCATTCTCTATTTGTCTGTACTTAATATGTCTATGTAAGATTTTCAGTCACAGGGCTTTTCCCTTCCTTTACTGACTTATTTATCATCACATCCGACACACACTATGATCCAGCCACTAAGAACCACTTGCGGTGTCCATACAAACCAGGCTGCTTGAGACCTAAGTGTTATCTGTCACTTCAAATTTTCGCTAAACATACACTGTGTGCCAGGCATTTTCTAGAAGCTAGAATTATAGCAAGCAATCAAACAAACAAAAATTCCTCACTTCATAAGGAAGTAGACAATAAATATGAAAATAAGTCAAATATTTGGATGTTAGTAGTAAGTATAAAGAAGAAATTTTTGACATTTAGATTAGTTATCAAGGCAGGCGTAACTGAAAGGTAACATTTGAAGGCAATGAGGCAGTGAGCCACACAGATAAACAGGGAAGATCATTTCAGGTAGAGGGGATAGCAAGAGAAAAGAATATGCCTCTCTGCATCTTTTTTTCTTAGCTTTTTTAAAATAACAGCTTTATTGAGATATAATTCACATACCATATAATTCAGCTACCTAAGTGTACAATTCAATGATTTTTAGTATATTCATAGAATTGTGCGTATAACAAATTTTAGAACATTTTATAACCTGAAAAAGAAAGCCCTTGCTCAATAGTAGTCATTCCCCATGTTCCCCAACCTCCCAGCTCTAGAAAATAACTAATCTACTTTCTATCTTTATGGATTTTCCTGGTCTAGAGATTTCATATAAATGGAATCATACAGTATGTGCCTTTAGTGACCGGCTTATGTCACTTAGCAGGTTGTTTTCAAGGTTCATCCTTGTTATAGCTTGAATCAGTACCTCATTCCTTTTGATCGCACAATGAGATTCCATGAATCAGTACCTCATTCCTTTTGATTACACAATAATATTCCATTAATCTGTTGCTGGAAATTCAGATGATTTCTACATTTTATCTATTATAACTAACATTCTGCTATGAGCATTTGTGTACACTTTTTTTTTTTTTTCTGAGATGGAGTCTCACTCTGTCACCCAGGCTGGAGTGCAGTGGTGCGATCTCTGCTCACTGCAAGCTCCGCCTCCTGGGTTCACGCCATTCTCCTGCCTTAGCCTGCTGAGTAGTTGGGACTGCAGGCACTCGCCACCACACCTGGCTAATTTTTTGTATTTTTAGTAGAGACGGGGTTTCACCGTGTTAGCCAGGATGGTCTCGATCTCCTGACCTCGTGATTCGCCCGCCTTGGCCTCCCAAAGAGCTGGGATTACAGGCATGAGCCACCGTGCCCGGCCCCCGTATACACTTTTTTAATGTAGACATATGCTTTAATTTCTCTTGGGTATATACCCAGAAGTGGAATTGCTGGGTCATCTGGTAATGCTATGTTTAACCACTTGAGGAACTATCAGATTGTTTTCCAAACCAGCTACACCATTTAATAATCCCACCAGCTGTGTGTAAGTGTTCCAATTTCTCCATATTCTGGCCAGCACTTAAAGTTATCTGTCATTTTGATTACAGGTCATCTAGTGATTTTGAAGTGGTATTGCATTATAGTTTTGATTGTATTTTCCTGATGGCTAATAATGTTGACCACCTTTATAAGTGCTTATTGGCCATTTGTATATCTTCTTTGGTGAAATGTCTATTTGCTCACTTTTTAATCTGGTATTTGTCCTTTTATTATGGAGTTGTAAGGATTCTTTATATATTTTGAATATAAGCCCCTTATCAGATATACAATTTGCAAATCATTTCTCCAGTTCTGTGGATTGTCCTTTCATTTCGTGCCAGTGTCTTTTAAGCACAATTGTTTTTCATTTTGATGGAGTCCAATTTATCTTATTTTTCTGTTGTTGCTTGTGCTGTTGGTGTTAAATGTAAGAAACCATTGCTTAATCCAAGGTCAAGAAGATTTATTTATTTTTAACACTTTTATAGTTTTAGCTCTTATGCTTAGATTTATGATACATTTTGAGTTAATTTTTGTGTATAGTATAAGGGATAGGTCCAACCCCATTCACTGGTATGTGGATATCCAGTTGTCTTAAAACCATTTGTTGAAAAGACTACTATTCTTTCCCTCATTGAGTTGCCATTAACTTCTTGTGTCTGGTGGGCACCTTCCATCATCTAAGCAACTCAAGTTTTACTAAACTGTCAACAATTATAGAACTGTGCTGTTTTAAATCTCAACACCACATTGAGTCCCAACAATAGGAATTACGTTTTTTCCTTTCTTTTCTTTCTCTTTCTTTCTTTCTTCTTTCTTTCCTTTCTCTCTCTCTCTCTCTCTCCCTCTCTCTCTCTCTTTCTCTCTCTCTCTCTTTTTTTTTTTTTTTTTTTTTTTTTAACAAAGTTTTGCTCTTGTTGCCCAGGCTGGAGTGCAATGGCATGATCTCAGCTCACCACAACCTCCGCCTCCTGGATTCAAGCGATCCTCCTGTCTCAGCTTCCGGAGTAGCTGGGATTACAGGTATGTGCCACCACGCCTGGCCAATTTTGTATTTTTAGTAGAGACGGGGTTTCTCCATGTTGGTCAGGCTGGTCTCGAACTCCCGACCTCAGGTGATCCGCCCGCCTCAGCCTCCCAAAGTGTTGGGATTATTCCTCACTTTTGGAATCCCAAAGTGTGAGCCACCACGCCCAGTCTCATTTTTGTTTTGTTTTGTTTTTCTTTTTTTGAGACGGAGTCTCGCTCTGTCGCCCAGGCCAGACTGCGGACTGCAGTGGCGCAATCTCGGCTCACTGCAAGCTCCGCTTCCCGGGTTCACGCCATTCTCCTGCCTCAGCCTCCCGAGTAGCTGGGACTACAGGCGCCCGCCACCGCGCCCGGCTAATTTTTTGTATTTTTAGTAGAGATGGGGTTTCACCTTGTTAGCCAGGATGGTCTCGATCTCCTGACCTCATGATCCACCCGCCTCGGCCTCCCAAAGTGCTGGGATTACAGGCGTGAGCCACCGCGCCCGGCCTCATTTTTAAATCTCTCAGTACTTGCTACATAATAGGAACTTGGTAAATGTTTGGCATGTTAAAAAAAAAATGGGCTGGGCATGGTGGCTCACACCTATAAACCCAGCACATTGGGAGACCAAGGTAGGAAGGTGGCTTGAGCCCAGGAGTTCAAGACCAGCCTGGGCAACATGGTAAAACCCCTTTGTATAAAAAGTACAAAAAAATTAGCTGGGCATGGTGGTGTGTGCCTGTAGTCCCAGCTACTCAGGATGCTGAAGTGGGAGGATCACTTGAGCCCAGTAGGTCGAGGCTGCAGTGAGCTGCCATCACGAGGCTGCAGTGAGCTGCTATACTCTAGCCTGGTGGCATATAGAGACCCTGTCTCAAGAAAAAAAAAATTACCTTTGAGGTAGATCTTGGGTCCATTGTGGTAGTACTTGGACAATTAATAGCATCGCTGGAAAGCAGTTTAATTAGGGTTGCAAAAGCAGAGTCTGAAAGTGAGTGAGCATAGGAACCAAGGCAGGCAAAGCTGCAAAGATAGGCTGAGGTGAAACTTTTCAGCAGCTGGAAATGCCTTGCCAAGGACTTTAATTGTCTACCAAATTAGATATTAAAGCTTCTGTTGAGGTTTGTGAACATAGAATGGAGTTCTGTTTTAGAAAGATTAATTTAGCTGGAGAATATAGAAGAGAAAAAAAAGAAAGGCAAGTTTAGAGGTTGTTATTATAATCAACAGTAAAGTTAAAGGCAAGTAGGGTCACAGTGACAGTGGTAGTGAAAAAGGTAGTGTGCATTGTAAAGTGCATTCCTTTCATTCGTTTGTTATAGAGACAGAGATGTCAAGCAGGGATTTGGAAATCCATAACTGGGGCTCAGAAAATGGTTGGGCTAGATATGTAGATCTGGTGGCTACCTAGTCAAAGGTGCTAGAGTTAGATGTGTGGATAGATGATGCTAATAATGAGAGAAAGAGAGAAGAAAAAGAGATAGAAATCGCTTGATTTTTAAAAGAATCAGAGCTGAAATTTGAGATTCCCTGAGATCTATGGGGAGAGAAATGGATGGAAAAAAAAATCTACAGAAACTTGTTAAAAGTCTCAATCACTGAATTACTTTCAATTCAGTCTCAATCACTGAATTACTTTGATATTTCTAGGATATTTAAGAACCAAAGACATATTTTATGTATTGTCAAACAAAAGAAAACACACACATATATATATCTCCACAAGAAAGTATACGATTCAATTTAAATTTTTTGTGCATATGTAAACCACTAGCTAAGCTGAATTTTCTATAACTAATATTAAAACAGGATATTATAAAGCTTCAAGCAAAGAAAATCAAAGCTATAAAGTGACAACATGTAGAGAATGAAAGAAAACCCCATTATAAGCCCTTCTCTTTATACACCCACTTAGGGGACTATATCTCAAGAAAATAATATAAAAAAATCCACATATTTATAAAAAGTGTGATACATCTATGCTATCTATTAACAAGAAGATGAAAGGATTATAAATATGCACAGTTTGAGGATGGCTTAAGTGGCCTCTAGATTATTGTCACCTTTTGTCTAGTTATGTTTCTCCACAACACAGACTTCATCAGACTTAGCATAAAACAGACAAATTTCTCTGCTTCTTTTGGCCTTCATTTCTGAAGGCTCTTGTGTCACATAAAACATATTAAATAAATCTATACGCTTTTCTCTTGTTAATTTGTCTTTTGTTATAGGGATCTCAGTCATAAATCTTAAGATGGGTAAGAAATCTTTTCTCTCCTACAATTATATATATATATATATATATATATGCATATATATTTTTTTGAGACAGGGTCTCCCTCTGTCGCCCAGGCTGGAGTGCAGCGGCACCATCTCGGTGCGCTGCAACCTCCACCTCCCAGGTTCAAGTGATCCTCCCGCCTCAGATTCCTAAGTAGCTGGGACTACAGGCATGAGCCCACCACTCCTGGCTAATTTTTGCATTTTTTGTAGAGACAGGGTTTCCCCATGTTGCTCAGGCTAGTCTCAAACTCCTGAGCTCAAGTGATCTGCCCACCTTGGCCTCCCAAAGTGCTGTGGTTACAGGCATGAGCCACTGTGCCTGCCTCTCCTACAATCTTAAATCACTTATGTTTAGATGCCAATTTTTGTTTGGCTTAATCTAATTGTAATAATGCAAAATTCCTTAGGATATCTGCTAAAAAAATAGATATGGGCTGGTATCATAATTCTTTCTACTATTAAAATTCTTTACCTAAAAAACAGGATTTGAAGGCCAAGTACATATGAATTTTCCATGTTGTAACTAAAAGAAGCTCCCCACAAAGTCAATATAATCCTTATACGGTCTGTGCATAATCTTTACTGTGCTTATTGTTGACTCTCTGGGAGTGCATCTCAATACCAGGATCTTCAAAAAAGCAGAGGGACTTTTCTTTGTCTTGTTTAATTTTGTTATTCAACAAGCACATGGAGGATTGATTGATGTGACACTACCTTTAATCCTTAAAATAGAATTACAACAGACATGAGAAAATAACCTTCCCTCAAAGAGGGCCTGAGGGTATTCTCAGGGGAGAGACGCATTTTAGTTAATGCCAGAAGAGTCTTCAGAGAAAGCACTGGCTGTATGAGGAGTTCCTTCATTATGAAGTTTCAGAAGGCATATTGGAAAGCTTAGAGGCATTTTCAAATCTGAGTGTTTTCCAGCCTCAGCACTGACAGGAAGCAAGAGAATGAAGTAGCTCTGGGCCAGTACTAATAGCACCTGAGCTTTTCCTAACACAGAGAATATAATGCCGAGGACAGGCTGACCAGCTGCAGAGCACACAAACCTGATGTCATTAAAGACTGCAGATGATCCTGAGGAAGTTCACTATGCTCCTGAAAACTTGTGCGTGAACATGAAGAACACACTCCAATGAGCAGAGTATCTCATGCCACTAGCAGGTCTATTTACGTTAGTGAAGGGCTATGGCATCTCTTCTCTCCTCTCTTGTCCCTCTGCCATACTCAGAACAGAGGTTGATTTGATGCTTTCCCCTCATTTAAACGTAATGATAAGGGATTCATGGAAGCTTAGTACGTTTGCCGTAGAGTCTGAGGACAAAGCAGAGAAACAGAGACTAAGATGCATAGGGAGCTAGCTACAATTCCACTACAAAAGTGAAAGGAAGGCTGCATAAATTTCTCAGGGGCAGGGGATGGTGCTTGCCTGGAAGCCCAAAGCAACTTTCTGCAGGTGTCTGTGATATCCACAGAAAAGGTATACAACTGGATTCCCAGGAGCACAAAAAGGAAATGTAAATGGTCATCCAGATGGAAGAACATGCATCATTCATTTTCACTGTCAAACTTTCCTCAATGGGGTAATACAAAAATCCCATGAAATCACTTATACTACCATTCAGCTTTCAAAAATCTGCCTAAGTGAGAGATTCATCTTTATCCATCTTCCTATGAAAAAACTGAAACTGGATTCTGTCAAAGACAGTCACTTAAGACCTTTCCTGCCCAAACTTATGCTCCCCTCTCCCTCTTCCTTCCATCTTAACCATGTAGGAGTCAGAGGTAGTCTAGCAAACAAGAGTCAAGTGGAAATATCAGGTGGAGAAACTGAGAAGAAACCCACTAAACACCTGTTTTGCATGGCAAGAACTGAAAAGAGGAGAACATTGTGAAGAAACTTACTTTAAATGAAGTTCAGAAATTTTACTGTCATCTGGAACTGTACACTGAATTTCAATAACTGGATTATTTTAGGACTAAAAGTAATGTTTGTGGTGCAAAGGAGGAGCTATATGGGCAACGAAAGCATATGGTACAGTCAGAATAAAGTTGTTTTATGATTGGTCTTGAAATCCTCCTTATTGAATGTGCTTATTTACAATCTAGCTGGTTATTTTAGTATACTGAAATGTCAAACCACAGCCTTCCAGTTATATATGCTATTTTAAAAAAATCCTGCCCAGATGACACCCCCACAAGCTTCAAATTGGTGGAAAGGTAAAAGCCTAATAATTTCTTTCAAAACTACTTAGATTTAGAGAATTTTTTTAAAGTAGCTTGTATATGGGGGTGGGCAATAGCTAACTGCTTACAGATACAGTTATTAGTCAGCCAAACATATCTTAGAGAATTCTTTTGTCCACAGAAAATTGATTATGAAAATACTCATTTTATTCTTAAGACCAAAATTTTATTTCGTAGTTTATGCTTAGTGTAAACCAATCTCATTCTGCGAGAGACGAGTGACATGCAGATTACAAAAATTCATGCATAAAGAAGAGCTTCTATAGTTTACCCTAACAGGCTAAAAATCACTAGGTTCTGCATATTTGGCCATTTGAGTCAAAGTAACAAACGTGATAGTGTATGTCCCTCAAACAAAACAACAACAAAATACAATTAAGTGAAACATTACATTCTATGCTTCCGTTGATTTCATTTTAGTTCCACAGCTTCACAATTTTACCTGTTTTCCAAAACTGTTATTTTTATGTGTCTTTGGGGCTCTATTCAGAGAACTCCCTCAGCTCAGTAAATTTAACACTATTTTTTCTCAGTTGGTTCAGCACCAGATTCAAAAGAATCGTCGTTGAAAATTCCATGATTTGCTCCAGTTTCTGCTGGTGACCTTAGCTTTATTTGTTGTCTCAGCAGTATAAAGTTATTCTAAGCACAAATAAAAGGAATCATAGACAAAAATTCTGTCCTTCTAAAGCCAGCATTACTATAGTTTCTGCATGTGTTTTTGGCAGTAAGTGACTATCACAATAACATCTAAAAGCTTGGCTTTTTGTGGAGCTCAATTAACGTTAAGTATCTGATACTCTGGGGCTTTGAAATGTTCAGAATCAAATGCAAGACAGGGAAGAGCCAAGGTTTTATGTTTGACATTCAGATATTTACTGAGGGTCATGCAAGTCCTTTTGCACAGCAGACAAAACTAGTTAGTTTGCCTTCATGCTCTGATCTGGAGCTTAAATCCAATGGGGAAATTGTTATTGACTTAGAGAAGTTATTTTTATGGGCCAATTTTCAATATTTCTTGCCAATTCACTGATATATGAGAACTAATATATGGCAATCATTAATGAATAATCTGATTTAAAAAGAAGATCTAAATAGATTATTACCAGCTTTTAAAACTAAGAAGTTTTACTCAGTAACTGAATTTCCAGAGATAAGGTACATAGTACAGTTTGTTCCTATAGCAGCATTGAGTACAGTATCTTCCACTTAAATATGTCCGGGTTATTTTCAAGATTTTGATGACAACCTAGCTACTGTCATGTAAAATATATGTTATAAATGTTTGAGAGCATTTTCCTTTTATTCTCTTGCAGAACTAGACATTAGAAATAATCAATTCTGACCAAACCTTCATAGGGAGAACTGCAGTACAGGATTTCATTCCAAACACCTGATTGAGCATACTTAAAATATCCTTTGAAAAATCAGCTTTTGCTAAGACCATGCCAGACAAAAATGGATGTTTATGAAACAATGCTTGTATGATTTTAATCTCTTCAAACTGCCCTCATGCTGGCAGTGATTTTTGTGCCTTTTGTTGCCAATAAAAAGTTATTACCTTAAAGTTACAAAATGCCTAAATTCCTCCCACAACTAATATGATATATTTGTAAGCCTTCTATTAAATCATGGTTGAAAAGAAAGCTATTTCATATGTACATATATGTGTGTCTGTTTGCATATTGCTACCAAGATAAATGTCCACTTTCCTAAAAGAGGTGGAATGGAATGAGTGAGAAAGAATGATGCCCAGGCCGGGCACGGTGGCTCACGCCTGTAATCCCAGCACTTTGGGAGGCCGAGGCGGGCGGATCACGAGGTCAGGAGATCGAGACCATCCCGGCTAAAACGGTGAAACCTCGTCTCTACTAAAAATACAAAAAATTAGCCGGGCGTAGTGGCGGGCGCCTGTAGTCCCAGCTACTTGGGAGGCTGAGGCAGGAGAATGGCGTGAACCCGGGAGGCGGAGCTTGCAGTGAGCCGAGATCCCGCCACTGCACTCCAGCCTGGGCGACAGAGCGAGACTCCGTCTCAAAAAAAAAAAAAAAAAAAAAAAAGAATGATGCCCAGACATGATGTACACAAGCACGTTTCCTTGTCAATAATGTGTCGATCTATGTTAGTCACTTCAGGGTATCATGCACATTGTGGAATGTCGGAATGAAAAAGGATCACATTGTTCATCTGGTTCCACTAGCACTTCTCAGAGAGGAGTCACACAGTATTGGAGTGGCTCAGCTGGACTGCCAACCCTGGTTTCTGAAATCCAAGTCATGTTTTTCACCTATACCACTGTTTCCCCAGCCTACTCAATTAGAATCACTGTGGTGACAGGACTTAGGAAGCTGAATTTAGTCTGATTTAAAATAAGCTCCCTTCACCCCCACCCCCTCAAAATCCCAAACATTTAGTTTGGATATACTCCCAGGATGAGAACCACTGATCTAGTGGTAGTGTTGAGCAGTGCTTCTCAAACTTTCGCAAGCATCAGAATCACTGGGAGATCTTGTTTCAAAAGAGTCCTAGGTCACCTCCCAATGATTCTGAATTCAGCAGTCTAGGATAGAGACCATGAATCTGGAGTTCTAACAAGTTCCCAGAGGATGCTAATGCTGCTCGTCCAGGGATCACACTCTGAATTGCAATACTAAGGAGGGGAAGGCCATTATTGGTTACAGAGACTTGGAGCAGAGGAGCCCTAATTCCCAAAGCTGGTGGTGGTGGGACATAATATCAAGGAACATGTGTGAGAGGAGAACTACAGGCTTTGTTTTACCTCAGGGTTAGATTATTCAGCATAATATCCCGGTCCCATCTCCTTCTCTCCTGAACTACAGTTGACAATGCCAACAAACAACTCGAGTTAAAAAGTGGGCCATGCCGGCTGAAACATCGTTCCAATGCCTGTGATTTGGCTGATCTAGACTCTGGCTGGTCATAGTTACAGCTCTGTCCCTTAGTTCTCATCTGGGGTGCAGACTGTATTTTGAGCAAAAATCTCTTCTTCCCAATGTTCTTTTGAATGTGACCTTGCCATAGAGAAACCAGCTTGTTCTAGTTTTCCTGGGACTTTCCTAGTTTTAAAATGGAAAGACCCATGTCATGGTAACCCCCTAAGTCATGGGGAAACAAAGAAGTTTTATCACTCTACCTTACCATTTTCCTATGAAAAGGGATAGTCTAATTCCTTTCTTCTACAATCTTGTCTGTCCTTAATGACAGCCTTGTGCCAGTAGAATGTTCCCAAAGTGATGCTATATGACTTGCAAAGCTATGTAAAAAAGGCTGTGTAGCTTCTACTATTTCTTGGAACATTTGCTGTTTAGAAGCTTTCATCTGGGACACTCCCTTTCAGAAAGTAGAAGCTGTGTTGTGAAGTCAATCCTACGTGGAAAAGCCACATGCAGGTGTTCCGCTTGTCAGTTCCAGGTAGGGCGGGCCTTCAAGTAATCAAGCCCAGCAGTAGACATGTACGTGTAGGACCTCCTGGATGACTCCATTCCATTCACCGAAGTCACCTCCAATCTTCAAATCTTCTTGGCTGTGTCCGTAGACATGGTGGAGTAAAAACAAACCAATCCTACTATGCCCTAGATGAATTTGGTAACATAAACTATCAATAACTATCATTTTATTCTGCTCATGACAAGAATTCATTTTATTCTGCTCATGAATTCTTGTCATGAGCAGTATAAAATGATAGTTTATGCCACCAAATTTGAGGTAATTGTGCACCAACAGATAATCACAACCCCACCTAATCCAAAAGGTATCATCTTTGTATCTATTTTGGCTTGACTTTGTCAAGATTGTTGCTCAATCAAGCATACTATTTCTTGGTTTAATTTTCCAACCCATTAATTCCTTGATTCAATGCAACCCTCCAACCCAGTCTTTCAGAACCCTTTTCCAAACAAACATTTATGAGCACTAAACATTTAGCAGGTATTACCATAAATCAATAACCCAGGTTATTTGATTTAATCTTCACAACACCCTGTGCAATTATTATCCCCATTTCCCAGATGCCTAAATTCACATCTTATAAGCACTGGATATAAATTCAAATATATGCCTTATTTCCAAATCCTTGCTTTTAACAATCATGATATACACCCCTACTCTCAGCTTTCCCTGGTCCTTCCCTGGTAATCCTGAAATTGGTTTTCTTAATAAACAAGTGGACACAATTGCTCTGCTGAACCTATCCTATTTCAAAATTGTGTTTTCATCTTCACTATACTTGGAAATAGATTTCAATATTTACTATGTAGAAATCTTCAGTTTGACACAAAATGATGAGTGATTTAATGCCGTAATATTTGGCAGTGTGGCTTAGGAAAAAATGCAAAGACTTAACGATCAGACTGAACATGGTTCCTATCCTGGCTCTATCACTTTCTATTGCTGTTATGTTACTTTGCACTTGCTAAGGCTCAGTTTTGTTATTTGTGGTAAGAGGATGATGATAATAATAACTATCTAATAATATTATGATGATCATTAAATGAGAAAGTATAAAACACAAAGAAGAGTAATTGCCATATGACAGGCACTCTCATGGCAGCTATTAATAATATGAAAGGGTTCTGAGATATGACTGCACTGGAATGAGGCATTTCACTCACAACTTAGCCATGACACTCTGGGGAAGGACCGCAGATGGAGTAGAGTGGATAAGAATTGTATAATGCTGGCAACAACAAAGGGGCCCAGATATTGGCATCGGCACACTGAATTGATGCCAGCATCATAAAAGTCTTCTACTCCACACCGATCCAGAGAGATAAAAGGATTAGTTGGCAGTGGCTATTACCCGATCTCTGCTTGTGGGCAAATTTGTTCATTTTTCCGATCAGTAACGCAAATAATTCCACATTTCTTTCCAACTCTGATAATTTGATTTTGGACAATGCTAGTTAAGTAAAAGGGCTTACGTTTATCTGTATATTGTTAAAGAAAAAGACCAAAAAAGACGTGAGGGGATGGAGAAATGGGACTGTTGTTCAGTTCAGTTGTCCTAAGTTGGTTGCAGAGAAAGAACCAAAAAAACATACACACATGCACACCCACAGAACACAACTGTGTTTCTTAACTTTAAGCTACATGTTGGAAAGCACCTGGGAAGGTTTTACCAATGCCCAGCCAACCAAAACCTACTGAATCAAGACTGTCTACAAGGAACTCTGAAGCATGCCCTGCAGCAGAAGCTTTGTTTCAAAACAGTAAACATTGATATACACCTTTATCTCTATTTTTTTCAGGTGAGTATAAGGATTTTTATTTTGAGAAATATTTCTTCACTTTTAGTATAGTGTTGTTATTTTGTCAACCTAAAAGCAGTTAAGACCATATTTCTCTAACTCAGACAAGCACTGGAAAAAGACAATGTCATTTATTTCTTTAACATAAATAACTAGGCACTGACTTGTTTCCCTTAAAATTGGTTTTCCTGATGAGAAAACCAGCTCTGTTGAGTGCTTCCCTTTTTAGTAAGAATAATGTCACTTTAGTACTACACACCACAGAAATAGATCATTATCGCAGACACATAGTCTCAGTTATTCCTCAGCATTTAATCTGAACTAAGTTATAAATATGTTCTAATAGTGTTTTAAAACTTATTTACATTTAAATTTCTTCTGTATCTTACAGAACTTCATGAGGTTACTGTTGTTTCTATGTCATGCTTTTGGACAACTTATACATTGTAAAGAGAAAAAATGGTATGGAGTCAATGTGAAGTTTGGTTCACTAAAACCTACCTAATGATTAGGAGCTTTATTAACTAATGTGTTTTTAACTAATCATTTTTCAACATCACAGAATTATGAAAACAAAAACATTTAACATCATCATGACTGGAGTATAACAAAATTAAATTTAGTCACTAATTTGCCATATTGTCACTACAGATATTTTTATTATTACTTGATTTGCAAATTACTTCAAAGATTCTAAGTATTTCATGTAGCTTCCTTTCTGCTTATCTAAATTAATATGTAGAAAAAACAAAACAGCCCACAACTTCAGGTTTTAAATGAAACACCTCTAAATAAGGAGGTATTTAACATTTTGCTAACCATCCATCCCTTAAACAGACTTTTCAAATGTCAGCTCTATTTCAGGTGGTACAATTACACCAAGCACTGAAAAATACAAAGAAGGCTGGGATGAGTCCAGAAGTGTTCACAGGATAGTATATACACATATATTTTATAAAGTTAATGTATGTATTAAACAATACTATAGGCTTATTCATCACAATTCAGGATTTGTTTTTCCTCCCAAATCTCTTTTATTGACTCCGATCTTTTAAATTTTAATTGTCTCTTAGCCATATCCTAGCCATCCTTTTATCCCCATCAATCCAAAGAGGTGATTGCATTCACAGCCACAGCTTTAGACTTTTCTCTATATGTAAATAACAGAAAACTCCCATTTCTAAGTCCGACTTCTTTCTAGATCAAGGGTCAGCAAATTAAGAACGAAGGGCCAAATCTGACCCACTCTCTGTTTTTGTTCAGCCCACAAGTAGGGAATGTTTTTTCCATTTTGTAATAGTTCGAAAAACAAACAAACAAACAAAAGAAGACAAATACTTCATTATGGGAAAATTATATGACATTTAAATTTTAATATTCATAAAGTTTTTGTTTTTTGTTTTTGAGACCTAGTCTCCATCTGTGTCCCAGGATGGAGTGCAGTGGCACAATCTCAGCTCACTGAAACCTCTGCCTCCCAGGTTCAAGCGATTCTCCTGCTTTAGCCTCCTGAGTAGCTGGGATTGCATGCACGCGCCACTACGCCAGACTAGTTTTTGTATTTTTAGTAGAGGTGGGGTTTCACCATGTTGGTCAGGCTGGTCTTGAACTCCTGACCTGGTGATCCACCTGCCTCGGCCTCCCAAAGTGCTGGGATTACAGGCGTGAGCCACCATGCCTGGCCAATATTCATAAAGTTTTAATGGCACACAGCCATGCTCATTTGTTTATATATTATCTATGGATGCTTCTAGGCTACAACCACAGAACTGAGCAGTGAGGGAGGCCATACATAGCCTGCAAAGACTGAAATATTTACTATCTGGTATTTTATAGTAAAAGTTTGCCAAGTTCTCTCTAGATCATTTAATTTACTGCCATTGGTTATGTTACCTTTGTATCCTGTAGGCATCTCAAACTCAATATGCAAAAACTTAATACATTATCTTTTCCCACAAAGCGGCCTCTGTTCCTTTCAATAATGAGAAGTCATTTGTGACCTTTTCTTTACACTTACCACCTACCAATGATCAAGTTCCCAATGATTCTGCCTCATTAAAGTTTCTCACATCTGCCTTTGTCCCTATTATTATTACTAAACCTTAATGTAACCCTCCCAAATGGACTATTAAAACAATTGTGCTATTAGGTGGGAATGGTGGTGCTTGCCTGCAGTCCCAGCTAATTGGGAGGCTGAGGCGAGAGGATTGCTTGAGCCTGGTGAACTATGAATGCACCACTGCACTTCAGCTTGGGTGACACAGCAAGATTTTGACTGCAAAAAAAGAAAGAAAGAGAGAAGAAAGAAAGGAGGAAAGGAAGAAAGGAAGGAAGAAAGGAAGGAAGAAAGAAAGGAAGAAAGAAGGAAGGAAGGAAGGAAAAAGACAGAAAAGAAAAAAAAAACACAACAGTTGTCCAACACCTTTCTCGGCTGTGTATAATCTATAATCTTAGACCCCCTCCAAAGTTCTTCTCAATTTTCCGACCCATCACTCTTCGAGGCTGTTTTGACACCACTCTTAAGTACACTGTTTCATCATAGTGGAGAAAACTAGCAGTGGTTGGTTGGCAGAAAATTAAAATCCCCCCAAGACATTCTGATAGGGAAGCCAACCTCATTTTCCTTGATAAAAAGCTGTTAGAATGATTTGATAATCTTATTTCCTTACTTACTCTAGCCTAATGTACAAAGCCCATTACAACCTGAACTATGCCTGTATTTCTAGGCTTTCCCTTATAGAACCTTTTCTCCTGTAGATACTCTACTCCCAGCATGATTAAGAAATTAGCAGGGGCCAGACACAGTGGCTCATGCCTGCAAGCCCAGTACTTTTGGAGGCTGTGGTGGGAGAATTGTTTGAGGCCTGGAGTTTGAGACCAGCCTGGGTAAGATAGCAAGACACCTGTCTGAAAAAAGAAGAAAAGAAAGAAAGAAAGAAAAAAAGAAAGAAAGAAAGAGAGAGAGAGGGAGGGAGGGAGAAAGGGAAGGAAGGAAGGAAGGGAGGAAGGAAAGAAAGAAAGAAAGAAAGAAAGAAAGAAAGAAAGAAAGAAAGAAAGAAAGAAAGAAAGAAAGAGAAGAAGAAAGAGGGAGGAGGGAGGGCGGGAGGGAGGGAGGAAGGCAGGCAGGCTGAGCTCCCTGGCTCACGCCTGTAATCCCAGCATTTTGGGAGGCAAAGGTGGATCACCTGAGGTCAGGAGTTCGAGACCAATCTGGCCAACATGGTGAAACTCATCTCTACTAAAAATACAAAAACCAGCCATATGTAGTGGCACATGCCTGTTCAGGAGGCTGAAGCAGGAGAATTGCTTGAACCCTGGAGGTGGAGGTTGCAGTGAGCTGAGATTGCACCACTGCACTCCAGCCTGGGTGATAAGAGCAAGACTCCATCGCAAAAAAAAAAAAAAAAAAAAAAAAAAAAAGAGAGAGAGAGAGAGAGAAAAAAGAGAGAGAGAAAGAGAGAGAGAGACAGAGAGAGAGAGGGAGGGAGGAAAAGAGGGAGGAATGAAAGGGGAGGAAAGAAGGAGGGGAGGTGAGGGAGAAAATAAAAAAGAAAAGAAAAGAAAAGAAAAGAAAAAAGGAAGGAAGGAAGGAAGGAAGGAAGGAATTCTCAGACACAGTTCCAAGTTCCAAGAAAGGAAGGAAGAAGGAAGGAAGGAAGGGAAGAAGGAAAGAAGAAGGGAGGGAGGGAGAGAGGGAGAAAGGAAGGGAAATAAAGAATGGAAGGAAGGAAATAAGAGAAAGAAGGAAAGAAAGAAATAAAGAAAAATTCACAGACATAAACAGTTCCTTGAAATTTTTATTTATTTATTATTTATTTTTGTAGAGGTGGAGTCTGGCTATGTTGCCCAGGCTGATCTCCAAGTCCTGGATTCAAGTGATCCTCCCACCTCAACCTCCCTAAGTGCCAGGATTACAGGTGTGAGCCACTGTCCTTGGCCAGTTCCTTGAATTTGATAGACTGCTTCATGCCTCTGACTATACCTAAGGTTTCCCAACTCTTTCGGTATGGTGAGACATGTTTAAGTTCTGGACTCACCTGTTCTGTAAAGCCTTTTTCAACTGTCTCCTATTGTCTGGGATTAATGACTCCTTTTTCAATATTCTTAATGAACCCTCACAGAGTTTACTTAATTGCTCTTTTAATTATATACCCATTGCCTTCTACTGTAACATCCTCAAAATTCGGGACTAGGTTTATATCCCTATAGCCTAGAAAATGGTAGGCATTCAATAAATAGTGGCTGAAAAAAAAAGAAAGAAATTACATCTGTCACTATTTAGGTGACTATTAGGCAAGTATTTTTTTTTCTTCATTAATAGCTCATAATCCTCATGGAACTATTTTGAATGGTTTAAGGTGAGTTATTAAGGTCTCCATATATTTAAGCCTGTCAACAGCATGCTGATATCAGAAAGAACATAAATCTCTTGATATTTTCTATAATCCCAGTTAATTTTTAAAAAGTGAAAAAATAATGTTTATCAGTATTTCTTATCAATATATCAATATTATTTATCTATAGTTAATCCACTCACTAAACAATGAGTTTTAAGTCAGAACTCTTTTCTGTGGAAAAACAAGCAAACATGTACTTTATATTCTTCAGAGTTTTTTCTAGCTTTGACTGCTTCCAGAAAATAGTCTTCAATATAAAAACTAAGTCAACTACATGAATCTGATATTTTGGTCTCTTAATTTTATTTCTTTTTCTGTGTAATTAACATTCTATTTTACAGTTTAGAAAGATGATAGTTCCTAGTTTATTACACAAAACTTGCAAACACATGGGGTTTCCCTAGAGCCAGCATTCAGTTTCTATTTTTAATATCTTACATTACTGTGGTACACTTGTCTCAACTAATCAACCAATACTCGTAAGTTATCATTAACTAAACTCCATAGTTTTTAAAATTTCATTAATTTTTCCTCATGTCTTTTTTTTGTGTCCCAGAATCCCATCCTGGATACTACATTATATTCAGTTGTCATATCTTCTTAGCTTCCTCTGGTCTGTGATACTTTCTTACACTTAGGGTGTGTTTAAAGACATTGAGGAGTGCCGGTCAGCTATTTGGCAGAAAGTCCTTAAATCTGTGTTTGTCTGATGTCCTTTTCTCATGGTTATACTGAGATCATAGATTTTTGGAAGGATGACCACAGAGGTGAAATACCATTTTGATCACATCATAATCAAAAGTAAGTACTATTAATCTGACTTATCACTAATGATGTTAAACTTCATCATCTGACAAAGGTAGTGTCTTCTAAGTTTTTTTCTCAAGTGAAAACTTACTTTTTTCCTCTTTCCTCACTGTATTCTTTGGTAGCAAGTTAGTGCAGCCCACACTGAAGAGGAAGGGATTAAGCTCCATCTCATTAAGGAAGAAGTATCTGCACCAATTACTTGGAATTCTTTTCTACAGGAGATTTGTCTCTTCTCCTTCACGTATTTACTCACCCATGCATTTATTTTTATCAGTAGGAACTCATGACTTTATTTTTATATTCTAGGAGATAATCCAATATTACATTATTTAATTTTTGCATAAATTTTTCAGCTTTTTCATGAGAGATCTTTTAGTTTGACTGCTCCTGTCTCACTTTGACATATTCCTATCAAATTATTTTTTGAGCACTTCCTTACTTTTGGTGCTACAAGATTCTCCAGATTTATTTTGTATATTTCATCCCCTAGCCCTAGAATCAGCCCTTCCTCCAAGGAGGCTGGTGTTTTTATTAGAGAATCCTACTAGAAAACAACACATGGGTGCTGGATGGTTTCTTCTGTTTCCTACTTTTACTTCAATTCTGCGAGGGAGGAAAGTATTGTCCAGTAAATTCTCTGGATGCCCTCCATTACAATTTCACCACTCCTTCTAATGAATATGAATAGAAGCATATTCACACACATATACAATCCTACCAATAAAGAGGCAATAAATTCCCAGATGCTCTGGCTTATAAACATACAAAGAGATGATTTCTTAGAAAATAAACTAAACCATATCTGCAAATGATAACTGTCATGACTGTCATGTATCAACATCCATAATTACCAGAAAAGATAGATATGCTTGCAATGCCAAGTAATAGATCTCTTAAGTTCAGGCTATAGAGAAGAGGCTATAAATAAAAACAATTATGTTAGGGAATCATTACACCTCATGCTTCTTACATCTAGCTCTCCCTTGTTGAGCTTTACAAATGAAACCTGTCTTTTGGGACTATGACTGGGAAACCTGGAAAGTAAGAATAAATCTCGAATATTAGGAACCATATGTAATCATCAACTTCAGGAATGCAAATCATGTAGTTAAAGAGAAACAGCTTTAGAAGGTAGCTTTCAGGTAACACTCTTGCTTGGGTAAGAGACTGAGGACACAAACACAAGCAGGCTTCTTTAGTGTCTCTACGGGGGAAATGTTCTTCAACATAACTCAAGTAATAATAAAACTTTGTAGCCAGAAGGTGCTTTTACATTTTTCCAAGTATTTTCATAGCCATTATACTAAAGCTCTGCAGCCAAAAGTGAAATTAAGTAGTAAAACATAAAACAATTAGCAACTGATGGAACAGCAAACAACTGTGAAAGCTTACTGATGGTTTGCGAAGGGACAATCTGAGTAATATTTCACCCTCCCCAGAAGTCAGACTGTGGTATACTAAAAAACATATTTGTTCTTCAGCCTTGGTTCCTAGCATAGATCTCCTAAAACCCTAGAATTTCATGAGCGATAGGAATGTCTTTTGTTATTCATAAGGAGCCCCTTCAAACACAGCTGAGTTTATGCTAATGGGGTGACCCAAAGTGGGGCCTCTAATGGCATCAGGATGGGGGCTGGTCACCAGAAAGACCAAACACAGAATTCAGTTAGGGACTTTCAGCCAGGGGCAGTGGCTCCACACCTGGAGAGGAGCGGGTGGTTGCAGCGACCCGAGATCACATCACTGCACTCCAGCCTGGGTGACAGAGCGAGACTCTGTCTCAAAAAACAAAACAAAACCAACCAACCAACCAACAAAAAACAAGCATGGAAAGAAGGATAAACTACCAAAAAGAACACCTCTATAGCACTAAAGTTTCCTTTCTAGTGAGTAGCTGGTGATGGCAAGAGCGGAGTTAACCGTAGTTTTTAAAAGTAACATGCTCTAAACACAGCTGCATGTAAAAAACAATAAATAAATAAATAAATAAATAAATAAATAAATAAAAGATGATGAGTTCAGGATTCCTCTATGGAGAGAAATACCTACTCAGTAATTCTACACACTTTTAGACTTAACTCATAAAGACTTTTTCATATTTAATTTTACACATTCTAACTAAATGTACTAAACAGACTAAATAAACTAACTGGGGTATTCACACTCCAAAACAAATTTTTTTGTTGTACTAAATAATTAAATAGGCCAGGAGCTATGGCTCACACCTGTAATCCCAACACTTTCGGAGGCCGAGGCGGGCGGATCGCTTGAGGTCAGGAGTTTGAGACCAGCCTGGCCAACATGGCGAAACCCCGTCTCTACTAAAAAGACAAAAATTAGCTAGGCATGGTGGCACATGCCTGTAATCCCAGTTACTCGGGAGGCTGAGGCACGAGAATGGCTTGAGCCCAGGAAGCAGAGGTTGCAGTAAGTTGAGACTGTGCCACGGCACTCCAGCCTGGGCAACGGAGTGAGACCCTGTCTCAAAAAATAATAAAATAAAATAAAATAAAATAAAATAAAATAAAATTAAAATAAAATAAGTAGTTAAATGCACCAATTTTGGACTTCAGAAACAGTTTTTTATTTTACTAAATAGTTAAATGCAACAATGTATATCAGTGTTAACTAAGCAGAGTGTAGAAAACATTTAAAAACCTTCCTTTTTTATCTTTTAAAAAAGGGTTCTAAGAAGTAAAAGGGAACACAGTAATATGGCTACCCTCAGTTTTGCTATTTTCCACCCTCGAAGATTCCCAACATGTAAACTTTGAGATCTAAATTTTGATTTGCTTTGGAATTACTTAGACACTAACCATACATTTACCTATGACACTTTTTTCTCCGTAAACACGTGCGTGATGACATAATCAGTTCCTGACAAACTAAAAACTATGCCAGTGTTTTCTCTAGGTGTGTGGCAAAACAAGTCTATTATCGTATATTGACAGTGCTATTCAAGATTTTTAAAAGTCAACACATTGGATCTATTATATTATGCCAACACCACATAAACAGTTTCACATGGCACTGGAGGTTTGTTCTACATGACATCACACAAAAAGAAAATAACAAACTTTAAAATCTACTTTTAGGAAACACCATTTTAGAGGGATATTCTTAACAAATGATCTTCTAAAGTTGTTCGTCAGTAATTGTCCCCTGAAAATGACACTCAAATGCATTGAATCAAAAGCCTCAATTTTTTTTTTTTTTTTTTTTTTTTTTGAGACATGGTCTCACTCTGTTGCTCATGCTGGCGTGCAGTGGCATGATCATGCCTCACTTGCAGCTTTGACTTCCCAGGCTCAAGCTATCCTCCTGCCTCAGCTTCTCAAGTAGCTGGGACTATAGGTATGTGCCACCACACCTGGCTGATTTTTAATTTTTTTGTAGAGAGAAGGTCTCTCGTTATGCTGTCCAGGCAGGTCTCAAACTCCTGGTCTCAAGTGATCCTCCTGCCTTGGTCTCCTAAAAGGCTGAGATCACAGGTGTGAGTCACTGCTCCCGGCCACACCTCACTTTTTATTAACATTCTAAGTATGTAACAAATATTCTTGAAATAAATATATCCCTTTCTGAGTTACACGCCTTTGCTCACTTATGTTACTACTGAAGATCTTCATAATTTCTCTGCCATTCAGATATATCAGTATATTTAAAAAGAAACACTAAAAGACTTGGATATTAAGTATGTAATTAAAAACAGTAGATAGAAAAATAAAATTACACGTTTAAAAATAATGGATATGAGGCAATTAATTCAAATTTCAGCAGGTGAATGATTAAAAATGACACTTGGTTCACTTTTTTATTCACTTTTAATATTAGGAAATGTGCTTTTTAAAATTTCAATAAGGTAATGCCATTGGGGAAGATGATTGCATTTGGGAACTGAATTTTCAACAGCAGTATTATTGTAAAAGTGAATGATTTATTATTTAATTCTACTTAAAGTTATTTTTTCTCTCTTCCCTTTTGTTGATCCACAGATGATACTATATAAATAGTCTATTGACCAAATTTTATATTTTTCATCTCTATTTAAATTTCCACTTAACTACAATCCTTCTGTAACATCCAAAATATTGATAGCTATTATTAAGGAGTAATAGCCCTGCCGAAATAGAATATCAATTTTAAGTTTACAATGCTGCAAAGAAAATGCTGTTTAGAAAAGATCCCAGAGAATAATGTTTTTATGCTGTCGTTTTATATGTCATAAACAATACCATTTTCCTCCATTGTCTTGAGCTCTTTGGCCTACAGAAATTAGACACAGGAGCTAAAATAGATCAGGACTATTCACTTGGTTACTCAAGTTAAATTTGTCATTTCACTAAGAATGGTAAGAGAAGTGAAAGTCTGATATCAGAGCCCATTCTATTCTTTATAGTTTACTAATAGTAGTTATTGGTAAGCTGAATAATAGCATTTAAAATTAGAGCAAGAAGCTAGTTATTACACATTAGGTTGGTGCAAAAGCCATTGGCAAAACTGCAATTGTTTTGCACCAACCGATATTTAATTTCTCTAAGATTCAGTGTCTATACCTATAAATTGGAGAAAAATAATAACACAGAACTTTCATGAAGATAAAAGGAGATAAGTAGCATAAGATGCTTAGCACAATGCATATACCCATGGTATGTGCTCAGTAAATATTAGAAAATGTAGATTGACCATCACAACGTTCTTAGTTAAAGCACTGTTTGTGTCAAGACCTGTATTAGGGAACCACATATATTTATTAGGAATGAAGATCCTGATGTTCACAGTGGTCAAAACTAGCAAAATAACATTTCTTAGAAGACTGTCTTAACAATGCCTCAAATCTGCCTGACAGTGCTACATTATGTCATAATTCAAGTGAATATTCTTCAAGTCAATCTGTTTGGCAAAAGCGTTCTGTTTACATGTAATGTGTTTATACCTAAAATACCCATGGCAATGTTTACTGGAATATGAAAACATTTTAAGGTCTCCTCAAATTAGAAATAAACTAAATGGGTTTGGTTATGTTGATTGCATTTTCTCTTTGTTTGTAAGAAATAAAGTCACAGCTGGCATTTAGATATTAAACGAGCATAATATTTGTAAGAAAGAATTGGAAATTTAACCTAAAGATAATTAAAATCAGACACTACAAACAGAACACACAGAACTGTTTCTAAATGCTCCACATAGTTTATATGTAAAATGGATTACAGTCCCAAAAATGCTGCAGAGAAGGATGTTTAATAGAGTTACATAGAAAGAGTCAAGATACGCCTGCTTGGGCTCAATGGGAGAAAATGGATCCAGTTTTTGAATCATATTCCACAAAAAAAAAATATAAAAATATTCCTCTCTTCAAAACAATGCAGAAAACACATATTGGAATCCATCCTAATGATACAGAGCTTTAGTGCTAAGTGAGGCTGTGTAGTAAGGAAAACAGACAGTATTTAGATTTTGTGCCCTAAGGAAACAATACTTCATTGGTAATGCACTGCTAAAAATCATTGGACTTAAACTGCAATTTCAGGATCTCTTTCTTTGTGACTTTTACAAAGAGTAGTAAGAGTCCTAATAAAAGAAAGTGACATTGTGGTAAAGGTTATGGTGAGAAAAGAACAATTTCAAATAGAGCAAAGGATCGATAGAACTTAGACAAAGTGGAGAAAAAAGGAATCCAGACCATTTTAGAGGAACAATTATTTTCCAACAGTGGCTGAGGCATTTCATTAGGATGCTGGTTACTGCTATCATAACTTCACTGTGTATAACTTATAACTTGCTAAAATGTATACACTTCCTATTTATGGGAGTTGATTCAGTTACGAACTAACTTTAGCTTCATAAAGTACTTCTCTGAATGCTGCTATGGACAGAGAGCTGAATGGGTTGGAGCTTTCTTCACTGCCTCTGTCATGATCTAGACACTTGTGACATCAGTAGCAAATCTTAGAAAATCCTCAGTGTATTTTAATTAGGATATTATTTATACACAGGAGAACCTCTGGAACAGATCGTAGCCATAGGAAGCTAATTAAGCCTTTAGAAAGTTTGATCATTTAATTTATCCTTGCATGAGTCAATAATACTAAAATTATTAACCCAGAAGTAAGAAATATTATTGTCTTATTACCAGAATTAGACAATAGTCTCTTGGATAAAATTTAGAATACAGGGTGATATGGGTTGAATTGTGTCCCTCAAAAAGATACATTGAAGTCCTAACCCCTGGTACCTGTGAATGTGACCTTATTTGGAAATATGGTCTTCGTAGATGTAATTCAATTAAGATGAGGTCATACTGGAGTGGGGTGGGCCCTTAATCTATTGTGACTGGTTTCCTTATAAGAAAAGAAAGGACACAGAGACAGACATACAGAGGAAAGAGGGACTTGTGAAGACAGAGACAACTGGAGTTATGTTGTCACAAGCAAGGACTTCTTGGGGTTACAAGACACTGGAAGAGGTAAAGAAGGATCCTACCCTAGAGGCTTCAGAGGGAACATGGCCCAACCAATGCTGTGATTTTGGACTTTAAGCCTTCAGTGCTGTAAAAGGATAAATTTGTAATGATGTGTTACAGCAGCCTTGGAAACTAATGCACATGGCTTCAGAATTAGAACTATTACGTTTACAAAGCAAAATTGAAACCAGTTCATATGATAAAATTTGTGATACATGATTTTAAAAGTCTGCTCCTCTAATATATATATTATATAATATATTTTATATTATATATATAATATATTTTATATTATATATATAATATATTTTATATTATATATATAATATATTTTATATTATATATATAATATATTTTATATTATATATATAATATATTTTATATTATATATATAATATATTTTATATTATATATATAATATATTTTATATTATATATATAATATATTTTATATTATATATAATATATTTTATATTATATATAATATATTTTATATTATATATAATATATTTTATATTATATATATATTTTATATTATATATATATAATATATTTTATATTATATATATAATATATTTTGTATTATATATATATTTTGTATTATATATAATATATTTTGTATTATATATATAATATATTTTATATTATATATATAATATATTTTATATTATATATATAATATATTTTATATTATATATATAATATATTTTATATTATATATATAATATATTTTATATTATATATATAATATATTATATATTATATATATATACACACACACACACTTAATGTACTATAATTTCTCATTTGGGACTTCTAAACAACAGGCTCCTATGATAAAAGTTTAAGGATTCTTCACAGAAAAGTATATCTACCTTCATGTAGTACACACATACCCTGCCCCTTAGGTTTGCAGACATTTTTTAAAATGGCACTATAGATTTGGTGTGGTTTTGGGGAAAGCCCTCCTCCCCCATACACTGCTGCTTGATCTGTAACTTGGTATAATACTTCTTCTGCAGGGCAATTGTCAGTGAATTTATTCAAGTTAGCACTTTGCTTATCCTTTACTTTGGAAATTTCATACCTAGGAATTCAGTCTTAAGGATACAATCATGAATACGTACAAAAATATAACCACATGATTTATAAAGATACTTACTGTAGTGCTATTAATATGAACTAATTAGAATTGTCCAAAATAAACCATAATATGAATAGTTGAATATGTTATCTAATACCCATATGATATACTTTGGATATTTGTCCCCATCCAAATCTCATGTTGAATTGTAATCCCCAATGCTGGAGGCAGGGCCCAGTGAGGAGTTGTTTGGGTCATGGATCTGCCCCTCTAATATATATATATACATATATACATATATATACACACACACACACACACACACATAATATATAAAATATCCCTCACGGCTTGGTGCTGTCGTTGTGATGATGAGTTCTTATGAGATCTCGTCATTTGAAAGCATGTGGCACCTCTCCTTCTTCCCGCCCCACCCCACCTTGCTTGCTCACTCCTGCTTTCACCATGTGACATGCCTGCTCCCCCTTCACCTTCGCCATGATTGTAAGTTTCCTGAGGCCTCCCTAGAAGCCAAGCAGATGCCAGCACCATGTTTCCTGTACGACCTGCAGAATTGTGAGCCAATTAAACCTCTTTTCTTTATAAATTACCCAGTCTCAGGTATTTCTTTAGAGCAAAGCAAGAACAGACTAACATACCACACAAATTAAATGCTACATGAACATCAATGATATTATAGAAAAATATTTATGTGGAAGGTTTTTTAATGACCTATTTTGAAATAATAAAAAAGCTTGCAAAACAGAATGCACCGTAGGATTACCTGCATGAACATTAACAGAAGGCTAGATGGCTGTAAATGCAGATGGTAATATTGATAACCTGTGGAAAGTAGGCAATTGAAAATTTTTTTATTTTATTCACTTTCTTTAGTATGTTCTACATGAATATGTGTAACTTTTTAATAAAAAGTACTTTATGAATTTTTTTTTTTTTAGAGACAGGGTCTCACTGTGTTGCTTAGGCTAGAGTGCAGTGATGCCATCATAGCTCACTGCAGCCTCAAACTTCTGGGCTCAAGAGATCCTCTTGCCTCAGCCCCCCAAGTAGCTAGGACTACAAGTGTGCATCTCCATACTCCCCTGATTTTTAAAATCTTTTGTAGAGATGGGGCTCTCACTATGTTGTCCAGGCTGGTGTTGACCTCCTGGGCTTAAGAGATCCTCCCACCGTGGCCTTCTGGAATGCTGGAATTACAGACCTCAGCCACCATACCTGGCCAAGAAAGGACTTTAATTTGCATAAATATAAACATTTGCAATGAACAAATGAAGGAATTGCTGATAACAGAATGTTATGCCAATAAATGGTATAAAATTCTACTAAATACTACACGTTAATAGGAATGGTACTAGTAAGCAATTGCTAGTAGGAATTGGTTTACATCAAATGATATAAACATCTGCATTGTCCAATTTTAAGTGTATCAGTATATTCCTATTAATTTCTGATTTTTCTCCAGATGGCCATGTCTCTCACTAAAGCCATTTATTTCTGTCATTAAGCGTTAATAATACCACTGAGCAAATTCTGGGACATCAAATAAAACTTAGTAGAGAACTATATAATTGTTAATAAAAGAGAGGGAGGCTGGGTGCTGTGGCTTACACCTATAATCTCAGCACTCTCGGAGGCCCAGGAGGGAGGGTAACGTGAGCCCAGGACTTCAGGGCCTGCCTGGGCAACATAGTAAGACTGCTGTCTCTGCAAAAAAAAAAAAAAGAAAAAAATTAAACTTAGGTAAGCATGGTGGCATGCACCTGTAGTCCTAGCTAATCAGGAGGCTGAGGTGTAAGGATGGCTTGAGCCCAGGAGTGTGAGGGTGCAGTGCGCCATGATCATGCCACTGTACTCCCAGCCCAGGTGACAGAGCAAGGTCCTGTCTCAAAAAATAAAAATTACAAAACAGTTAATTAATAAATAAAAAGATAAAAATAAAAATAAAGCAAAAAGAGAAGAAGAGAAAAAGATAATGGGAAATCTGCATAGCTTTTTCATGTTTCTCTAATATTTTGGACAATATAAGAGATTGTCCCCAAAAGAAAAGGTGAGGGGGCATTCCAAAACATTTTGTGAATCAAAGAAAATTAAAATGCAAACAGACTTTGAAAACAAAAATATTGTAATAAAGATTATCAAACAGATTAGAAACGTATTTGATGACTACACCTAGCCACATAAGATTCTAAAAGTGAATATAAACAGGAAAGCTGGCTTACTTTAAGAAAAAGTCCTTCCATCTTTCCCACTTTCTCTTCTATTTTCTTTCTTAATATTGAGTGGGTAGATACCATATACCCACTAGTCATGTAGGAACTAATGGTTCTGCTGTTTTTAACTGACATGTGAAGAATAATTGTGCAGTGTATAGTTCAGTGTTAGAGAGACATAAATACACAGTAGCAGAAGGGAGTGAGGGAGCTGGTCAAAGAAGAAGGAAGCAGTCCAAAAGCAGTGAAAGTAGCTTGAGTCTGTTGGAAAAAGACAAAGAAAAGATGAACAGAGTCTGCATTAAGGCAAGACAGTTGCAATGAATGTGAGAGTTTATCAGTTAGGATCTTTCAAGCAGTGATGTTCAAACTACAAAACAATGAGGTTATTACGATTATTCGTTTTAGTCAGTCTTTTCCCTCTTTTTCTGGGGTGAATAAAGTAAATATATATATATATATATATATTTTTTTTTTTTTTTTTTTTTTTTTTTTTTGAGATGCAGTCTCGCTTTGTCACCCAGGCTGGAGTGCAATGGCATGATCTTGGCTCACTGGAACCTCCGCCTCCTGGGTTCAAGTGATTCTCCTGCTTCAGCCTCCCGAGTAGCTGGGATTACAGGTGTCCACCACCATGCCTAGCTAAGTTTTGCATTTTTAGTAGAGACGGGTTTCACCAGGTTGGCCAGGCTGGTCTGGAACTTCTGATCTCAGGTGATCCACCCACCTCAGCCTCCCAAAGTGCTGGGATTACAGGCGTGAGCCACCGCGCCTGGCCATCTATAGACATTTTAATTAAATTATTTTTCTGAAACCCTTTTTTGACTGCTATTTTTGTTATACTGTTAGCAGCCACTATATTCTGGTAAGACCAGTATAGAAAGAAAAAAACAAATAGGAAGCAAAGATAAAACAGAAAACACAAAATATACGATTTCCAAAATTTTTATGCATTTTTGAGCAGGCAAGACCCCTGTGAATGTGACGTTGATATAGTCTACTGTTGATTTTTTTTTTTTTTTTCAAGACAGGGTTTTGCTCTGTCACCAGGCTGGAGTGCAATGGCATCATCTCAGCTCACTACTGCAGCCTCAACTTCCCAGGCTCAAGTGATACTCCCACCTCAGCCTCCTAAGTAGCTGGAACTACAGACACACACTACCCACTATGCCTGGCTAATTTTTTATTTTTTTTATGGAGATGGAGCTCTTGCTATGTTGCCCAGGCTTGTCTCGAACTCCTGGGCTCAAGTGATCCTCCTGCCTTGGCTTCCCAGCATGCTGGAATTGCAGGCACGAAGCACCACACCTGACATACTAGTGAAATCTTTATTGGATCTTAGGCAAATTATAATAGGATTAGGTCTGTTAGTGACAGAAAATCCAAAATAACAATGACTTATTAAAAGGATAATTTTTTTTCTCTTTCGAGGAAAAAACAGGTTTCCAGAGCTGGTACAAAAGCAGCCATCTTTTTATCATGCTCTTAGTTTTGCCTTCATAGAGTCTACTTTGTGATCCACAATGGCTCCTCTTGCATATTGTATCAGCCAACAGGAAGGATAGAAAAGGGAAAGAGAATGAGACCTTCATTCAATAACACTTCCTGGAAGTTGCACACACCAGCATTATTTATAATGTTATTGGCCAAGACACACCTAGCTGCTAGAAAAAGTTGGAAAACATCTTTATTCTCAGAAGTTAAGTGTCCAGCCAAAAACAGGAGGTTCTAACACTGCAGAAGAAAGGGAAAGTATATTGGTGGACATTATCAGCCTCTCCTACATTGGTTTTTGCATATCTATAAGTTTATATCCATAAACTTAGAAATGACATCACCATTACCCAATTTCTGAGAGTGAAGGAAATTAAAGAAGTTTTATAGTATGAGGAGTGAATCAGTCTCTCTGTCTGTCTTTCTTCTATCATACCTTTCCAACAAAGACCCACATTTTGAAAGACTTAATCCTTGGTGCTCTTTACTCCTTTTTTTTCAGTTGAATCTCTCAATACCAGTATACAGGAGGTAATAATTGCAAGAATCATAAGTTGCTCTTTTTCTCTTCTTACATGTGTTTCCTCATAGCCTACTACTGAAAGCAATTTGTAACAGCCCTTAAAGAACCAGTGCTGAAACACCTGTTTCCAATTTCCAATATAGACACTATCATCTTCAGTGTAGACTATATGCATTCACGACTAGAAGTCTTCATTGAGTTGATCTTTTCAATGAAATTATACTAAAATTATCATCCACCAAAAACAGCAAATGATGCAGCTTCTTACAAAACACAAACCGCTTTCAGGTGAATTTACCCTCTAGCGTTAGGATTGCAACAAACCTGATGGACTTTATTCATCTGGAATCAATACATTAATAAGATTCTGATTTTCTTAGTGACATAGTCGATTTTTTTTAAGGAAAAACACCTGAGAAGATGGTGTTTCAGCCAGATGCTTTTTTTCTACCAGGGGAAGATAATTCACAGTCCACAGCTGTCTTTGTGTTTGTACCCCAATGCAGAAGAAAACCAAGCTCACTGGCTTTCAATCAGCCAGCTACCTAGATCTAAACTAAGAATGCCCCAAAGCAGAATGATGAAGAATTTAGTCCTTTTAGATTAGTCCCTTTAATTACTCCAAAATAATTAAATATCTTGTACGCTAAAAAATTTATTAGTCAGAAGATAATGTAAACTTGATCATATACTTATCTATGTAGAAAAATCTACAGGAAACAAAAATGAGAGAAAATAGAAGGTGTGTAAGGAAAAATTCTCCCACCCAAAGTATAATTTTCTTAGCCACCTGCAAATATTTACCTCAGTTCTGTCATGTGTATAATATTTTGACCTAATTTATTTTCACTTTTCTCTGTAGTTTATTGCTTTTGGTATTAAAATGTTTTAACTGTATAGAATTTATTCACTAGTGCCTTTTTAACATCTCTGTGTTATGAAATTCTGTTGTACATTTAAAAAAAAGCAGATTTAAATTAGGCTTTGAGAGTTTGCCATTTCATATAATTTTCCCTTAGGAGATTCAGCTAATTAAACAAATGATTGCAAAATACCCATGGTGTCAACCCTGCTGGCTCTTACTAAGGACAGCTAAAGCCAAATTTCGGTCATTTATCTCCATCCATGCTGGCCTTTTCTCATGCCTTCATCCTACCCCCAGGACAAGTATGTATTATAATAACAATGTGTGCACACACAAGAGTAAAGTCTAGACAGCAAGGAACTCGAAACTTTCAAGAAAACTCCAGCCAAGTACAGACGATTTAGTATTCTTATGGGCATTCAGCAGTGGAAATTATTTTTTCTCATGATAAGTAATTTATTTTACTTTATCCAATAACAAAAAAAAATTCATTCTACAATTTTGAAATTCTCTCATGGGTTAAATGATCTCACAGGTGTATTCCTTTTTCTCCTTAGAGAGAATTTGTCCTCAGGTATGAAATATTCTTCAAAACAAATCTTTTTGCCTTCTTTAACCCCTTTTTCTCACCTTCCATTTTCAAAATCTCTATCAATTATGTGGTGCTGACATAAAATTTTGGGTCAATTACAATGAGCGGTTGATGAAATGGTGTGAAGAACAGAAAAATTCAAGAGTTTCCTCCCGGGTACAAGCTACTGTAATTTGGACTTGAACATCACCTGATACTATTTGCAAGGCCTAAGAATATATATGGAAATTTAAGAAATGACCTAATTTATATGCAAATACGTGAGCCTCCAGCTTATTGGAATAACCTGGTAGCGATCAACAATTTTCAGTTATGCCTAAGGATTTTCTTTCCTTGGATTTTCAAATGTTTAAGGTTTGAACTAGGATATTCATTGTTGCTTTTATTTTTGCAAAATATGAAAGAGAGGAGAGGGTAGAGTAGGGATGGCAAGAGACGAAGAAAGAAAGGGGGAGGAGGTAAGCTCATAGCTTGCCTTTTATGGGAATCTAGAGTTTATAGCTTTACAAACCTATCCACTGTAAATCTTTAGTTCACAATGTTAAGTACACCTAGCATCTAGTTATTACTCCCCCTTGTGATTAGAGGAAGTTTGAGGAGAAAGCTCTATTAGATTTGGAATAGAGAAAAAGAGGTGGGGAAGGAAGAAAGCAATTCTAAAAGATAAAATCTAAGCCAAAACCAAGCAAACAAAAACCCAATTTCCTCTCCTTCTGCCAAAGAAGGAAACTTTCCCCCAGTAGCATGTTTTGATAAATCATTCAGAAGCAGCATTAATTATTTCAAACCTTTTTCTCTTCCCAGTTCAGGTGCAAACTCATGAACATAGGCTACCTATTCCTGCTTCTCAAATTATCTGATTTACTCTTTTAGGGAAAAATTCTCATCTAAGGAGGGGCTATCAAGGAAACTAAACAAACAAACAAATACATTTATTATAACCTCCCAAAGGCCCTAGTACAGTAACTAGTAAAACAGAGACTGAAAAAGAGGAAAGCAACAGTAGAGAAGTCCAGTAGTATTTCCGCAGTTGAAGGTAATAAAAGGAGATGCTCTCAGGCTTAGACTCAAAAAAGTGTACATTCAAAATGTGTTATTACCAAGTACAAACCAATGGAGTTACCTTTCGTTATATGTCAATAGGATTTAATATCATAACATGTATTTGTGAAAGTTAAATGAGACAAACAAGCTGGGTGCGGTGGCTCACGCCTGTAATCCCAGCACTTTGGGAGGCTGAGGCAGGTGAATCACTTGAGGTCAGGAGTTCGAGACCACACTGGCCAACCTGGTGAAACACCGTCTCCACAAAAAATACAAAAATTAGCCGGACATGGTGGCAGGCGCCTGTAATCCCAGCTACATGGGAGGCAGAGGCAGGAGAATGGCTTGAACCCAGGAGGCACTGGTTGCAGGGAGGCGAGATTGCACCACTGTGTTCCAGCCTGGGACACAGAAATATTCCTTCTCAAATAAAAATAAAAGTAAATAAATAAATGAGACAAACTAGTTGATGGTTAATTCATTTTTTAAAAAGGTAAGATTATTCTATGTACATCATTCATTACAGAAGAACCTGGATTTGCTTTTTTTTTTTAATGTCCTTTTTTTTTTCTTTTAAGATGGGGGTCTTGCTCTGTTGCCCAGGCTGGAGTGCTATAGCCTAATCATGGCTCCCTGCAGCCTCAAACTCCTGAGCTCAAGTGATCCTCCCACCTCAGCCCCACGAGTGGCTGGGACTGCAGTTATGCACAACCATGTACAGCAAATTTAATTTTTTTTTTCGGGGGGAGGGGTGGGCAGAGACAGGGTCTCACTATGTTGACCATGCTGGTCCTGACCTCCTAGCTTCAAGTAATCCACCCACCTTGGCCTACCCAAAGTGTTGGGATTACAGGCATGAGAGCTGGCCTTTTCACATGTCTTATCTCCAAAACCTAAGCAATATCAACCAAACAATTAAAAAGAAAAAAAAAACCTGCCAAATTATGCCCATTATAAAGAAAACAACAACAATAACAACAAAAAACTACCATAAGTATACTTTTTTTTCCTCTTAGTTTAAGAATCACATGGCCAGGTACAGTGGCTCATTCCTGAAATTCTAGCACTTTGGGAGGCCAAGGTGAGAGAATTTCTTGAGCACAAGAGTTTGAGACCAGCACAGGCAACATAGTGAGAACTCTGTATCTACAAAAAATTAAAAAAAAAATTAGCTGGGCATGGTGTTGCATGCCTGTGGGACTAGCTACTCAGGAGGCTGAGGTGAGAGGATCCCCTGAGCCCAGGAGGTCGAGGCTGCAGTGAGCTGTGACAAGTGTCACTGTACTCCAGCCTGGGTGACAGAGTAAGGCTCCATCTCAAAAAAAGAAAAACAAAACAAAATCACAATCTAACTACAAACTTCACAGTTATATAAAAAAGTATACCACAGAAAGCAATACATATTTAAAACTACCACATAAGTTGCATTACTTTTAAATACTCCAGTACACGCTCCCTTTCTTCCTTCCCCATTTCCTTGCTCCACCCTACCCAAGTTTCCTTAACAAAAACAAAAAACAAAACACTCTCTATCAACAGGACTCCTTATATTAGATGACTTTGAAGATCACTTTTGTGTTATTCTAACTGGCATTTAACTTAGATTTCTTTAAAGATCATTCCCATTTGCTCTAGGCACTTACACAAAGAAAAGAATGTAAGTTAACTTATAGGCAGTGCCTTTCATATTTTATTAAATTAAGCCAACTCTCTTCCCTCCTCTGCAATAAAAAATAACAAAGAAAAGAAATTGAATAAAACAGTACCTTCATGCCTTTACTTAAAGATAAAAGGCATAGACCATTTTTACTTTCAACCGGAGAAATTATGATTTTTCTTATGATAAAACTTGATTCATTAACTTAATATAATAGAGTTGGTTATTCTTCAATTTTTCTAGTCAAAGATGTTAAGCATTTGTGTTTCTGTATTAGACATGTACATCTTTATTAAACCAAAGTAACTCAATCATACATGTTCAAATGTAGTTTTAATTTACCTCACATGAACAAAATTTGAAGTTCTAACAAATAGAAGAATGATCTTGAGTTTACCTGCTTGACAATCTTACATCCTTAAACAGAATCCTAAATAAGGCAAATGCTTAACTACCATGAGAAATCCTATAAACATTTCCTGTTTATTTCCATTTCCTTTTTATAGAGCTAGGTTAATACTGTGCCCAGTAATTTTAAACCACTGTAAACACCCTCTTAAAATAGCTGTGTTTTTCAGAAACTGTTTACAAGGCTTCTTGATTTAAATTTGATTTTTATCTTTATATGCAATGAAATGGTCAAAGTGGTTTATAGACATTTCTTTCTCTCTCCTCTTATGATGGAATCCAGCAAGTATAATTACTACTAAATAGCACCATGAGGTATTTATTTAGCTATAGCTTGGGATCTGGGGAAGGTGATTCATGGTAAAGAGAGTTTCATGAGAAAAAAACTTTATTTTCTTTCTCTTTCTTTTTTTTGCTCCCTCCCCCAAACAAACTTTATCAACAACAACAACAATGCCATTCTAGAGCTTACTCCTCAACTGTATGAAGCACATCATGACAATGGAACTCTTCATTTGAGAGCACCTTCCATGGAATTCTCACTTCATTTAACTTTAAAATGATCATGCAATGCCAGCTCCCCACCCTATCCCTAGGAAATAAGGTCTGTTTACTGACAACAGCGTGTAATTGTTTCTTCCTAGAAGACTACCATGACTATTATTTTTAAGTTGTTTCATAAGAGATGATAGTGAGGGGCCACTAAGAACTTCACAGTTGGCATGAAGATTATTTTAAGCTCAAAACCTTTGAGAATCTATAGATGCAGACAGAAGCCTTCCCAGAACTTCCCTAAAAACAGAACTTCTAAAAATATGAGGCTGCCATAAATTCCCATTTCAGGGTGAGACTACTCCTAGTGGGTAGAAAGAGAACATACCGACTCTGAGTCCCCTTTGGAAAATTTTAATGCCCTAAGGAAGACAAATAGACCAATCATACCTGTATAGATGAACATTATCACAAACTTTCCTAACATCTTCCCGTTCTCCTAAAAACCCATTTGTCTTTTCCAAAGAAACTATGGAAGCCTTTCTCCCCTCTCCCTTTCCCCAACTAAGTTAGGTATATAAGCACCACATTCTAATTGCCTTTGTGTAGTGATAATAAGTTACTCACCACTGAGCAGTCTTTGCAAGTGCATTACACTTTTAAATAAGCTTTTTCTCCTGTTAATCTGTCTTTTGTCAGTTTACTTTGTAGACCTCTTAGAATAAGACCTAGGTGGGTAGAAGAAAAGTTTTTCCTCCCTGGCACAGTATTTTGCTACTTTTAACATATCTTTTACCAACTCTAAAAAATGTAGTTACTCTTTAGAATCTATTCCAGAGTCCTGACTCTAGCACTTAATAGCTGGATGAACTACTTCATCTCTGTAAGCCTCAGCCTTTCATTTCTATAATGAGGATAAAAATATTTATCTTGTCAAATTTTCAAAAGAATTTGAAATATCCTATATGAAACACCAATGTACCAGGTTTAGAATTGCCATTCAGTCAGTGGTGACCTTTCTTATCCTTATTTTATTTGGTATTGCAATTTCTAATGATATTTCCTAAGTCTTCGATTTCGATTTTTCTTGTATTATTCAGTATTACTACTACACTTACAGTGAGGTAGAAGTCATATTTTAAATTACATGTTTATAAAGTCAAAGTTTTTACATGACGGAATAAATGGAAACCATTTATCAATTTTTTCCTAATCAAGAACATATAAAACGTTCAACAGAAGTAAATTTGTTTCATGACAAATACAGTCATTTTAAAACGAAATGTTAATAGGTACCATAAGTATTCATGAATAACGTTGTTATTCAAGGAAAAATATTAGCATAAGGAAGACATTTGGGTTTTACATGTCTCTTGATTTGAAATTATGGGTACTTCAGATTCATATAGTTTTAGAAATGCATAATGTCCTAATATCACACATTCAACTTTCATGGGTAAAATTGAAAAAGGGACTATAAAGTTTCATATCAACCATTTAACATTATCTACTCTAAATCACAGAAAAAAAATATCCAGTGGATTTTATAAAGGAAACACTACACTTAAATTGTTTCCACTTGGCTTCTATGACTTTTATGACTCCAATGTTTCAATAATTTTTGTCCCAAATATTATTCCATAGTACAGACAATAACAGATTTACAAAGTTTAAGAGAAACCTAATTATAGAATGTTTTTCTCAGAAATCATAGAATGTTGCAGCTTTAATATAATAGTTTTTCTAGTTTAGAAATTTTAAAGAGATTAATCTTTGTGAAATATAAGAAAGGACTAAAATTGGAAAGTGTGAATTCTCAAAAATTTGTCATTATTTTTAGATGAGATATTCTTCAATGGTAACAACGTTAAGCTTTTAAGGACACAAAGCAATACTGGATAAAATCTCGCTGTCTTGTTTTTTGTCTTTAAGAGCTTAACTTTGCGACCATGTCAGGCTACTTTTTCTTGGTTTCTGCCATCTGGAGGACAGGAATTTTGAGGTTCATTTCATGATTACCCCTAAAAATTATCTTGAGCAGTTAAAAGCCTTTGCAAGCTAAAAATTGGCTTCTCTAGGCTCCTTCTGGGAAAAACAATAGAAACTGCCCAATGCTGTGTAGCTCAGTAGTTAAGCCTTTATCTTTTGACAATGGTGGCCCAGGTTCAATTCTTGGCTTCTGGAATGATTCGTTTCTGGTTTGCTATTTATGTAACTTTGCCATTTACTGAGGTTTTTTCCCCCCATGGATAGCTTCTGGTTTCTTGTCTTGAATTTTCCTTTCTCTAAACTACCCATGGGGAGATTCCAAATCTTGTAAAAAAGAAACTCCTTACTATGTCTTTGAAGCACCTGAGAGGTTACCTTTGGCAAAGCTCAAAAGCCAGAAATATTGGCTACTTGATGTGGCTAAAGTCAGATAATAAAAGTTTAAAAGGATTTATTTTTTTTAAAGAGCACTATGGTTAAACATCAGCTTAATTAAAATTGGATAAACAAGTTACAGGAATATTTAAAAGGCCTTTATGTTTTTCTCTTCTTGGATCTTGTTTTTCTGGAAAAAGGTTTTTTTTTTTTTTCTTCTCAGTCAGCTGAATCATTTTTCTCCTTTTTTTTTTTTTTTTTTTTTTTCAGTCTTGCCACTCTTAATGCACACATGAGAGGTCCTAAGATAACTTCTGGTAGTGGTAGCCTGGGACTCCTTGGGAAAAACAGAGGAGGAGCCGCAGAACTCGTTTTGGAAAAAAAACCCTGTTTTCCTCATGAAACCCTGGAAATTAAAAGCAGATAGATTCCTCCCAATATCTAAGACTCTGTTCTGTTTTGCTTCGAGTTATCTGATGGTTTTAAGTTTTGGGGTTATCAAAAATTACTTTGAATTATGGGAAAGCTTTTACCCTTGGTGTATAATAAGTAGGTAAAAACATACACTTTAAGAAATGGCTAATGTCAGTTATGAAGAGATACTTAGCTCTTTGCATGCTTGGATCAGAGAATCATGCTCTTGGCCACATGGAAGATATGGAAACATCTGCACCCCTACTGAGAAGTGACACTCCCATGGGGAATGGGCTGATTACAAAATGCGCTGATTGACTTTGGGTTTTACCTTTAAAATTAGGAATTGCAGTCTTCATCCTAGTACTCATTATTTACCTTATAGTATGCTGTTCACTTCAACACTGTACTAAAATTATGGATGTAAGTACTAATGCCTTTGTCATGCAAGCCTTGGACCCCCACCCTGGCTCATGTGAGTTTGCTCAGCCAGGTACAAAGTGGTTTCACTCCTCTCACCTTGGGGTCAACTCCCATTCTCACTATGGCCCTGTCAGCAGGAAGAAGCCAAAGCCCTTGATGGCCTTTTCCCATCGTCATAGCCTACACCTTAAGATTAACAAGTTTTAAAACCCAAAGGGAGGGATTGAAACTGCCTTTCGATTCCTCAGGGATCTTGAACTAGAAATACCATTTGACCCAGCCATCCTGTTACTGGGTGTATACCCAAAGGATTACAAAGCATGCTGCTATAAAGACACATGCACACGTATGTTTATTGTGGCACTATTCACAATAGCAAAGACTTGGAACCAACCCAAATGTCCAACAATGATAGATTGGATTAAGAAAATGTGGCACATACACCATGGAATACTATGCAGCCATAAAAAATGACGAGTTCATGTCCTTTATAGGGACATGGATGAAGCTGGAAACTATCATTCTCAGCAAACTATCGCAAGGACAAAAAACCAAACACCGCATGTTCTCACTCATAGGTGGGAATTGAACAATGAGAACACATGGACACAGGAAGGTGAACATCACACACCAGGGCCTGTTGTGGGGTGGGGGAAGGGGGGAGGGGGGAGGGATAGCATTAACATGTTAAATGATGAGTTAATGGGTGCAGCACACCAACATGGCACATGTATACATATGTAACTAGCCTGCACGTTGTGCACATGTACCCTAAAACTTAAAGTACAATAAAAAAAAAAAAAAAAAAAGAAGCTGCCTTTGCAAAATTATGACTGAGACAGTGAAAGGGATCTGACCTAATCAACTCCATCTTGCTTCTATCCTCCAAACTGCTCCTGTTCACTCCTGGGCATAGGCTGAACTAACTTTGGGAAGAACTTAGTTTATAGTCTAAAACAAAGACAATAACAATCTTTCCCAAGACAAACCCCCTTCTTGCCTGGGGACTAGTTTGCCTTTGTAGGACTAACAAATTAGCCACAAGATTAGAAATTGTGGTTTAGGAGTCATGCAGCTGGAGGCTACAAGATTCTGACCCTCCCTAACCTGCTCCTAAAATCACTACTTGAGATATTTTGCAGATCCTGCACTTGATGGATCAGCTGGCACCACCCAGACTGATAAACTGGCTCATCTAATCTTGTGGCCCCCACCCAGGAATTGACTCAATCCGAGAAGACAGCTTTGACTCCCTATGATTTTATCTCTGACCTGACCAATCAGCACTCCTGGCTCCTACCCACCAAGTTGTCCTTAAAAACTCTGATCCCTGAATGCTCGGGGAGACTGACTTGAGTAATAAAACTCCAGTCTCCCACACAGCTGGCTCTCAGCGAATTACTCTTTCTCTATTGCAATTCCCCTGTCTTGATAAATCTGCTATGTCTACGCAGCGGGCAAGGTGAACCCATTGGGTGGTTACATGTTCACCTTTACACATTTTTTTAATGCAAAATAAACCAAGTGTCCTTGCAAGAACTATGCTCCTTATTTTATATAAAATTTCCATGCAGCCAGTATTTTTTCTACCACCTATAAAGCGTGATACACACTTCAATTTGCGATTCAGTCTTGGCACAACCAGCAAAAATGGAATAAATTTGAAGATAAAAATACAAATAAACACTTTTTTCTTTTAATTTCTAGATGGCACTATTACTTAATGGTTTTATTTTCACACGAAAATCCTCGAAATCTTGCATGTAGGCACTTCAGGAACTATACATGGCTCTACATGAACTCAATGGTCAGAAAGAAGAGAAAAACATGCCCGTAGTCCCAGCTACTCAAGAGGCTGAGGTAAGAGGACTGCTTGAGCCCAGGAGTTCAAGGGTGCAGTGAGCTATGATAAGAACACTGCACATAGACCCCTTCTCTTAAAAAAAAAAAAAAAAGAAAAAGAAAACAGAGAGAGAAAGAAAGCGAAAAACAATGATTCTAGGCCACTCAAGTGATTGATTATATATTCAGGTTTTCCAACAAGGTTTCAGATGATTAAGCTAGATTTTTGATATAGTCAATCCAGTGAAGGTGTTAGAAAAATACATATCAGATGATAAGGAAAGAACAGTAGATTATTGGAGGTCCCTGCTATTAGGGCACAGAAAATAATTCCCCACAATATGGTGCTTTGGCATGCTCAGTGCTTTAAAAATTCAAACGTCTCAGAACCAGGTCTGATGGTCTTTCTGGAAGCACTGGAAGGGATTTCTGCAGAATTTCCTTTTCTGACTAAGAAAGCTTCTTTCTAAAAGAAATGCAATTGTATTAAGACTCCCCTCCCTAGGAATCTCAACAAATATCCAGGAAAAATAAACACTGGAAAAAAGACTGACACAGATTGACTTTCATCTGTTGTCCTGAGGACAGCTCCAAGAGATTACCTGGGAGACTTCATCTGCACAATAAGTCATAACCTGTAGGTCCCATCCTTTGTCCTAAGAGAATCATTTACAAATTAATGTTTGCCTGCCAGGCCCACACATCTCTCGCCTCTGAAGAGAGTATTAAAGCCTAAACTGCTTGGCCCCTCTCCAAGTCTCATACATTGTATATGGCTCCTAACTCCATATGTGCATTAAATAAATCTTGTATGCCCTTTTCTCCTTTTGTCATTTCATGTTCAGTGAACATTAGAGGGCAGAAAGAATGCTTTCCCTTGGCCTCTACACTGCCAAATGCATCTGGTGGTTTAGAACAGGCTCTGAGGTCTACTCAGGTGTCTAGGGCTTGAACTGGCTCAGGGCTCTTCTATATGAAGCTTAATCTGCAGGCTTTAGATTTTTTTTTTGCCAGCCAGCGGAGACTTGCTGCCAGCTACCCCTTCATTCTGGTTATGCTTGCCTGAAGGTTAAGATATGTAAAAGACCGCAGTCTTGATCAGTTCTTTTGGGAAGCTTGCACCCCCTAAACAGTCTCAGCCAGAGCCATGCTAGGTCACCTTAGCATGAGGTTTCACCTACTAAACCTTAAAAATTTTATTTGAGTTGGCTATTAAAGTATCTTCCCCCATAACCTGGATACCTTAATGAACTTTCCAGCCATTTATGTCAAAGGGATAGTCTAGAGACTAATGTATCTATTGACGACTAGTGTCCACTGGGAGTAAATCTCAGAGGCTGTCCATGCCAGTTATAAATGCACTGGTGTGGCCAGACCTTGAAATTGCATTCTTTCACAGTACCAGGGCTTTTAAATTTAGAATGTTAGGAATACCTACCCCACCTCCCCTGCTTCACTCCTGGTTATCCCCCACTTAGCATCTTTTTTTTTTTTTTTTTTTTTTTTTTTTTTTTACTTAGCATCTTTTCCTTTCTTCATCTTCATGACGTTTTTTAGCTGTTGAAGACATCTCCAAAATGCATGGTTTCTTTAAGCCTATAGGCCTGGCAGAGAAGTTAATGACTTTCTATCACCTTGTTTCCAGTGTGAGTGCCATCGGTCATGACAATGATACTATGAAAGTTGTCAGAATCAAAATTCTCCCTCTCTTAATTGTTATTTAAAATGACAAAGCTAGGCCGGGTGTGGTGGCTCACGCCTGTAATCCCAGCACTTTGGGAGGCAGAGGTGGGTGGATCCCTTGAGGTCAGGCATTTGAGACCAGCCTGGCCAACACGGTGAAATCCTGTCTCTACTAGAAATACAAAAATTAGCCGGGTGTGGTGGCAGGTGCCTGTAATCCCAGCTATTTGGGTGGCTGAGGCACGAGGATTGCTTGAACCCAGGAGGCAGAGGTTGCAGTGAACCAAGATGGCGCCACTGCACTCCAGCCTGGGCACACAGCAAGACTGTCTCAAAAAATAAAATAATAAAATAAAACAAAATAATAAAGCTAGAACTAGGAGGAATAAAGCTAGGTCAATAATATTATGACACAGACACGATCTCCTTTTTGGCATCTCTAGCCCTTCAAATAGCTTAAGACAATTCTAATATGTCTATTGTAGATTAATTCTCATACCATCCTTCTCTATTAACAGTTTGTTAATATTTTCCTATTCTGTAGCATTCGGTTTCCTACTAATCTGGCTGGTCAAATAGTTTAATTGATTCTTAAACAGGCTTTGAGACTTCTTTCCCCCTACAGTTGGTCTTATCACTGCCCCAGTTCTAAGGTCCTCATTAGAAAATAGGCTAGACATCTCTGAAAGAATCTTTTCATAGATAGTAACTTCAATTGAGAGTCTAAGGATTTCTCTAATAATGATCTTGAATATAGACATGGTGGAGTTCTGATGGCATGTTGTTATGTCCAAAGAAGAGGGTAAAAAGGTTCTGCAGATGCCAGCAGGGAACATTACTTCTTTTTTGTCTGTTTGTTTTGTTTGTTTGTTTAGAGAGAAGGTCTCATCTCACTCTGTTGCCCAGGCTGGAGTATAGAGTTGTGGAGTTAGCTCACTGCAGCTCACCTTCCTGAGCTCAAGCAATCCTTCTGCCTTAGCCTCCTGAGTAGCTAGGCTAATTTTAAAGAAATTTTTGTAGAAGCCTGGGCAACATGGCAAAACCCTGCCTCTACAAAAAAAGAAAAATTAGCTGGGCATGATGGCACATGTGCTTGTAGTCCTAGCTTGGGAGGCAGAGGTAGGAGGATTGCTTGAACCTGGAAGGTCAAGTCTGCAGTGAGCCATGATGGTGCCACCACACTCAAGCCTGGGTGCCAGAGTAGAATCTGTCTCAAAAAAAAAAAAATTTTTTTTTTTGTAGAGATGGGAGACTTGTTATGTTGCCCTGGCCAATCTCAAACTCCTGGTCTCAAGAGATCCTCCTGCCATGGCCTCCCAAAGTGCTGAGATTATAGGCATGAACCACCATGTCCAGCCAGGAACATTAATTATTAAAGCCTACAAAGTACCAGTTCCTTGGCTGTCTTTATTCCTCCTGGTGCCTCTCTCAAAAACCTAAGCTTCTCTTTTCACTGTGTCTTTTGTACCTATTGCTTTGATAGTGCCACAGTTAACTAACTATACCCTGTTTATATTGTCCAATGGAGAAGTTCTTTTTTTAAAAAAAGTGGTAAAAAACACATAACATGAAATTTACCCTCAATTAACTTTAAGTGTACAGTACAGTATTAACTATATGCACATTATTGTATAGCAGATCTCTAGGGAGAAGTTCTATTTTTTTTCCAAAAAGCATTGTCACTTTACCAAAATCAAACTGAAATTCATTGGTAAACGAAACTAAAGAATTGTGCTTATTTTAAACAGATACGGGCATTAACATAATTGAGTATGGAATTTTACATCATATGTTATTCACATTTTCCCACTTCTCAAATTTCACAAATATAAAACAAAACATCTTATGTTTTAAAATCCCAAAGGATATCAGATTAAGTCCATGTGCTTAAAAAAAGGGGGTTGGTATTAGGAGAAATACATTTACAGCAAAAGTTACACGAATGGACTATTCATTTGTTTGGTCACTAATTCCATAGGGCAACTGATCATAAATTAAGTGCCTGACATTCAGTAACAGATGATCATATCTGACATAATGAAGTTATAATGGAAGGTGTTCGCACACTGCTTGACTATTAAGTGCCCATTTATTGTCCCTGCACCAGGTGTGATAGTGATAGGCTATACAAATCATCCAGAAGAAATGTCAAAATAGGCTCCTTTACTGATAAAGTACCACACATGTTTATTAATGTAGCAGCTTGTCTTAAGTCTGGCCCATCTGCTCATTTAAAACAAATCATTTCCCTACAAATATCTCAGTTAAGAGCATGACCACGAGAAATAGTTTTAGAGCAACAGAAATGGTAAGGGAAGAGGAGAAAAAGAAAAATAGCTGAGCTTAAATAAAATATTATGCTCTTACTTTTGTCTTAGATGCATTTAACAGGAGAAGGGGCAGGGACATAGCTTTTCATATGACATTTGCTTTAGATTAGTACTGCGTGAGTGTAGGCCATCGTAAATGGGCCAGGCTCCAGCTGTTGCTGATGCCAGGTGGGAAATGGCAAATTTCACCAATGTTTTCAAAGTACACATTTCAATAAAGTACAAAATGAAGTACTCCATTAAGACAGTCTCTAGAGCACTAGTTCATATGCATTTAAACTCATCAGAAAATATTTCAGCTGGGTCGATTTTATAAAGAAAAATAATATTGCAGATTTTTGCGAGGAGGGTGGGATGATTTTTAAACTCTGAAGATTTGCTTTTAAAAGCTCATTTTCTGTAAGATACCAACATCAAATTTCTGTATTAACAGGGGAAAACAACAGAAGCAAAATTTAAATGTTTGCCCCTACATCCACCACCCCATCCCCCGCACCCTGCGCTTTTTTTAATTTATATTTTATTTTTTTATTTTAGCAAATCAGAACTACAAGCCTAAGACATTTTCCATCTGGTATCTCAGGTTTTATGTGCTTGCATTGCAGCCTGTATGCTCTGTGTTGTGTCTTAGGATGGTTTTATCTAACAAACAAACAAGTATGCCCTAAGGGTTCCCTCTTAAATGAACAGGCACATTGAAATGAAGAACTACAATTATTCAAATTTGTGAAACAAAGAAAAGGCATGGACCATTTGGTGACCAGAGGTGGTTCCCACTCTATAGCCCTGGCTTCATTTATTCACTTATTAAAACCTAAATAAATTCTGGCAGGCATGCTTTTCAACTTCCAGGAAAGATCTTTATCAGACTCAGTATCACATAAATCCACTAGTAATACTTTTCTAAATAAATTACATCTCAAGATAACTAACCACCCGGTGACCAAAGGGCCAATTCAATTACTTAGACAAGGCTAAAGGTCTCAGACACTCCTAAAATTATTTTTTTTCATCTTTTATAGACTGAAAGGAACCACTTTGCAGTCATGTTTCACGCTACATGTACTTTCAAAGAATCAATAATGGGTGATCTTTAGTCTGAACATGAATTGCCCTTGTCTTCCAGAACAGTACCAAAATCCACCCAAATTATCTAAATTAGAAATCAAGGAATTTCTCTCTTGACATGTCCAACAATTCTAAACAATCAAGGAGGTCTATTTATGCTTTAACTGCAGTGTCTGAATCCACCATGTCTTTATTTCCATTGCTACTGTCTTTTAGTTTGCACTCTCAAGAGCATTTTATGAAATATCCTACTAATTCTCTTTGCTCTCAATCCACCTTAAGCACTGGAATCAATATTTCTATGCAAACTAATTGCATTAATGCCTTCTATGCTTGAAGTCCTTTGTGGTTTCCCACTATCTGTAGGATATTTGGAATTGCTAGGTTTAGTATACAAAGATCGATTATAACCTAGGCTATAATTTCTTTTGTCAGTGTCTTTCTTCCCACTTCGCCCCACATCAGTTGTTCACACTGAAGCCCTACTGAGTACTAGAAGCAATACAGACTAACCTTGGCAATAGATTAACAGATTCACAATCACCAGTCAAAAGTCTAACACTATCCGTGATTTAACAGAATCAATATTCAGCATGAGAATCTGATTGTGTGGGCACAGCAAATGCGGTCTTTTCATTGGTTATCCGTTAGCAGTTAATGCTCTTATGCTTAGCAAAGGCTTTAACCCCAGGGTATTTATTGGAATCCAGGCATGTGTTCCTTGAGATGCTGCTCTTAGAGACTCAGAATTTAGTCCTGCAATTCGAATATGCCTGTTTCTAAACTATTCTGCTACATCTGATCAGAAAAGTGAACCCATTTTGCCCACGGGACTATAACTAGTGTGGGAAATGGAAGGGAAAGAACGAAACGGAATCTTCGGAGAACAGAAGGGGCAGGAGGGAATTCTGTAGTAATTTTTTTTTTTATTATACTTTAAGTCCTAGGGTACATGTGCACAACGTGCAGGCTTGTTACATATGTATACATGTGCCATGTTGGTGTGCTGCACCCATTAACTCATCATTTACATTAGGTATATCTCCTAATGCTATCCCTCCCCTCTCCCCCAACCCTGTAATAAAATTTTAAGGAAAGGCCACACCAATATGATTGGATTTACCTCTCTCTAAGTCATTCTCCACCGTGTAGCTACAGTCATTTTTAAAAATTGAAACCATAGTATGTAGTACTCTATGTAAAAACCCTTCAGAGTTATTCACAGCTTTTAAAATAAGACCATAACTTCCTTCACGTCTTACAAGACCCTGCATGATTGTGGTATGATTTAGGTCCCACCTACATCCTCTGCCTATATCCCTACTCTCTCCTCTTATTATATTCTAGAAATTAGCTTATCCATTTATTTGTTTACTTTTTTGTTTATTTATACTTTCCTTTGTCTAGAATGTGTACTCCATGAGAATAGAAATCTTGACAGATTTGTAAACTGCTCAATCCCACAAATGCCTGGCAAATAGGAGGCCTTACTTAGTTTTGCTTAGTGAGTAAATTAGTTAATATACTATAAATTTCCTACTTCAGGGCCTTTGAACACACTATTCAACTGTAATAATGGCCAACTCACTTTCATTCTTCATGCTTCAGCTCAATGGTCACCTCCCTAGAGTGGCTTCCTTTGACTAACCATCTTATATGTCTTTTATGGCTATAATAATAATCAATTTATAATCTTGACTGTTTAATCAATAATTTTTTTATTGTCCAAATCTCCCACTACAAGGTAAAGTCCATGAGGGCAAAAATCTTTTCTCTCCTAGGCATTCACTATTGTACCGTCACATCAAAAATTAATTTGATTTAAATTCAACTGTATGCATTTAAAAAGAGTTTGAGAAAAGATTCTATTTGCCATTTTACTCAGTGACCACACAGCCCAGAGGGACTGAGGAGCAGTGATCAGGTTCCTTCAATGCTGTCTGTGTCTCCCTACACCCCTCATCACATAGGTATCTAGACACCCCAGAGCAATTTTATGACATTTTTAAATTCACATTTTCTGATATTAAGGAATAACTCACTATTGGACCACATGTCATGAATAATTTAAGAAATTTTTCAAGATCTTTTTTTGGTTAGCTTTACCCTATAATTTCAGAATTTAACCCATGCATAAGATGCAACTGCATAAAAAATATTTGTTGAATACTGAAGGACAGTTGGAGCCCTTAGGAAGGACACAGAGAAAAACTCATGTGTAGTTTTACATAAGACTGTAATAAATTATTTTACATATATTTGAGATTTTTAGTATATAGCCATTCACAACTCAAATATGTTTTTATATAAAATTAAAATTGTATCATAATTAAACCAATAGGATTTAAGGAGGATAAAAATATTGAAAACTCTGTTGAGAACTTTTTTATTTGATCTTACTATATGTGAGATATACTAAGCTTTTGACTAGAGCAATAGAGTATTGCTGCTAAATTAAATTAACCAATATTTGTATAGCATTCTTTAGGTTATAAAGCATTTTCACATATAATATCATACCAATATTTGATACTTAATCTTGGGAAGGAGATTTGTTGGAAAATCTGAGGCACTGTGGCAATGGTTTTGTCCATGGCCATATACTCAGCAAAGTGGGATATCAGGATTAAATGCAGGCATTGGTATTCATGCTATGTACTTACATTTGACTCCACCTAGGATGTTCTGATGCCACATTTAACAGCGAGGCATATTGTTTTTTGCTGCAGTCTTAAAAAATGGAAATAATTGCTGGACCCAGAGCTATCACTAGCAAAGAGAAAAGTGCTTCTTGGCATTGAGAGAGCCAAGTGCTTCTTAGTGTCGATGCTAAGAAGCATATGCCTTTTAGCAGCTAAGGAGAAAAGATTCTCATTCTCCAAGTGGTACTATGTAGGCTGATGTTGTATGTATAACAATTCCAACCCCTACTAAAAGATCTCAAAAAAGAAGATCTTTAAATGCAGGCAATTAACTCTAAAAGTAAAATTTAAAATGCAAGGATTACCGAATATAATTTTTATCATACATATCTTCTACATCTATTGTCAAGTAGGAATTGTTATATTCAAGAAGATTCTCCAGAGTGGCATGTGTGTGTGTGCATATATGCATGTGTTATGTTGAGTATGCCAAATAATTTGGAACCTTGCAGCTGTGGATATGCAGCAGGTGGGGTTGAGCAGACTGTTACATTTGGAGGTCAAGGCAGACCTCTTACTTCACCCCCTCAGGCTTTGGTGGTAACAGCCAACACAACTACCAGCCAGCTGTCTGCTCCAGGCAGTAAGACAATTAATTTTTACTATACGGGTATAAAACTATTTTCTGGTGATTACATAAACATTAACCATTTTGGGGAAGAGAATATTGAAAACATTAAAAAATAGGATATTTTATCAAAGATTACATTTTAATATTTTACAAGATTTAGTACATTAACTTGTATACAATTTGTAATACATCATTAGAATGCCTGACCTCTTTTTGCAGTATGATTTTAGATACGTTTTCTGAGAGAAGCGTACATGTTTATGAAAACAGTAAAAGGTAAAGGGTGGCACTAGAACAAAGATGTTTTAAAGAAAACAACAAGCACACAAAAAATTATTTGTCACTTGGTGAGTAAATAGTAGATATGTCTTCAAACTACTTGTGTCATATTGCATTCTTAAGATGAATAAATAAGATGATGAAAGATTTTCTTAAAAATACTATACTATGGATAGTCAGATCCTCCCACTCCTTGCTGATAATGTTTCATTAAAGATTACTTTTTTTTTTGAGACGGATTCTCGCTCTGTCGCCCAGACTGGAGTGCAGTGGTACGATCTGGGCTCACTGCAACCTCTGCCTCCCAGGATCAAGCAATTCTCCTGCCTCAGCCTCCCCAAGTAGCTGGGACTACAGGTGCGTGCCACCACGCCCAGCTAATTTTTTGTATTTTTAGTAGAGACAGGGTTTCACCATGTTAGCCAGGATGGTCTTGATCTCCTGACCTCGTGAACCACCCCCCTCATCCTCTCAAAGAGCTGGGATTACAGGCGTTAGCCACCATGCCCAGCCTATGGATTACTTAGTACAGTGTATAGGACTGGGCACTAAGTCGTAGTTCCTTTCATATACATGAAAAACTGCCATAGCAGATTTTTTTTAATACCTAGGTTTGAATCCTGGCTCCAAGGCTTAGTATTATCTGTCTTACCTTTATAAAGTTAAACAACTTCTCTATGTCTCAGTTTTCTCATTCACAAAAAGACAATAATAATTGTCTACCTATTTCATGATATTTGGGAGATTAATGAAATAATAATCCATGTCAAGTGCTTAGAATAGAGCTGGGAACAAATAAATGTTAATACCACTCAAAAAGGTGATATCTATGGAAAATCCTAAAGAATAGTATGATTAGCTCTCTTCGGGAAGGAATTATAAGAGAGGGAGTCATATGAATTATATTAGATCAAACACATGATTTCACAGTTAATTTGCATAGTAAATATTAGCTATTATCATTGTCATTACTGACTAGCAATACCTCTGTCAAAACTTGTGATATTTAGACATTAAACATATTTTTTCAGAACAAAAAAACACAGCTATACCACCACTTTTCTGAAAGAGACTAAAAACAAAGTAAGACAATGAGAAATAAGCCCTGGAACCTATAGTAGCAATCTTAGGGAAGCTGGGCCAGTGAATAACCTCAGAAGAGAGAACACAGGAATCTCCGCATGGGATTTGGGGAGAGGTGAAGTTGAGAGAACTGAGCCTGATCATAGCTACTTAGAGACATACTAATCCCGGTGACTTTCTTTTCTCTGGAACAGTGATTTCTCTTCTCTGGAACAGTGATCAAGGGGAGAATCAACATCGGGGAGCCACTGTATTCAACGTGAGCATCATTATCACTGGATCTGCAACCAGTCACATCAAACCTGAAGAAGAATGTTCAGAGCATGACAGTACCAAGCCTTTATTTAACACCCTTTGAATACTAAGAATAACCATTCCATCAGCCAGCATGGAAAGAGAATTTGAACAAATTCTTTTTCCCTTCTCAATTGGCTCCTTTAGAGACCACCAGGACAAACTGACTAACAACCAATATGAAAAACTACCAGATCATTCTACTCTCTGGGATAATTATTCTCAGTATATGAATTATAGACCACAAGGGGCAGAAAGAGTATGCTAAATTATTTCAAATTATAAATGTTAACTTTTAAACAAAAACCTATAATTGGAAAGTATGTTACAGGTTTGCAAAACCCTCATACTTATTCCTGACAATATTGAATAACAAATACATTTTAGCATTAAGTTTAGAATATAATTTTAATTAAAGTCAACACATTCTATTAGTATTATAAAGTATTATGGTATCATGCAGGAACCTAGAGATATGATAATCATGATCATTAAGTCTGAATAAAAAAGTAATAGGATCCTTGTGAGACTAATTGAGACAATGTGTATGAAATATATTTTTCTGTGTTTGATACAAGGTACATACTTAATAAATGGGAATTGTCTTTACCGTTAATATTAACAAGCTATACTCTCTGCCTGTATCTTCTAGGTGTTCACAGTGTACTCTAAATAACAATAAAAATGTTTGGCTTTACAAGCATAGGAACACAGGAAAAGAGTTTTAATTTAATGCAATCAAAGAACTCCGTTATATGCAAGTTTCGTTTGTATTCTATTGGGAGAAGAGTAGGTAAAACTAGGGAATTTATGTTCCCTCCCCCTGTAATGTCTGCTAATCAGATAAGTTAGAAAAGCATCATCGTAGAATATTAGAGAACTGGCCTGCAGACTCTTCAAGGAGAATGCCAGATGTGACATTCCTATTTTATTTTAGTTAATTTCGACTGTTTTTATACTTAACTAGATAATAGCAGGTGTTAATGTTTCCAATTTGTAATAGTAAATCTTTGGCTACAGCCTATTTCTAATATAGATGCACTAGGCAGAACCACCTGCTTATTTTGAACTTTAAAAAATATTTTCAGTGAGTGGATTTGCTGAATATAATTCAATTTGCACATGAAACTTAATGCCTGGCATTTCTCTAGTTCATTGATTATGTGTCAGTTGAACCATATTTATATTACTTGGTTTATTTGAGGGAAAAAAGGTAAAAATAATTGTAATTTTTCAAATGTGAAAAATTAGCTTTGTCTCAGAGTATATATCATAACTGTCAACAGTTTGCAAATGTATAAATTAGCATCCAATATTAGACTTCTTATTAAGACACTACCTATAAAAAAACCCAACAAAATTCACTAGATTTATAAAAAGTAGTAATTAGCTAGGCATGGTGGTGCATGCCTGTAATCCCAGCTACTCGGGAGGCTGAGGAAGGAGAATCACTTGAACCCGGGAGGCGGAGGTTGTGGTGAGACGAGATCAAGCCATTGCACTCCAGGCTGGGCAACAAGAGCAAAACTCTGTCTCAAAAAATAAATAAATAAATAAACAAATAAATAAATAAATAAATAAATAAAAAGTAGTTCACTATATTGGAAGGTGGAATATATTCAATAATTGTCAATTTTTTATATAGGAAAATATTCAAAATAGCATCATTAGTATGGCATTAGGAGGGCATTTTTTAGAAGTTAATGTCTTTTTTTTTTTTTTTTTTGGTAATTGGCAGGAATTTGTCTAACTTCAATTGTTAGTGATGCTGTGAAGAATTTCTATAATGGATTCTATAATGGACTGCTAAGGCTGTCACCAAACTGTACAGGAAAACAATGAAACAGACAAACACAAAATAAAAACAACAAAGTCTCAACTGAAGGATGTGTCCCAACTGGTATATGTAAACCTCAAATAATATATGCCTCTGCTTAGGATTCTGATTTACCTTTAACACAAATTCCCACCCAACCACCTTCATTGAGTGACTCTGTCTGTAATATATTAAGATTTGATTCTAGGGTAGGGCATTTTGCATGTGAGTAGTCAGGAGGCAAAATAACGGTTGGGAGAAAGGAGAGTTGGTGGGGACATATGACCTTCAGAACTCTAACTTTTAATGAGTCCTGCTAAGAACTCTCATGTACTTATTTACAAATCTGCCATAAAATCACCGAAGTAGTATTTCTTTCATTTCCACTTTAGTAAAACTGGGAAATATGCCTCAAAAGCATGTAGATCTTACTTGCGTACAGAAATATATAATCAATCCCATTAAATTAACTACAAAATTATAACAAACTTGTTTTAATAATGAAAGTTTTAAAAATAATAGTGCTTTGAGAAGAAGCTTTTTAAAAAAGTCCTGATTAATGAGACGTATGGCAAGAGGAATTACTATAATGCTGAATGCTGATTCAGAACCTTATTTTTATTAAGTCGTTTATAGTGAAGGCTGTGACTATTTTTCTATTTATAGTGGCAGCTCTAGTTAATTACCTTGTAATGTATTGTGATTTTAATGCACTAGTAAACTATTGGAATTTACACCCCTATTCAGTAATAAAATCTGTAAATTGAAGAATGCACATAAAGCCATCACAGCCATAAATTATGCAGCCAAATGCTATGTACGAACACATTAGATTTAAAGAACAGAATCTCTCAACTTTGCTCATTAGTATATAAATTCAGTGGCTACTTTGCAACTGCAGAGAGTACAACATTTTATTCAAAGGTATTTTGTAACTTGTTACTATATTTTCCTTTTGATTACTAAGAGCAGGTTGAACATAATTCAAATGAACACTATCAGAAAAGAAACACACTGTGACTATGGTAAACAAATGTAACAATAACACAAAATACTTTTTCCCTAAAAATATGAAAGTGAAAGTCGAATAAATCAAGCGAATTGAAAGGAGGTAGAATGGTGACCCATGGATTAAAACTAAAATGATTCACAGGTGAGGGGGAAGAAGGGGGTTAGAATGTGATTTTATATATGTATATAATTTTCAAAATAGAGTTTTAAAACTCAGTTTCAAAGTTACCAATAATTACTTTATTGTCTCAAACACTCAAAGCACAATCACTATTATAAAAAGTAAGTATCAAGTAATCCAAGATATTTCATATGACAAAAGAATAAAATGGCAAAGTATCTGAAGCAGTCTTCTCTGTTATTTTTAGATTGAGTTCACATTGTTAGATTGAGTTTCCTCTGCTAATATTTATGACTATGTTAATATATTTTAAATGTTTTTGTTTCATATTGCTAGACTGATGAATAACAGAAAATTAAGTATGATTTTCCTATAGGAATATAGTCAAGTCCATAAACTATAAAAGGAATTAATACATAAAGCAATAATTCCTGAAACATTAACATATATGTAGACTGGTGAAATTGCTTCAGGAAGAGAAAGAAAAAGATGTAGAGAGTCATGGGTGAATGGAGTAAGGGGAAAACCTAGAGATGTTGCTCATATTTTCAATACGTATGAAATTACAGTAGAAAAATAGAAAAAGAAAAGGTAAGATGGTTAGCTAGTGTTAGTTTGTAGGCAATTCAAAGGATATTGCTATATAATCTCACAAAAAAAATTACTGGAGATAGAATTTCAATTATTTAAAGAACGTAATTTGTCATATTTTTTACATTCAAATAAAAACCCATAACATACAAGAGAAACTCGCTCTCTTCCTCCTCTCTCTCCCATGTCCCTTGTCAACAGATGAGCAGATAGATATAGAGATGTATGTACATTTTGCATGTATAATTTGAATGCATATACATATCAACAATAGTGTACAGTATATTTTTAAATTATAAATTAAGATGAGGGGTTATAGTTGAAAGGAAATATTTTATAGTTCCAAGCTAATGATATTATTATACCAACTCTACCTCATTTCTAATATTTGTCTTTAAATATAAGATAATCTTAAGAAAAATGAGTAAGAGTTTTTGCATTGTTATTTTGGTAATTTGTACAAATCTCTTTATTTGTCTAATTAATTTTATTTTTATTTTGAAAATTGCAGGGCAGGGTCACATGAGCTAGTGATTATAACTGCAATTGGATTGAACAATTAATCACAGAACAATTTAGGAGAGTCTGATCTGTGCATGCAGAGGAATTTATATAATTCCTCCTAAATCGAATAAGAAGTAGAATCTATCAGGACAACCATTTTAAGGTAGAGAGCACAATTTGAGGTAGATATCAAGCAGAAATGACTGTTGGACTTTGGTTGATATGGTTGGGATCTGTGTCCTTGCCCAAATCTCCTGTCAAATTGTAATCCCTAATGTTGGAGGTGGGGCCTAGTGGGAGGTGACTGAACCATGGGGCCAGATTTCTTACGAATATTTTAGCACCATCCCCCTTCAGCCCTGTTTGTGTTACAGCTCCACAGTGTTGTCCTCCAGACCACAGAATGGTAGGTCCACTGATGGCTTGCACCATGCACCTGGAAAAGCTGCAGATGCTCAATGCCAGCTCATAAAGGGCTGTGCCCTGCAAAGTCACAGGGGTGGAGCTGCCCAAGACCATGACAACCCACCTCTTGCATCAGTGTAACCTGGATGTGAGACATGGAGGCAAAGGAGCTTTAAGGTTTAATGACTACCCGATTGAATTTTGGGCCTGCATGGTGGTTGTAGCCCCTTCATTTTGGCCAATTTCTTCCATTTGGAATGGCTGTACTTATCTACTGCCTCTACCCCCATTATATCTAGTAAGTAACTAATTTGCTTTTGATTTTACAGGCTCATAGGCAGAAGGGACTTGCCTTGTCTCAGATAAGAGTTTGGACTGTGGACTTTTTAGTTAATGCTGAAATGAGTTAAGACTTTAGGGGAACTGTTGGAAAGGCATGATTGGTTTTGAAATGTGAGCACATGAGATTTGGGAGGGGCTGGGATGGGATGATATGGTTTGGCTGTGTCTCTACCCAAATCTCATCTTGCATTGTAGCTCTCATAATTCTCATGTGTTGTGGGAGGGACCCAGTGGGAAATAATTGAATCATGGGGGCAGTTTCCCCCATACTGTTCTCATGGTAGTGAATAAGTCTCATGAGATCTGATGATTTTATAAGGAGTTTCCCTTTTTGCTTGGCTCTTGCATTGTCTCTTGTCTGCTACCACATAAGATATGCCTTTCACCTTCTACCATGATTGTGAGCCCTCCGCAGCCATGTGGAAGTGTGAGTCCATTAAACCTCCTTTCTTTTATAAATTACCCAGTCTCAGGTATGCCTTTATTGGCAGAGTGAGAACAAACTAATACAGTGAGTAAGGTGGACAGGAGCTTCATTGAGGGACAGAATGGCTCTCAGGAGACCTGAAGTGGGTAGCTTCTCTCCACAGGCAGGTCATCCTGATGAGTGTTCAGCTCTCAGTGGAGAGGAGACTGGCAGTGGGTGGCTCCCTTCTGCAGGCAGGTCATCCCAACGTCTGTCCAAGTATGGCTGAGTCTGGGGTTTTTATGGGCTCAGAAGGGTGGAAGTGCATGCCAATTGGTCCATGGGCAGCCATGGGAGGGCTTGAACAAAAGGACCATAAGTTCTCAATCCAGGCCACAGACTCCATCCAGAACTGGCAGCCCAACCCACAGGCTTCAGGCCATCCCTGCCTTGAAAGTGGGGTTTAAACCGGACACCCGGCCCTTTCAGCCCGGGAACCTGTCTGCCTCCTGCCTTCAACATGCCATTCATGGTGCCCAGGGTTTTCATGCCTTGGTGGGGGGGGGGGGGTCTGCAGACCTGTGCCAAGCTACCTTCAGCCCCCCAAACCTGGGCTTCCATCCCTGAGCTTGTCAGTGTTCAAAGTTTCAGAGAGTGTCAAGGTGGTGGAGTGGGGCTGGGATGTCAGCACAACCCCAAGCACATGCACACCCAGTCAGGTTGCAACAATGCCCACGCTTGGCTTCAATTTTGCTCCAAAATTGGAGTGGGCACCAGGAGCAGGGAGAGGTCAGGGAGCAGGAACAGGTACTTCTGAGCCTGCAGTGGCAGTGGTGGCTTCCTGGGTCCCTGAGAGCTCAGGGATGGCTGGGTCCAGAGCTGCTACTAGGAAGCTGTCCCTTTAACTTGGTAGGGGGTGCCTGTTCCTGGCCCCTGCCGGCTCAGCAGAGCATGAAGCCCCAGGCATGCCTCCCCTGCTGCAGCTGGCATCCCCACAGCGGCTGTTCCAGACAGGTCACTTGGAACTACAAACTGATGAGCCCCTTGCCTGGCCATTTATTGGCTTCCAAATCCCTTTATCAGTCAGTTTTTTTGTCGTTTGATTTTACATTTATTTTACTTTTTATATGACTACCTATGGTAGTTTATAAATTGTTCTAATTCCTCTTCTTATATTCATGGTCCTTTGAAGTGTGGCTCCTCAATCAAGGGATATAATCTATTTCTGCTCTCTTAAATTGAATTTGCTCTGTGACTTGCTTTGGCTAATGGGACATCAGCAAACATGACAGTAACCTGCTGAATAAAGAGAGAGACATGTGACCATCACCCTAGAGACACCAGGGCAATTTTCAAAAACGTGAGTGAGTCCCCTCCTCTGCAAAACTAACCAGCCTGTTAACTATAAAACATTCAGCCCCAGCTAATTCAGTGGACATTGGCTAACTCTCAAAACTATAATAAATATTTCTTGTTTTAAGTCACTAAGTTTTGGAGTAGATCACTATACTGTCTTATCCATGACCCTAAAGTAGTACTCTTTTTCAAATCATATTGGGATCTTGTATGAGGAACTGAATTCTACCGAAGTCACCAACTCACATTAGTAGGACTCTTACCTTTCAAGTTTAGTAGGAATCTTCTACTATGAATTAATGTGTCTAAAGCAATGCATTGATTTATAATTCATATTTATTTCTCATGATGAACAATTATGTCATAAGCATCCATCTCAGTCCGTTTGTGATGCTATAACAAAATACTTGTGATGGGGTAATTTATAAAGAATGGAAGTTTATTTTCTCACAGTTCTGGAGGCTGAGAAGCCCATCGTCAGGGGCTGGCAGATTCAGTGTCTGGTGAGGGCTGCTCTCTGTTTCCAAGATGGCACCTCCTGCTGTGTCCTCACATTGCAAAAGGCCTAAGAGCAAAAAGGACCTACCTAGTTTCCTCTAGGCCTTTTATAAGGTCATCAATCCATTCATTAGGTCAGTGGCCTTATGCCGTAATCATCTCCTAAATGTCCACCTCTTAATACTAATGCAGTTGCACTGATGATTAAGTTTCAATATGAATTTTGGCAGGGATACAAACATTCAAACCAAGTAGCATCCAAGCAGTTAATCAATATAGAAACCTCAGAGGCATTTCTGCCCCTTTCCCTGTATCTATTCATTGAAATGTCATGTCTCTTCAAAATAACTTATCAGATCCTCACATTGCCAGGACACACACCTAATTTCCCCATCATCTTTTATCTGAACTGCTGAAAAGCCTCCTTCTGCCAATCTCTTCTCCAATCAGCTTATTACCTACACTAACACCAGAAATATGTTTCTCATATCTCGAACTGATAATGTTATGATGTAACACCCAACTGACCTGGGGAAAAATAATTTAAAATATTTCATGTTTTTATCCAGGATAAAACACAAACTCCTTGGTATGGGATACAGAATCCATCACAATCTGCCTCGTTACATCTCTCTAGTCTTTTCCTCTAGAACCGCTCCCCTTTTACTGTGCATCCAGCACAATTCCTTAAAAATACCTTCACATATTTATGTTTTATCTCATTTTTCTTCCCTTTCATGGGATTCGCTTATCATTTTTCCTCTCTTTTTCTCTAATAAAGCACAGATGCATCCTTCAGGATCTAGGCGGTCACCTTCACTGTCAGTACCTTAGAAATCATTGTATGAGTTTCCATTATGTGCCAAGCGCAGACCCGATGGCTCAGGGAAAAATAATAAATATGACATTCTGTGCCCTCACAGAGCATACAGATAAGGGAAAGGATCATGTATGCCACAAAATAAAATCCAGTGTCTTAGGTGTGTAATAACTGAGGCAAGCACAGGCGGCATTTGGAAAACTGACACGTGCACATAGGTCCACCCTATCACACAGTCAGGGAAAACTTAATAGAGAAACTAATATAGAGGAGGGCCTTGAAATGTTGGTGGAAACCTATCAATTAGGCAAGAAGGGATAAGAGACTCCCAGGAGAGGAAATAGGCTATACAGAAAACATGTTCAGAAACGTCAGACCTCATGAGTTTTAATTTATTAAGTAATTAATACTGTTGAAAATGTAAGAAAATATACTGCATTACTCAAAACCAAAAAGTTAACCTTGGAATATTTGGTATTTATAAAATTAAAAAGCATGTCCACATATCAGCTGTGAGAACAAGAAACATTTTGAAAATCATTGGTAAATATTTATTTAAAAGCAGGAGGATTAAATTTGTATTTAGATTATGAGACAGTAAATGTTACCTTTAATTTTTATTTTGTATGACTATTTACAAAAATCTTTAACTGAAACAGGTGGCACCAATTTAAAAATACATAATTTTAACACATATTTTAAAAACTAAATGATGTTAATATAAAATGACTTAGAATAATAATAAAATATTACTTTTCAGGGGAAAAAAATCTGTCAATATGATTTAGATTAAGACATCTTAATGTAAAAAAAAAAAAATAAGATAGTAGAAAAAGAAGGTCCCAGTAAAAAAGTTAACGGTTATCTGGTAATTTCTAAATCTAAATTGGTATTCAACTAGTCCTCCACTAGTTGAATCACTATAAATACTGATTTATTGAAGCCATTGTATTTTAGTTTACAAACATTTCTCAGAGAAATATTTCACATTTTTGTTTATAAATGAGACTTGCTTTATCTCCAGATTACTCACATACTTCATTTTACCCCTGCTTTTTGAACAGGCACTGCATTACAAAATACATATGTACAACCATCATTGCTTTCATCAAAGAATGAGCAGAGTTACTTTTTCTTCATATAAAGAAAAACTCACCTTTAACAGAGGGTCTTTCTAGCTCAGAGTCAAGGTGAATTGGCGGAGAAATGTATGAAACTTGTCCATGATGTGCCTGCCCTGTGGACCCAAAACAAATTGTTAAGAAGACATCATACGTATGTCTTTTCCCTTTTTAAATTGTTTTTATGATATAACACTATTTCACTCCAAACTGAATTAATAGCCTAAATTAAAGAGTAGACATATCTGCCCAAACATAAAAACAATGTGTCATCCGAACATCACCCAATTAAAGCAGTGCTTTTCCAACAATCTGAGTTATGTTTCTTCTTTTTTTGTTGTTGTGAAATTACAAATTTGTTATGGAGTGATAACTTTAAAAACACAATAAAAATGAGTTATAAGAAAAAAAACTCAAAGCAAAGACATATAAAACAAAAGTCCTTATTTTTTGTTGTTAGATTAAATAAATATTAAGTGGCATATTTATTTGCTGTAAATATTTCTTTCTTATTTATTTATTTATTTATTTTGAAATGGAATCTTGCTCATTGCCCAGGCTGCAGTGCAGTGGCGTGATCTCAACTCACTGCAACCTCCGCCTCCAGGGTTCAAGCTGTTCTCCTGCCTCAGCCTCCTGAGTAGCTGGGATTACAGATGTGTGCCACCACGCCCATCTAATATTTTATATTTGTAGTAGAGATGGGGTTTCACCATGTTGGCCAGGCTGGTCTTGAACTCCTGACCTCGTGATCCACTCGCCTTGGCCTCCCAAAGTGCTGGGATTACAGACTTGAGCCACTGAGCCCAGCTTGCTGTAAATATTTCTAAACTCTCGCAATTTCTGCACCTACCTCAGTGCAGATCAGTAATAAACAGTCTGCAGACTGGCACCCAATGTACAAATAACACTTTGAGAAATGTTTATTTAGATCACTTTACAATTATGATTAATTTATATTTTACCTTTAAGATTCACCTCCACTACTTGAACACAAAAGTATTCCTACTGTATTTAATGAAAAAAACAACTAACCACAATTTAAAAGGGAAGTAGATGGATTAATTCTGTCTTCCTTGCAAAACATTTTGTTAGCTAACACACAAATTTGTAATACACTTTCTGTTTTATGAGATGAAAGCATTAAAGTGAATTTTAAGGCCAAGATGCTGATTTGAAAAATTGTTAGCTTAAATATAAAAGAATTATCTAATTTTCAAAGTAGCCATTGTTTGTATACTGATAATAATAAGCAATTAGGATTTTGAGGCAAGAAAGCATAATTACACAGTTCAATTTCTAAAGGTACTTTATATACAGAAGGTTTGAGTGGGAGTGGAGGACCCACTACTTTCTTTCTACAATGGGAATATGCAGTTATATATTTCACACATTTACTATAGCAATTTACAGGGTTGTTAATCTCTTTTCCTAAACAAGGAAAGTTAATGATACATAGATTATGATAACAGTTGGAGTAACTTTCCCATTTCAAGTAATATTCGACTTGTAATAAGCTCCGCTGATTCCTCTTATGAGGCACATTTCAAATAATTAATATGGCTCCCTGTTGATAGTAGCTGCCTTTGCTCCCAGCATTTTTCCAGCTAACAGCAGAGACAGTGGAGAGACTGTAATATACAGAGTCCCTCATAATGGTAACTAAGAATATTGCACATTCACTGGCCATGTTTCAGTGGAATACTAAAAACATTATTATAAAAAGAATAAGACACTAATTGTGTACTGTTAGCAGTTCATGTTCAATACAGTTTATTGAGAACTTCAGATAATCTTAATTATAAAATCACCTCTTGTCCTATGTAACATATTGGTTGCAAAGACATTTCTATTTTTAAGGCCCTGTGTCATTACATACAGATTGGTTTGAAACTTTGTAGATCTTGTAAATATCGTAACTACAATATCGTAATATCGTATGTAATATTGTAAATACAAATATATCATTTACTTTATATTGGCTCAAAATAACCTTAGCATATAGAATAATATTGGTTTTCTGTATAATACTGGAACATTGCTTTCATCACCTAAGACAATAACCACAAAACACTCATACATACCTAATCTCCTTTCATACAACCCCCATCACTATGTACTTTGTTAATACATGTGCATTTTAATACCAAAGAATAGTGGCAATAGAGAAATGGCAGGGTAGATTGCGAATTAGTTTCGATTACATTTACTCTAGGTAAAATGACACATTTATATGGAGATATAGACACACTACATCCATATGTATATATATCTGAATTAAGCATAATTCACATACCACAGCTCACCCATTTAATGTAAACAATTCAATAGTTTTTAATATATTCACAGTTATGCAAACACTACAACCAATTTTAGAACATTTTCATCAAAACCAAAAGAAATCCTAAGTTCATTAGTAGTCGCTCCTCATTTCCTCCCAAGCCATATCAGCTCTAGGCAGCCACTCATCTACCTTCTGTTTCTGTAGATTTGCCTATTCTGGACTTTTCCTATAAATGAAATTATAAAATATATGTTTGTATATTTTGTGATCAGCTTCTTTTACTCAACATAATTAAAAAAAAACTCATCCATTGTTGTAACACAAAGCAGTACTTTACTCCTTTTTCCTAAATAATAGTCTATTGCATAGACATACTACATTTAATTTATCCATACATCAATTGATGAACATTTAGAATCATTTCCACTTCTTGACTATTGTGAACAATGCTGCTTTGAGCCTCTATGTACAAATTTTTATGTGCATTTTTCTTGGATATATTCCCATGAGTGGATTTACTGTGTCATATGGTAATGTTATGGGTAAACTTTTAAGAAACTGTCAGACTGATTTCCGAAGAGGCTGTACTATCTTACTTTTCGATAACAGGATATAAAGGTCCCAATGACATGGGGACATTTTGAGGTTTTTGTTTGTTTGTTTGTTTTTGAGGTGATAGTATAGTTAAGTCAGCATTGACCAGATTTTGAAATGATTAATATTATGATGACTATAAAATCTGGGAAAGGAACAATCTCCCTGAGTATAGAAAGATAAAGCAGAGAATTTGAGCCAGAAATTATGTCCCCATTGAGAGGGTAGAAGGAGAAAAATGCTCTAATGAACAGAAAAACACATAAAAAAACCTTTTGTTCTGAAATGAAAACGTGGACTCTCCACTGTCAGGTATGCCAGAGAAGTAAAAATTTCAAGGGCCTGCTCAATAAAGCCCAGTGCTGTAGCAAAAATCCAAAGGCCATTATGGATTCTGGAAAAGCCTTTATTTTTCTATCTTCAATCTCTTTTCCAACTTTCATTTAATTTCTATTTTATTGAGAAACCCTGTGCAATTTCTACTAAAGTTCAAATAGAAAAAGGACTTGACCAGCATTTGGTACAGGAAAAGGCTCTTCTCTCTTTCTACTGTCAATACTTTCCCTGTACATCTGAGCATAGAAATACTTTATAGAACCATGGAACTAGGACGGAGAAAGACATTTGATAGCTTATATTCCAGAATCTACATTTTAGGATGAGAAAACTGACATCTTGAGAAGTTGGGGACTTTTTCAAAAGTCAAATCAAGGTGGTGGTTGTCAACAGTGGTATCAGAGGCTGGTTAGAAAGCAGATGCTTTACAGCTAGCCTGCAGAGAACTGCCAATAATCCTCATCCTCTTACCTCTCAAGACTCTCTTAGAATGGCATTATTTTCAAGGTACGTGGGGCATAATCCTTCATGTGTGTTGAGACATTAAAAATATTGAGAGCTATTTATTTATGAAAATATGTACATTTTTCCCCATAACGCTAGGTTTACAAACTAGAGGCAGTTTAGTTTAATGGGTAAGATCATGGCTTCAGAAGCAGGACAGCCTGTGTTGCTACCCAGATTTTGCCATTTATTAGTCATATAACCCAACTATTTAAGTAATTATCAAGTTGCTTCACTTCTATGTGCCTTAAATTCCTCGTTTGTTTAATGAGGATTATAACAACACTGACCTCATAAGGGCATTCTGAAGATTAGATGAATTTATACGTAGGTAGTAATTAAAACAGTTTTTAGTACACAGAAAAGTACTTAGTAATTTTTAGCTGTTATTATTACTAGAAGTTCATTCTTTTGTTCATTAATTCATGAGGCACAGGTGCCTTTCTCGGTGTTTGGCATACATAAAACACCATAATAAATGAGAGTCCATATTCTTATGCAGAGTGAGAAGAAAGCAAGCAGTAAACATAATAAATACATGAATTATATCATATGTGCAAGATGCTAAGGTCAATGGGAGCAACTTAGGTTAAAGGGTATCTGGAGTGCGATGAGCAGCTAGCAATTTTAAATAGGGTGCTCAAGGAAGGCCTAATTTAATTTTCATGAACAGCACTTACAGAGTTTAAGAGATGACAAGAGGTAATATCTGACTTTTATGAGAAACTCTAAAAGGATAAATGCATAGGTAAAGGCTCAAACCTAATTTTAATAAGTAAGACTTAAAGAACTAAATATGCTGCTATCAGATGCTTTTCCCCTAACCCATTTATTTTAAATTCTATGCATATTTATAGAAATATTAATAATGTCACCACTGACCAATGGATAAAAGAAGATATCAATAAACCATGAAGTTATGCAATTGGGAAAATAAACACAACTTTCTTCTTTAAGTAAAACCACATTTTACTACCATAAAATCCCCATTGATTTCTACAGTTATACCATTTTTCAACTCAACTTTTCGCCATTTTCTATATAGTGCTGCAAACAAGTTTAATAGCTGATGGTCCTCCAGGCAGATTTTATGCCTTTTTGTTGTTGTTGTTTGCTTTAAATTTTTCAACTGTTGATCATGATTATTTTACTCTAGAGATATGACATTTCTGCTCTTTAAAGACAATAAAATGGATGCCATATTTTTACTCTTGAGGTTTTTAATAATATTATCATTTTGCTTTTATAACGTTTTGGATGTTAGTAAGTTATATCTCTCTGCTCTACTACAATAATAACTCCATGTGGGGAAGAGGGAACCCACACCATACTACATTTAAAAATGCCATGTGGAATTTTTCTAAGTTTTTAAAATACTATGAAAGTAGCTCTGATCCTTAAAAAAAAAAAAAAAGCCCGATTTCTTGTTGGAAATAATCTCTACTGCTGAAACAAACAAACAAACAAACAAACACAAAAACCCATAGGTCAATGTGTTGTTTGTGCTGATGGAAAATTGGACATGCCTAGCATTATAACAGCTTGATTTTTTTTGTCTTCAGGTCCCACTCTGACTATAACCATCTGGCATTTATAAAGTCGGCTCTCAGGTGATGATGTAAACACCAATGGAAAGTCAACATCAAACAAAAATTGTGTAAAGTCAATTTGATACCTATCCTTTTATTCTGGTTTCTTTTTTCCCCCCTTCATCTTAATAATCCTACACATTTGCAGTGAATTTAGTGAAGTATGAGGTAGCAGAGAAACAACTATATGCTTGACTTATCCGAAACATAAAGTCACTGATGGAGGTGCAAAGGTTACTGATGGGCCTCTCAGCGGATTTTACTTGCTGCACAGAAAACATGGAGTAATTTGAAGCAAGGTAACTATGTGTTTGTCTGTGTATTTATTCAGCATCCGCTCCCACTCTGTGGTCGGTATTAAGGATACCATATGAACAAGATAACACTGTCCCTCTATTGAGAGATTTCAGTCTAGGTGCAGGACTAAGCAGTTACAGGAAAGTCTGATATGTACCTTGATAGAGGAGAGAGAGAAGAGCACAGCAGCGGCACCTAACTGAGGTGAGTAAAGTAATGGACAATCAGTACCTGGAGAAAGCTGAGATCTGAGGGAAGAGCATGTCATAGTCCAGTGAAAGACTGTGGCAGTGTATGGGGGACAGGAGGAACATTTTGAGTGGATGCCTACAGATCACAGGAGTGAGACAGATAAGGGACAGGGACCCACATGCCAAAAAGATGACTAATAAAGAATTAAAACTTCAGAGATGTTCCAATAAAATAAAAAATAAAAGTACACGCTTATCACTCAGCTTTAACAATCAATTTGGGGCTATATTATTTCATCTCCTTCTTCCTATGCTGCTTTCCCCATCCCAGAATATTCTGAAGCAAATCCAGGACATATAATTTCATCTGTAAATTATTCGAGAATGCATCTCTAAAATATAGGGGCTTCTTTATACCATTATGATACCTAAAAATTAAGAAAATACATTTTGAAAATGAATTTAGTGTGAAATTTGATACAGCAACTGTTAGGAAGAAATCAACTAATCTGAAAGAGATGAAAATCTTTTAGCCTGAAGAATCACTTGGTCCCAGTGTTGAAACTACATTGGCGTGAGAAATGCTTTATATTTATGATAAATTTCAAGTACTCACAGATACACAGGGGAATAAAACCATACAAATGGCTTTCTTTCTTTCATAACCGTGAAAAATAGACTTGGTGGTTAAATGACAAATGTTAATTTTGAAAGCACCATTAAAAAATATATTCCATGACGTCTCAAATATCTATTGTAGCAAGCATTACTACAAAAAAACTAAAAAAAAAAAAGTTAAAAAAAATTAGAGCAATTATTTTTTGCAAAGATTGAGCAAAATAACACCTCAACACAAATAATAGCAAAAGAGAAAAAATGTGAATGACCTTTCATTAATTCCCTCATTACTAATTTATTCATTTGGACAATATGTAATGTGGGTCTACTATGTGATTGATACCAAGTACTGAAAATAAACTGGTGAATTCTTAACTCTTGAAACTCATAATCAAAAATATAAAATTATTGATTTCAATTGAGAAATCCATTTGCTAAAGGAAAGGAAGCCCAATCAGTATGTGTGTGACTCACAGTAGGTGTTTAAAAATGCTTATTTTTATTATTTCTTGTTTATAAGAAAGACAAAAATAATATTGATATCTGAGAAGTAAAATCTCTTTGGGGTGACTCAGGAAAGACTAGTAGAGGAACAAACACAAAGCAGACATTGTGACTATGCAAGACAAAATTATTTGTCACATTTATACTCCCAATTCTCTTGTGATATTTGAAAATACGATTCATCGTATTATATAGTACTTTTGAAAAAAGAAAAAGATGAGGCATTTTCTGTGACATTTTATTTATGCCAAAATTTAGATAAAGGGCATAATTTGTGAATTTCTTGAATCTGTATTTTTACTTACAAATCAATTCACCTATCAAAACTTTACAACAAAAGAAAATACCAATTATTTAACCCTTTCAATATGCAGCCTAAATATCAAATTCCAAGGAAGCAAAAATGATGAAATTGGCTCTATACTCAAATTCTGTTATGAAAATGTATTTAATACTTATAATTTTGTATGCTCCAGGAATTGTATATTAGATAGAAAAATACTAATAGCAAATATGTGTTTATAATATATGTATTACATACAAATACTTGCTATTTATATTAGCAAGTATGTGCAATATAATTTATATATTGTATTTATATACATTATATATCTTTTGTTTATATATAAACATAAATACACACATACACACACACACCTTGGCTACCCACTAATTATTCTAGAATTTCTAAAATATTTTAACATTTGCTATAATTTTAAAGACAATGAAACCAAAACATCCTTTCACTTTTCTAACCTGCCTTTATTGGAATAGTAACCTAAATGAAAACATTCAGTGATGACTAACTAGGATGAATCAGATGTAAAACTCCACGAGGGTTGGAAGTACCACCTGCAGCTCATATGTGTACTCTGTCATCCTAGGACCCACCAGAATCTCTTAGACATCGTAAGAGCTCAGTGTATTTCTGGTGAAAACACACATCAATGACATAAAAGAAAGTAAGGCAAATGTTAAAATTGCTACATTACAAATCATAAAAAAGAGAAACATTGAAATTCTGGGGAAATTTCAAAAGTTAAATTTATATGCAACTAATTCTGTTTAATTGAGAAGTGTTGCAAATTTGATAACGATGTTAACTCTCTGTCTACCCATTTTCTAGCAGAAAACATTCATGGAGTTCTTAAAAAGGTCTCTAACAAATGAAGGATATAACAATTCACCAAGCAGTGATTTTAACCCAATATCCCTATGTAAAGTAGCTATTTAAAAATACTCTCCTAATGTACTTTTCTCAGTTTATTTTTCCAAAATAATACAATTATTAGGTAGGGGGCAATTGTATCATTATAGTAAACTATAATATGAAAAACTTGGATTAATTGGCACCATATTTCTATTATCCATCTATTTAACAGAACTGAAAATGTTGCTGGTATAAAGAAAATATTGAAATTATGTGTTTAGGATAAAGGGTTATGGTGCTGGAAAAATAATATTAGAATTATTTCAAAGGAGAACTAGCAGGAGAAAATTTGCCTCTAGAACCACAGAAGCTAACAACAAGAGTAAAACTATAAACCAGGGAAGTCACAACAAAGAGGTTTGTTCCCTAGAGGACAGAGCCAAGGAAGTTGGCCTGCTGTGCTTATGTTTTTAAAGTTCTGCTTTAAATCCTATCTTGGCAGGCTAAGAAAAACATAATGTGGTAAATTTTCTTTTCCTGCTGATAGATCAGAAAACATTCAGTAGCACTAATTCAAAAAGCAGAATAAGAAAGCATGTTGAAGGCACAGGAAACAGGCCAGGCGCGGTGGCTCATGCCTGTAATCCCAGCACTTTGGGAGACCGAGGCGGGCGGATCACGAGGTCAGGAGATCGAAACACAGTGAAACCTCGTCTCTCCTAAAAATACAAAAAATTAGCTGGGCATGGTGGCATGCACCTGTAGTCCCAGCTACTGGGGAGGCTGAGGCAGGAGAATCGCTTGAATCCGGGAGGTGGAGGTTGCAGTGAGCCGAGATCGCCCCACTGCACTCCAGCCTGGGCGACAGAATGAGACTCCGTCTCAAAAAAAAAATAAATAAATAAAAATAAATAAATAAATAAATAAATAAATAAAGGCACAGGAAACAAAGTTCATAGGTGGATTGCAACGAAATGCTAACACCTCTCCCCAACCCTCTCCCCGCAAGGAAGGCTCTAAGATACAAAATGTAGTAGCCTGAATTTGACTGAAAAAGTGTTATCAATGATGTAGTGTGACAATATAGATCTCAAAGTAAAAGCTATTTATCATGTATTACTCTCAAATAATGGCCAATAGGCATTCTTCATATAAGCTCTTGAGTCAGTAGACCTTAAAGAAGGCAGATCTATAAGGGAATTAGAATGAGGTCTTTCAATACCAGAGTCGTAATAAACTAAGTGTAGCTCAACTTAGCTGAGAGAAGAGTGAAAAATTTTTAATATCTCCAGTATGGTTCCAGTGTTCAAAGAAGTTCTTTACACCTATAATGATATGGTTAAGCAAACTGATGAAGAATCAGAGGAGGAGGTTTTTAGCAGAATATATATAAATGCTTGTGTGTCCAATTAACGTTCTTATAAAGAAAAGAGACAAGGGGACTCTTATTTTCCTTATAATTAGTTCAGAATCTCCTCTTCTGTTTCATCAATCCAAGTGATCTGTGAGAGGATCTGTCAGGAGGATGGCCCAGCAAGATTTGACAGCATGTTAGTTAGCTGATTGAGATCAATATATGCCCCCAAAGACCTGAATGTGGGAAGTTCCTTGCAAAGGTATTGCAAGGCTTACAAAAATGGGATCAGAATGACCTAAGTATAAAGAGAACAGATTGGCACATAGAGAAATTAAAAAATATGGATATTCTCCCAGGATGATGACAGTGAATTTTACCACCTAATTCTTTTCAAGATAATTTAAAATATATCATTGTATAGAATACAACTTCCTATAGTGAAATTTTGACAACTCCCCTCTGTGTGCTAAAATGCTGTCACCTGAGAAATTGGAATTGTTTGTGCAAATTGTTCATTTTTGACAGATTCATCCTACTTTTATGTTTGCAGCATTAATCAAAGGAATTTGGAAAAGTTAAAATTTAGTTTTACACTCAAAGAATAGGAAGCATTATTAGCATAATTTGGAGGTACTAGGTATTTATATTATAGTTGTCTATAAAAAGTAAAAATTGTCATAGAAGTGAAAATATTTACAAAGTAACAGTATAGAGTTTGATTGATTTTAAGATACTGTGTATTAGACTTTAGTAGAAATATCATTTCATAGTTATGCCATATTATTTAATAGTTTTATGTTTTCTTCTTTAACAGATATCTTAATATTTCTAAAATGGTCATTCCATTTCATTATTTCAAGTTAACGTAGGAATAAATGAATCATTTGGTTCCTATTATATTTCCATTTTGGTTTCCTTTATTATATAAAAAATATCATGACATTTCAAGGTAGCTCTTACTAAAGCAAAGAAAGAGTGAGTGAATGAGTGAGAGAGACGTCAGTGAAAGACAAATAGAGCTCTATGTCATAGATGAATAGAGCTTTCTCTCATATCACAGACTCCAAGATTAAATATTCAGAAAATTTATGTATTAAATCAGACCTGTTTACCTAACAACATGTACCAGCTAATACTCATTAAAATTCTGGAGAACACTTGAAATGGGGAAAAGTGGAAGAGGTGACTTTAATAGAATATAAAAATTCATAGTTTAGAATTTCACTATTAACTTCAAACAATACTTTTGACTCTTCCATAAACAAAGGCTCAAATAATTTTTTCACATAACTCCTGTATGAAAAATCAAGCTCAATCAATTTCAGATAATTTACTTTATGCTTAAACAAAAAAAAAACTTTTTCCATTTAAATGTTCACTGGGCTATGTACTATCACTGGGGAGTTTTCATAGATTTTGCTTAATTTGAATGTTTTAAAGATTCTCACTGATACCACTAGCGAATAGAAATAAAAATGTAAAGGAGAAAATTCTTCATATTATAGTCTCATTTTCTTCCTTCAAGGAAACAGTATCTGATAGATATATTAGCTTGCCTCATGTGGGATTAGAGGTGGTAATTCTTATTCATAAAGGATTTTTCTTTTAAAAATCATATTTTGGGGAAACAAGCAAAGCAGCAATAAAAATGACACCAAGGACATCTTTATAGAAAACAAAACACCTCTACTAGAGTAGATTTAGAAGTTTTTTTTATTGTGTCATAAAATTATATGCCTAATGCATCCCTTGTTTCCAGATACCATATACCATTCAATATTAATTCTGCTTAGTTTAAATTGTTTGGGGAAGGGCTTACTCTCTCCAGTACCTCTAAAATCAGAGAGGTGAATCTATTACCCAGGTCTGGCCATTCAGAGGGTTTTAACAAGCATGTCAGAAGGCACAATCAGATTGTTCCCTGATGACCGATGAGCAGTGCTCATGGAGAGAAGGAACACTACTTCTACAAGAATATGAGTTCTATGAAAAATACAGGTTTGAAGATGCCCGTAGTCATATTGTTGACATCTGGAAGAAATTATCTGAAAAAGGAGCCAATCACAGAAGCAAGCAGAATTACAGTGATGGTGTGAGACATAGCCTTTATAGTGGAACATGAACTTTTTAGTTCTGAAGCAAGCCTCACTCTTTGAAAGCCCAATTACCAGAGAGATTAAATTCCTTATTTTAGTTTTGGCGAATTTGAGTTGGATTTTCTCACTTTCAAACAAAAGCAACTTCACTGATATTGTGTGTGCAAAAGTGCATATGTGTCTGGGAAGCAGAAGTGTTTTCTTCCTTTAATAAGTTTATCAGCTCTTCTTTGGCCATTCAAAAGTTTACTCACATGGTTTCAATTCAACTAATTCAGCCACATATAATTCAACTGACACATCTTAATATTCTGCTTTGAGAATGAGAATATTCAGAGGGCTAGCATATGATCATTTCAAAATTATATTCATTATCAGTGCTCTTCAAGTGCTTATTAGTTGATAAAGGAGAGACAACTTGGACATTTCAGATAGAAATGTCTGCAAATAAAAAACATGGTAAATCACTTCACATGCTAGTGAGAGAGAAACACTCATATATATTTTACATATATGCAGAGAACATGAAATTACTAAAGCATTAAGGAGCATATTCATTACTGAAAAATTATTTCAAAATTCAAAATGTTTGAGGTACTGTTGTGTCTTGATAATATACTTTCAGGACATTAGGCATAAGTGAAAACCCTTAACAAATCCCTTAACAAATATAAGTTGTAAACAAGTTATATTATGGAATGCTGGACTTGATATTATATCCTCTTTTGGTATAGAAGGAGCAATTGATGCCTTATACCACGAGGCTTCACATATCCTTCATTTTTTTTCTTTTTGTATTTCATTGCTAAGTGATTTAAAATGCCACAGTCCAAAGCTCTACTTGTAACAAGAAACTATGGTTTCAAAGAAGCAATGTGGATTATTTCACTTTATTCTACTACAGAACACTTTACCTCCTTGACATGAATGTGGGAGTCTATTTTTTAAAAACAGGCTGAACAACAGAGTTTAAATCCACTCTTAATTTAATTAAAAACCTGTTTCACATCATGTCATATATAAATTATTGGTTCTTATCATCAACATTTTACATCAGGTGCTGGAGCTCAAATAGCCTTGATGTTCTAAGAATTGTTCCTAGAAATTGTATTAATATCTCAAGAAAAAAAAATCACATATACCTACCAAAAGCCATTATCCATTGCTTCCACCTTCATGATGGTTTTATCAAGATGGCTTTACCAAGTACCAATCACTAACCTTATTTCTAAGAAAAGCATATTCTCAAGTAGATTATCTTTACAGAAGAGCCATGACGTTTTCACCCACAGGTGTAAACCAGAAAAGCAATGCTGAATACTAATGTGCCGAACCACCTGCCACTGAACATTTGCTTAGGAAAATATGCAGCTAGTAGACCTTATTAATGATCTTTTCAACCTGATCAAATTGCAGTTAACTGTGTAGACAGCAGACTTGTTTGTATAAAGATCAATACTGAAACTGGCTGAAGAAGTTCCAAAAGAGCCATTTGTCCTATCTGCTATAAAGTGTACCTTTAAAGAAAAAAATTAAATTGTAATTCTAGAACACTGTCATCACATCATCCTGACCATATTACACACAAAAAGGGATCATTTTCATGATAATCTTTTCAGAATTATGCCTGATGGCCTGTAATTGATTCTGATGCTGAGAAGGCTCTAAATGAATTTAGTCTAAAGCTACCTGTTCAGGATAACCCATTAAAATAAACTTCCTTATTAGAAAAAGACCAGAAATGTCTAACAAGTATCTTCCGTTATTTTCTAGAATAATTCTAGGAGAGCTTCCCTATCAAAACAACTCGCCAGACATCAACTTTTTTAAGACAGCACTTGCACTGAGGTTAGGAACATCATTGATAGTATCCTTAACTAAATGCCACTCTGCTTTTTATCAAGAAACAATTGACCTAAAAGAAGATGGTACAGACTAGAATGGACCCTCTACAATAGACTTATGAAAATCATTAGCTAATGGATTGTGCCAAGTTTTCTCAGTGTTCAAAGTGCACTCAATGCTTCAAAACAGCAGTCATTCTTCCTGAATTTCGTGATGATAACTCAGGTTCTGCCTTAACTGTATTTACTTGGAGAATCTTTAAAATATTATATATGTATATATTCATAGCTATGTTTGTATATCTGTATCTATATATCCCATATATACAATATATACATACATTATTTTTCCTGTTTCTGTTTCATTTCTTTGCTCATTGTTACAGATGGTTAAGAAGGTTTCTTTTTGCTAGCCCTTACAAGGCTGAGCCAAGTAAATTTCACTAACTTTAATTAACTTTAATCAAAGTCACATGTCCCAGTACACAAGAGGTTCAATGGTAAGGCAGTGTCGTGCCATGGCATTGAAGACAGGTTCTAGAGATGCAAGACTTGTGCGCTAATTGCAGTTACATAACCCATGAACTCTGTGGCCTGGATATATTGATCTCTCAGCTTCAGTTTCTTCATCTATAAAAAGCAAACAATCCCTTTTCATAGGATTGTGGTGAGGATATTTTTTTTTTAATCATATATAAGAAGCAGGGTGCTTGTCACATAATAAGCACCCAAATGTTGAACTATTGTCATCATCATTGCCTGTATCATCACTATCTCACAGTTGCTGCCTCTGAGACAAACAAGACAATACTAGCATGGTTAATCAAATCCCTTCTGAGACATAGGGTACTTCAGCTTGGTGAATAAGAAGCTGGTATTTAAAGAGCATATTGTTGCCTGAGGTTCAAAACACTATCTTTAACTGAGGCATGCTGGGCAAGTTGGTTAGCCTCTTGGGGGTTCTGCATCCCTATCTATAACATAGGGCTATTGATAGATATTTCATAGAGTAGGGGTCAGCAAACCATGGTCTCCAGACAAAAGCTGGCCATGGCCTGAGTATGTGTGGTCTGTCATAGAAGAATGTTTCCTCTATTTTTAAAAGTTTAGAAGAAAAAAACATACAGAAGTAGTTATAGAAAGAGAAAGAGGAGGAGGAGCAGCTGCAGCAGAAGTACTTCCAACACTGGTAGCAATAGGGATCACATGTAGCCTGCAAAACCTAAAATATTGACTATCTGGTCTTTTACAGAAGAAGTTTGCTAGTCCCTGTCATAGAATTATTGTGAATAGTAAAGGAACTAATATGTGAAATATACTAAGCAGATAACCTGGCATAATTGTAGTTATCATTCTTGCTACTAAACTTATCAGCATTCCTCTAAAGAACATAGTAAAGGATGCACCATACAAAATTCTTCTTGGACCACCTTTTAACTGCTGATTATGGATCTATCTATCTATCTATCTATCTATCCATCTACCTATCTATCTACCACTGTATAACTATACAATATATGGTATATATATATATATATATATATATATATATATATATATACTGTTTATATATAATATATAATAATGTTATAATACATATAAAATATCCTAAACTCATTAGAAAGAGCTTTCTGAAAAGAGTTCTAGCCAGGTGCCAAGGCTCATGCCTATGATCCCAGCACTTTGGGAGGCTGAGGCTAGTGGATCACTTGAGGTCAGGCATTCAAGACCAGCCCAGGCATGGCGAAACCCTGTCTCTACTAAAAACATAAAAAATTAGCTGTGTATAGTGGCATGTGCCTGTAATCACAGCCACTCGGGAGGCTAAGGCAGGAGAATCCCTGGAACCCAGGAGGCGGAGGTTGCAGTGAGCCAAGATCGTGCCACTGCACTCCAGCCTGAGCGATAGAGCAAGACTCTGTCTCAAAAATAAATAAATAAATAAATAAATAAATAAATAAACAAACAAATAAATGAGTCCTACTTTCCTTGGTTCAAAAAATATGTTAAATATGGCAGAGGAAGATGTACAATATTACCTTTGCCAAGAATCATTTGGCAAAAAGAGTTTAGATGATTTTGTTTCACACATCTGCATTTAATGGCAGTCAGTCCTACAACAAAGATTTCCATTTCAGAAACATATGTGTATGTAAATGTAGACACACACACAGACACACATGCACATATACAGAGAGGAAAGAATCATAGGTGTTGCTTTGTGTGTACCTGCCATGTGCTCAATTTTATCATAAGCAATAGTCACATACTAGGGGACTCAGAAATTAATTTCCAATGGGATTTAATGTGATTTTTAGCTCTGACAAGTTTTTAAACCTAGAAATTGTTGCTCGTTACCCCTTGCTATTTTATTACTAATAAGTACAACACAAGACAATAGTGTAAAAGTTAGTAAAAAAAAATTGTTTCAGAAAATTCATGCTACCCTACTTGCCCATAAGGTGCAAAGGTGGAAATGAAACAGAATTGAAAAATAAAGATCAAGATACCTTTTCTAAACATCATTACATCATCCTCACTCTTCTATTTGCCAAATGTTCTAGAAGGCTATGCCTTTTCATATTAATAGATGGCTGTGATCCAGCGATTTTCGTAAAGTCACAAAGCCCATAAGAGGTGACTGTGAAAATAAAATCGCTAACAAGTATGACAATACATTATTTAACATTAATAATTTGACATTAATTATTTAACATTGATAATGACATAGATCCTGATACACAAGTTGAACATGAAGGAGAAAATTAACCAATCCATTAAGAACTGGGAATTCATTGACATGATAGTGAAACAATCTAGAAAAGAAAATATGTTGTTGGGTTTTTTTCTCTAGTAGTGTGACTATTTGGAACAAACATGCAGATGTTTTCTTGGTTTATCATTTGGCTTGTGTAAAAAATAAACTGTTATAAAAGGTAACATGAAAATGAGGATGAGGATAATGATCACATTGATGATATTTATTGAATATTTAATTCTGCTAAACTTTCTGTGAACTATTTTATAATCTCACTTTCTATCCTCACACAAATCAATTAGGTAATTGCTACAGTTCTTTCTACTTTATCGGAGAGGAAACCAAGTCTCAGTTTAAATTATGCTTTATTTTTTCCCCATACTCTGCCTAAAATTTGCGTTAAGTTCGGAGAAAATATAATCCCCAAATTAACACCCAGGATCCTTTAGAAACACCTTTTTGTAGGGTACTTAATTCCAATATTTGTTTAAAATTAAACAATTGATACTTTGAAACATTAGTCTTCATACATAATAAAATGTGAATATCCTTCTAAGACACCAGAGTTGTAACCAAAACTCTGATTTTCCTATGTTTTAATTTACCTTGCTTAAATTCTCTGTAGGCACAAGGCTTTTGAGGAACTGAAAGAAGGAAAGTCTCTAATTTCACTTGATTTGGCCATGTAAGGATAAAAGGCAAGGGCTTCTGAGAAATCTCTTCAGTTCTTTGGAGAAGTAAAGGGGTGCTATGCCTGAGAAGCAAAGGAAAAGCCAAATTGACAGGACAGGAAAGAAAGGGAAGGCTGTGAATGCTGAACTTTAGAAATGCTAAAGATAAGGGGAAAACAATTCTACCACAAAATCACATGGTTCAATTACCAAAGCCCCAAATATAGAAGGGGTACTAACTGCTCCATGTTGAAATACTTCTTTGTATTTTTTTATCCTTTTGTATTTTGTTTTCTTTTGAAATTTGTATCTACTCCTTTACAGTTAGATTCATTAATGTTTAAACAATTCTAAAGAAAAATTCAAGATCATATCTGGTAAATAATCAACAATTACTAATAAAAATTATAACGACAGCAAATACCAAAAAATAGAGGCTATCCAGAGTTAGCATGAAAAAAACTCAAGCAAAACAGTAAAGCCATTTTCAAAGTCATGATAGATTTAATCATGTGTTATTATTAGAACAGGCATCTCGTCTTTTATGAAGTCATCAACAAATCCTTATTGAATCCACATAATATATACAGCCAGTGATTCTCCAACCCTATCCCCTCAGAATCTACCTTCAGGGCATTGTCAAATTTCATAAGAGCTCTGACTTCAGTTTCTGATTTGGTTCCTTTATCTTTGATCTAGAGAGACCCAGCTTTTCTGATCTCCACCAAGACTTACTATGGTAAAGAGGCACAGACACTGATGACAGAAAGAAGTCCAACAGATACGCTGGGGTGGAAAAATGCTGAGCCTCTCTGTGGAGGAATTATGACGAAGATTCAAAATGATTAAGGCCTAGATCCTTCCCTAAGAGACCCCATTCTAATAGAGACAGCAGAGAGGTGGCAGCATGTGCAGGGCGTCATTTGCATATCACAGCACAGGGACCACAAGCAGTCCATTGTGTTGGGATGCAAACTACAATGTATAAGAAGTAGGATATGGGTGGCTCACGCTTATAATCCCAGCACTTTGGGAAGCTGAGGCAGGTGAATCAGGAAGTCAGGAGTTCGAGACCAGCCCGGCCAAGATAGTGAAACCCTGTCTCTACTAAAGATACAAAAATTAGCTGGGTATGGAGCTGGGTGTCTGTAATCCCAGCTACTCGGGAGGCTGAGGCAGGAGAATCGCTTGAACCTGGTGGGCAGAGGTTGCAGTGAGCTGAGATCGTGCCACTGCACTCCAACCTGGGCGACAGAGCTAGACTCTGTCTCCAGAAACAAAAAGAAGTAGGATATGAGGCAAGGTATGCAAGTAGGATCAGATTATGCTTGTTATTTGCCAACATGGTTGATGCATAATCTGCTTGGGGAAGCGGAATAAAAAATCTCTCATTTTATTTTTTAAGAATAGTAGTTGCTTTGAGTTTCTCAATAAACTACACACACGTCTATGCAATAGTGAAAGCCCCCATGAACAGCTGAAAAGTATTCATTTGCAGACGGTAGTTGATAAGCTGGAAAAGTGACTCATTTTCTTTATGTATATATATTTTATTTCACAACTTGTACAATATATACTCTCTAGACATAGTTAAATGGAAATGAGTTCAAATGATTTGCTCAATATCACATATGAACTGGAAAGAATAAAATGCAAGAATTCTAATCAGTAGTTGCTGTCTAATCATTCTTGAGGTGTTCTTTTTAAATATAGGTTGCGGCCCACAGAGTGGCTCACACCTGTAATTCCAGCCCTCTGGGAGGATCACTCGAGGCTAGGAGTTCAAGAACAGCATAGCAACATGTTGAGACCCTGCCTCTACACACAAAAATAAATATTAGCTGGGCATAGTGGATTGTGCCTGTAGTCCCACTCATTCAGGAGGCTGAGATGGGAGAATTGTTTGAGCCTAGAAGTTCGAGGTTGCAGTGAGCTATGATCATGCTACTGCAGTCCAGCCTGGGCAACAGAGCTAAAAAATAAATACATAAATTTAGGTTGAGCATAAAACTGATATTTTTCCATTTTTTAGAGAATAGTTATAATTGTTTTACTTGATAGGTAAAAAGATCCTATGAATAGCTCTTCAATTTCTCAGTAGCCTGACATAAAATTATTCATGTAAAGTGCTTTTACTGCATAGGAATTATCTGAACTGCTTAGGCATGAAAAGAGGTTATGCGATAAGAAGTTATTCATGTAGAAGTAATTGTGAAAGCAATGACAATAAGTAACTTTCCTTAAAATAATTTACAGTTAAGATCTATGCTCAAAATTGTCATTAGTTCACAAGCAAACATGAGAGAAAACTGAAGGAGCCACCACCTAATGGTTTACCTCATTTAGGCTTAAAACTTACATATGAGGTAGTGACTCTTACAACACTGCTACCCTATTCTTTAAGTCAGTCAATCATCACCAAGTACATTTTGAGTTCTTCTTTATGAAGAAAATCTCCACAGGCAAGTGAACAATCACTTGTCTTTCCTTTCCAGGAATCTCAACAACAGGAAGCTTTTATTTGTTTCAAATGGGAAGAAATAGACAACAAGAAATGAATCATGGCTGTACAGATTAGCATTATTTCTTCAAATGAATTCACAGAAAAATATCACTCATTATTTAACAAGAGACAGGTGTTTTCTTCTTAGATTAACTTGTTTAAAAACCAACCAATGTGGTCTTTTCAGAAAGTATTACAAGCAGAAATTTCCTTTCTCTTTTGAATACATTAGTAAAAGACATCACAAAAGCATAAGCTACTACAGTGAAAAAAATACTAAAGACAACATGTAATAATTCCTCCACTCATGTCCTTATCTTGTGAGAGCAAAATGACCACCTGACTAATGCACAGGTGACAATAACTTGTTTTCTCTCCACTGGTAAATGAAATTATAAGTAGAAGAAATGGCTAAATACATTTGTTTGAATATTATCAATGAAACTAGTTCACGTGTTTAAAACTCTTTAACAACAAAAATAACTATGATCTACCTGGTTCTCTCAAGGGCAATATAACCTTACCCACTACGACTATGTCTGTGCAAAGTTAATTACGACATCATGCAAATAGCACCTAGCACCTTTTTTATCTAATAGATTTCCAATGATTCAATGTACTGGTCATTATGTATTAGAGATTTATTCTATTTTTTCCAGGTTTCTAATGTACTTTAAATCTATATTTTACTTTAAGTTACTATTTTTCTTTTTTGAAATTAAATATGTGAATACATTCTCATTCATAGTATAGATTTAGGTAAATTATGACTACACATTTGTTTTTGGCATGACCATATGTTGAGGTCATATTTCTCAAGGTAAGTTTCATCAAGTTTATAAAAAAAGCAATAGGGATTTAAAAAATAAACTATACTTTATAACTTATCGTTTTGAGTTTTGGAAGTATCCGGTAGCTGTCTGGAGGGTAGGCTGAGAGTGGGAATAAGGATGGGGAGGAGTATGTTGAGAATGGAGGCTGGGGGTAAAATTAGTTGTTGCAAAAGACAAGTAATGTTGGGAGCCTGACATGGTTTGGCTGTGTCCCCACCCAAATCTCATCTTGAATTGTAATTCTCACAATTCCCACATGCTGTGGGAGGGACCCAGTGGGAGGTAACTGAATCATAGTGTGGGTCTTTCTCGTGCTGTTCTCGTGATAGTGAATAAGCCTCATGAGATCTGATTTTTGTTTGTTTGTTTGTTTTTGATGGAGTCTCGCTCTGTCGCCCAGGCTGGAGTGCAGTGGGCGATGTTGGCTCACTGCAAGCTCTGCCTCCTGGGTTCACACCATTCTCCTGCCTCAGCCTCCTGAATAGCTGGGACTACAGGCGCCCGCCGCCACAACTGGCTAATTTTTTGTATTTTTAGTAGAGACGGGGTTTCACCATGTTAGCCAGGATGGTCTTGACCTCCTGACCTCATGATCCACCTGCCTCGGCCTCCCAAATTGCTGGGATTACAGGCATGAGCCACCACACCCGGCTGAGATCTGATGGTTTTATAAAGAGGAGTTCCCCTGCACAAGCTCTCTGTCTTTCCCTGCCTCCATCCAAGACGTGAATTGCTGTTCCTTGCCTTCTGCCATGATTGTGAGGCCTCCCCAGCCACATGGAACTGTGATTCCAATCAACTTTTTTTTTTTTTTTGGTAAATTGCCCAGTCGCGGGTATGTCTTTATCAGCAGTGTGAGAATAGAGTCATACAGTAAATTGGTACCAGTAGAGTGGACCGTTACTGAAAAGATACCTGAAAGTATGGAAGCAACTTTGGAACTGGTTAACAGGCAGAGGTTGGAACAGTTTGGAGGGCTCAGAAAAAGATTTAAAAATGTGGGAAAGTGGCCAGGCACTGTGGCCAATGCCTGTAATCCCAGCACCTTGGGAGGCTGAGGCGGGCAGATCCCGAGGTCAGGAGTTCAAGACCAGCATGACCAACATGGTGAAACTCCGTCTCTACTAAATATACAAAAATTAGCTGGGTGTGGTGGCATGCACCTGTAATCCCAGCTACTCAGGAGGCTGAGGCAGGAGAATCACTTGAACCAGGGAGGCAGAGGTTGCAGTGAGCCGAGATCATGCCACTGCACTCTAGCCTGGTGACAGAGTGAGACTCGGTCTCAAAAAAAAAAAATAATAAAATAAATAAATAAATAAATAAATAAAGGAAAAGTTTGGAACTTCCTAGATACTTGTTGAATGGCTTTAACAAAAATGTTGATAGTGATATGAATAAGGTCCAGGTTAAAGTGGTCTCAGATGGAGATGAAGAACTTGTTGGGAATTGGAGCAAAGGTGACTCTTGCTATGTTTTAGCAAAGAGATTGGTGGCATTTTGCCCCTGCCCTAGAGATGTGTGAAACGTTGAACTTGAAAGAGATGATTTAGGGCACCTGGAAGAAGAAATTTCTAAGCAACCAAGCATTAAAGAGGTGACTTGGGTGCTGGTAAAGGCATTCAGTTTTATAAGGGAAGCAGAGCATAAAAGTTTGTTTGCAGCCTGACAATGTGATAGAAAAGAAAATCTCATTTTCTGAGGAGAAATTCAAGCCTGCTGCAGAAATTTGCATAATGAGGAGCTGAATGTTAATCCCCAAGACAAAGGGGAAAAGGTCTCCAGGCCATGAGAGAGGTCTTCATGGCAGTCCCTCCCATCACAGGTCTGGAGTCCTAGGATGAAAAAGTGGTTTCATGGGCCGGGCCCAGGGTTCCCCTCCTCTTGGTACCCTGTGTCCCAGCTGCTCTAGCTGTAGCTGAAAGGGGCCAATGTACAGCTCAGGCCATGGCTTCAGAGGGTGCAAGCCCCAAGCCTTGGCAGCTTCCACATGGTGCTGAGTCTGAGAGTCCAGATAAGTCAAGAATTGGGGTTTGAGAACCTCCACCTAGATTTCAGATGTATAGAAATGTCTGGATGCCCAGGCACAAGTTTTCTGCAGGGGTGTGGCCCACATGGAAAACCTCTGCTAGGGCAGTGCAGAAGGAACTCCACACAAAGTCCCTACTGGGACACTGCCTAGTGGAGCTGTGAGAAGAGGGCCTCTGTCCTCCAGATCTCAGAATGGTAGATCCACTGACATCTTGCACCATGCACCTGGAAAAAGCTGCAGACACTCAATGCCAGCCCATGAAAGCAGCCAGGAGGGAGGCCATACCCTGCAAAGCCACAGGGGTAGAGCTGCCCAAGACCATGGGAACCCACCTCTTGCATCATTGTGACCTGGATGTGAGACATGGAGTCAAAGGAGATCATTTTGGAGCTTTAAGATTTGACTGCCCTCCCTGGATTTTGGACTTGCATGGGGCCTGTAGCCCCTTTGTTTTTGCCAGTTTATCCCATTTGGAATTGCTGTATTTACCCAGTGCCTGTACCCCATTGTATCTAGGTAGTAACTAACTTGCTTTTGATTTTACAGGCTCATAGGTGGAAGGGACTTGCCTTATCTCAGATGAGACTTTGGACTGTGGACTTTTGAGTTAATGCTGAAATGAGTTAAGACTTTGGGAGACTGCTGGGAAGGCATGATTGGTTTTGAAATATGAGGACATGAGATTTGGAGGGGCTAGAAGTGGAATGATATGGTTTGCCTGTGTCCCCACCCAAATCTCATCTTGAATTGTAACTCCCACAATTCCAATGTGTCATGGGAGGGACCCAGTGGGAGGTAACTGAATCATGGGGGTGGGTCTTTCTCCTGCTATTTTCATGGTAGTGACTAAGTCTCATGAGATCTGATGGTTTCATAAAGAGGAGTTCCCCTGCACAAGCTCTCTCTCTTTGCCTGCTGCCATCCATGTAAGACATGACTTGCTCCTCCTTGCCTTCTCCCATGATTGTGAGGCCTTCCCAACCATGTGGAGCTGTGAGTCCAATAAACCTCTTTCTTTTATAAATTGCCCAGTCTTGGGTATGTCTTTATCAGCAGCATGAGAACAGTCTAATACAGAACCTAAACTAATAGTTCTGGTTTTTAGCCTCCAGTTATTTAAAAGGATTAAGACATATTTCCATCAGAAACACTGATTCACAAAGCAGTCATTCTCAACAGAGAGAAAGAGTGAGAGAGACCACATTAATATAACTTTTATTACAGTATATTGTTCTAATTGTTTCTATTTTATTATTAATTATGGTTGTTAATCTTTTACTGTTCCTAATTTAAAAATTAAACTTTATTATATGTATGATTAGGAAAAAGCATGCATATAAGCTTTGGTATCATCCACAGTTTCAAGCATCCACTAGGGGTCTTGGGATGTATCTCCCACAATAAGGGCAGGCCTACTATACATAAATGAATGTACAACCAACCATTGCCAAAGGAGTTGTGTGATATTCCCAAAATTTGGTTTAGAACTTTGTTTAAAATGAACATATATTTCAAGATATGGGCAATTTCCAATAATGTCATAGTAAAAATAACCTATTTGTTTTAAAACCAAGAATTTAAATATGAAATACATGAGGCAGGTAAAAAAGAAACCCCAACATAATGATAATCTGTAGTGACCAAGGAAAAGTTAAAAGTTAAACGGAGTTAACTTTGCTATAAAAACAGTGAAGTATAAAAGTTACAGAAAGGATCTCTTCCAAATGACTAAAATGTATCCTAAAAGTTTTAGTGCTTAAACACTCTCATTTAGGTAGAATATTCTGCTACTCAGCATGACTCATTTTTTAAGAGATTCAAACAGGAAAAGATTTATTCTATTTTTAATAACAGGTGCTGAGGAAAAAGTATGGCTCATTCATGCATTTGTATTTTATATTTTGCCATTCTAGTTTTGATTATTCAACATTTTTTCTGTGCCTGTTTTGGAAGCTTTAACATTGTAGTTACATAATGTATGTTCTAGTATATAAGCATATTTTGGCAAAAGTGAAAATACTGATTAAACATTAATTACACTTCGCTAGTAATGGAGACTTATTTCATTCCTTAAAAATTGTTTGAAAATCAACTATCAGTCAATTTTACTATGAAGCATCAATTAAATACTTAAATTTCAAACTTGCCAATTAAAAGAAAGGTTAGTTTCCTATTACTAGCATATAATCGCTCAAGCATAATTAGAAAATTGAAGCAAATGGAACTTTATTGTGTATTTTAAAGAAAAAGTAAATCTTAAAAATAAGCTTCTTGCATATAATTGCCAATATATTTGATAATCCTTACATAAAGTGATTATAATACTCAAAGCAATTGCTTTACTCAGCACGCTTGGTGATTAATTGGCCTGTCTTCAAGTGTGTCATATAGTAAAGCCCTCAGAACATTTCTTCTCTCTAGGAGTTTCTTCCTTTGTTAATAAAGACCAACATATATGTGTGTGTACACACACACACACACACACAGAGACAGAGAGAAAGATTTTACTTGTATTATTTAGTGAAAAGTGTTCCAAGAAAACAAAAATTTGGTAAATAAATACGTACTTTTCATTCTAATCAGTATAATCTAAAATCGAGGTATAGTTATCTTTTTTAAAATCCCAAAAATAAGTAAAAAAAATCTAGATAAACAACATATCTTTAGTTCATCTGTTTATTTTATGACATAATGCATGAATTTCTAATATTATGACTCTTTTGATAAATTTGATTAAAATGTTGCTTATTCTCTAATTTTAAAAGTGAAGAACTGAGACTTGATTTAAGATTCCATAATTAGACTTTAAGATTTAAATCTTTATTTAAGATTCCATAATTGGTTTTAAAACAAATAGGTTATTTTTACTATGACATTATTGGAAATCAATTGCCCATATCTTGAAATCTTATTTTGGAAAAAGCACTAATTAGTTTCCTTAATTGTAAACTCATGAATCAATGGATGTACATAGATCCTTAAACTTTAATACACTCTCAGTCTACATTAACATGGTCTTGTATTTTGAGTAGCTTAATAATCAGCCTCCTAAATTCTTTTTCTGGCAATTCAGAGATTTCTTCTTGGTTTGGATCCATTGCTGGTGAGTTTTTTGATCTTTTGGGGGTGTTAAAGAAACTTGTTTTGTTAAATTACCAGAATTGTTTTTCTGGGTTCTTTCTCATTGGGGTAGATTATGTCAAAGGAAAGATCTTGGGCTCAAGGGCTGCTGTTCAGATTCTTTTGTCCCACGGGGTGATCCCTTGATGTGGTGCTCTCCTCCTTCCACTAGGGATGGGGCTTCCTGAGAGAAGGACTGCACTGATTGTTATTGCTCTTCTGGGTCTAGCCACCCAGCAGAGCTACGGGGTTCTGGGCTGGTATAAGGGAGTATCTGCAAAGAGTCATGTGATGTGATCTGTCTTCAGTTCTCTCAGGCATGGATACCAGTACCTGTTCCAGTAGAGGTAGGAGGGGATTGAGGTGGGACCCTGGTTGTAGTTTTGATTGCTGCACTGGTTTTCACTAATGCTGGTTGTGCTTGCAGTAAAGTTGTCACATGGGATAGACTCAGGACCTCTGGTTAGCCAGGATGTTACAGGCGGTAGAGTTAGCTGTTGTTTTCTCCTTTCTTAGGGCAAGGTTGTTCTTTTATGAGTTGCTCTAATGGTTATAGCAGCACAATTCCCAATTGCAAAAATATGGAACCAGCCCAAATGCCCATCAATCAACAAGTGAATAAAGAAAATGTGGCATATGTATATATGTTGTGGACAGCTATTGGTTTTGCAGTAGCATTCTTAACCTTATTGCTTTCTTCACTTTATTTTTTTCTATCATTTTTTCTAAGTTATTTTCCAGTTTTAATTTATGTGCTCTGTTTTATGTGCCAAGGTAAGGCATCTTAAACCTTTTCTGGATTTTTTAGAGTGATGAAACTGTTCTATATCTTGATTGTGGCAGTGAATTTATATGAATCTGTCATAATTTTTTGTATGCTGTATTAAAATGAGTGAATTTTACTGTATAAAAATAATATTTTATTTTTTAATAATGAAAAACTATTTTGGAAATAAGGCTGGGTATTCATAAACAAAAAAGAAGAGAATATATTTTATAAATAGTTCTGACAAGGTTTCAAGTACTGATAAACTAGCGGAAAAACATAATTCTTTTGAATGAATTTGTTTTGGGTATTAAATTCCACTGGATGGTTTTCTTCCTTCATTGGCATAAACTAATATGGGAGTCCCCAGTACACTCTTTATGTTGTTACTTTATAAAATTGTAAAGAACATACAATAATATTTTCAAAGCATACAGCGCTAGATATTGTCTAGCAAAAAAATTAGTCATTCCCAAATCACTGTCATATATGTACCTATGCTTTTTTTTTAAAAAAAAAGTATGACTATACTTTTAATATTTACTAAAAGCTAGGATATTTGAAAGATAACGTGAGGATAGTTGAAAATCTTTATAGAATTTCAGGAAGTCCAATAATGTCTGGATAGCATATGCAATTAGTGAAAAACAATAATTCATCTTATGTGACATATCAATTAGAGAAAAATGATACCTTCAATTGTGATGTTATTGACTTATTCACAAATTTTATCATTTATAGAATATAAGAGGAATCCTTTTATCTTTTCCCGTTGCTTCTAGCAACCTCTCAAGGTATACCTTGCCCAGGAAACTAAGAAATGTCTAACAAATGTGTTTTAATTAATTTTGTTTCAAATTTTTCTTTATCTTTTGTGTACTCATGAATGCCATCAGTCTTAGCATCACAGTATTAGCAGTGTGACAAGTTTATTCTCTTTTTTAATACTGAAGGATCTCGTAAGTAATCAGCTTAAGACTTCACAAATATCTATTTTTTTATTGCCACTATAAAATGAGAGTTGTCAATATAAAATATTTGATTTTATTTATACATTAATAAGCCTATCCTAGCTGTGTGCCTAGATATGTGAAAGCATAATGGGCAAATGGCAGAATATTTTTGGAACAAAATCTCATTTAATGTAAAAATCTTATTAATTTATAAGCTCATCTATGGGGTAAGAGCTACAATTTTTTAACACATTGCTTATCCTTTCCAATATGATGTCCTATTCAGACAGGGAATCTGTTTAAAAATAAAAACAAACAAAAACTATGGGAAGTGTAATACTCCGATGGCTAATGGCAATAGCAGCTAAGGGTGCCTTGCCAAATACCTTGCATCTCCTCTTTTTCCCCATGGTCTCCCTTTTCCCTCTTTGAGTATTATTTTATCATCTCACGAATGCTCTTCCTATTCTTTCTCCATCTGGTTTCTTTATTTAAAGTCTGTCCCCAGTGGGAAGGTGTTCATTTTTGGCAAGAGTCATATGTTACATCCTCACAGTGCTTGCCAAATAACCTCACTCAAAGCAGAATGAGTGAGTGAATGAATGAATATTTAAACCATAGGAAGAAGAGTAAGAACCATTGACTAAATGCTACAAACTGGCTGCTTACAAATCCATTCCAAACTTTATACATTTCTAGTAAGAAGAAATCAGCCTTTCTGAAGACAGCCATCAAACCAACATTGAATGGCTTTCTATTAGCATGAATGTAGAATGTATGGTTCAGTGGAAACATGAAACTAACATTCTGCAGATAAAGTTGTACATATTATCCAGCTAGTATATATAACTGTCTTAGATATATGTCTTTTAAGCACATAAAAAAATCTCTATTGTCTAATTATATAACACTACACTGCCAATAGCTCTGTCACCCGGCCTGGAATGCAGTGGCATGATCTTGGCTCACTGCAACCTCTCTGGCCCAGGTTCAAGAGATTCTCCTGCTTCAGCCTCCCAAAGAAGTAATTTTTAAAAATACCATTCCAAAAGCTCCACTGTTTCTTCCTAACCAAAGTTTTTACTCTGGAAATGTTACATTAAATTAATCTTAGCAAGAAAGATTCCCCTAAAACCATTAAGAATAATCAAGCTCTATAAAAAGGATAAACTCACTGCAGTATGCCTAGTTGCCAGAATACATCTCTGATAATGTTAGAAATAGCACTGCATTGATGAGCTTTTATTTGGTTAAAGAAGGAGAAAGAGAGAGACTAAGAAAATTCTATGGGTTTATTCAGATAATCTGTGGAAGAAGAGCTCCTGAAACAAGACAAGAAGACTTGCAGTTACCCCTCTAAGTCAGCTATATTATCAGTCAACAGGCAACCATGCCTTAACATTGGATTTACTCAGGTTCCAATCATTAACAGATTACATTTTGTTTCCATGTTAGAAGGTAGGTAACAATATTTTGAAATTTTAGACCTTAAAAGCAGTGCCACCTACTTTACACGAAAGGCATCATGTGAAGAGGCAGAGTTGTTGAAGTTAATTTTGCCAATTTTGCATCACTTTGGAAATGAACAAGATTTGGAGCACTGCAGAATAAAAACTGGCCAAATAAAAAAAGTATATTTTATCAAAGAATAAGAATTTGTTTTCACCCAGTGATTTCTGGCTACTTGATCATGCTCCTTTTAGGAAGAATGAAGCATGAATACTTTCTCTTCCAAAGCTTCTTTTCAGATATTTCAAACTACCTTCTATGTCTCTCTCTTAATCTCCCTCCTAACCCCCTTTATTTATTTATCCCCTATCTAGCCACCTATCAATCCTATCAATTTATAGATTTATCCATCTATTCATTTATTTACAGGTAGCACTCACATGTCACTTACATGTCATTCATTGTTTTAAGTACTTTACAAATATTAACTCACTCTTCTTAACAAACTTGAGATATAAGTACTATTATAATTTCTCTTTTACTGATAAGGGTACTGAGGCTGAGAAAGGCTCAGTAATTTTCCCAACGTTATATAACTAGAAAGCAGTGAAGCCATTTTTGAACCCAGGCAATTAGACTCGATAGCCATTAGCTAAATACCCTCATCTTTCAACCTTTCGTCTATTGGATTATAGTTCTCAGAATTCATACCAACACAGGCATCCTCCTGTGAACCAACTCTCACATTTTGACATTCTTCCTAAAAGCTGATACCCAGGAGTTCTGAACCCAATTCTTAGGAAGTGTTCTGACCAAATGGGAATAGCATGAAAATGTTCACCTTTGTTCTAGGTGTCATTATAATTATTACTATTATTAATGTACCTGAAGACTGCATTCATCTTTCACACCCCATACCCCAAACTGTTGTTACAAAGTGAACCTGTGGTTCTCCACATTCTGTAAACTTGTGAAGACAGTGACTGAATGTGTTTGATTCATTGTATCTGCAGCATCTTGTGAAGTGACTGGAAAAAAGTGAGTCAACTAATATGTATTTGCTGGCCTAAAATGAATTAAGGGGTTTTTGTCATTGTTCACATGTCAAGCAGAGTCTCACATTTCGGAATTGTATAATACACAAGGAAATAAAAAAACCTAAGCAGAGGACTTAACATTTAGCTGTGTTAGATTTCATCTTTTAATTTTAGATCCTTGATATAGGCTGTTCAAAACCATTTGATTCTTGATTTTATCATCTGGTCTATTCGGGTATTCCTTCTAAATAATCTGTCATCTAGCAATTCAAATTGTCATATCTTCTATATCTTCGTCAAAGTTATTGATGAAAAATATTGAGCAAGAGAGGGCCAAGGACAAAGCTTGTCAAAATTCTCATAAGACTACTTTCTAGGCTAACTCTGATTAATAAACATATTACTTTATTCTCTTTGGGTAATTCAAGCTACTTGTGAGGACGTTACATTATATTAGGTCAAGTCATAAAAGTTGCATTTTCTTACATCAAAACTGTCAGATATTGGCAATTTCATATAGTTTAACCTAATCTAATGTAGTCCACATTTCTTCATTTTCTAGGAGTGTCATATGAGATTTTGCTAAATATCTCATTTAAATAAAAATAAATCCACATGATGCATAACTTTAATAAGATGTATATTATTTTGTTTAAGATTTATTATTATTAACTTGATAGATTTTACAAAAATAAGAAATTTTGTTATTTGGCATAACTTGACTCTTCAAGTTTGTTGCCTCTATAATCAAATAATGAATTCCTCATCTATGGGGCCAAGGCTCTTACTTTATCTCCCACAGCTTTCAGTAAAGTATTTTGCATATCATAAATATTCACCAAATGTTGAATAAATAAAATAAAATAATTTTGAGTGTGGTCATAACTCATTCAGCAAAGAACCTTCATTGAGAGGCTTTATATACAATTTCCTAGAACTACCTCTTTTCAAGATATTTCCTATCACCAATCTAACTTCTATTGGCTTTAATAATTTTTGGCAAAGCCCACTCACATGTGGACATACCATATATATATAGAGGGAAAACACCCTTTTTTCATTAAAAATAACCTCATAACCTCTGAAGGTCTATGGGAATTAAATACATACTGAATCACCCAGGCACTTGGCTCAGATATAGAGACACTGCTGATGGTGGCATGACAAAAGGATAAGGTAAAGTAACATCATCTGCCACAATCATAATGAAATCCCAAAATGAGTCACAGAATCCCTTAAGCCACTGATATCAAGAAATGCAAGTTTAACCTCTGTTTGGCCCTCAGGCAAAATTGATGCCACATTTAAATACTCTGATATTAGTGTTTTTGTATCACTGTATCAACTACTACATGACACTCTAATGCTGAACCAATAGAAATTAATTTCTGATAATGCCAGGTCTAGTCAGTGGAGCCTGGGAATACGTTTCTTATCAAAATCAAGAGTTCTTAAGGAGGCTTATGATACAACAAAGTCACTTATAATTAGAGAAAAATATCAGCAGTGACTATGGGATTCTTTCCAATTATGGATTTCCCAGTGCTTGAATTAAGACTTTGGCTCTAAAATGAAGCAGACTGACACATTCAGACTATGTCTGTCAATATTTCTGGGCTAGAAAGCTCAAATAATTCCAGTATCCTTTGTAAGCTGTCTGACTGCTTTACTGGCAGAGTCTTCTTTCTCTATCAGCATGAATTTAATATTAAAAGATTATTGCTTATTTATTTATTTATTGTTAAAGTAAGCTTCCATTTTCTACCATTTAGTAGTTTTAGGTTAAGAGGGAAAAAACACCAGTGAAATTAGCAGTGTCCTTGGTATGTGACTGTGTATTTATCCGTACTATTCTTTTGAAACCACAAAGCCAAAGCATTCTAAAATATTTTTTCTCATAATTTGACCATTTTCCCCATTTGTCTGAGGTTTATTATGTTTATCTGTGGATGACTACTGTAATATTTTTAGCACTACTTATTAAAACTCATGTCTTAAAGTCTTGCTCAATATTGCTAATTAACTTCTTCATTACCATAAGCAATGCTGCTAAGCTACAGTACCGTCATAAAATTTTTTAAATGAATAAACAAAATCATGTAATACAAACAATGATACAGCTGCTCATTGTTTATACAGCTCAGCAAATAATGGCCAAGTGCTACTGACTGAATCAGTGAATATTATTCCTTCTCATTAATAGAAAAAGAAAGGAATGTAGAATAAGCTGTGCACATTAAAATAACAGGGAACTCACATATTTAGGATGCAATCAATGTTGCATCTCTGTCTGTAGTGCTCATCAATACTCTGCCAAAAGATAACTACATCCTCCTCATCCCATTTCAAGTAATACAGTCAGCCTATTTTAATCATAAAAAATTGCTTTGTAATTTAAAAAGATCAATTCCATTACACATTCACTGTAATTCATTTAAGGTCTTAAGCACAGAATTGGGCACAAATTTAAGTATTCGATAAGTATTTGTTAAAAGAGTTAAATATGCAAAATTACATAACCTTATCATTTAGAATAATTAAGGACACCTAAAAGCCCTCTGAATTATCTCAGAGACAGTATACTTAGAATCTAAATATAGGTAATCATGATGGCTATTAGTGAAACAAGAAACGGATTCATATTTTAAGCTTTACTTTTTCTTATGGTTTAGAAATGCTTACACTTCCCAAGGCTTGTGTAAACTTTAATTTTACCGCTTTTACTATTTCATATTATTTTAAACAGGAATAATATCAGAATTGCCACACATCCTAATAGAAATAGGGTAGAGTATGAATAAATAAATCAACATCAGTAACAAAAATCAATGACTGTATTTTCATTTCTAAATTGGAGTTAGAGTCGGGATAAAACTAAAAGAATTAATGAAAACCAAGCAAAGATCTTCAGAATAACCGGCTACTACTCACCCTAACTCACTAAGCCAAATATTTCTGGAAGTAAACTATAATGATGCATATAGAAAAGAAGTGAAGAGAGAGGTTAACATACATAAAGAAATGTTTCTCTTAAAAGTACTTATTTCATTAAGTGAGACAACACTTTCTTTTTTCTTTTTCTTTTCTTTTCTTTTTTTTTTTTTTTTGGAGGCAGAATTTTGCTCTTTTTGCCCAGGCTGGCTGGAGTGCAATGGCACGATCTCGGCTCACTGCAACCTCTGCTTCCCCGGTTCAAGTGATTCTCCTGCCTCAGCCTCCCAAGTAGCTGGGATTACAGGCATGCACCACTGTGCCTGGCTAATTTTGTATTTTTAGTAGAGATGGGGTTTCTCCATGTTGGTCAGGCTGGTCTCAAACTCCTGACCTCAGGTGATCCACCCTCCTCAGCCTCCCAAAGCACTGGGATTACAGGCGTGAGCCACCATGCCCAGCTGAGACAACATTTTCATGCATAATTTTAGAAATTAAAAAGATATGTTTTTAGAGTCCCTTTTAACCATATTAGAATATTTAATTCAACAGATTCAGATTTGAAAAGATGCTTTTACATTTTATAGTCTTAGTTGGATCAAAGTCAAGAGATGCTTCTGTCTTTAAGAGAAAAGTAAGAGCAACAGGGTCTGGAACAAACACATCAGCCTGATTCAGGATGGGCAAGATCTCTGGTTCCCTACTTTCACTCAGACCTCAGCTGGCAAAGCTGAGTGCCATTCATGCTGGCCTTGAAGAGGCAGAATAAATTAACACAGTCAGAAAGAGGGATTGGTCTCACAGTATTTCAAAATAGCTCTTCATCTGTCTATGTTTAGGGAAATCAGTGGGAATGGATGGAAGAAGGTATCCATCATGTGTTATAGACTATGAGTTAGTACACTGAGAAAATTACAAACATACATGAAAAATTGAAGTTCTACCTGTTCCTATTTTTGAGTATGAAACATAACCTTTGCCTTAAGTTAAAATATGGAAATCCAAGGTATTGCCCATGGTGAGAATAGAAGCCTATTGGTTCCTTTTCTAAATTCCTTTAACCTATACTAACAGGTCTAATTTGTCTTTTTGTCCATTTTTCACCTCTCCCGCCTCCAACATATGAACAGATCAAAACACTGCATGACTGCCTAGAGTCTCATTGCTCTTCTCACTGTGTTAATTGATTACAGCTATTCAAGGTGAGGATAAATGGCATTCTGTCTGGCCAAGATAAGCCTGTGAGGGACATGTCCATCCTATATCAGGCGGCTGCTCTTCTCTGTCAACCATACAGGCAGTAATTCTGTGAGGACACAAAACAGGGTCATTTACTAAAACAAACTGATGTGCTTCACTGCCTGAGCAGCCTAAGTCTAGAGAGGAAGGTAGTATATATATATTGCTCCACAGCTTCTTAATAGATTAATACACTTACTCATGCTAAGATACAAATTCAATTAAATGTTAGGAAGTCGAGAACAGGGATTCTTTTCCAAACCCAGAATCACCATAAAAAATATACTGACCCAGGGCCTTACTTCAAATACTGAATCAACACATCTTAGGGCTCTGATTTGATGGGATGTGGGAGAGACAGAAAATCAGCATTTTAACATGATCCCGGGGTGATTTATATAGCCTCCTTGCATTAGATAGGAAATTTAGAAACATCTAATTAGTCATTAGGAGATTCAGAAACATCTACATAAACATCTTTATAAAGGCAATCAACAAAAATAGTCACAGAAATTTAAAACACAAAAAACAGTTTAACATATTTTTACTATATTTTGTAGCTTATACTAACCTAGTAGTAGCTATGGAATACACAATAATTCTCTCCCTTTTTTTTTTTTTTTTTTTTTTTTTTTGAGACAGAGTCTTACTGCAGCACCGAGGCTGGGTGGCTCAGTGCTGGATCTCGGCTCACTGTAACCTCCACCTCTGGGTTCAAGCAATTCTCGTGCATCAGCCTCCTGAGTAGCTGGGATTACAGGTGCCTGCCACCATGCCCGGCTAATTTTTGTATTTTTAATAGAGAACAGGGTTTCACCATGTTGGCCAGGCTGGTCTCAAACTCCTGACCTCAGGTGATCCACTCACTTAGTCCTCCCAAAGAGCTGGGATTACAGGCAATAATTCTCAAATTTAAGCAGCTTGTTACAAGTAGATTGCTGGGCTCCACCCCCCCGCAGAGTTTCAGATTCAGTCTAAGGTGGGACCTGACAATTTTTCTTTGTAACAGTCCTTAAAAAAAAATTCAGTTAAGTGTAATCTATATGCACATAGGTTTGATTATACAAATGAATATGATAGGACACTTCTAATTTACCAAATAATTTAAACTCACTGATCACTAAACAAAATTATTTGACTCCCCAAATAATTACATAACATTGTAGTAAAACATTCTAATATTTCCTCTACAAGTGATTTTTTTTTTTTTTGAGACAGAGTCTCCCTCTGTCACCCAGGCTTGAGTCAAATGGCATGATCTTGGCTCACTGCAACCTCTGCTTCCTGTGTTCAAGCGGTTCTCCTAACTCGGCCTCCCAAGTAGCTGGGATTACAGATGCCCACCACCGTGCCCAGCTAATTTTTGTATTTTTAGTAGAGATGGCGTTTCGCCATGTTGGCCAGGCTGGTCTTGAACTCCTGACCTCAAATGATCCACCTGCCTTGGCCTCCCACAGTGCTGGGATTACAGGCGGGATCCACCACGCCCAGCTTACAAATGATTTTTAATATTATTACACCATGATAATGACCATCAGTAGTGCTTCTCTCATCAAAAGGATTCACTCAATATTAGGCTGTCAATACTAATGGTTAATATTAATAATAACAAGGTTCGATGAATATACCCACCTATTCCTTCCAAGGGAATGTAAGTACAACATAAAAAGGGCATAGTTGGATAAATTTTAAAAAACCGAATGTTGCAGATAGGCAATTTTTACCTGTTTTATTGTGAAAGCTGAAAGCAAAAATTTTAAAGTTTCACCTCTGGTTAGAATGGTTGACTCTTCTTTTATTCAAATTCAATGTTGGCATTTTTACACTTAACGGTTTTCTTTTAATGTTTTTCCACGTTTGTCCTTACAAACAACTGGTGAAAGCTGTTTGTTTGAAATGTTCAAATGTGAAAGTCAATAGAGAGTACCGCTCAACCAAATAAAGGTTGAGTATTCCTTCTCTGAAATGTGTGGGACCAGAAGCATTTTGGATTTCAGATTTTTCCAGAGTTTGGAATAGTTGTAAATACATATTTGAGATATCTTGGGGATGGGATCCAAGTCTAAGCATGGAATTCATTTATGTTTCATCAGTATCTTATACACACAGCCTGAAGGTAATTTTATACAATGTACTTAACAATTTTGTGCATGAAACAAAGTTTTGACAGTCTTTTGACCACAATCTATCACATGAGGTCAGGTATGGAATTTTCCTTTTGTGGGAGGTTGTTGACACTCAAAAAGTTTTAGATTTTGGAGCATTTCAGATTTCTAATTTTCACGTTAGAGATGCTCAATCTGACATGACACTAGAACTCTTTCTTAAGTCTCTGGAGTGAAAGACCAACCCACTTTGTTATCCTATGTTTCCCTAGGAGAGTAGATTCAATGTGTTACATACTTTTTCAGGGCTATTTAATAAACAGACAGAAGCAAATCCCCTAGCGATACTCAAAACTTTTAAGAACTGCATTTTTTTCTTCCTTAGCAAATAAATAAATAAATAATAAATACTAGAAATAGAGTAAGGCTCTTCTCTTGCAGTTTTATTTTCACAGTAGTACTTTGGCACTTTCCCGGGAATTTGTGTGTCCTAATGACGAGGAGGTGCCAATTAGTTAGCTGGATAACTGTCCTGAACAAAATTAGCAGTTTATACATTCCTTCATGGAATTCTAAGTGAACTATCAGTCCTGTGTTCACGTGAATTATTAGATTAATCTTCAGAAATTTATTTCAAAATTTCAAAGACTGAATATATTCACTAAAATGTTTGGTATAATACAGAAGAGCTCAAATCTGAACTACTCAAACATTTAGTACCATTAAACCTTTGGATCACATGTAGTAAAAGCATGTACTACATAAAATAAAAAGGTATATAGTGAGTAATTAAAAAACCTTTTTTTAGAGAAATTTTCTTTTTTTTTTTGAGATGGAGTCTTGGGCTCTATGGCCCAGGCTGGAGTGCAGTGGCGCGATCTCTGCTCACTGAAAGCTCCGCCTCGCAGGTTCAGGCCATTCTCCTGCCTCAGCCTCCCGAGTAGCTGGTTCTACAGGTGCCCGCCACCACGCCCGGCTAATTTTTTGTATTTTTGTAGAGACGGGGTTTCACCGTGTTAGCCAGGATGGTCTCGATCTCCTCACCTCATGATCCACCCACCTCGGCCTCCCAAAGTGCTGGGTTACAGGCGTGAGCCAGCACACCTGGCCAGAAATTTTCAAATATAAACAAAAGCAAGGAAATGAATAAAGATCTAAATTCCAAATCATTTAACCTGCTTTCAAAAACAATAGCAATATATAATGAACATTTCTCAGATCATTATATATGTTTATTTAATAGTCGCACTGTTGACACACTTAGTAAGTGATCTAATAATTGCATACAACTTTAATGGAAAAGTATAAATCAATACATTCAAGAAGACTCTTGTTGATGCATTGTTTTGGGAAAAAGTTCTCACGGAAAAGATTTATCAACACAGAAATAGCAACTGAATTTTCTTTTTCTTAATACAGAGGATTTCATCACAGATACATTTAATTTACATAAATTCAAGTAGTTCTTTTATGTTATTACAATACTATAAAATTATACTTTGTAAAGATACTTTTCATTATGTACTCCATACTTTGTGCAATAATATATAATAATATCTGTACAGCACATAGGAATATATTTTTTAAAATTCAGTAGATTTTATGATCTATTGAAGAAGTTTCAAAAATAATTTTGATTATACTAAACTTTAATAGTTGATTTCAGACCCTGACCCCAACATATAATTTACTTCAACTAAGTGATTATTTCAGATATTCAATTTCTTATGTGAATTCTGTCCTGAAATTTAAAACTTTTATAAATCTTTTCTGGTTATCTTGTTTTAGTAGTAAAAAAAATAAAATAAAGAACTCAAAACCCCTACTTCATTCACATATAATAGTCTTCTTGCTCACTGTTAGGTTTAGAAAATTTTACCTTTTCGGCGCGTGAGGCCTCTTTCCCTGCTGCCGCCGAGTCGTGCAGAGGCGGAGGCTTGGGTGCGTTTAAGATTCGGCTTCAGGGCTTGGCGCCGTGGCTCACGCCTGTAATCCCAGCACTTTGGGAGGCCGAGGCGGGTGGATCACAAGGTCAGGAGATCGAGATCATCCTGGCTAACACAGTGAAACCCCGTCTCTACTAAAAATACAAAAAATTAGCCGGGTGTGGTGGCGGGCGCCTGGAGTCCCAGCTACTCGGGAGGCCGAGACAGGAGAATGGCATGAACCCTCGAGGCGGAGCTTGCAGTGAGCCGAGATCGTGCCACTGCACTCCAGCCTGGGCGACAGAGTGAGACTCCGTCTCAAAAAAATAAATAAATAAATAAATAAATAAATAAAAACAAGATTCGTCTTCACCGGTAACCCACCGCCATGGCCGAGGAAGGTATTGCTGCTGGAAGCGTAATGGACGTTAATACTGCTTTACAGGAGGTGCTGAAGACTGCCCTCATCCACGATTGCCTAGCACGTGGAATTCATGAAGCTACCAAAGGCTTAGACAAGCACCAAGCCCACCTTTGTGTGCTTGCATCCAACTGTGATGAGCCTGTGATGTATGTCAAGTTGGTGGAGGCCCTTTGTGCTGAACACCAAATCAACCTAATTAAGGTTGATGACAACAAGAAACTAGGGGAAAGGGTAGGCCTCTGTAAAACTGACAGAGAGGGGAAGCCTCATAAAGTGGTTGGTTGCAGTTGTGCAGTAGTTAAGGACTATGGCAAGGAGTCTCAGGCCAAGGATGTCATCGAAGAGTACTTCAAATGCAAGAAATGAAGACATAAATCTTTGGCACACACACACACACACACACACACACACAAAGAAAGAAAAAAAAGAAAATTTTAGCTTTTCCATTACTGTAAAACTGGGAACTTGAATTTGTGTCATGGTATTTCAAATTCTTAACTCTAGAACATTATCAGCTAAATCAATAGTCTTGTTCATCCACTGAGCTACTTTGCCATGTTCCTGAAAGCTTTTAGTTAAAAAAAAAAAAAAAGCTGTCATAGGAATCCAGACCATCTGGCAAGTCAATATATTCATACTTGGGGGATAATTCAGTGAAGGTTATGAAAAGTAGCAGAATATGCTGCCCCAAAATATGCCACTTGGCATATTGATGATTTTGAACTGAAGACAATTGGAAATAGATACAAGGCAAGCTCTAAGCAGACTACAAATTTACAAAGGTATCCCCTCTCTCCTCTCTACTAGGAAAAATAGAAGTTAATCACCAGAGACAACTTTAAACCTTTATCAGCCTGGAGACGGCACCAGAAGAATCCACATAATAAACCTTACTAACTACAGCAGTCTCCTCTTATCCGTGGAGAATGTGTCCCAAGGCCCCCCAGTGGATGCCTGAAACAACCGATAGCAGCAAATAGTACACATACCAGGTTTTTCCCCATACATACACACCTATAACAAAGTTTAATTTATAAATTAGGCACAGTAAGAGATTAACAACAATAATTTATAATAAAATAGAACAATTATAACAATATACTGCAATACAAATTATATGAATACAGTCTCTCTTTCTCTCAAAATATTATATTGTACCATACAGTCATCTTTCTGTATCCACATAGTATTGGTTCCTGATCTTCTCGGGGATTTTCTGTGGATGCTTAAGTCCCTGATATAAAATGGTATAGTATTTGCATATAACCTACACACATCCTCCCATACAGTTTAAATCATCTCTGCATTACTTATAATCACTAATACAATGTAAATATAATTTAGACAGTTGTTATACTGTATTGTTTTTCTAAAAAATCGTATTATTTTTTATTTTTATTTTTTTTTTATGTTTCCCTTTCCTGAATTTTTTCTTTTTCTTTCTTTTTTTTTTTTTTGAGACAGAGTTTTGCTCTTGTTGCCCAGGCTGGAGTGCAATGGCGCGATCTTGGCTCACTGCAACCTCCGCCTCCCAGGTTCAAGTGATTCTCCTGCCTCAGCCTCCTGAGTAGCTGGGATTATAGGTACCTGCCACCGTGCCCTGCTAATTTTTTTGTATTTTTAGTAGAGACAGGGTTTCACTGTGTTGGGCAGGCTGGTCTTGAACTCCTGACCTTAGGTGATCCTCCTGCCTCAGCCCCAAAGTGCTGGGATTACAAGCATGAGGCACCATGCCCGGCCTGTTTCCTGAATATTTTTGATCTGATGTTGTTTACTCACCTGTTTGCAGACCTCGGTTGACCGCAGGTAACTGAAACTGCGGATAGCAAAACTGCAGATAAGGGGGAACTACTGTAGCTCTCATGTTCCATTAGTTTCCCGCATATATTTACCTTCCCACAATTTGCTGCCCTTACAAGCTCAAAGTTCTTTTCCTTTGTCTTGCCACTTCTCTACAAAATCTGTTGTTTTTTTGTTTAGATGCTATATAGCCCTAAATTCCAATCACCCCGTTGAGTTACTCATCAGAGTTCTCCCATGTGCATCCATGAAGAACTCCTTAATAAACTCCTGTTTTTCTCTTGTTAATCTGTCTTTTGTCAGTCTAATTTGCTGGGCCCCACCAATGAACCTAAGTTAGAAGGAAAAAGGGTTTTTTTCCTTGCCTACAGTGGTATAAAAATATTTTTTTAAGAAATTAAAATATCAAGAATTGTTTAATAAGCACAGTACCTGCAACGCATGGCAGTTATTCTTATAGGCCACACTCCATTAAAATTTCAGAATAAAATTTTACTTTTCGGAAAAGTGAGGGCTTCTTTTATTAACAATGTAATAATTTGGTGGAAAGAATTATAGGAATAAAAGGTTGCTGGTGCTTTAGGAGGTTATAATCTGGATTGTTTTGCATTATTATTGCAGCTTGAGGCCGAATGAGACAATAGTACTAGGAAAAAGAAAACTCCAGTATAAGATCAATTCTTATTCATTATTTCATATATACCAATATTTGATTTAGTATATTACTAAGGGATAACTGATCACATAATGCTTTTCTCTATGTTTCATGTTGTCCAGGGCTTAAAAAGTCTCTGGTGCTAGTGCAGATGATTGTCAGATTCAAGTCTTCTCCAGCTCGGTATTATCCACCTGGACAAGTGCATGTAAACTGTGCTCTTTCTTTCTTCCCTATTCTACCCCGTAACCTTTTACTGAAGAACAGTTCAGTATGATCGACTTTTATGCTATTTTAAGCATCATTGTAATGAACACCTTATGCATGTCTTTGCACACAAGTATGAGAGTTTCCCTAGGAAGAAAACTTAGAAGTAGATTTCCAATATACCAGGTATGTAAAACATGGTATTTTTTAAACAGGGTATTTTAAACATAATATTTTAAAACATGGTAATACAAGGTAGGAAAACATGGGTTTTAGTAGGTGAGGAGGTTGAGAACACACTACCCCATAATACAGAGCTCTGACACATTGAATATTTTAAGCTGAAGAAATTGAGAAATGGCAAATGCAGGAGGGTATCTCTGATTTTCTCCTGAAGCATTTTATAAGAAACTCAAATGAGAGCTGCCCTTCATATACCCAGTGGAAAGGGGCATCTTTATCTCCAAAGATGGAGGGGAAAGAGGAATCAGAATGAATAGGCTTTGCTAAATTTCCCCCAGTTTATTTCACTTAACCCATACTTTGCCCTATCACACTTTTTCATAACTGCACACTTCATCAAATCTCACATAAAAATACTCAGGTTTAACCATTTTGGGGGGTCTTCATTTCCTTAGGAAGTCTCTCATGTCGTGTAAAACTTAAATTAAATAAATGTGTATATTTTTCTATTGTTAATGTCTTTGGTTACAGAGTCCCAGCCAAGAATGTAGATGGATAGAATGAAAATATTGTTTTCCTTCTCTGCAGTTTCTGGTGATGAGGATGGGACTGCATTGGCTAGGTCACTCAACAACTCTGGGGCTGCCACTGACTAAGCCAGCAAAGAATTCTTACTGAGTCAGTTTCCTGGATCTCTACCTGCAGTGGCCAGTGGAGAGGGAAGGTAAGATTTTTTTTCCTATCCAGTCCTTTCCAAATTCAGATTAGCAGGAGAAATTTGTAAGAATTATTCCTTTGAATTGTGACTCTCACAAATTTGGTTCTAAGTACTCAGTGATTATTGATCCTTTTCCTCCCAGGACAGCCATGGCGTTCCTATTTGTCTCACTTTATATCTTGAGAGCTTGGCTTGACTTTACACCTGTCAGGGCACACAGACTGTCAGGCCTGCATCTGTAGGTAGCCAACTGTTAGATAGGGGCCCTGAGATATGAAGATGGCTGAACAGAAATGTGGGCTGCACCCCATTTGCAGCTGATATCCTACTGGCATGACTAGCTTGTAGGAGGTTTTGTCTACATGTGTCATTCTTCTATCTTTGGTAGTGGCACTGGATCATGAGGGTGGCTTCTTTTGCACCCTCTCTGGGGAAGTCTCTTGTATCTGTGGTTAGCCTATAAAAGGCTTATTGATTTTGATTTTGAGTCACATGGAATAGATACCCCTTTGGTTTAAAAAAGGTGGTGGGGAGTGGTTGTGGTTGGCTCATGCCTGTAATCCCTGCTCTTTGGGAGGCTGAGGCAGAAGGACTGTTTAAGCCCAGGAGTTTGAGACCAGTTTAGGCAACACAATGAGTTCTTGATCTCTAAAAAAATAACTAATTAAAGGAAAAGGGTCCATCTCTTCTGGGTCTTTGTAATTAGGGGACAAAAGGGGATTCAATTGTGTCAGGAAAATTTACTGTTTGTCCCATTCAAAACCTGACAATCATATTTGAAAGGATTTTTTTGTTCAAAATACTCTATGGTCGGAAATGGGCTTAACTGGAGGCTGATCTTCAGAGCCTGAGAGGAACTATTTTTGAGGCCTTCTCTCCTAATATGGAATTATGCAGTTATGAAAGGAGTTATCCAGCTTGCTTTAGGCAGACAGTAAGGGAAGGGTCCCTGGAGAACTTCCAACCCACCCCACAAGCATTTATACCAGATGTTTTGTGCAGATAAGGGAACTTGCACAGGGGTCTTGCCTAAACATGCCCACAGTGGAAAATTCCATTCCTTAACACATGTGCAGTAAGAGAAATAAATCAATATGGAGGGACTCAGTCTAAGGACCCACATGTGCACTGGAAGGATGGGGTAGAATTCACACCTTAAGCCCTTGTATTCAACTGTGAAGGAAGCAACTGGAAACCTGCTTTCAGGACCCCTTTTTGTTTTTTGCTGAGACCTTTCCTTTTGCTTAATAAATTCTGCTCCACTCACTCTTTGATGACCTTGTGCCTAATTATTCTTGGTTGTGAGAAAAGAACCCAAATCTAGTTGAGCTAAGGAGGAAAAACCCCGCATCACTTAGAGAGAAAGAACATTAGAAAGGCTTTGTGTAACAATTTATTAAAACTTTCTAAAGGCATGCAACTCATAGGGATCTTTATTTCCATTTTAGTTGGAAATATGTTCTCCGATATGAAGTAGCAAATTCAAGATAATGTAATTTGATAGGTAGGTCAGCCTCTTTATTATTCCAGCTGCAACACAGTTTTCTGAAGAGTTTAAAACAACTACCATTGTCTTACAAATTGAGTCTATACAAACAGAAATGCAGCACTAGGAGCAATTCAAAGCCCACCCATCCTTCTTAACAATCCCCAAATCTCTCCTGTTCATATCAAGATGCTTGCAGATACTTTAAAAAGTCAAAACATTGGAAATATAATTGTCCTGCACTTAGAAAATAATACCTTAAATCTATGATAATAGATATGCCTCAAAATGCCCTCAGAGAAACCATACATCCTTTCTTTGTGCCTTTCAGACATAAATATTTGACCCTGTCCTCTCTAGGACCTGCGGGTGATCTTTTTGCTATGCAAACTTCCTGGGAGATAACTCTTGCTTCTAAACAAAAGGAAAAAAAATAATAGGCGTTTTGAAAACAAACTGCTTCAGTGTCCATCTCCCAAAATTTAGTCCACAACTTCCAGAAAATTACTTATCAACAATAAACAAAAATCTTAAAAGCCTCCTCTATAAATGTAGGTAAACAGGTAACCCTAACTTGTCCCATTTTCCAGAAATACAATTTGGATACAAATGTAAAGTGGAGATAAACCAGTAATTTTTTACTAATACGTTTTACTGAATCATGACTAAAATTTTAGAATAAAACTCTAAGATCTCTGTTTGAAGCTGTCTGTATGGCTATGTATATTTAGGTTTACTTGTGTCAGGCCTCTGAGCCCAAGCCAAGCCATCGTATCCCCTGTGACCTGCACCTGTACGCCCAGATGGCCTGAAGTAACTAAAGAATCACAAAAGAAGTGAATATGCCCTGCCCCACCTTAACTGATGACATTCCACCACAAAAGAAGTGTAAATGGCCAGTCCTTGCCTTAACTGATGACATTACCTTGTGAAAGTCCTTTTCCTGGCTCATCCTGGCTCCAAAAGCACCCCCACTGAGCACCTTGCGACCCCCACTCCTGCCCACTGAGCACCTTGCAACCCCCACTCCTACCCGCCAGAGAACAAACCCCCTTGGACTGTAATTTTCCTTTACCTACCCAAATCCTATAAAACGGCCTCACCCTTATCTCCCTTCACTGACCCTTTTCGGACTCAGCCTGCCTGCACCCAGGTGAAGTGAGCAACAGCCATGTTGCTCACACAAAGCCTGTTTGGTGGTCTCTTCACATGGACGCGCATGAAATTTGGTGCCGTGACTCGGATCGGGGGACCTCCCTTGGGAGATCAATCCCCTGTCCTCCTGCTCTTTGCTCCGTGAGAAAGATCCACCTACGACCTCAGGTCTTCAGACCGACCAGCCCAAGAAACATCTCACCAATTTCAAATCCGGTAAGCGGCCTCTTTTTACTCTCTTCTCCAACCTCCCTCACTATCCCTCAACCTCTTTCTCCTTTCAATCTTGGCGCCACACTTCAATCTCTCCCTTCTCTTAATTTCAATTCCTTTCATTTTCTGGTAGAGACAAAAGAGACATGTTTTATCCGTGAACCCAAAACTCCGGCGCCAGTCACGGACTGGGAAGGCAGCCTTCCCTTGGTATTTAATCATTGCAGGGACGCCTCTCTGATTATACACTCACGTTTCAAGGGTGTCAGACCACGCAGGGACGCCTGCCTTGGTCCTTCACCCTTAGCGGCAAGTCCCGCTTTCCTGGGGCAGGGGCAAGTACCCCTCAACCCCTTCTCCTTCACCCTTAGCGGCAAGTCCCGCTTTCCTAGGGGGCAAGAACCCCCCAATCACTTATTTCCACACCCCAACCTCTTATCTCTGTGCCCCAATCGCGTATTTCCACACCCCAACCTCTTATCTCTGCACCCCAATCCCTTATTTCCGCACCCTGACCTCTTATCTCTGTGCCCCAATCCCTTATTTCCGTGTCCCAGCCCTTTCTCTGCTTTTCTGGAGGGGAAGAAACCCCCACCCCTTCTCCGTGCCTCTACTCTTTTCTCTGGGCTTGCCTCCTTCACTATGGGCAAGCTTCCACCTTCCATTCCTCTTTCTTCTCCCTTAGCCTGTATTCTTAAGAACTTAAAACCTCTTCAATTCTCACCTGACCTAAAATCTAAGAGTCTTATTTTCTTCTGCAATGCCGCTTGACCCCAATACAAACTCAAGAGTAGTTCCAAATAGCCAGAAAACGGCACTTTCAATTTTTCCACCCTACAAGATCTAAATAATTCTTGTCGTAAAATGGGCAAATGGTCTGAGGTGCCTGAAGTCCAGGCATTCTTTTACACATCAGTTCCTTCCTAGCCTCTGTGCCCAGTGCAACTCGTCCCAAATCTTCCTTCTTTCCCTCCCTCCTGTCCCCTCAGTACCGACCCCAAGCGTCGCTGAGTCTTTCTAATCTTCCTTTTCTACAGACCCATCTGACCTCTCCCCTCCTCGACAGGCCAAGCTAGGCCCCAATTCTTCCTCAGCCTCCGCTCCTCCACCCTGTAATCTTTTTATTGCCTCCCCTCCTCACACCTGGTCTGGCTTACAGTTTCCTTCTGTGACTAGCCCTCCCCGACCTGCCCAGCAATTTACTCTTAAAAAGGTGGCTGGAGCCAAAGGCATAGTCAAGGTTAATGCTCCTTTTTCTTTATCCCAAATCAGATAGCGTTTAGGCTCTTTTTCATCAAATATAAAAATCCAGCCCAGTTCATGGCTCGTTTGGCAGCAACCCTGAGACACTTTACAGCCCTAGCCCCTAAAAGGTCAAAAGGCCGTCTTATTCTCAATATACATTTTATTACCCAATCTGCTCCCGACATTAAATAAAACTCCAAAAACTAGAATCTGGCCCTCAAACCCCACAACAGGACTTAATTAACCTCACCTTCAAGGTGTGCAATAACAGAAAAAAGTTGCAATTCCTTGCCTCCACTGTGAGACAAACCTCAGCCACATCTCCAGCACACAAGAACTTCCAAACGCCTGAACTGTAGCAGCCAGGCGTTCCTCCAGAACCTCCTCCCCCAGGAACTTGCTACACATGCCGGAAATCTGGCCACTGGGCCAAGGAACACCCGCAGCCCAGGATTCCTCCTAAGCCACGTCCCATCTGTGTGGGACCCCACTGAAAATTGGACTGTTCAACTCACCTGGCAGCCACTCCCAGAGCTCCTGGAACTCTGGCCCAAGGCTCTCTGACTGACTCCTTCTTGGCTTACCGGCTGAAGACTGACACTGCCCGATTGCCTCGGAAGCCCCCTAGACCATCACGGACGCCGAGCTTCGGGTAACTCTCACAGTGGAAGGTAAGCCCGTCCCCTTCTTAATCAATACGGAGGCTACTCACTCCACATTACGTTCTTTTCAAGGGTCTGTTTCCCTTGCCTCCATAACTGTTGTGGGTATTGATGGCCAGGCTTCTAAACCTCTTAAAACTCCCCATCTGGTGCCAACTTAGACAATACTCTTTTAAGCACTCCTTTTTAGTTGTCCCCACCTGCCCAGTTCCCTTATTAGGCTGAGACACTTTAACTAAATTATCTGCTTCCCTGACTATTCCTGGACTACAGCTATATCTCATTGCTGCTCTTCTTCCCAATCCAAAGCCTCCTTTGGGTCCTCCTCTTGTATCCCCCAACCTTAACCCACAAGTATAAGATACCTCTACTCCCTCCTTGGCGACCAATCATGCACCCCTTACCATCTCATTAAAACCTAATCACCCTTACCCCACTCAACGCCAATATCCCATCCCACAGCACACTTTAAAAAGATTAAAGCCTGTTATCACTCGCCTGCTACAGCATGGCCTTTTAAAGCCTATAAACTCTCCTTACAATTCCCCCATTTTACCTGTCCTAAAACCAGACAAGCCTTACAAGTTTGTTCAGGATCTGCGCCTCATCAACCAAATTGTTTTGCCTATCCACCCCGTGGTGCCAAACCCATATACTCTCCTATCCTCAATACCTGCCTCTACAACCCATTATTCTGTTCTAGATCTCAAACATGCTTTCTTTGCTATTCCTTTGCACCCTTAATCCCAGCCTCTCTTCGCTTTCACTTGGACTGACCCTGACACCCATCAAGCTCATCAAATTACCTAGGCTGTACTGCCGCAAAGCTTCACAGACAGCCCCCATTACTTCAATCAAGCCCAAATTTCTTCCTCATCTGTTACCTATCTTGGCATAATTCTCATAAAAACACACGTGCTCTCCCTGCCAATCGTGTCCGACTGATCTCTCAAACCCAAGCACCTTCTACAAAACAACAACTCCTTTCCTTCCTAGGCATGGTTAGCGAGGTCAGAATTCTTACACAAGAGCCAGGACCACACCCTGTAGCCTTTCTGTCCAAACAACTTGACCTTACTGTTTTAGCCTAGCCCTCATGTCTGCATGCAGCTGCTGCCGCTGCATTAATACTTTTAGAGGCCCTCAAAATCACAAACTATGCTCAACTCACTCTCTACAGTTCTCATAACTTCCAAAATCTATTTTCTTCCTCATACCTGATGCATATACTTTCTGCTTCCCGGCTCCTTCAGCTATACCCCACTCTTTGTTGAGTCTCCCACAATTACCGTTGTTCCTGGCCCAGACTTCAATCCTACCTCCCACATTATTCCTGATACCACACCTGACCCCCATGACTGTATCTCTCTGATCCACCTGACATTAACCCCATTTCCCCAAATTTCTTTCTTTCCTGTTCCTCACCCTGATCACGCTTGATTTATTGATGGCAGTTCCACCAGGCCTAATCGCCACACACCAGCAAAGGCAGATGATGCTATAGTACAAGCCACTAGCCCGCCTCTTAGAACCTCTCATTTCCTTTCCATCATGGAAATCTATCCTCAAAGAAATAACTTCTCAGTGTTCCATCTGCTATTCTGCTCAGTGTTCCATCTGCTATTCTACTACTCCTCAGGGATTATTCAGGCCCCCTCCCTTCCCTACACATCAAGCTCGAGGATTTGCCCCACCCAGGACTGGCAAATTAGCTTTACTCAACATGCCCTTAGTCAGATAACTAAAATACCTCTTAGTCTAGGTAGATAATTTCACTGGATAGGTAGAGGCCTTTCCTACAGGGTGTGTACAGGGTGTGAGAAGGCCACCGCAGTCATTTATTCCCTTCTGTCAGACATAATTCCTCAGTTTAGCCTTCCCACCTCAATACAGTCTGATAACAGACGAGCCTTTATCAGTCAAATCAGCCAAGCAGTTTTTCAGGCTCTTAGTATTCAGTGAAACCTTTATATCCCTTACGGTCCTCTGTCTTCAAGCAAAGTAGAATGGACTAAAGGTCTTTTAAAAACACACCTCACCAAGCTCAGCCACCAACTTAAAAAGGACTGGACAATACTTTTACCACTTTCCCTTCTCAGAATTCAGGCCTGTCTTCAGAATGCTACAGGGTACAGCCCATTTAAGCTCCTGTATAGACGCTCCTTTTTATTAGGCTCCAGTCTCATTCCAGACACCAGACCAACTTAGACTGTGCCCCAAAAAACCTGTCATCCCTACTATCTTCTGTCTAGTCATACTCCTATTCACCGTTCTCAACTACTCATACATGCCCTGCTCTTGTTTACACTGCTGGTTTACACTGTTTTTCCAAGCCATCACAACTGATATCTCCTGGTGCTATCCCCAAACTGCCACTCTTAACTCTTGAAGTAAATACATAATCTTTGCTGGCAGGACTATGCTGAATCTCCTTAGGCACTCTCTAATCAGATATCCTGAGTCGTCCCAATTCTTAGACCTTTTATACCTGTTTTTCTCCTTCTGTTATTCCATTTAGTTTCTCAATTCATCCAAAACCGTATCCAGGCCATCACCAATCATTCTATACGACAAATGTTTCTTCTAACATCCCCACAATATCACCCCTTACCACAAGACCTCCCTTCAGCTTAACCTCTCCCACTCTAGGTTCCCACGCCGCCCCTAATCCCGCTTGAAGCAGCCCTGAGAAACATCGACCATTCTCTCTCCATACCACCCCCAAAAAATTTTCACCGCCCCAACACTTCAACACTATTTTGTTTTATTTTTCTTATTAAGAAGGCAGGAATGTCAGGCCTCTGGGCCCAAGCCAAGCCATCACATCCCCTGTGACCTGCACCTATAAGCCCAGATGGCCTGAAGTAACTAAAGAATCACAAAAGAAGTGAATATGCCCTGCCCCACCTTAACTGATGACATTCCACCACAAAAGAAGTGTAAATGGCCGGTCCTTGCCTTAACTGATGACATTACCTTGTGAAAGTCCTTTTCCTGGCTCATCCTGGCTCCAAAAGCATCCCCACTGAGCACCTTGCGACCCCCACTCCTGCCCACTGAGCACCTTGCAACCCCCACTCCTACCCGCCAGAGAACAAACCCCCTTGGACTGTAATTTTCCTTTACCTACCCAAATCCTATAAAACGGCCCCACCCTTATCTCCCTTCGCTGACTCTCTTTTCGAACTCAGCCCGCCTGCAACCAGGTGAAATAAACAGCCATGTTGCTCACACAAAGCCTGTTTGGTGGTCTCTTCACACGGACGCACATGAAAACTTGTATATGTATACGTAATGTATACATGATACTCTCCTACTTCTGAATAGTGTTACCAAATTAATTTATAAAATTATGTAATGGTTTATTCAAATTGGCTTAGAGATAAATGAACATTTACATAAAATAAATATTCCTGAAACCCCAGGAAATACAGAATGTGAAAAGTTTTCATGTTCACATGACTTGGATATGTTTGTTGATATAAAAGATTAGTTTAATATGGTTGGTTTAATAAAAATAGCTATGTATTCTGAGTTATTAGCATTATGTATAATATGAGCATACATTTTTATTCTACTGGATTTAGTAGCCAAATAAGGTTAAAAATAGTTAAGAGGGAAATAAGTTAAAATGTTGGTTAGCTTTGTTTGGTATTATACTATGTCTGCCTAAATTCAGTTTCTAAAAAATATTTATAGTAACTTTCAACCTTAGAATTATGCTAAATTATATATATATGTATATAGTGTTTATGTGTGTGTTTCAAAATTTCCAAATAGAATACAATACTGAAACATTCATTACTGAACATAATTTAAATTTATGTATTTTTGGCATCTTGTTTTTATACAGTATAAAGAAACTAAATATATTTGGGTATGTTAATACACATGAGAAACTATACCGTGAGGAAATAGCATATACCTATAAAACACAAGATAGTATATTCGTAAATGTGCCACTCAGCTACAGAATACTGACATATGACAGGCAATTCACAATTGTCTATTTCCTAGTTTTCTCTGAAAAAGAAATGTTGCTTACTTTGAGGGCTGAGGCAGGCGGATCATGAGGTCAGGAGATGGAGACCAGCCTGCTAACATAGTGAAACCCCGTCTCTACTAAAAAAAAAAAAATAGCTGGACATGGTGGCACACACCTGTAGTCCCAGCTACTTGGGAGGCTGAGGTAGGAGAATTGTTTGAACCTGGGAGGCAGAGGTTTCAGTGAGCCAAGATAACACCACTGCACTCCAGCCTGGGTGACACAGCAACACTCTGTCTCAAAAAAAAAAAAAAAGAAATGTTACTAACGGTTAAAAATAAATGAAACTACTATGAATAAAAAGAGTAAAGAAAAAAAATCTTTATGCAAAGTGTGCAAGAAAAGTAGGATGTGTTTTTGATTTAAAAAGAGAAATGTGGTATGAAGCATATATTTCTTTTTTTAAGGGGAAAAAAAGAGTAATTTTGTCCTAAGGTAGAATGACTGGTTGTTCCAGAATGAGAAAAAGGAAAAGAGTAGCACCAAAACTGAATGGATGTTAAAAAACATGTAGAGGGTTTGTAGGAAAAGAATTTTATGTGTAGCCAGCTGCTAAGATAGAATGGATTTATTTCTAAGTTAAAGAAAATGAGACAACATTATAAGCATAATGATGTAAAACCAGAATGATAGTTTTCTTGGATTATTGGTCTGTTCTTATTAAAAAATAAGAGATTTCTCTTTATCTTTTAAGTAATCTACTTAGGAAACAAAGATTTTTGTATCTTAGCAAAATAATTTCCTGTGCTTCATGTTGTATTTATCAGATCTTTGCTTAGGAAAACCAAGTTTTCTCAATATTAGAAGAGCTAAAATTTTTTTCACAGTTATTTAACTTACGGTATTTGCCTTTGAAATCTTTTATTGTCACACTAGTTAAATAAATAAGTATTGTTTCATAGTAGTAAGCCTACTTAATGACATGTTCAAAACTTTTCACATTTTTGACAAGCACCTCAATATCAAATTTAAATAGTCTTTTTGACCTCAAAACTAACTTTGTGATTTCCCAGAGCACCCCTGGAAAATCTTAAATAATATGTTCTCTCATCTTGTAAAAAGAGAGATGTTAAACTCATTAGATTTATTTGAGATACTGAATTACATAAGAAGCATTGTCAAATAAAAAGTAATGCTTAACCTTCTTTAAGTTGTATTTATATGGCTATATATTTTTAATATAAATGTTTCAAAAATTTTATGAAATTCCTAGAAATTTGTCAATGTTCTTTCTGTCTACATAAATCACTCATAATCAGTTATCTTAGAACATTATATGCCACATTATAATAAGCTCCTATCAGATCTTTAACCATGACCACTTTAAGTCTTTTGTCATTTACAGACAATTATTGTTTTACTCAGATTCTTCTCTGAAAATGTTCACAATTAGCAGCAGGCCAAAATTGCTCTATCTTCAAACAAATTCATGAAACATACTCTAATAAATACTCTGAAGTACAGGTTTCTGATAATTTTATTTATTTGTTTGTTTATTTATCTATTTATTTATTAGAGACAGAGTCTCACTCTGTTGCCCAGGCTGGAGTATAGTGGTGTGATCATAGCTCACTGCAGCCTCCAGCTCCTGGGCACAAGCACTCCTCTCACGTCAGCCACCTGAGGATTTGAGACACTATAGGTATGTGCCACCACACCCAGCTAATTAATTTGTTTTTGTAGAGATGGGGTCGCACTTTGTTGCCCAGGCTGGTATCGAACTTCTGGCTTCAAGCAATCCTTCTATCTCAGTCTTTCAATGTGGCAGGACTACAAGTGTGTGCCACCATGCCTGGCTAAATTTTAAAATTTTGTGTAGAGACGGGATCTTGCTTTGTTGCTCAGGCTGGTATTGAAATCCTCGCTTCAAGCAATCCTCCTGTGTCAGTCTCCTAAAGTGCTGGGGCTAAGGGCATGAGCCACCCATGCCTGGCCTCTGGCAATAATAAGATCATATGCTTTGACTGGGTAAAAATTTCCAGAACTCTAGTTAAAAAATCTGATTTATTCATAAAACTAACCCAAGATCATGCAAAATTATAACTGAGCTCCATCTTGCTTCTAACCTCCAAACTGTCCTTGTTCCTTCCTGGGCATAGGCTGAACTAACTTTGGGAGGAACTTAGTTTATAATTTAAAACAAAGATGATAACAGCCCTTTCCCAAAACAAACTTCCTTCTTGCCTGGAGACTAGATTGCCTTTGTAGGACTAACAAATTAGCCACAAGTTTAGAAATTATGGTTTAGGAGTCATGAAGCTGGAGTCTACAAGATTCTGACCCTCCCTAAACTACTCCTAAGATCAGTGTTTGAGATGTTTTTGCAAACCTTCACTTGATGGACCAGCTGGCATCACCCAGATTGATAAAGTGGCTCATTTGATCTTGTGGTCCCCACCCAGGAACTGACTCAGCACAAAAAGACAGCTTCAATTCCCTATGATTTCATCTCCTACCTAACCAATTAGCACTCCTGGTTCACTGGCTTCCCCCCACCAAGTCGTCCTTAGAAACTCTGACACCCAAATGCTTGGGGAGACTGATCTGAGTAATAATAAAACTCTGGTCTCCCACACAGCCGGGTCTGTGTGAATTATTCTTTCTCTGTTGCAATTTCCCTGTCTCAATATACAGATCTTGGAGGGTGGAGCCAAGATGGCCAAATAGGAACAGCTCCAGTCTAGAGCTCCCAGCATGAGCGACCCAGAAGATGAGTGATTTCTGCATTTCCAACTGAGGTACCAGGCTCATCTCACTGGGGAGTGTCGGAAAGTGGGTGCAGGACAGTGGGTGCAGCGCACCCAGCGTGAGCCGAAGCAGGGCGAGGCATCGCCTCACTCAGGAAGTGCAAGGGTCAGGGAATTCCCTTTCCTAGTCAAAGAAAGGGGTGACAGACAGCACCTGGAAAATTGGGTCACTCCCACCCTAATACTGCACTTTTCCAATGGTCTTAGCAAATGGCACACCAGGAGATTATATCCCGTGCCTGGCTCAGAGGGTCCTACGCCCACGGAGCCTCGCTTATTCCCAGAACAGCAGTCTGAGATCAAACGGCAAGGCAGCAGCGAGACTGGGGGAGGGGCGCCCGCCATTGCCGAGGCTTGAGTAGGTAAACAAAGCTGCTGGGAAGCTCGAACTTGGTGGAGCCCACTGCAGCTCAAGAAGGCCTGCCTACCTCTGTAGACTCCACCTCTGGGGGCAGGGAATAGCCAAACAAAAGGCAGCAGTAACCTCTGCACACTAAAATGTCCCTGTCTGACAGCTTTGAAGAGAATAGTGGTTCTCCCAGCATGCAGCTGGAGATCTGAGAACAGACAGACTGCCTCAAGTGGGTCCCTGACCCCTGAGTAGCCTAACTGGGAGGTAGGGGCAGACTGACACCTCACACGGCTGGGTACTCCTCTGAGACAAAACTTCCAGAGGAACAATCAGGCAGCAACATTTGCTGGTCACCAGTATCCGATGTTCTGCAGCCTCCGCTGCTGATACCCAGGCAAACAGGGTCTGGAGCAGACCTCCGGCAAACTCCAACAGACCTGCAGCTGAGGGTCCTGATGGTTAAGAGGAACACTAACAAACAGAAAGGACATCCACACCAAATCCCCATCTGTATGTTGTCATCATCAAAGACCAAAGGTAGATAAAACCACAAAGATGAGGAAAAAACAGAGTAGAAAAACTGGAAACTCTAAAAATCAGAGTGCCTCTCCTCCTCCAAAGGAACGCAGCTCCTCACCAGCAATGGAACAAAGCTGGACGGAGAATGGCTTTGATGAGTTGAGAGAAGAAGGCTTCAGATGATCAAACTACTCTGAGCTAAAGGAGGAAGTTGAAACCCATGGCAAAGAAATTAAAAACCTTGAAAAAAAATTAGACGAATGGCTAACTAGAATAACCAATGCAGAGAACTCCTTAAAGGACCTGATGGAGCTGAAAACCAAGGCACAAAAACTATGTGACGAATGCACAAGCCTCGTAGTCGATCTGATCAACTGGAAGAAAGCGTATCAGTGATGGAAAATCAAAAGAATGAAATGAAGCGAGAAGGGAAGTTTAGAGAAAAAAGAATAAAAAGAAATGAACAAAGCCTCCAAGAAATATGGGACTATGTGAAAACACCAAATCTACGTCTGATTGGTGTACCTGAAAGTGATGGGGAGAATGGAACCAAGTTGGAAAACACTCTGCAGGATATTATCCAGGAGAACTTCCCCAACCTAGCACGGCAGGCCAACATTCAAATACAGGAAATACAGAGAACACCAAAAAGATACTCCTCGAGAAGAGCAACACATAATTGTCAGATTTACCAAAGTTGAAATGAAGGAAAAAATGTTAAGGGCAGCCAGAAAGAAAGGCAGGGTTACCCACAAAGGGAAGCCCATCAGACTAACAGCTGATCTCTCGGCAGAAACTCTACAAGCCAGAAGACAGTGGGGGCCAATATTCAACATTCTTAAAGAAAAGAATTTTCAACCCAGAATTTCATATCCAGCCAAACTAAGCTTCATAAGTGAAGGAGAAATAAAATACTTTACAGACTAGCAAATGCTGAGAGATTCTGTCACCACCAGGCCTGCCCTACAAGAGCTCCTGAAGGAAGCACTAAACATGGAAAGGAACAAGCGGTTCCAGCCACTGCAAAATCATGCCAAATTGTAAAGACCATCAAGACTAGGAAGAAACTGCATCAACTAATGAGCAAAATCACCAGCTAACATCATAATGACAAGATCAAATTCACACATAACAATATTAACCTTAAATGTAAATGGGCTAAATGCTCCCATTAAAAGACACAGACTGGTAAACTGGATAAAAAGTCAAGACCCATCAGTGTGCTGTATTCAGGAAACCCATCTCTTATGCAGAGACACACATAGGCTCAAAATAAAGGAATGGAGGAAGATCTACCAAGCAAATGGAAAACAGAAAAAGGCAGGGGTTGCAATCCTAGTCTCTGATAAAACAGACTTTAAACCAACAAAGATCAAAAGAGAAAAGGAAGACATTACATAATGGTAAAGGGATCAATTCAACAAGAAGAGCTAACTATCCTAAATATATATGCACCCAATACAGGAGCACCCAGATTCATAAAGCAAGTCCTTAGAGACCTAGAAAGAGACGTAGACTCCCAGGCAATAATAATGGCAGACTTTTAACACCCCACTGTCACCATTAGACAGATCAATGAGACAGAAAGGGATATCCAGGAATTGAACTCAGGGATATCCAGGGATTGTCCAGGGATATCCAGGAATTGAATCAGGTTAACAGGGATTTCCAGGAATTGAACTCAGCTCTGCACCTAATAGACATCTACAGAACTCTCCATCCCAAATCAATAGAATATACATTCTTCTGTGCACCACACTGCACCTATTCCAAAATTGACCACATAGTTGGAAGTAAAGCACTCCTCAGCAAATGTAAAAGAACAGAAATTATAACTAACTGTCTCTCAGACCACAGTGCAATCAAACTAGAACTCAGGATTAAGAAACTCACTCAAAACTTCTCAGCTACATGGAAACTGAGCAACCTGCTCCTGAATGACTACTGGGTACATAACGAAATGAAGGCAGAAATAAAGATGTTCTTTGAAATCAACGAGAAAAAAGACACAACATACCAGAATCTCTGGGACACATTTAAAGCAGTGTGTAGAGGGAAATTTATACCACTAAATGCCCACAAGAGAAAGCAGGAAAGATCTAAAATTTACACCCTAACATCACAATTAAAAGAACTAGAGAAGCAAGAGCAAACACATTCAAAAGCTAGTAGAAGGCAAGAAATAACTAAGATCAGAGCAGAACTGAAGGAAATAGAGACACAAAAAAACCCTTCAAAAAATCAATGAATCCAGGAGCTGGTTTTTTGAAAAGATCAACAAAATTGATAGACTGCTAGCAAGACTAATAGAAGAAAAGAGAGACGAATAAAATAGATGCAATAAAAAAATGATAAAGGGGATATCACTGCCGATCCCACAGAAATACAAACTATCATCAGAGAATACTATAAACACCTCTATGCAAATAAACTAGAAAATCTAGAAGAAATGGAAAAATTCCTCAACACATACACCCTCCCAAGACTAAACCAGGAAAAAGTTGAATCTCTGAATAGACCAATAACAGGCTCTGAAATTGAGGCAATAATTAATAGCTTACCAACCAAAAAAAGTCCAGGACCAGATGGATTCACAGCCGAATTCTACCAGAGGAACAAGGAGGAGCTGGTACCATGCCTTCTGAAACTATTCCAATCAATACAAAAAGAGGGAATCTTCCCTAACTCATTTTATGAGGCCAGCATCATCCTGAACCAAAAGCCGGGCAGAGACACAACCAAAAAAGAGAATTTTAGACCAATATCTCTGATGAACATCGACGCAAAAATCCTCAATAAAATTCTGGCAAACCGAATCCAGCAGCACACCAAAAAGCTTATCCACCATGATCAAGTGGGCTTCATCCCTGGGATACAAGTCTGGTTTAACATATGCAAATCAATAAACGTAATCCAGCATATAAACAGAACCAATGACAAAAACCATATGATTATCTCAATAGATGCAGAAAAGGCCTTTGACAAAATTCAACAACCCTTCATGCTAAAAACTCTCAATAAATTAGGTATTGATGGGACATATCTCAAAATAGTAAGAGCTATCTATGACAAACCCACAGCCAATATCATACTGAATGGGCAAAAACTGGAAGCATTCCCTTTGGAAACCGGCACAAGACAGGGATGCCCTTTTTCACCACTCCTATTCAACACAGTGTTGGAAGTTCTGGCCAGGGCAATCAGGCAAGAGAAAGAAATAAAGGGTATTCAATTAGGAAAAGAGGAAGTGAAATTGTCCCTGTTTACAGATGATATGATTATATATCTAGAAAACCCCATCGTCTCAGCCCAAAATCTCCTTAAGTTGATAGGCAACTTCAGCAAAGTCTCAGGATACAAAATCAATGTGCAAAAATCACAAGCATTCTTATACACCAATAACAGACAAACAGAGAGCCAAATCGTGAGTGAACTCCCATTCACAATTGCTTCAAAGAGAATAAAATACCTAGGAATCCAACTTACAAGGGATGTGAAGGACCTCTTCAAGGAGAACTACAAACCACTGCTCAATGAAATAAAAGAGAATACAATCAAATGGAAGAACATTCCATGCTCATGGGTAGGAAGAATCAATATTGTGAAAATGGCCATACTGCCCAAGGTAATTTATAGATTCAACGCCATCCCCATCAATCTACCAACGACTTTCTCCACAGAACTGGAAAAAACTACTTTAAAGTTCATATGGAACCAAAAAGAGCCCGCATTGCCAAGTCAATCCTAAGCCAAAAGAACAAAGCTGGAGGCATCACGCTACCTGACTTCAAACTATACTACAAGGCTACAGTAACCAAAACAGCATGGTACTGGTACCAAAACAGAGATATAGATCAATGGAACAGAACAGAGCCCTCAGATATAATGCCGCATATCTACAACCATCTGATCTCTGACAAACCTGACAAAAACAAGAAATGGGGAAAGGATTCCCTATTTAATAAATGGTGCTGGGAAAACTGGCTAGCCATATGTAGAAAGCTGAAACTGGATCCCTTCTTTACACCTTATACAAAAATTAATTCAAGATGGATTAAAGACTTAAATGTTAGACCTGAAACCATAAAAAACCTAGAATAAAACCTAGACAATACCACTCAAGATATAGGCACGGGCAAGGACTTCATGTCTAAAACACCAAAAGCAATGGCAACCAAAGCCAAAATTGACAAATGGGATCTAATTAAACTAAAGAGCTTCTGCACAGCAAAATAAACTACCATCAGAGTGAACAGGCAACCTACAGAACGGGAGAAAATTTTTGCAATCTACTCATCTGACAAAGGGCTAATATCCAGAATCTACAATGAACTGAAACAAATTTACAAGAAAAAAACAAACAACCCCATCAAAAAGTGGGCGAAGGATATGAACAGACACTTCTCAAAAGAAGACATTTATGTAGCCGAAAGACACATGAAAAAATGCTCATCATCACTGGCCATCAGAGAAATGCAAATCAAAACCACAGTGAGATACCATCTCACACCAGTTAGAATGGTGATCATTAAAAAGTCAGGAAACAACAGGTGCTGGAGAGGATGTAGAGAAATAGGAACACTTTTACACTGTTGGTGGGACTGTAAACTAGTTCAACCATTGTGGAAGTCAGTGTGGCGATTCCTCAGGGATCTAGAACTAGAAATACCATTTGACCCAGCCATCCCATTACTGGGTATATACCCAAAAGATTATAAATCATGCTGCTGTAAAGACACATGCACACATATGTTTATTGCAGCACTATTCACAATAGCAAAGACTTGGAACCAACCAAATGTCCAACAATGATAGACTGGATTAAGAAAATGTGGCACATATACACCATGGAATACTATGCAGCCATAAAAAATGATGAGTTCATGTCCTTTGTAGGGACATGCATGAAGCTGGTAACCATCATTCTCAGCAAACTATCGCAAGAATAAAAAAACAAACACCGCATATTCTCACTCATAGGTGGGAATTGAACAATGAGAACACATGGACACAGGAAGGGGAACATCACACACCTGGGCCTATTTTGGTGTGGGGGGAGGGGGGAAGGATAGCATTAGGAGATATACCTAAGGTTAAATGAGGAGTTAATGGGTGCAGCGCACCAACATGGCACATGTATACATATGTAACTAACCTGCACATTGTGCACATGTACCCTAGAACTTAAAGTATAATAATAATAAATAAATATATATATATACACTCAGATCTTTCTAGGCAGTGGGCAAGGTGAACCCATTGGGTGGTTACAATCAAGCATAAAAAGAATTAATTACATGGAACTAAATGAACTCATAAGGAATATTATAATTTTTAAATTACTTTTTTGATTGAGATATTGCTGGTTCTTTAATATTTTGTTTTTCAAATTAAAGAAAACTTCTTCTCTTTTTCTCTCAAGCTGTCTATACCTTACAACAATCTGGGAAACTATAAAGAAAAATAAAATATTTATTTGTTTTCTCTGCCTGATCTCTCTAGATTTGGAAACTATTGTTGATTATTCTTATTTTCAAGGCAATATAAATATATGAATAAGTTCAATAAGAATATGTACTTTTTATAACAGAAAATAACTAGAAACATTGGTTATATTGCTAAGCCTTTGACTGGAAGGTCATATTTGAAAATAATATGTATAGAATCAGATATGACTAGAAAGTTTTAAGGAACTAAATTTGATTTCATGGGGCCAATGATTACAAAGACCCTTCGAAACTGGCCTTGGACCTGGCTTACAGAATTCTCAGCCTTACATGTGAATAAGGAAGGTCACTTCCCGGCAGGCTCAGGAACCTCCAAATACATTGAGTATCTTGGGAAGAGTGGATTTCACCCAAATCTATAGGTGCCACAGGCAAAGACTGATGGCAAGTCCATTGGCTTGGTATCCTAGCCTCCAGGCGCTTTTAAAAGTCTAATCTGAGATTCCTTATCATAAGTTCCAGGGAAGCAAATTCAAAAAAGGACCTATGTGGTCAAGTACATTCTTGCTGCACTAATGTAAATAATGAGGAAAAGTTTAATGGGGTTGGACTTATTTTGCTATCAAATTAGTCTTACTTTGATAGAATTGGAAGTAACTATAGAGAATAAAATTATTCCAATATTATTTCAAACATAGAATCTAATCCTGTTCTCTGTCTTTGAAACTTTGTTATGTCTCTGTAAAGTAGACTAGATCATGCTCAATTCTAGCATCCTCCAATACCTGATTATAACTCTTCAAATTAATGTTTCCAGTTTTTCTCTCACCCTCTTAAGTTGTTACCACTGAGGGTTAAAACCTTACTGCTCAGGTTCTTGTTAGGAATATCTAAAGAAGCCCTGGACATTGAGACTGGAAACTTCCATACTATGCTCTGAGAAGTAACCGTAACTCTTTCATCACCAGAGGCATTCAGACTACAAGCCAGGAAATTTATTGAATGGCTACTTCCATTCTCATGCCATCATCTAAAGACACTTTGAGCCAAATGTCCTGAAATCCTGAGTGACTGCCTTCTGGAATCAAAAACAGAATTTACAGTTTGTTCTAACCAGTTATCTTTTTCATCTTTGTTTTTTTTTTTTTTTTTCACAGAAATGTGCCTTACTAAATGCTTGATTGTTCATACCATCTAGAGGAGTTCGGGGAGGGGAGCTCCCTATTTCTACCTTTATGGTGTCTCCCGAAATGAGATACAATTATTTAACTGAACTATCCTCTTCCTAGGACTGACAGACTATTTCAATGGGATATGGGACAATCTACCAACTCAGTTTTTGGACTGTAAAACTTCCTGGGGGAAGTTTCAGTTGGGGTAATAATAGGTTCAGTACACAATACCCCCAAATATGGCACCTTGGCATGCTGAATACATATATATTTTTGATACAGGATCTTGCTCAGTCACCCAGGCTGGAGTGCAGTACAGCAATCTTGGCTCACTGCAATCTCCACCTCCCAGGCTCACGTGATCCTCCCACCTCAGTCTCCTGAGTAGCTAGGACTACAGGTGAATGCCAGCATGCTCTGGTAATTTTTGCATTTTTTTGTAGAAACGAGGTCTCACCATGTTGTCCAGGCTGGACTTGAACTCCTGGGCTCAAGCAATCCACCTACCTCAGCCTCCCAAAGTGCTGGCATTACAGGTTGTGAGCCTCTGTGCCCAGCCAGCATACTGAATATTATAACCTCAAGAGAAACCACTAGTGCAGGAAAATACCTCTGACAGTCCCCTGAAGCAGAACATAAGACCATCATGTAAGAAGTACTCTCCAAATACCCAGAGGAAAGGAGCATTCTTATCTCTGAGGATGAAGGAACACAGAGAAATCTGAATGAACAGAACTTGCCAACATTTCTCCAGTCTACTGCTTTTAACTCATACCCCTTTGTCCTATCACATTTTTCCATGGTTTTCCATAATAATATGCTTATTAGGCAATATAATAATAGGCAATATAATAGGCTTTCCAGGCTAGTAATAGGCAATATAATAGGCTTTCCAAGCCTATTGTAAAAGCACTGAAGTTTAATCACTTTGGGGGTCTTTATTTCCTTAGGAAGCCTATGTTATACAAAACTTATATTAAATAAAAGCAAAAATTTCTATTCTTTATTCTTGTTAATCTGTTTTTGGTTACAGAGCCCAAGCTGAGAATCTATAAGAGCAGGAACAAAATACTTTTCTTCCCGAGGTAAGTATGGACAAATTGCTCTCCAAGTGGTTATAACATTTTATATTCCAACCAGCAGTATATAAGCACTCCTCACTTTGTCCTTAATCATATTGTTAACTACCCAAGGTCAGTTAAATCAATCCTGGGAAATAACTTTTTAAAATAAGAAAATGCCGTTCTTTCATCACTTTCTTTAGAAGAAAGTGAGCCCATCCATTACTTGTTCATTTATTTTCAAATAAAAAATGTATTTCTCTTTTATTTCTCCTTTCCTTTCTTCATTCTACTTTTCACCATTTCCACCATTTTGTCAATCCTGCTCATAGATATAAGCATGAGAGTGTTGTTAGCAATACGTCTGAATGTCCAGTTTACATCAAAATTAAGAACATGCAAATAATGTATGCTAGAGTTAAATCTAATACATATTCAGTCTCCAAATCTCTAGTCTTTCAAATTGTTCAGAATCTCTGCAAAAGTTTCTAACTAATCTTACTAATCCTCCAATAATTAAATCGTTTTTTCAAATTTGTCTAAATGCACACACATACCGCAATCCACACACCACTATATCACTATTTTCTGTATGCTTGTCTGCATTATATACTTTTTTCTACTGAAAGCACAAAGTATTTCAGCTTTGTAATTCAGAATTGGGCCCAAATCTACACTTACGAAAAGGGTTCCTCTGGGCAGGAGACTTTATATCTCTGAGCCTTAGTTCCCTTCTCTGTACCTAATAGTGTTTGTTTTTAAGGGTTAAATATGTAATCTCAAACGAAATAATAATAACTTATTATGGATTTTAGTCAACCAGTGAATAAGGGGCAATAACATAGTTCAGATTTTATTTATTGAAAAGTCATACCTTATTTTCATTTAGAATAATAGGTTAAAATTAATTACCATTTCAGGCTCTGATTTGATAAACTAAAGCAAATTCTTAACTCAGGAATTTGAGGGGAAGGTTTTGGGATGAAACTGTTTCATCTCAGATCATCAGGCATTAGTTAGATTATCATTAAGGAGCACATAATCTAGATCCCTTGCATATACACTTCACTATAGGGTTCTCACTCCTATGAGAATCTAATGCCACTGTTGATCTGACAGGAGGCGGAGCTCAGGCAGTAATGCTCGCTCACCTGCTGCTCAACATCTGCGGCTCAACTTCTGCTGTATGGCCCTGCTCCTAACAGGCCACAGACCGCTACGGAGGAATCCTGCTCTACAACACTGGTTACTGTTTGCTTGCCCAGATTCCACTTCAAGATTCACATGTCCTTGTTGCCTTGCATTTATTTGCTCCTTTAGCTTATCTGCTTTGACTTTTTTTTTTTTTTTTCTTTTTTGAGACGGAGTCTCGCTCTGTCGCCCAGGCTGGAGTGCAGTGGCGGGATCTCGGCTCACTGCAAGCTCCGCCTCCCGGGTTCACGCCATTCTCCTGCCTCAGCCTCCCAAGTAGCTGGGACTACAGGCGCCCGCCACTACGCCCGGCTAAATTTTGTATTTTTAGTAGAGACGGGGTTTCACCGTTTTAGCCGGGATGGTCTCGATCTCCTGACCTCGTGATCCGCCCGCCTCGGCCTCCCAAAGTGCTGGGATTACAGGCGTGAGCCACCGCGCCCGGCCGACTTCAGTTCTAATATATGTCCATCCTGCTTTTCCTTACCTTGTTTTTCAGTTGTGGCACCTGTATTCTTTTAAATCCCTGATGGAGGCAATGTGACAAAGCAGAAAGTCAGGCAGACGAGGATTCTAAATGTAGCTCTGGACTACGTATGTGACATTTTAATTATTAAAACTCCCTGATGCTCAATTTCTTCATCTGGTAATCAGTATGATGCTGCCTTTGCATGATTATTGATAGACTTACATCTGATAATCTTTGTAAATGGCCAGCAAACACCTAAAAAATAGTAGGGAATACTGCCTTTTTTTTTTTTTTTTTTTTTTTTTAACCATCCCCTTTTTTCTTTCTTCTCAATTTGTTTTCAATAGACTGTAAGTTCATGAAGACAGGGCCAATGCCTGCCTTGTTCTTTCTTGTAACAACCACAGAACATAGAATAGTGGCACGGTTCAGCTCCACTTAAAGACATAGTACCTGTCTGAAGGAAAGAAAGGAATAAAAAAAGAATCAATCAATGAATCATTCATCTTCTGACTTAAATCCAATTTCAACTACTGCTTCTACATCTCACAGCAGATCTGTGTGCCTGAATTCCATTTTTCATTTTTGTCTTTTTCTTTATTTTTATTCTTATTTTTATTTTATTATTATTATACTTTAAGTTTTAGGGTACATGTGTACAATGTGCAGGTTAGTTACATATGTATACATGTGCCATGCTGGTGTACTGCACCCATTAACTCGTCATTTAGCATTAGGTATATCTCCTAAAGCTATCCCTCCCTCCACCCCCCACCCTACAACAGTCCCGAGAGTGTGATGTTCTCCTTCCTGTGTCCATGTGTTCTCATTGTTCAATTCCCACCTATGAATGAGAATATGCAGTGTTTGGTTTTTTGTTCTTGTGATAGTTTACTGAGAATGATGATTTCCAATTTCATCCATGTCCCTACAAAGGACATGAACTCATCATTTTTTATGGTTGCATAGTATTCCACGGTGTATATGTGCCACATTTTCTTAATCCAGTCTATCATTGTTGGATATTTGGTTGGTTCCAAGTCTTTGCTATTGTGCATAGTGCCACAATAAACATATGTGTGCATGTGTCTTTACAGCAGCATGATTTATAGTCCTTTGGGTATATACCCAGTAATGGGATGCCTGGGTCAATTGGTATTTCTAGTTCTAGATCCCTGAGGAATCGCCACACTGACTTCCACGATGGTTGAACTAGTTTACAGTCCCACCAACAGTGTAAAAGTGTTCCTATTTCTCCACATCCTCTCCAGCATCTGTTGTTTCCTGACTTTTTAATGATTGCCATTCTAACTGGTGTGAGATGGTATCTCATTGCGGTTTTGATTTGCATTTCTGTGAGGGCCAGTGATGGTGAGCATTTTTTCATGTGTTTTTTGGCAGCATAAATGTCTTCTTTTGAGAAGTGTCTGTTCATGTCCTTTGCCCACTTTTTGATGGGGTTGTTTGTTTTTTCTTGTAAATTTGTTTGAGTTCATTGTAGATTCTGGATATTAGCCCTTTGTCAGATGAGTAGGTTGCGAAAATTTTCTCCCATTTTGTAGGTTGCCTGTTCACTCTGATGGTAGTTTCTTTTGCTGTGCAGAAGCTCTTTAGTTTAATTAGATCCCATTTGTCAATTTTGGCTTTTGTTGCCATTGCTTTTGGTGTTTTAGACATGAAGTCCTTGCCCATGCCTATGTCCTGAATGGTAATGCCTAGGTTTTCTTCTAGGGTTTTTATGATTTTAGGTCTAACATTTAAGTCTTTAATCCACCTTGAATTAATTTTTGTATAAGGTGTAAGGAAGTGATCCAGTTTCAGCTTTCTACATATGGCTAGCCAGTTTTCCCAACACCATTTATTAAATAGGGAATCCTTTACCCGTTGCTTGTTTTTCTGAGGTTTGTCAAAGATCAGATAGTTGTAGATATGCAGCGTTATTTCTGAGGGCTCTGATCTGTTCCATTGATCTATATCTCTGTTTTGGTACCAGTACCATGCTGTTTTGGTTACTGTAGCCTTGTAGTATAGTTTGAAGTCAGGTAGCGTGATGCCTCCAGCTTTGTTCTTTTGGCTTAGGATTGACTTGGGAATGCAGGCTCTTTTTTGGTTCCATATGAACTTTAAAGTAGTTTTTTTCCAGTTCTGTGGAGAAAGTCATTGGTAGCTTGATGGGGATAGCATTGAATCTATAAATTACCTTGGGCAGTGTGGTCATTTTCATGATATTGATTCTTCCTACCCATGAGCATGGAATGTTCTTCCATTTGATTGTATTCTCTTTTATTTCATTGAGCAGTGGTTTGTAGTTCTCCTTGAAGAGGTCCTTCACATCCCTTGTAAGTTGGATTCCTAGGTATTTTATTCTCTTTGAAGCAATTGTGAATGGGAGTTCACTCATGATTTGGCTCTCTGTTTGTCTGTTATTGGTGTATAAGAATGCTTGTGATTTTTGTACATTGATTTTGTATCCTGAGACTTTGCTGAAGTTGCTTATCAGCTTAAGGAGATTTTGGGCTGAGACAATGGGGTTTCCTATATATACAATCATGTCATCTGCAAACAGGGACAATTTCACTTCCTCTTTTCCTAATTGAATACCCTTTATTTCCTTCTCCTGCTTGATTGCCCTGACCAGAACTTCCAACACTATGTTGAGTAGGAGTGGTGAGAGAGGGCATCCCTGTCTTGTGCCAGTTTTCAAAGGGAATGCTTCCAGTTTTTGCCCATTCAGTATGATATTGGCTGTGGGTTTGTCATAGATAGCTCTTATTATTTTGAGATACGTCCCATCAATACCTAATTTATTGAGAGTTTTTAGCATGAAGGGTTGTTGAATTTTGTCAAAGGCCTTTTCTGCATCTATTGAGATAATCATGTGGTTTTTGTCTTTGGTTCTGTTTATATGCTGGATTACATTTATTGATTTGCATATATTGAACCAGCCTTGCATCCCAGGGATGAAGCCCACTTGATCATGGTGGATAAGCTTTTTGATGTGCCGCTGGATTTGGTTTGCCAGTATTTTATTGAGGATTTTTGCATCAATGTTCATCAAAGATATTGGTCTAAAATTCTCTTTTTTGGTTGTGTCTCTGCCAGGCTTTGGTTCAGGATGATGCTGGCCTCATAAAATGAGTTAGGGAGGATTCCCTCTTTTTCTATTGATTGGAATAGTTTCAGAAGGAATGGTACCAGTTCCTCCTTGTACCTCTGGTAGAATTCAGCTGTGAATCCATCTGGTCCTGGACTCTTTTTGGTTGGTAAGCTATTGATTATTGCCACAATTTCAGAGCCTGTTATTGGTCTATTCAGAGATTCAACTTCTTCCTGGTTTAGTCTTGGAAGGGTGTATGTGTCGAGGAATTTATCCATTTCTTCTACATTTTCTAGTTTATTTGCATAGAGGTGTTTGCAGTATTCTCTGATGGTAGTTTGTATTTCTGTGAGATCGGCAGTGATATCCCCTTTATCATTTTTTATTGCATCTATTTGATCATTCTCTCTTTTCTTCTTTATTAGTCTTGCTGGCAGTCTATCAATTTTGTTGATCCTTTCAAAAAACCAGCTCCTGGATTCATTAATTTTTTGAAGGGTTTTTTGTGTCTCTATTTCCTTCAGTTCTGCTCTGATCTTAGTTATTTCTTGCCTTCTGCTAGCTTTTGAATGTGTTTGCTCTTGCTTTTCTAGTTCTTTTAATTGTGATGTTAGGGTGTCAATTTTGGATCTTTCCTGCTTTCTCTTGTGGACATTTAGTGCTATAAATTTCCCTTTACACACTGCTTTGAATATGTCCCAGAGATTCTGGTATGTTGTTTCTTTGTTCTTGTTGGTTTCAAAGAACATCTTTATTTCTGCCTTCATTTCGTTATGTACCCAGTAGTCATTCAGGAGCAGGTTGTTCAGTTTCCATGTAGTTGAGTGGTTTTGAGTGAGTTTCTTAATCCTGAGTTCTAGTTTGATTGCACTGTGGTCTCAGAGAGAGTTTGTTATAATTTCTGTTCTTTTACATTTGCTGAGGAGTGCTTTACTTCCAACTATGTGGTCAGTTTTGGAATAGGTGTGGTTTTGTGCTGAAAAAAATGTATATTCTGTTGATTTGGGGTGGAGAGTTCTGTAGATGGGTATTAGGTCCGCTTGGTGCAGAGCTGACTTCAATTCCTGGGTATCCTTTTTAACTTTCTGTCTTGTTGATCTGTCTAATATTGACAGTGGGGTGTTAAAGTCTCCCATTATTAATATGTGGGAGTATAAGTCTCTTTGTAGGTCACTCAGGACTTGCTTTATGAGTCTGGGTGCTCCTGTGTTGGGTGCATATATATTTAGGATAGTTAGCTCTTCTTGTTGAATTGATCTCTTTACTATTATTTAATGGCCTTCTTTGTCTCTTTGATCTTTGTTGGTTTAAAGTCTGTTTTATCAGAGACTAGGATTGCAACCCCTGCCTTTTTTTGTTTTCCATTTGTTTGGTAGATCTTCCTCCATCCTTTTATTTTGAGCTTTTGTGTGTCTGCATGTGCGATGAGTTTCCTGAATACAGCACACTGATGGGTCTTGACTCTTTATCCAATTTGCCAGTCTGTGTCTTTTAATGGGAGCATTTAGTCCATTTACATTTAAAGTTAATATTGTTATGTGTGAATTTGATCCTGTCATTATGATGTTAGCTGGTTATTTTGCTCGTGAGTTGATGCAGTTTATTCCTAGCCTCGATGGTCTTTACAATTTGGCATGATTTTGCAGTGGCTGGTACCAGTTGTTCCTTTCCATGTTTAGTGCTTCCTTCAGGAGCTCTTTTAGGGAAGCCCTGGTGGTGACAAAATCTCTCAGCATTTGCTTGTTTGTAAAGTATTTTATTTCTCCTTCACTTATGAAGCTTAGTTTGGCTGGATATGAAATTCTGGGTTGAAAATTCTTTTCTTTAAGAATGTTGAATATTGGCCCCCACTGTCTTCTGGCTTGTAGAGTTTCTGCCGAGAGATCAGCTGTTAGTCTGATGGGCTTCCCTTTGTGGGTAACCCTGCCTTTCTTTCTGGCTGCCCTTAACATTTTTTCCTTCATTTCAACTTTGGTGAATCTGACAATTATGTGTCTTGGAGTTGCTCTTCTCGAGGAGTATCTTTGTGGCATTCTCTGTATTTCCTGAGTCTGAATGTTGGCCTGCCTTGCTAGATTGGGGAAGTTCTCCTGGATAATATCCTGCAGAGTGTTTTCCAACTTGGTTCCATTCTCCCCATCACTTTCAGGTACACCAATCAGACGTAGATTTGGTCTTTTCACATAGTCCCATTTTTCTTGGAGTTTGTTTCTTTTTATTCTTTTTTCTCTAAACTTCCCTTCTCGCTTCAGTTCATTCATTTCATCTTCCATCACTGATACCCTTTATTCCAGTTGATCGCATTGGCTCCTGAGGCTTCTGCATTCTTCACATAGTTCTCGAGTCTTGGTTCTCAGCTCCATCAGCTCCTTTAAGCACTTCTCTGTGTTGGTTATTCTAGTTATACACTCGCCTAAATTTTTTTCAAAGTTTTCAACTTCTTTGCCTTTGGTTTTAATTTCCTCCTGTAGCTCGGAGTAGTTTGATCGTCTGAAGGCTTCTTCTCTCAACTCATCAAAGTCATTCTCTGTCCAGCTTTGTTCCGTTGCTGGTGAGGAGCTGCATTCCTTTGGAGGGGGAGAGGTGCTCTGCTTTTTAGAGTTTCCAGTTTTTCTGCTCTGTTTTTTCCCCATCTTTGTGGTTTTATCTACTTTTGGTCTTTGATGATGGTGATGTACAGATGGTTTTTTGGTGTGGATGTCCTTTCTGTTTGTTAGTTTTCCTTCTAACAGATAGGACCCTCAGCTGCAGGTCTGTTGGAGTTTTCTAGAAGTCCACTCCAGACCCTGTTTGCCTGGGTACCAGCAGCGGTGGCTGCAGAACAGCGGATTTTTGTGAAGCACAAACGCTGCTGCCTGATAGCTCCTCTGGAATTTTTGTCTCAGAGGAGTACCCGGCGGTGTGAGGTGTCAGTCTGCCCCTACTGGGGGGTGCCTCCCAGTTAGGCTGCTCGGGGGTCAGGGGTCAGGGACCCACTTGAGGAGGCAGTCTGCCCGTTCTCAGATCTCCAGCTGCGTGCTGGGTGAACCACTGCTCTCTTCAAAGCTCTTAAACAGGGACACTTAAGTATGCAGAGGTTACTGCTGTCTTTTTGTTTGTCTGTGTCCTGCCCCCAGAGGTGGAGTCTACAGAGGCAGGCAGGCCTCCTTGAGCTGTGTTGGGCTCCTCCCAGTTCGAGTTTCCCTGCTGCTTTGTTTACCTAAGCTAGCCTGGGCAATGGTGGGTGCCCCTCCCCCAGCCTCGCTGCTGCCTTGCAGTTTGATCTCAGACTGTTGTGCTAGCAATCAGCGAGACTCCATGGGCCTAGGACCCTCCGAGCCAGGTGCGGGATATAATCTCCTGGTGTGCCGTTTTTTAAGCCCATCGGAAAAGCTCAGTATGGGGGTGGGAGTGACCTGATTTTCCAGGTGCTGTCTGTAACCCCTTTCTTTGACTAGGAAAGGGAAGTCCCTGACCCCTTGCACTTCCCGAGTGAGGCAATGCGTCGCCCTGCTTCGGCTCGCACACGGTGTGCTGCACCCACTGTCCTGCGCCCACTGTCTGGCACTCCCTAGTGAGATGAACCCGGTACCTCAGATGGAAATGCAGAAATCACCCGTTTTCTGCGTCACTCACGCTGGGAGCTGTAGAGCGGAGCTGTTCCTATTCGGCCATCTTGGCTCCAGCCCCTGTCTTTTTCTTAATTCTTTCAATTCCACTTTACCTCACCACAAACTACCCATGGCCCTCAGTGGGCTTCTCATAAAATACAGAAGTCTTAACTTTCACTTACTATTTAAATATGAATGCTAACAGCCAAATTATCGTAGATATTGAAAGATTTGCCATGTTTTAAAAATAATCTATTTCATCATTTAATGAGTAGTGTGTTTCTAAATATAGTACTATTTTCTTGTTTTGAAAGGCAAAAGTTTCTTCAAAGACATTCTCACTTAAAAAAATAACTAGCATTAGAGATAATTTTCAGATAAATCTTAATGTCAACAAATACCGAACTCTTCACTTACTCCTGTATGTTTTTTGGCAGAATTGTTTTCTCTTTTCTTTTTTTTTTTTTTTTTTTTTTGAGATGGAGTCTTGCTCTGTCACCCAGGCTGGAGTGCAGTGGCACGATCTGATCTCTGCTCACTGCAAGCTCCGCCTCCTGGGTTCACACCATTCTCCTGCCACAGCTTCCTGAGTAGCTAGGACTACAGGCACCCACCACCACTCCCAGCTAATTTTTCGTATTTTTAATAGAGACGGGGTTTCGCCATGTTAGCCAGGATGGTCTAGATCTTCTAACCTTGTGATCCGCCTGCCTTGGCTTCCCAAAGTGCTGGAATTACAGGCATGAGCCACCGAGCCCAGCCAGAATTGTTTTTTCTAACATTATTGAAAAAAAAAAAAATTTAAGGCTAAAATATTGCAGTCACAAGGCATTTTATATAGAAAGCACTGGCTAATTTTGATTTGTATCTTCGCTAGTATAAATAGATGCAAAAAGTTTGGCCATTGATTTGTACTACTGAAAGGTATAATGAAAAGCAGCCAGAATTCTTTTTAAGTAAATAAGATGAAGTGTTCTCCATTTGTTTTCAGGGAAATCAGTTAACATACCTCATCTTGTAAAATTATATAGTATAGTAGATTTTACCTGTCATTTACGTATCTTGAATTATTTTGTCATTAATCATTATTATCCGATAATTTAGCTTTCTAGTGGTAAAGTAGTTATTAAGAAGGAAATACCTTTGTGCTTAAAAACTCATACTATTGCCTGTCAAGCCTAGTCCAAGGTATTTGAACACTACTTAAAAATGCTAAAAACAGGCCGGGTGCGGTGTCTCACGCCTGTAATCCCAGCACTTTGGGAGGCCGAGATGGGTGGATCATGAGGTCAGGATATAGAGACCATCCTGTCTAACATGGTGAAGCCCCGTCTCTACTAAAAATACAAAAAAAATTAGCCGGGCGTGGTGGCGGGCGCCTGTAGTCCCAGCTACTCGGGAGGCTGAGGCAGGAGAATAGTGTGAACCCGGGAGGCGGAGCTTGCAGTGAGCCGAGATCGCTCCAGTGCACTCCAGCCTGGGCAACAGAGTGAGACTCCATCTCAAAAAATAATAATAATAAGAAGAAGAAGAGTAAGAATAATAATAATAAAAGGTTAAAAACAGAGAAGTGAAGCATATGTCTGACTTGGCTATTCTAACAGCTATTACGTAATAGAGTCAACTCTCACTTATCTGTGCTAAGATGGGTAGAAGCATTGGATTCTTACGGTGGAACCCCTAGATAATCATTACTTTTGGCACTGTTACCAACCCTTAAAAGACGTGCCAATGAAGAGCAACAACACTATTCCAGTTCCACCTGCCTGCCCTCTGGTGGACATGCTAATGAGCAGTGAAATGGCTACAGAAAGGACAGCTGGTGTGAGTGGGAAGCTTATTCACAAATAAGTCATCTTTCTTTATTACTGTGAAATACACATATAAATGATTTTGATTTCATGTCTAACAATTATACATTTATCAGGGACATCATTCTGTAGAAACACAACTAACGTTAGAGCGTTTGTGAACCTTTTTATTCCTTGCCTCTTCTCTCATCCATTTGGAAGGTCACCTAGTCAGATGAATAACAAACACTAGGTTCAGCTGTATAGTTAAGTTCAGCTTTGCTTTGTACAGGACTGTGATTCTTTTACTCAGAGCCTGAAAGGCAGATGTCATTCTGGGAAGTTTTACCCTCAATTATGAAGACATAAAAATACAGGAAAGGTTTAAAAAAAAGCGTAAGAGAAAATTCAGCTGCTGTGAAGTGGCAATGGAATAGCTCTTGCAAATTTCACAAGCTTTGGCTGTGCTCCCTGAAAAATCAGCAGCAGCAATGTCCTTCAGGCAGCAGCTGTCACTGCAAGCAAAGAAGCAGCACTGGAAAGAAAAAGAAGGGGCTCCTCTGCAGACAGAGAAAACAGCTGATGCATAAAAATACAGATAGGGCTGAAATTAGCAACAAGTTGCTGACTATTTTTTCCTTTTTGTAAAGTTCACTCAGCTACTAAGATAGATGTAAATTAAACTTTAGAGACAATGTGGTATCTCAAGTGGAACTGTGAAGGAATCATACCCTAGGCTGAGGACAAGTTTGATTTAAGATCCTACTACTTTTAGGCTCCATTTTCTGACGAGGGTGCACCATATTTAACTAAACCATTCAGGAAGCAGATTCAGCTACCTATTAAACACGTGGCAGTTTCAAAATGTTCAGGATTCTCTGCCCAGCACTCACATTACTCAGCTGTCATAGTAAAGGGCTCAGATATATGATGTGAAAATTACATTTTAACGAGGTGTCATGTGTGTTTAAAGTTCTTATTCATCACTACACAGCCACAGCTTTTACTGGAGATACAAATGCACTTAATTTGCATATTATAAGGACAGAAGGTGCACCATATCCTCATTGTTAAACTGTTATGTGTAGGCTTTTTGTTGGTTTAGATTCTACCATCTTTAGCGTACATAAGAATGGTTATATTTACATAATCTCAAACGGCTTTCAAGAAAATGTGGATTGTGTTTGGGAAGCAGAACAGCAGGTAACAAGACAGTAGCTACATCTCTTTATCATTCTATTGTTAGTACTTATTGCTGGATGTGTTTTTCACTAAATCTCAACCAGTAGATTTTTAGATCTGTTAGACATACTAATTTTAGGAAATTTTTGAAACTCAGCTTCTATGCCTGTTATTACCAATTTGAACCTACTTTCCCATCCTCCTTCAGTAGCAAATACTGGAAAACACGTGAATATTTAACAAGGAAAATTAGAATGTTTGATGGACAGCTTAGAAACAAACTGTAGGAGTCAAAGAAAATACCTCTCTTCTCACTGTTCTTTATTAATGAATAATCAATTTGGCAGAAGGTGGTTTGGGAGAGAGAAGAGTTAAAGGTGAAAGTCAGTCAAAACCAGGCACTAATCATAGCTAAAGGTAAGTGATGCAACTATCTGACCCCCTCCCACCAGCTGTATCAGGATAGAACATATGGTTTTAGAGTTATGATGCTCATGTGAGAATCACTCAAATAACCTGCAAAGCAGCTGAGTATTATTTGAACATTTTAAATGTACATCTTACAAAAAATAGCCAGTTAAAGGTAATAATAAAGGTATACTTTTATATTGTATTTTATAAGATAGGAAATAGGCTCAGGTGAAAGTATATTTGAAGAAAATTCTAGATTTGATAGTTCTGTATCTGGTGCTCTGCCCAGAAAAAACAGAGGAAGTGCTTTCACATGTACTTTGTACTCAAGTGCTAATGCTTAAAATCATTTTGGTACCTGTGTCCAAAGCTGAATCACTGGTTCTTTAGACAAAATGTATTTTCAAGAGAACACAACTATTATGCATTTCTAAAAATAATATATTTTCCATTTTCTTCAAGTTGAAGAAATCCCTACAATTTGTCAACTAAACAATTTATGTTCTTAATATAGAATTCTTTAAACAGTTGCCCACTTTCTTCCATACTGTAAAATTACTGACTTTAATTTCTTCTGGAAGAAAACACATTACGTATTAATGTACTTCTGTTTATCACACGCTAAACTGCCCCTTAGATTACCAAAGCTCACAACAATGTGGGTGAAGCAAGGGAGAAGCTGGTGGTACAGGGTGGGGGGAGTGACTTACTAAAACTTAGATTATAGATCCATGTGCTGACAGTGAAGATGACTACCTGAGGAGCATACACGTAATCTTAATAAATCACATTTAGAAATTATACTCCTATTCACCTAGTATCTTGAAAAAGCAGATTTAAAAAACATAGTCCATTTATCCATTTAATCATTCAACAGTCTTTACAAAGCACCAAGTATTTATCAGACATTTTATGAATTTGTAGATGGGCTGGGTTCAGTGGCTCCCACCTGAAATCCCAGCACTTTGGGAGGTCAAGCTACTCAGGGGGCTGAGGCTCGAGAATCGTTTGAACCCAGGAAATGGAGGTTGTAGTTAGCCGAGACTGTGTGGCACTGCACTCCAGCCTGGGCAACACAGTGAGACTCTGTCTCCAATCAAAAAAAAAAAAGTAATTTGTAGAAGAAACTGACTAAAACAATATCAATAAGATTATTACAATATGAATCAAAGTCTACTTAGTTCCAAAAAAAACTTTTTATAAAAAATTAGAGATGCTTTGCATTTGTATTTTCCTTAATATGTGAAATATAACTATATTATTTAAAATTTTAAGAAATTATTTGCAAATATATTTGCTATATGAATGCTAAATAGCAGTATCAAAATAAGTTCTGATTTATGTTTCCACCAATTTCATGCTGAGAAATGACAAAAATGCTGGCAATTTTACATTTAATATCATGCAGAATAGGTGACAACAGGATAGTGTTCCAAAAGTAATGTTTTTAGAGAAACATAGTAAATGAATTTTAAACTTCTTCTAAACTTTGCCAAGAAAAACTGGCCAATTAACGATTTTTTTCAAGGAGAAACTTCACTTAGAGTCTCTGAAAGCATTTTAAATACAAGTTTAAAAAGTCAATTGAAATTAATTTCTTAACATAGCTATTGTTGAAAACAGTGTTTCACAGATTGTACCATTTCTCAAGACATTTCTTCTGAAAAATAATGCAAACATACATGTCATACAATTGGGTAGCTCAACAAAAGGTAGGGATTTTAAAAAATGTGACAATTAAAAGTCAGGGGATGAGTGTTAGGAAAAGTAAGGAACTGGAATTAATAACTCCTGAAACCACTTTTAGAATACTTTGAGGAGTTAAGCTTTTTTTTCATGTCTTTCCTCCAAGGTTACCATTTCAGACTTTAAAAATGACACTTGTAGAATGTAAACTAGTACAGCCACTATGGAAAACAGTGTAGAGATTCCTTAAAGAACTAAAAGTAGAACTACCATCTGACCCTGCAATCCCACTACTGGATAGCTACCCAGAGGAAAAGAGGTCATTACACACAAAAGGTACTTGCACACGTATGTTTACAGCAGCACAATTCGCAGTTGCAAAAGTATGGAACTAGCTCAAATGCCCATCAATCAACGAGTGGATAAAAAAACTGTGATATAAATATATAGAATGGAATACCACCCAGGCATAAAAAGGAATGAATTAATGGCATTCACACCAACATGGATGGACTTGGAGACTATTATTCTAAGTGAAGTAACTCAGGAATGGAAAACATCGTATGTTCTCACAAGTGGGAGCTAAGCTATGAGGATGCAAAAGGCATAAGAATGATACAGTGGACTTTGGGGACTTGGAGGAAAGGGTGGGAGGGGATGAGGGATAAAAGACTACAAATTTGGTTCAGGTATAATGCTCGAGTGATGGGTGCACCAAAATCTCACAAATCACCACTAAAAAACTTACTCATGTAACCAAATACCACCTGGTCCTCAAAAACTTATGGAAGTAATTTAAAAAAAAAGAAAAAATGGAATGATAAAAAGACTAAAAAAAAAGACCCTTATAAAAACAAATCATTTGATTTCATGGTTGAAGAGTAGATACAATTTTTAGAGTACAAATACATCGTGATTAACTTGTAATACGAACTACAAGTGATGTTTGTATCTAGAGGGTGCCTGGTGCTAACATCTGGACAATTTTGGAATAAGTTATATGAGCTGCAGTGCTTTAAAAGGGCCTTCATTTAGAAAATGTGGATAAAAATGGTCCTTGTAGGGTTACTGCAAATCTATTAGGTTGTTACTGTATTGTGCCTATTACATATATTTTCTCATTAAAATATAACAATAATCTTCTGAGGTTGGAGTTATTTTTTCCATTTTATAGTCTGAGGAAATCGAGACTGAAGACTGAACAACCTGCCCATAGTCAAACAAGAGATAGAGAGAATTCAAACCCACGTCCTTCTGACTCCCAAGCTCATGTTCAGAAGCCTATGCTACCTATGTGTAACCATCACCAAGTGTCACCAGAGGATCTTTATATACCCAAGAGAAGTATATTTGCCTTTTATTTTTCAACACCAGATCTTTTTACAGGAGACATAAAACATAGATACCCCTTTATATAAAAATCTTCAAAAGAATGATTTTTCATTGATTGGAATACAGTTAAAATCATGGCAAAAAGACTCAGCCTGCTACCAACAGATGGTAACGACAAATACACTTTGGGTCTACAGATTTAGGATTAGTTTTTGACTCTAACATATTTGTAATAAGTTGAGGGTTTCTGTACATAGACACATAGGACCCAAAATAAAATGGTAATAAGAATTCACTAAAGGCAATTTCTTTGGGGAAAAAAAAAAAAGTCAATGTAATTTACTAAAGAAAAATACCCAGCTGAAACTGTTTGTGTGAAATAAGATAAACAGCCTCTATTAACGTTAATTGAAATTTTCCTATCAGCACATATCATGCATGCAATTTATTTCTATACATATTCTTTCCACCTCTAAACTGCAATAAGTCCATGCTAAAGCACTAGCTTTTCAATTTGAGCATTCATGCATGAAAATTGATAGTTTTTTGTGATTATACTGACAAATTTAACAGGTGAAATTTCACTATTTGTAAAACAGACAAAGTCTTAATTGTCGTTGTTCAAAAGGAATGAAATTCAATCTCCTGACTTAAGTTACGAATTCATTTTAAAAGCTGAAGTCTATCACTTCTTAATGTTTGCTACTTCAATAGCATCCTTTTATTTATTTATTTATTTTCTGAGATGGAGTCTCGCTCTGTCACTCAGGCTGGCGTGCAGTGGCACAACCTCAGCTCGCTGCAACCTCCGCCTCCCAGGTTCAAGGGATTCTCCTGCCTCAACCTCCCTAGTAGCTAGGATTACAGGCACCCACCACCACACCAGACTAATTTTTTTGTATTTTTAGTGGAGATGGAGTTTCACCATGTTGGCCAGGCTAGGTTTTTGAACTCCTGACCTCAAGTGATATGCCCGCCTTGCCCTCCCAAAGTGCTGGGATTACAGGCAAGAGCCACCACGCCCAGCCTTCAATAGCATCCTTTTAACAAATATCGGCACTAGTACGTGAGGGTGAGATGGACCATGTTTTAACTCCCATAAACAGACAAGCAAATACATTTTTAAAAATTAAATGAAGGTATAATTTTCCTTATGTTCACAATTACAATGATTCATTCTCTTACCCCCCCATATGTATGTACATACATACATATGGAGGGGGATATGTACATACATATGGAGGGGGATACATGACTATATGAATATATAAACATATAACAATAACCATATGAATATGTATACTAATACACATATGACTATACATTTATACATATATGTATAGTACAAAAAGCATATAGTCATATATGTGTATGAGTATATTCATATGTTTATTATATGCTAAAATTGTATGTATGCTAAAAATATTTTTGGCAAGTTTTTAAACACATGGGATTATGGTACCATCTTATTCGTTAAAGACAACTTAATAAAACTGAGTTAAGAACTTGGTACCATCTTATTCGTTAAAGACAACTTAATAAAACTGAGTTAAGAACTTGCTTTAGTTTATCAAATCAGAACTTGAAATTGTAATTAATTTTAACCTATCTATTATTCTAAATAAAAATAAGGTATGCTCTTTTAAATAAATGAAATTTGAATTATGTTATTGCCTCTTATTCACTGATTACCTAAAAAAATAAGTTATTATTTATTATTCCTTTGAGATATTAGAAATCATTTCTTGTTCCAGTTAAGAGTCAAAAAAGGCTAAGAACCATCCATAACAAAGTTTTCACTAACCAAACATAAATTTTAGTTTAAGAATATCACAGCTATGAAAGGAGTGTCTTCTCAGAATATTCTAGATAATGGATTATTGATCAGGTTTTAAACTGTAGAATGCAGTGGGTTAAAAAAACAAACAAAAAACCTTACCTGTACAGCGGTGAGTCAGACAATAGAGTTGGTCTAGGAGATTTTGTTGAGGACTTAGGAGAAATTGCTTTTGTTGCTATTGCATATTTAGTCTTTTCTTTCCGTAAAAGCCAATTCAACGTAATATCAGCATTGCTGATTGTGGAAACAAGTGCTGTCACTCTGACTGAAGCCTCTCCATGATTAGAGAAAATACTACCTAATTTGTCATCCTATCTGAATAAGAAGTGAAAAGCCATTCATTCATTCATTCATTCCACAAGAGTGATTGAGCCTTATTATATATATGCGATGTATTACACTAGAGTCAGAGAAGACAAATAATGTTAAGAGAAAAATACAACAAAAGAAAGAGTAAGACAAGGCCATTGGCCATAAAAAACTTAGAATCTACTTCAGTAAAAAGATATGCATATACTAGACTAAGTTAGAAGAATGTCATGCTAATAAAAGAGTAATTTGAAACATAATGCAGAAAATAAGAAATATTAACAGGATTGCACTTTATTTTAGCAAAGGTTTTGTGCACTTCACTATATAAAGAACTAACCTGCTGAAAATGTTAAATGCCCTTCAAAGAAGGAGGGCTAAAAATTGGAGTTGAGCAAAACAAAGGAGAGTCAATTTCTTGTAGTTATACATTTTTACAGCTGAACGGCAAAAATAATTTAATTTTCGAATTGCTATATTACCATCAAAATTCAGACACCTCTATCTTAGTTTTCCATTATACTTTATCTTGGAGAAGACTGTTATGGCTAGTTGATATGGTTTGACTCTGGGTCCCTACCCAAATCTCATCTTGAATTGTAATCACCATATCCCCACATGTGGAGGGCAGGACCTGGTGGGAGGTGATTGGATCATGGGGGCAGTCTCCCCTGTGCTGTTCTTGTGATAGTGAGTAAGTTCTCATGAAATCTGATGGCTTTATAAGGGACTCTTCCCCTTTCACTTGTTCATTCTCTTTTGCCTGCTGCCTTGTAAGACATGCCTTTGCTTCTCTCTCACCTTCTGCTATGATTGTAAGTTTCCTGAGGCTTCCTTAGCCATGTGGAACTGTGAGTCAATTAAACCTCTTTCTTTTATAAATTACCCAGTCTTGTTTATATCTTTACAGCAGTGTGAGAATGGACTAACATAACACACTAGCTAAAAATTTTAACCTTTAAGAGAATGGTGTTCAGTTGAGTACATAAAAATGAAAAAAAAATTAAAGGTATTTATGATTGTCTTTAAACAACATTAAAAGGAAATGGTATGTTTTCAATGGAAAAGGGGCACTTTTAAAGAATTACAATTAAAACTCTATAAAAAATTGCAATGTCTTATACAAATTGAGGTATATTTTTACTGTACTTATCAGTTATGAACATTTTTCTCAACATACAAATTAAGTTAATTCAGAACAGACAGACTCAAACTGACAACCTTCCCAAAATGGGAGGTCAGATATGATGCACTCTGTGAGATGACTACATTGGTGCGGGCTCCTGAAACATAATATCAAGTTAACCCTTTGACAAGTTCCAAGTAGACAGCACTTCTGTGGGCATTTCACAATTAATTAGACAGGCTGTTTAGACGGGCTGTTCTATTTTAGCAATGGTTTTGTGCAGTTCACTACACAAAGAACTAACCTGTTGAAAATAACAAACACCCTTCAAAGAAGAAGAGCTGAAGACTGGAGTTGAGCAGAACAAAGGAGAGTCTACTTCTTGTAGTTACACATTTTTATAGCTGAAAGTGATCAGCAGCAACCTTCTTTAGATGCAAAGACAAAGAACAATTTTCAGGTACACAGGCCAGAATACCACAAATAAAGTTTAATAAAAACATAAAATGAACTTGCTGAGAACAAACAGTAAATATTTCCCCAAAGAGTACCACAAAAGGTTGAACTTACCTGATCTACTATCCAGAGGTCCAAAATCCAAAGAATATTTCACGACGTGATAGTTATTCCATACATAAAGTAGGTTGTCCCTGGGGTTGTAATCCACAGCTGCAATGTACTGGTATGAATTAGGAAAGGGTACATCCACCAAACTATCCTTGCTTTGGTCAGTGTTGTAAATGTAGTCAATCTTATTTCCAGTAGCCTCATTGTCATCATCCTCATATACAGATTTGACCACATACAGAATTCCACAAATCATAAAGGCATTGGAAGCTGACCTTTTATCATATGCAGTATCCCATGTTCCTTCGATCCGTAGGGTGTAAGGGTTCAATTGACTAATGACAATTTTACCATTGTTTTGTTCTGTTGCATAGATTACCCATAGCCCATTCTCATCTACTGCCAGGTCTATGTCAGATTTGCCTCCCCATCGGTAAGGGGAGGTATCATGGTAATTGGCATTTGCTATGATAGCCTCTCCACTCTTTATCCTAGTCCGCAAATCAAACTTTACTATGTTCCTGGTGCGCTCTTTGTTGAAGAACAAAGCTCCATCATACACTACAAATCCTGTGCCATCCACCCTGTGAGGGAGCTTGTAGGTTGTAGTTGGTCTTCCAGCAATGAAGTCATCCTTGGATGAATACTCAGTCAGGGTATCAGTTCTGTAGGGAGTCCAGGGCATATAATAAATCTTGTCAGATGCCTGCAGAGGGTCTTTGCACCACGCCCCAGATTGGTGGTCGGACTCAAACAAATGTTCACTCTGGTATACTCCTTTTAGTAGTCCAGGACAAAGAAAAACTGTTGGAAGGGAAACAGTTAAAATAAATAAATATATTAATTTCATATTTTGTTATATAGTCTTATTTTTCACCAAATGGAATGCAACTCTAACAAGAGATACCCACCATCACTTATTTTGCTGCATTCTTTTAAGAACACAAAGTATTCTTCCACATTAATTTTGGCTTCATTTCAAAATCATTTTGATTTTGATAACTGAAAAATATCTAGCCTTTTTGTGAGTAGCTGTGCATTCCTGTGATTGTTACCTTTGTAAATATGCTACAATATTTTTGGAAACATATATCAGATGTAACATATGTCTATGTATTCTATAGACATATAAGAAATACAAATGTTTACACACAATACTTTTAATAGTTCATTGAAGAACATATTTTGAAACAAAAATATTGTTTCCATTCTGATGAAATTCACCATTCAGTAGTTATCATTAAGAAACAGATGAATATCTCATAGTAATTTTTTGATAAAGGAAAAAGAAAAGCCCTGTAATACAGGCCACTGAATCTTTTAGCAAAAAAGCTCTCAACGTTGCTACAACACACACAGAGCATGCAACCCACACAATTAAAAATGAGTGATGGATGGATACTGGAAGGAAAAGAGAAAGGAAGAAAAAGAAAGGAAAGAAGGAATAAGGAAAGAAGAAAAGGTGAAAGGTTACAGAAAAGAACCCAAGATCTAGATTTTAATCAGTTAAAAATGTCCTGTTAAATACAGTAGTATTGGAACTTAAAAACATGTACCTTTTACTGTTACATGAGAAGAGCATTAAAACCCAAGATTACTTGCTATAATATTTTGCTGCTCATACTTCAGGATGAAAATGGCCAAGAATCATCTGATTCACTTGATTTTTAGTATGATTCAGTAGCATATCATGTGAATGGTGGTAAGAAAGCCTGGCTGATTCATCTGTAGTGAAGGGGCTATAAAGCAATGTTTCCCAAAGGGTGGTCCTTGAATCACATGTTTCAAGTGGCATAGCTAGATGTTACACAGAAAGGAAAAAGGGATCCTTAGCCACATGTGTGTAAGAAATGTTATATTACATATAATTGTGGCAGAGATTCTAATTGCTTAAGTACATTCGTGAATCTCCAAGGCAGAAGTGGGAAGGGTGAGCAAATTTCACACACTAATTGGATCATGGCACCTTTATCATAGAGCTTCTTTGGAGTATAGAATTCCGCTGAACCTACCATGGGAAACACTGCTCTAATATATTTGCAAAGCAAACACACTGAAAAATAATCATGCAGTCTACTGTTATGTTTGGAATGATTAGAAGTGTACTGGGTGAAAAAATTAGAAAATCACAGTAATTTGGATATTGACCCTTTTTTAATGATTAAAGTATTATTATTTTGGCATTAGTGATTAGCTTTTAAACAGTAACTATAAGCATAGATGCAATGGAAAACAATCTAAGATGAAACTCAGGTAGGTTTTGGAGATTATCAAAAAGAAAAGTACATTACTAAAATGCCCAAAGTTTTACTTTTAGAGAAATAACAAGTTTGGGAACAGGCTAACTACCAAAATCTTCCATAGAAAGGATAGAGGGCCATCATCAATATACAATCCATAATAATATTGATTGTAAGAATTTCATATGCTTGCTATAATTATAAAGGATAAGTATCCATTGTTATCAAAATTGTATATAAGCTTTATGCTAAATAACCATCCTTGATGACTAAAGTAACTTACTTTAGGTGGTTCGAAAAACTTTTTCCCTTTTCCCCAAAATAGTTAAAAATTAATGGAATGGGGAAACCATGCCAGAGCTATGAAAAATTAACTAGCATAGAAATAAAAACAAATTAAAGCAACCACTATTCATCACCATGAGTTGGATTTCTAACTACTCAAAAATAAAGGGGAATAAAATACACTGTTGAAAATTTTATACTACTAAACTCTTCTTAGATAAAAGAAAGTGACTCTTGTCAGTAATACAGATTAAAGTGAAGTTGAGCAGCAGAAGTAGTAAATAAATTTTCATAAAATAGATAAGAATTAATAACAAAATTATTTTAACTAAATGTTAAACTGTTAAATAACTTAGCCTATAAATAGTATATAATTTATGAAAGGTATTTAATTACCTTTTTGTTCCACTTCTATTGGAGAGAGAGAAGTAAAGAGAGAAAGGAGAAAAGAGAATAGATTAATGGTACGGTATTGGCCAAGCACTTTTTATTCACCTCTTCCAAACTGAAAGTAAATAATTTATTTCACTCATACTTGCTTTATTGAACATTATATGTTTTAATAAAACCCATCTCTCTAATACAGTTATTTAAAAATAATCATATTATATGCTTTAAAATGTAAACTTTGAGAAAAAGGGCAAAAATTAATCAAACTATGATTAAATAAACACACCATTCCAAATTACAGACACAGGAAATGCAATATTCATAATAAGAACACCAATATTTCCATTGGAAAGGCAGGTCGGCAATTATACAAAGAAAGCTTTCAAATAGTTTGACTAGTCTCACTTATAAATATTATAGTTTATACCACTATTTCACATAATAGTTGTGCTTTCTATGCATTTCAAAGAATTTGTTCAGAAGGAACTACTCGGCAACTCATTTCCTAAGGCCTAAGATTTCCTGTAGCTTGTCAGTCTTATGAGAAATGCACCTCATGAGACTACACATTAATGTTGAATGATCTTACCCTAAATAAATTGATTTGGAATCCTTATTGAAGAAAGTTTTCTCCCTCCCGCTCATTAGTATTTGATATTACTGTGGAAAAATACTGTGCTTCAGAAAAATACATTATCAGAAGGTTTAGAAAAATAATGAGCCACTGGCTCTGGTCTTTTCTGAAATTCTTAACAGAGTCAACATACACTTATAAAAATAGAGATCCTCAAACATGTTATGTTTATACATTTCAAATTAAATTCCATAATTATTTTTAAGGTACTGACCAATACAAGTCAGTAAAAATTTTGGAAAATTGTTAACGTATTCACAAACTCATCAAACAGCATCTCTTTATCTTATAAATATTTTGTTTCACAGAGACAATTTGCTATATTCTAACATGGAAAAAGGGACCAATGAGAAAAAAGAGGAGAATGTCAGGGAAGAACGAGTTCACAACACAAACTTTAAAAAATCACAGATTTCAAGTGATGTAAAACTAAAGCAATTTCAGTGGAAGAGATGAACTGAGATATGCACAATAAATAAATTTAAAATGCTAGTAAGGTTTCAAAAACAAGTGAGAAATACTGTTTGGCATAATTACATTTGGGTGATATCTTTATACTTGATCTAAGCTTGAGTGTCTCCAGTTATTGTCAAAACCATACTCGTTTCTCTCCAACGACTTTTTTGAAGCCTCAATATCATGTTGCAAAGTGATATTGAGTGGTGATATTCCTCAATCTCACCAAGGAAAAACTGGCATATATCAAAAGTTCTGCTTAGAAAGTTGCAAATAAGGTTATCAAATTTTAGATCCTTCATCTCGCTAATTAATAAATATTATTATGTTTTAAATAGTTTCAACTTTTATTTTGGCATCGGGGGTACATGTACAGGTTTGTTACATGGATATATAATGTGATACTGAGGTTTGGAGTATGACTGATCCCATCACCCAGGTAGTGAGCACAGTATCTAACAGTAAGTTTTTCAACCCTCACCCCCCTCCCTCCCTCTCTACAAATATTATTTTTAACAATATTTCTTGGATGCTTTTAAAAACTCCATTATACTGTCATATTTATCATCATCCTCAATCTTTATTGAGTAACTCCAGGGTTTACTGGACTGTATGTCTCGAATAGGCTAATACAGGCATCTCAAGCCTTATCTGAGATGCACTTCATGCTTATACCAGAATAATCACAAACCTATATTCAGACTGACAACTAAGCACCTTAACAAATTGCATAATCGATAGTCTCCAAAGTATAGACATTATAACGAAGGCTGAGGTTGGGGATAGAAAGTCATATGAAAGTTGACATTTGTCAACAACTAGCCTACAAAGAAGTTTTCAGAACTAATTTGGTTCCTTGAAATAGCCTTAGATAGCAATATCTTCCTGATAAATACAGAGACAGAGACTTACATTCTAAAATACAAAAATGCTCGTTCATGGAACTTTAGTCTTTTTTAACATAAAACTCATAGACAATCTTATTTTTGAGTGGAAATATCTTAACTTCTTTGTGAGTTTTATTTCTCTCTTCAACAAATACTTAATGAGAAGACAGGCTATGTAACAAAAAAGTATTGGCAAAGGTATCTGTTATATTCTTCAAATATTATCCTACACTTTGATGGAAATTTTTATTTTTTGAAGAGCTTTAACCTCTATTAACTCAACTGCCATTTGGTAAAATTTTGATTTTGATTCTCTGGTCCTGTTTAATATCAGAGAAATTGGCATAAGCTGTAGAATAAGTAAAGCTTGCCTCTGTTGATTGCTGGTTACTCAAAATGAAGATTTATTAGGCTGTTGTGCTTTGGAGAAAATTATTATGATCTTGCCCATGTCATGACTGGCTGTAGCTCATTTATCATTTATTTGATATTTTCAAGACTGAAGTAAAACAGTCCTATAATTTAAGTTGAAACAAGCGCACACAAATCATATTCCCATAACAAAAACCGGCAAGACAACATAATTTGTCATTGAAAAGCTTGGTAACACTAAGGATTGGCCAGTCATTACCTATCATTTAATTCTGATTCTAGAAGCTTCCCTTCACTGAATAAATAATCAAATTACATGAATACAAGAAACAAGCACACTACTGTATCTTGCACAACCACATAATAAATACTCAGTGAATAGCTCTTGAATTAAATACATAATCCAAATAACATTGAACAATTTTGCTTCTTGATATTTTAAGCATGTGGTAAAAAGAAAAAGTGGTGAAATAGAATCTGCATTCACTATATAAAATCATATTGCAATGCATTATCTGCATAATGTCTGTGTATTTTAATGGGTGGGGAAGAAAGTAAAATTTATAAGCAATTTGTATCTCTAACCCATTAAATATAAAACTGGAGAGCAAAAGAAGAAAAAGTATATGGGTGGTATTGTGGGTTATATTGGCAAAAAACATTTGTTGCTACAAAACAGCCTGCAGTGATCTAAAAACACAGGCCTAAAATACTCCCTTCCCTCCTCTCTGTAATGAGATAATAAATAAATGAATTGCATGATGACAACTGTGCAAGGGCCTTTTTCAGGATCTCTTGTTTTTTAGTCTAGTCCAATATCCTGAATTCTGGCATAGCTGTTATTGTTCATTTCCAAACGTTTTTGAAACGAGTTTGTCTCCTTTTCTCTCTACATTTTTAATTTCCAAACTATTTTTACTGTGCATTCAGCCTCTATAAATATGTTTATATATTTCCTTAAAGTGATTTCATTGTTGTCCTTTCTCAAACTTAATGTCATAAGCTATATCCTGTGGTTAGAATAAATGACAAATTCAAACTAAGGAGAATTTTATTCTGTATAAAAGAAAGAAATAGGTAAAAATGACTAGTAAATTTTCCTCTATATTTCCCAAGAGTTTATAAAATACATATAATATATAGTCATGTTATTGTTTCAAAAAATAAGATATTTGTTCAGCCATTTCTGAATCATATGCAATACCTTTGAATTGCATTGTTTAATTAGAAAAGGTATGGATCAGAGAGCATAGGTATGTACTGCCAAGTTTTTTAAAATTACATCACAAAATAGAGAGAAATAAATTTGTTGCATGCCAAAAATTGTTAATGCCATAACTAAGAACTATGAACTTGTATTCAATTTTAATGTTTAAATTTTATTTTCTTTTAAACTATAAAAATCATAGAACACATTTTCTATTTACAATGCAGAATGTTACAATCCAATAATGCCCCCATATTTCTGTAATCTATAAGAAAAAAGACACTTATAGGGGACATAACATGGTAATAAAATATTAAATAATTTATAAACAATTTTTTTCCTTGCAATGTAATAGTATTGTTAAAAGAATGATTTTCCTTGTAACATTTGGTTTAGACTATTAAAATACATTTGGGTACCCTTATCACATGGCAGCTGGGCAGTTGGGATATGGCAGAAAGGCAAAATAAGAAAGTAATAAAAAAATCACAACCAGTTACCTAATCACAACCAGTTGCATAATCAAAAGCTCACAATACTATAGGTTGAAGATCCCAGATCTAAAAATCTGAAATAAAAAATGTTCCAGGCTGGGCGTGGTGGCTCACGCCTGTAATCCCAGCACTTTGGGAGTTCGAGGTGGGTGGATCACCTGAGTTCGGGAGTTCGAGACCAGCCTGGCCAACACGGTGAAACCCTATCTCTACTAAAAATACAAACATTAGCTGGGTGGGGTGATGCATGACTGTAATCCCAGCAACTCGGGAGGCTGAGGCAGAAGAATCACTTGAACCCAAAAGGCAGAGGTTGCAGTGAGCCAAGATCGCGCCACTGCACTCCAACCTGGGCGACAGGGTGAGACTCCTTCTCAAAAAACAAAAAAAAAAGTTCCAGTGAGTATTTCCCTTGAGCATCATGTTTGCACTAAAAAATTTTCAGATTTTGGAGCATTTAGGTTCTCCAGAACAATGAATATATTTCAAAATCCCAAATATCCAAAATCTGAAACATTTCTGATCCCAAGAATTTTGGATAAGGGATACTTAGCCTATACTTTATATATGAACAGCATTTTATAATTTAATAAAATGCTTTCACATGAATCACCTTATTTAATTATTGAAGTATTAACAGCATAACAATGTGATATTGTATTTATTATTCCCATCAGAGAAGAGTAAAGAGGGTCTAAACACTAAAGGATTTGACCAAGGTCAACCTTGGTAGGTGGCAGAGTCCTGCCGTTTGTCTAATACCATATGCTCACAACATACAAACTCAATGAAACACAGTTTAATTGTTGTACTCTTGCTCTCCATTTTCATCAAATCCATGAAAAAGCATACTTTAGAAAAGACAAAAATATAAATAGAATCTCCCTGAGGGTAGGCACTATATCTGGTATAATATTCATTCATTAAGTACTGAAATTTTGCATACAAAACTGAGTAGACTTTTGTTTTTTTTTGTTTTTTTTTGGTTTTTTTTTTTTGAGATGAAGTCTCGCTCTGTTGCCCAGGCTGCAGTGCAATGGCGCAATCTTGGCTCACTGCAAGCTCTGCCTCCCGGGTTCACACCATTCTCCTGCCTCAGCCTCCCCAGTAGCTGGGACTACAGGCACCTGCCACCACGCCTGGCTAATTTTGTTTTGTATTTTTAGTAGAGATGGGGTTTCACTGTGTAAGCCAGGATGTGATTTGCCCGTCTCAGCCTCCCAAAGTGCTGGGATTACAGGCATGAGCCACTGCACCCAGCCTTAAGTAGACATTTAAATGCAGGCATTCTCATTACCCCAACTTTTCAAATGGGGAAACTGAGGCACAAATACCATGGCTCTATGGCTAATAAGTTTAGGTAGCTAGGCTTTGTTTAGGTCAAGTTGAAACAGGAATTCAGGTTTCGATATTATTCATTATTGATGTTCAATAAGATAAAAATTCATCTTACTCATCTACAGTGCTCAACACATAAACAGAGCTTAATTAATATTTGCCATGCTTTGTGCAATGACTAAATGGCACTATGGTATTTTCAAAGAAAGGGACAGAATGACACACTTTTCAGTGCTATCACCCCTTGAGACTAGTGTACTAGTGTTACAAAGCAACTCTCTAGAGAAGATAAAATACAGGAAAAAAAATGGTTTCCACATTTCTTGACTAAGGAAAACCAAGATTTCTCTTATAACTGGAAACAAACCTGTGCTGAATAACTCATGTCTCCCTAATAGTTATTATTCCAAAACAGATAATTCTCTTCTTCCATTTCACTTCTACCAAGAAATACAGAAGCACTTCAGTAAATAGAAATAAAAAAAAATGTGAAGTTCATTCAATTTTTTGGTATATTGCATATCAAAAATTCTGACAGACATCTGTCACTTTCAGTAAATAAAGTACTAATCCTTTATTTAATGAGAGGAGTAATCTCTGCAGCTCAGCTTCTAAATTATGTTTTTCAAATAATACCCATGCATCACTGAATAAAAGTGCTGCTCAAGTACCTTGCATTACAATGGCTTTATATAATTTGTTTCCAAAATTAACACCTCCTAATGAATTTCATCCTGGAGTGTGCAGATTGAAAATGCCAATAATTCATAGAATGCTTTTGCTAGCCATATTCTAATTTAAACACTTAAATGCAATATCTATAGATGCTACAGAAACTGGGATGGCCTTTTATTTTGTATTAACATTCCATGCCATTGATGGATCTGCAAAACCTTTCAAACTATTAATTCAGCCTTTTAGAAGAAAATGCAGCTCTCTTAGTAGACTCTTTTGAGAATCTATTTATAATAGCTTTAGTAAAAATAATAATTTTTCGAAGTTATTATTGGTAATACTTAAAGTTGATACAACATTTGCTTCTTCAATGACGTACCCTTGTTACAATGATTTGTTACTACTATATGATAACCACATGACATTTAAAGTAGCTAAACAAAAAACAAAGGCAGAGTTACCTCAGATTGTATAAGACTAAATATGCGTGTTTATATATTAGATTCACTGAATTCATCTGTGGAGCTCCTGTTATGCTCAACACACTTACAGATGTGAATAGAGACAAATAGTAACAATCATAACACTTAACAGTTACTGAATGTGTACTCTGTGAAGAGTCAATCTGTGAATCATTTTATTTCATCCTCATCGAAACTCATGACTTTGGTGATACTATTATTACAGAAGTTATTAAGAAATTATTTTAGGTATGGAGAAAGGGTAAGGAGTCCTCGGTAAGGCTTTTTCTTTTAATAAAAAGCTCCCAAAACATTTCTTTTCTAATAGAAAAGTGAAAAGCCTGACCGGCAAGCATTGATATGCAAATGCTGGGAAATAGAAACCTGATCCACCCAACATGGCGGTTCCCTCCCTCTTCTAGTCACCACATACGCCAGGTGTCATGGCTGCCTCTAGATAACACCACCTGTGCAAGACATCATGGCGACCTGCATCTGTACATTAAATGGCTAAGGTGGGAGGGCCAGTTTTTTTCACTGGCTACGTGAATGACACACCTGGTAAAACCAATCCCCTGGGCCCTATGCAAATCAGACACCGCCTCCTCCAGCCTCCCAGTATAACTGACTGCTTTCTGTGGAAGGGGCAGGGGTTTTTATCTGTTCAGAGCCCCCACTCCCTCTGTATGGGGGAGCTTTTTTCTTCTTTCTTGCCTATTAAACTTTCCTCTCCTTAAAACCACTCCACGTGTGTCCGTGTCATTAATCTTATCCGTGTGAGACAAGGGACCAGGGTGTTTCTCCGGTCATTGGAGCCATATCACTATTATGACCATGCTATAAAGGACAAACTAATCTCTGCTTCAGGGAAACTTATAGTCTAATAATTGGTGATTTTCAGTATACTTATTTACTAAAGATAAGCTGTTCTTAAATGCTGTCAAAGAAATCTGTGTAAAGACTTTAAAAACAGACAAGAATAGAAGTGAATGACAGAGAAAGGGGGAATTGTCAAGAGAAGCTGAAGTTAGAAACACAAGGCATAACAGTTTGACTAAAATTAAACTTCCTATGGAAAATGTCATCTATTTGTTCCTAAGACATGTATTTTTGACTGATTCTTATTACTGGGTTCTATACATCCAGCTCTGGATATGTAACAAATATGATATTAAAAATGAATCTAGATCTAATTTCAGAAATTTAGTAAATACTTTTAAATTAATAGTCCCAGAGTTTGGAGGCTGAAAGTATGTTAGATGCCATTTAGTTTGAGTTGATATTTTATAAATAAGAAAAATGAAACCAGATAATTGAGATATTAGCTCCAAATCAGAGTTTATTTTAGATTAATTGGCATTCCAATTTTATCAAACACCAAAAAAACTGATGAGTAAAGATCTTAAACCTATCTTCTAAGGGCTTCAGTTGACATATATAGGATATATTTGACGTATTTTCTACATGTCAATTTCTAAAGAATTCTACAATTAATTTTATTTTTTGTTTCAGTTCTAGAAATCATATTTGTACTAAGGAACATATTATTATTCACCATGTTATTATTAAATACAAAATATTTTCTGTTCTTTGGCTAGTGAATCCAGCCCCAAGTTGACCGAGGCAGTTGAAAGAATTGTACAAAGTGACAGAGTATTCCATAGTTCTTAAGCATTCCTAGGCTATTCCTCAAGATGTTGGGTTTTGTTGGTGTTTTGTTTTTTTCTCATGGAATGTCTTGTTGGGTTTTGTTGTTCTATTCTCTTGCATGAAATGATGATAGAAACTTACCGTTCCAAGATTAATTCACAAGATTTCAAGAGCTCTGGTAGAGACAATAGTTATAATTCTATCAGAAATAAACTAACTTGACTTCTTACAGCTAAAGGTTTATCTTGTCAATAGAATCAGGATAGCAATTTCTGCCTTCACAATCCATAAAATTGTTAAGTGAATCAAAAATTATCACATTACTTACTACTTTATTTTAAATGCTCCTAAGGATTAAAAAGTAAACTGTGATTTGGGGCTAATATCTGAATTAGCTGGCTTCATTTTTCTCATTTATAAAATATCGGCTCAAATTAAATGATATCCAAATCTTTAGATTCATTACTATAATCTTCCAATATGTGTTTCTTATATATTTTTATATAATTTCAGAAAATTCAATGAATCTGCCATCTCTATAAATAAATTTTTATACAAACAGTATTTGTTTTTCAGGCTTTCTATCAAATTTCTATTCATATTTGAAAGGCCAAACATTTTGTAAAACCTACATGAAGCTTCTGATTTACCTTTTATTTTTGTCTTACCTAATCTGCTTTGTGTTTGTCACTGAGCACTCACATACCTCAAAAGGGGAGTGATGGGAGGAAAGGATGTCTTACATAATGATTGTTGCTTGTGAAAGTGACTGTGCATGTAAAACCCTCAAATATACTGTGATGGTTAGCACTGAGTGTCAACTTGATTGGATTTAAGAATATACAGTATTGTTCCTGGGTGTGTCTGTGAGGGTGTTACCAAAGGAGATGAACATTTGAGTCAGTGGACTGGGAGATGCAGACCTACCCTCAATCTGAGTGGGCACAATCTAATCAGCTGCCAGCGCAGGGGCTAGAATAAAGCAGGCAGAAGTTGGAAAGAGCAAACTTGTTGAGTCTTCTGGGCTTCATCTTTTTTCTGTGCTGGATGCTTCCTGCCCTCACACATCACACTACAAGTTCTTCAGCTTTTGGACCCTTGGGCTTACATCAGTGATTTGCAAGGGCTCTCAGGCCTTTGGCCACAGACTGAAGGCTACACTGTCAGCTTCCCTACTTTTGAGGTTTTGGGACTCAGACTGGCTTCCTTGCTCCTCAGTTTGCAGGCAGCCTATTGTGGGACTTCACCTTGTGATCGTGTGTCAATACTCCTTAATAAACTCCCCTTCACATATACATCTATCCTATTAGTCCTGTCCCTCTAGAGAACCTTAATACTGTTGCTAAGAAAGATTTGTAATCTGTGGAATTCCTCCTTATTGATATTCACATTTAAGTTATTCTTAGTCCTACTTATTTAGCATTTACACTATAACAGTATATTTGCTGGGTACTTCCTCTATTATCTTATTTAATCCTCACATCAACCCTGCTGAGATGATTGTCACCATTATGCAGATGAGGAGACAGTAGAAGACTCATATAACTAGTAATCGGTAGAGCTGGTGTTTGAACTTCGAAGCCTGCACTAAACCTCTGTGCTATGCTCCCTGGGAAAACAGAACATAAGGATTATGATAATTATGAGAACAACTCATATTTATTAACTGCCTTCCTTATTATCCACTTAATGCATTACCATTAGCAATTAGATAGTGTCACGATTTCAATATTACAAAGGCAGAAACTATGCTACAGATAAGTTAAATAAATAGTAAGTGCCACATTCAAGATACAATGCCAGGCTTCTCACCAGAGCACAACTGCTAAACCACTATCTTTCATGTGCAAGCTACTATTATTGAATATCTCCACTGATTAAAGAGCAAATACTATTCCCAGCTACCCCTATTACTCTCTACATGCCATCAGTGCTTTATCTGCTAAGTTATATTTAGCAGAAATAGAAAATTACTTTATGGCCTGCTCTTAATAAAAATATGATTGTGATTTCAACAAACAAAACATTTGAAAGTTAATATCAGTAACTAGGAATAACTTATCTTAAAAAAGTGTCACTCTAGTCGGGCATGGTGGCTCACGCCTGTAATCCTAGCACTTTGGGAGGCCGAGGTGTGTGGATCACGAGGTCGGGAGTTGGACACCAGCCTGGCCAATATGGTGAAACCCCATCTCTACTAAAAATACAAAAATTAACTGGGCGTGGTGGTGGGCGCCTGTAGTCCCAGCTACTCAGGAGGCTGAGGCAGAAGAATCCCTTCAACCTGGGAGGCGGAGCTTGCAGTGAGCTGAGATTGAACCACTGCACTCCAGCCTGGGTGACAGTGTGAGACTCTGTCTCAGAAAAAAAAAAAAAAAAGTATCACTCTGAGTTTTGCTAAAGAATCTCTTCTCAGAGTCATCTATTTAAGATCTCTTTTCAGATTACATTGCTTTTCTTGGACATCATTTAAGGCAGTATCACATTCCAGACTTACAAGGCACAATGTTGGTCACTTGGAAAGCAAGGAGCCAGCATTTGAGTTAAGTCAGTAATGTCTGACAGGGGGCGGGAGCGGTGGCTCAGGCCTGTAATCTTAGCACTTTACAGGGCTGAGGTGGGCAGATCACTTGAGGTCAGGAGTTCAAGACCAGCCTGGCCAACATAATGAAAACCAGTCTCCACTAAAAAATACAAAAATTAGCCAGGCGTAGTGGTGGGCACCTGTAGTTCCAGCTACTCAGGAGGCTGAGGCAGGAGAATCACTTGAATCTGGGAGGCGGAGGTTGCAGTGAGCCAAGCATGGCCACTGCACTCTAGCCTGGGTGACCGGGTGAGACTCTGTCTTAAAAAAAAAAAAAAAAGGTATGACAGAGGTGAAAGAAATGCAGGGTTAGAAGAATTAAATATGCCAAGAAGAAAGTGGTACACATAAAACTGTTTGCTAGTGTTTATCTTACTTGAAAGAAAAATCATGTTTTATTAATCATGTATCTTACAGTACACTTGTAGAAGAAGCAGTTTTTCTCATGTGGTTCCTCCTGTTTCTTCTTTCATTCTTCAGTGACCATCACAGTGTGTTCATGACAATTCAGTAGCATGATTCCATTGGCTTAACCAAATATACTTAATTGGATAGTGAATGGTTTCTACTTATTTTCCACTCTTTATGATGGATTTAGTTCTGTAGTATTGGGATATTTAATACAAGAATTGCATGCCTCCGAGAATGATGGCATCATATTCCCTATTTGTTTTCCTTACGAATTTATGTTCCTCCTTTGAGAGATAGTGACAGAAAGAATAAATATTCCTTAAAAAGTAGTTATAAATTGGGTAGGTCAAAGTTGACAAAGGAAATAATAAGCAGATAGCTATCCAAATGTATATAATGTGATACACAATCCAAAGGTGAGAAATTGAATAGAAAAATTAAATTAAAACAAATAGAAACACAGCATAAAGTATGCTTTCCCTCTCATTCTTTATCATACTCAGCCAACATCTGTGAAGCAATTCACTAAATGCATGTCTTGTTTGTTTTAGTGAAATGTGTCAAATTAGAGGAAAAGTCAGTTTTAGAGAATGAAACAAATGACCACATTATTCTTTGCTCTATTGGACCACTGTCAACATACTTTATAATCTATTTAAACTAACTAGCCCCAGCTATTTTTTTTTCCTTAAAAGCCATCTGTAGAAGGGTCATAAAAAGAAATTTGTTAGTGAGATCATTAAGGAAGGAACTACCAACAATATAACATTACTAGGTGTAACTTTCTCACCAATTAAATCAGCTTCCTGGTAGACAACAAAAAGTGATTGATATCTACTAAACTGATTAGAGTTGAAACTTATTAAATCTTTAATTTTATGTTTATATTCACTGTAAGTACTATATAAATCTTAGTACATCTTCCACATAAGGTGATCTTTTTTGTAAAAAAATTCAACTTTAAAGAACAAATACATTTCAAATAGAAGTTATATGTTTTCAGGAACAACTATGTAATGACAAATTCTGCTAACTTACTAGAAAGTAACCTGTATATGTTTAACGACTGCTTCATTCACTGCTGTGAAATATTCACTTAAAGCAAGCCACTCAATAAGTATTTTCAATTTATTAAATAAATCCAAGGGTTTTCTATCTCAGGTGCTCTTGAATAACAGGTACAACTTTATTTGTATTAAGAAAGGCAAATTTAAAGAAAAAAATAAAATGGCTATGTGGATTGTACCAATGCTATGCTGAAGTGAATACTTTCTGATTATAAAGTTTAATCAATACATCTATTTGTTATTTTTGGTTAATATTCTAATTACAAAAAACCCCACCAAAACCCAAAAAACAAATAACCATGGTCTGTTCCATTATGCTACATTTTTATTGTATTGTATTTTATTTTATTTTACTTTATTTTATTTTATTTATTTATTTTGAGACAACTCTGTCACACAGGCTGCTGTGCAGTGGCCTGATCTCAGGTTACTGCAACCTCCGCCTCCCAGGTTCAAGCAATCCTCCCTCCTCAGCCACCCGAGTAGCTAGGACTACAGGCATGTACCACCATGCCTGGCTAATTTTTGCACTTTTAATTGAGATGGGGTTCCACCACGTTGGCCAGGCTGATCTCGAACTCCTGATCTCAGGTGATCTGCGTGCCTCGGCCTCCCAAAGTGCTGGGATTACAGGTGTCAGCCACAATGCCCAGCCCCATTATGCTACATTTTTAAATAATGAAAACTGCAAACAAAATAGCTTACATTTGAGGGCATTTTAAACATAATTAAATAAGTGCATAATTTTAAAACAAGAAGAATTTATAGAAACAATAGCCAACAACTATTGAATGTTTACTATGTGTAAACTCTTACTACTAACTTATCAAAACGACTTTTTGATAGGAACTATATTATCACCATTTCACAGATAAAACAAGTGAGGAGCAGAGACATTAAATTACTTGCTCAAGGTCACAAATCAGGTAAGAAATAGAGCTAGGAATTTATAAGACAATCTGGCTCCAAGGTTTATGCTCATTGGATAGCATATAATTTCCCAAGAAGATTACAGATCAGTTGGTACTGAATTATTTTTTTCTCACCCAGGAAATGAAGTAGCACAATTCCGATGCCCTATTTCAAAGGTCAATGGATTTGAAAAATATATTCAAATGCATGATGTTTTAAATGAAATCTCAAGTCATGAATTTTGGATGGTTTGTTATACACACACACACACACGCACACACACACACACACACACACATAAACTATGTGGCCTACAGAATTTGGCATCTACTTCAAAAAAAATGATACACACATTTGGAAACAGCGTGGAGGTAAAGTTTTAGGTTTCTGAGATTTATGAGATGTATATTTACTAACCACAAACAATTACATCTTAACCCGCAAGTCTCTCCTTAACATCAGTTCACCTTTCATGCATCTAGATGCATGAATTCATCACACCATGGTCAAGTTCTAGACTCTTCTGTGCCTTATTAATTTTACAGAAGAAGAGAGATTTATCACAGAAAATATGAACTCCTTAGTGATGGAAGTTAACATCAAAAGCCTACATAATAAAAGGAAAGACAGTATAAAATCCTGGTGTGCTGCAATGCTATGACAATGGGCTTTTTGTTCTTTTTCAAAACACGCATAGTTTCATCTACCATTGTAAAACTGATGTCTTAATAGTACATCTAAGTTTATGCATTTGGAGGATTTGGCAGTCTTTTATGAATCTTCTCCCTCGGTTTAGTGAACTATATATTATCTATTTGAATTCAGGGCCATTAAATTCTTGCAAAGTGTTTATTGCACAATACATATTATTGGTCCTGTCACTGAACAGTGCCCTCTTTCTGTTTTATAGCTAATGTAGCATTTCTCCATGACATCGATAGATTAAAACATTTACTACCAGAAAAATTATGTGAAAATGGAGCAAACTCATTTCGCTACAAGCTAACTCAATAAATCTGTCCAGTTTACTGATGTTCACTTTCCTTTAAAATCGGTACGTATTTATCTTGCAAACTTCAAGAAGGCAGAAGAGAGAGGTTAATTTTCTTTTTTTCTACCCCTGGCAGCAATGCTACATTGATAATGTTAATAAATGGCAGTTGAATAGAACCAGATCTATATTTCTGATATGTACTCAGGAAAATTTAGAAAAGGGTCAATGAGGGATGTATTAAGATTTTTAAAAGGTTCTATCTACTGTTTCTAGAGCCACACACCAGTCTTTCAATAACAGAAGAAGGAAGTACAGCTAAAGTTAATTGGTTGAATTTTATGATGCTAACTTGATGCCTTTCTTAAATTTATCACCAAAAAATAAGTCATTAGCAAATCTAATTTGCTTCCATTTGAGCAAATAAAAATAAAATACAGGCAAATTTAGTCCTGTATTTTTAAGCTGGTAATTGAGGAATAAAGAAAATGGTAGAAATAGTACTTTTCCTGACAGTATTGTCGAGGAAAGGATTTTTTTTTTTTTTTTTTTTTTTACTTTAAGGGCAAACAAACTCTCCCTTTTCCAATTCCTTTCCTGTTATGAAAGGAGATGGTTATGAAAATGGCTTATGTTACTGCCTCTAGAGCCATGCTGACCAATTGGCCAAGCATGCAACACTTAGAATAGATGCTCAGAGATAATAAAAGCCCATCTCTCCAAGTTCTATGTGACAACTTTGTCCTTAGTTATGGCAATAGAGTGGAAAGAAAATAATAAATGTTTATCAAACCAGATCACATCTATAGCTGTAAAATAGCTATGTGACATCTTTTTTTTAACTACCACAAGTGCAAAATATCACTGATTAGATACATGCCAGAATTTTTATTATGACACATTTAGTCTTATTTCTGAAAAGCTATGTGTGAGTGAATAAACATCTTGCTTTCATTTATGTATGTTATTTTCTTGAACATATATTAATACTTTCCTTTTACACAAGAAAAAGCAAGTTGCTTATAGAGCCATTCTTCCTTAATTAGCTGTTTTGGAATTAAATATGATTCTCCTATATCTGCACCCCTGCACACACCACTTACCATTGAATACTGCCTTTAACAATCTCCTATACATTCATCTTAAAATGAATGAAATCCCACCTTCACCATGACGTTTTCAGCCTGCTTTTAAAAGATAAATCTTAGGAAGAAAGTTTTATAGATATTTGCCACTTAGATCTTTGAGTAAGACATCTTCAATTACAGTGTTAACCAGAACTTCAATAACCAGTCGAATGTAAGAAAGAAGCAGATTTTGTATAATATTGGCCAAGTGTTTCAAAAATGTAAGTCTTACTTGACCAACAATATTACAGCTGCTCTTTAAGAAGGTAGATAATATGTTAAATGTTAAAAAAGGTGGTAAGATAATTAACATTCTACCAAATCAGATCTCTGAATGGTTATGTAATATTTTCATAATACTAAATAATTAAATACTTGAAATACTTATTGATTGATGATGCCTACAAATGTTTTGAGTTACTCAAACATAAAATGATCAAATATTACTATGTGACATAGCATTCCAGTTTGGGATCCCCTAAAAAGTTGAGCCCAAGACAAGAACTTTGATTCAGGTAGTTTACCGGAGGATGAATCCAGGAAACAAGTGTGAAGGAAAGGAGATGAAGAAAAAGAGGAAAAGCCAAAAATATGTTGCTATTATTACAGCTGTTGCTATTGGCAAGAAGAACCAAATTCTGTCAAGATCCCTGAGAAATACAGACTGCCACCCAGAACCGTACAACTGAAATAGGAAGCTGGAAAAATCTGCATGAGCTCCTCCTCCCCAGTGCTTGAGGACAATCTTTACCAGTATGACATCCACAGCACACAAGCAGATGGCTAGGGTGCCTACCAAGCAAGCCACTGGCATGGAGGAAAGTCTTAGGGAAGAATGTGTAAAGACAAATAGAAGGCATTTGAGATGGGAATTAGGTAGCTGAGGTAGGCCTGCGTGCCCACAAATAGTTCATTTCAGTTTGGCCGAAATCAGAATTGGGCCAAGGGGATACAACATGTGTGCAGAGGCATCTGCTAAATATGTGTGTGTGTGTGTGTGTTTGTGTGTGTGTGTACTCAAGTATACATAAACAATACAATACATTCACCATAATCTTTAACTCTGACTTTCTCATAATATCAAGTTTTATATTTATTTAGCTGTCACTTCAATTTTGTTACTGCAAAATGTATTTTTAATTGTGTGTGTGTGTGCGTATTTTACATGGCAGCTTTTCTTCATTCTCCAACAACAAAAGAACTTTTTTTTTGTTTGTTTACTGCTACAACATTACTAGCTTCTTTTTGTCACTTTCTTTCACATGCAGCTGAGAGTGAAAAGTGCAGAAAAGAATTGTAGCTAGAGGTCTAACATTTACGCATTCCATAGAACTCCTCCTGCAGGCATAAAAGAGGGGATAAGATAGAACTTGTGGCTAATTCTGTCTATTTTCTTGTCAATCCTGGGAATGGAGAAAGAGAAAGATAAATCACCTAGACCATGAATCCTGAGTTCACAAACAGCTTAGATACACCTGATGATTGGGACTTGAACCAAAGTAATAATTCTTTTCTCCTACTTCATTTTGTGATATAACATTTATTCGAAGTTAGCCCTTGAATAGCCTTTCCTGTTTAGATGAGAGAAAATATGTTTAGATAGACCTCTATTGTAAGAAATTATTAAATAAAATACTTTCTACATAAAAACCATTGTTCATTTTTTGGGCTCTTATTTCTTGGTCTTTTAAAGTACATCTTAGCAAGGAACTTTGAAAAATCATCGTTAGTTCAGTATAATGTAAAGGAGTAGAAAATCCTTGAATAAAAAGTATAAAAGAGACAGAGAATGCTTGGAATTTCAACTCATATACTTTCATTTACTGATTTACATATACAAAAGTGAGCCCTCACAACTTTTAAGATTCTGAGAGAATATAATAGACCTAGAATTAGATCAAGGGCGATTAATTTAACACAGTAAATTAGAAAGGAACTTGAAATGTTTATACGCAATTTAAAGGCAACAGAATGTATGCTTTGGTGAACACTAGGCACACAATAAATACTTGCTGATTCATCAGCTTAATGAACTTAATGATGAGTTAATAAGAACTAATTTCTAGATGGAGAAAGAACATACAGGAAAAAAATGAGTATACTCAGTGCTTGTCACACAAGCATAACCGGCTCCAAAATGTCTTCTTATTGCAGGAAATGAGCACAAGATATCATTACTTACTGGTATAATTAATATAAAAATGCAGGATATGTTTATTACTGTTAAAAAGGGCTCCAGAGTCAAGCTAGCGATATAGTAACATGCATTAATATTTACATAATTAAATAATTATAAAGTTTTATCATTACATATTTATGCAATTACTTTTTAATGCACAGAATTCGTTGCTGCAGCTGCAATATCAGGTCTCATCATTTTTCGGGTATCTGGGTATTGTGCCACTCATACCCCCATGTTTGACTGACATACAGTCTTGAAAGCATGTAATAGTCATTTTTGTCAACAGGGACAATTTTAAATTTTAAACAATACATTTCAATGCAGAAATGCAGAACATAAATGTATACAGAGAGAGTCATATCAAGAGACAAAAGGAACTAAAACCACAGTGATGAATATATAAGACAGCACTGGCTTCATTCAGATGGAAGCCATCTTTTGAATTTAAATAGGTGACCAAAGTATGTTCACATAGTGGTATCAGTGATGTAACTGCATGGACCATAAGTCAAAACTTGAGGGGATTGGGATATATGGTAGTGAATTACACACTTCAATTTTAAAATTCCATTCAATTAAGTGAATGGAATTCAAATAGTATAAATACTTGGCATTGTACTGAGCACTTTACATACAACTTCTGATTTATTCATCTTATAATATCTTCATCTTGTGGATAAGGGATCTGAGGCTAAATGAACTGAATGGTCTAAGGATACATGGCTTGAAATGTATGAGTTTAGGATTTCAATTCACATTTGTAGATTGCTAAACTTCCTTTTTTTTTCTTTTTTTGGCCTAGGACATGGTCTTGTTCTCTCACCTAGGCTGCAGTGCAGTGTGGCAAAATCATGCCTCACAGTAGCCTCAACCTTCCAGGCTTAAGTGACCCTCCTGCCTCAGCCTCTCAAGTAGCTGGAACTACAGGCATACACTACTGTGCCTGGCTAATTTTTTATTTATTGTAGAGACAGGGTCTCAATATGTTGCCCAGACTGGTCTCGAATTCCGGGGCTCAAGTGATCCTCTCGTGGCAGCTTCCCAAAGTGCTAGGATTATACTCATGAGCCACCAAACCCGGACCAAAACTTCCTTTCTAACCAAGATGCTATACTGTTCTTTGCGAATGTAACTGAGTATGGAATGAAATGCAAAGGTGAAATATAATTTTTGTTGCAATGATTCCTAAAACTCTCAAACATGTTTTTCCCTGATAGTGTTTAAAGCTATTGGTACTCTAACTGACTTACTGAAAATGGCATCTATTCTGTTAAATTAAGTTTGGCCCAAAGCTGCTCCTGTACATATTTTAAGCTTGACCTAAAGTTTTCTCCATATATATTGAACTGCAATCTCATTTGATGTGTAAATAGACTGTAACTTGGTCTTATTACAAGTAGTGAAGTCTCCGCCAACCACAGACAGCCAACGATTCAAAGCAGGTTCAAATAAGTCACACACTTAACTGTAACCAAACCAGTTGTTTTTGTAGTGCACTTTTGTTTTCTGTATGGCACTTTCTTTTTTCTGTCCATAAATGTTATCCAATCATGTGGCAGCCCCAAAGCTACTCTGAACCTATTCTGGTACTACGGGCTGTCCAATTTGCAAATCATTCTTTGCTCAATTAGATGTAATGTGCCTGAAGTTTTTCTTTTAACAGTTCTACAATCATGCTATTGTGTGTGTGTGTGTGTGTGTGTATATATATATATATATATATATATATATATATAATGAAGCATATGTTTTAAGATAGTATTGTTAGGTTTGTAAGGTCCTCTGTTGCCAATTGGATCTTCACTTCAGTAACGGAAAGGACAGAAAGTAACACTAGCTATCATTGCCTACTTTTTATGTGCAGGATTTCCACATTGCAAACTAAACATCATTTATAACTAGTGCAGTGAGATACATTCTCCTGTGAAAATAGTAATAGGCAAATACAATTTGGTCACATTGTCTGTGAATGTTGATAGTGGTGCTGCAATATGTCTTTTATGAGAACAGCAATCCCTGATATAAGAAGAAGTTGTGCTCCAAAATGGTATTTCCAATTAGATCTTGATATCTTGGGATTGGTTCTCCCTTAGGCACAATGTCCAACTCTTGGTAACTTTCATGGACATAGCCCCCACAACTACATAATTTATAATGTGCTACAAATCCTTTATAAATGTGCCATCAAATTTTGATCAAAGTGGAAAATTTATTAATACAGCTGAGAACTATAATGTCTGCTGGATGGAATGTTAAATTAAGTTAGTAGAGTCATGTCATAGCATGTGAGATACCAGTTGAAGTACAGCCAATGTCAAAACAAAAACAATAAACAAACAAAAAAAATCAATATTATTTATTTGAAGTGTATGAACTTTGCTTGACAAGTATATTAGAGTGTTGTCGGATTAGCAAATAGTTACATAGAGAGTGCAACACACTAGGTGAATATACAGTGCTACATTATTGAATGAAATTTAGTTCATTCAAGAGAACAACCAAGATTCTGACATTTAGATGTGTTTTTGAATACATGTGTTTAAATAAACATGTACTCAAGTTTAGCGTCATTTATCTATACCTTAAGAATAATATACAATTCCCTTGCTTAGTATAATTCATTTAAAAATCCAACTTGAAAATTCAAATACTCAATAAACTGCTACAGTTCTGTTGGTTTGCCACTTGGGCATAAGGACCTGTGGATCCATTATTCAGGTAAAAGACAATGGCTCTGGTTGGCAGGCACATGGAATCTTGCAAGTAAGAATCTCTTAGAGAATAAGGGACATTCCAAAGTGAAGTCTCAAAAGGCCAACACCTCCCCCTGCATAAATTTAAGGATATTTTAAAGTTCTAGATTGGATCAATGGCCATTCCCCAAGACTGATCCCCATTAGCTTTTCTTTATGTAAATGTCCCCTATTGTTTCTGAACAATAGAGTCAATAATATTTCTTTTACAAATATAGACACACAGGATTTCACAAAGGAGAAAGGCTTTGACTCCAAAGCCTGGGACAAACTTACCATCCAACCACAGACTTCAGAACTGCGTTTAAAGCCGTGGTTTAACTATCTGGATAAGATGAAGAACTCATTTCATTTTTAAATGTCTATAAAAGTAACTTCTGTTAAATAATTCCAGTTTTACAAATAATAAGTATGTTTTCTATGTTAACAAAATCAGCATGACTATAATAATAATATATGCTTCCTTGAATACTTTTCTAAGACATAGCATGGCTATATCATGGTAAAAGTCAATGAGACCCACAAGCCCCTTCCAGAAGTTGGATGCATTTTTTCTACTTAAATTTTATTCTATCATGCTGTGTAATCCTCCATGCCAAAGTACTAGCCCTCTTAGATACACCAGGATTTGATTGTAATCATTAATAAAGTAAATACTAACTACTACTGGCAGAATACAAATTTTTCTAGGTAAAAACAATTTATTCAATAAATGTTGTATTGGATGTTTTTTCTCAGGGGTTGAGGGGCACAGTTATTGGCAAGGTTGTGAGACCAGGCTTTCGAGGCACATAATTAGTCACAAATTCAATCCCAGCCAGTTCTATCAATGCTTGCCTATGTAACAGTGAGTGAATTATATATAATCTTTCTTTGCTTCAGTCCCCTTTTTAAATAAAAATATAATAAAGATCTCTACCTCCTTGGCTTATTGTGATGCTTATAAAAAGCCTGGCACAGATGTTTGGAAACTAACAGATATTCTTATTATTATATGCAAAATGATTAACATGACTGAAGGATCAATGGTAAACATAAAACAGGAAAACACAGTACTTGCTTCCACAGATTTCATAATTTTGCTAAGGAAATGACTTATACTCAGGTAATAATTAGGCAACTAACTACATAGGCCAATTAGGTAACATTCAAATAAGCAGTAAATTATCAAATTATGCATAAATTAGACTAAAATAAAATTAGCTAAAATAATGGGATAAATTTAAGAAGCTGATACAACGTGGTAGAAATGGTCAGAAGAGTGTAATAATAAGATCAATATAACAAATTAGGAAATTTTCTGTGTATAATAGGCCTTGAAGTTTAAGAACTGAGCCGGGTGCAGTGGCTCACACCTTGAATCCCAGCACTTTGGGAGGCTGAGACGGGCAGATCACCTGAGGTCAGGAGTCGAGACCAGCCTGGCCAACATGGTGAGACATTGTCTCTACTAAAAATACAGAAATCAGCCGGGCATGGTGGTGCACGCCTGGAGTCCCAGCTACTGGGGAGGCTGAGGTAGGAGAATCACTTGAACCCAGGAGGCAGAGGTAGCAAGAGCCAAGATCACGGCCACTGTACTCCAGCCTGGGCAACAGAGTGAGACTCCATCTCAAATAAATAAATAAATAAATAAATAATGAATAAAGTTTAAGAACTGGCAAGAATGGAACAGGAGACCTTTCAACTTTGATCTATTTTTATTTTTAGCTGAAAAAACCCGTATAAATAGAAAATACCATGTTCTTCTTTGAATTTTTTATTGTTTTTGTATTCTTACAAAAATAAAATCATCCATCTGATCTGTGCAGTAAACCCATAGCACACATTTACCTATGTAACAAACCTACACATCCTGCAAATGTACCCCTGAACTTAAAATAAAAGTTGGAAAAAAAATAAATCATCCAAGGAAACTGAATTTCCAATATGAAAATTTCAAATAATAAAAAAAAAACAAAGACTGTAAAACTTTAAATAACAAGTAGCTAGATTTTTTTAAAGTACCTTTAAAAACATGTTTTAAACCATATTTTAAATATTGAATAAGAATAATCAAAGCTCTCTTGCTAATAATATAAAAACACAAAAACCAAAAAACGTAGCAACTAAAATTTAAAAAGGCATTTGGAAGGTCAGATTTATGACTTTGATACATTACTTCACTAGAATGAGACAATATATAATGCCTCTAAATCCCTCTCCGTACCAAGTGACATTCATTGTTGGCACAGTGGCCACTTTTTCCCAGAGCCAATATAAATTCACATGATACTTTTCATGAATAAACATGAAAATATTTGCAGTACTAAACAAAAAGAAGACGGTAAGTTTGGAAATAATCCAATAAAGCAGCACCAAGTGACCCACAAAACTTGAATCTCAGAAGGGAAGAGCTGAAATTTGGGTAAGGTGAATGTAGCATATTTAAGAAAATTTAGTTAAATCACACATTAAACCCACAAAAGAAGAGAGAGAATAAAAGCAAGAGAGAGTGACCCACATTGAATTTGAAATAAATTAATACAAGCAGTGACATGGTGAGTTGAGCCCTCCACAATGTCTCTAATGGAGTCTTGTTATGCTTGCAGAAGGTATCAAGCACATATGGGCCTATCATCAGGGGGTCTCAGAACAGTAGATGGTCTTACATATCGTGGAAGCATGCTGGGATACATTTGAGGAAGGTTAAGCACATGAAACTCCAGGGTTTTCCTTTCTTTTACTTCTTCTTCATTTGCTTAATCTCTATACACTTACAAATATTTCTAAGGTCTGATTAGAAAATTGAAAAATATTTCTAAGGTCTGATTAGAAAAATGAAAATGTTCACGTTTGAGCAAAATTAATCTAACATAACCTTAAAAAAATCAAGGTCAAACACCTTTAAAATCAATTGAAAAAATAATATGAACTAACTAGGCATATTAAAAGAAATGGACAAGTTGTTATTTATTTTTAAAAATCAACATTATCACTCTGTATTTTACCTTTCAGAGTATTAGCACAGGCATATTTCATTTTATTGAGCTTCATTTTACTGTGATTTGCAGATATTGCCTTTTTTTGCAAATTGAAGGTTTGTGGCAACCCAGAATGGAGCAAGTCAATTGGCGCCATGTTTTTCAACAGCATGTGCTTACTTGGTGTCTCTGTGTCACATTTTGGTAATTCTTGCAATATTCCAACTTTTCATTATTATCATATCTGTTACAGGGATCTGTGATCAGTGATACTTGATGTAACTATTTTAATTGTTTTGGGGACCACGAACCATGCCTATATAAGATGGTGAACTTAATAAACGCTTGTGTTCTGACTGCTCTACTGATCAGCCATTTCCTGTCTCTCTCCCTTTCCCCTTCTTTGGGCCTTCCTGATTCCTGAGACACAGCAATATTTAAATTAAGCCACTTAATAATCCTGCAATGGCCTCTAACTATTCAAGTGAAAGGAAGAGTACAAGTATCTCACTTTAAATCAAAGCTAGAATGATTAAGTTTAGTAATGAAGCCATGCTGATAGCTGAAATAGGCTGAAAGTTAGACTTCTGGTGCAAAATGGTTAGCCAAGTTGTAAATGCAAAGGAAAAGTTCCTGAAGGAAATTAAAAGTGTTAATCCATTGAACACATGAATATTAAAAAAGCAAAACAGTTTTATTGCCGATATGGAAAAAGTTTTAGTGAACTGGATAGAAGATCCAATGAGCCATAATATTCCCTTAAACCAAAGTCTAAACCAGAGCCAAGCCCTAACTCTCTGCAATTGTATGAAGGCTGAGAGAAATGGTGATGTGGAAGAAAAATTTGAAACTCGAGACAGTTGGCTCATGAGGTTTTAAAAAAATAAGCTGTCTCCATAATTTTAAAATGCAAGGTGAAGCAACAAGTGCGGATGTAGAAGCTACAGTAAGTTATCCAGAAGACAGAAGATCTAGCAAAGATAATTGATGAAGGTAGCTAAACTAAACAACAGATTATCAATGTAGATAGAACAGCCTTTTTTTTTTTTTTTTGAGAGGGAGTCTCACTCTGTCACCCACCCAGCCCAGAGTGCAGTGGCGCAATCTCGGCTCACTGCAACCTCTGCTTCCCGGTTTCAAGCAATTCTCCTGCCTCAGCCTCCCGAGTAGCTAAGATTACAGGCATGTGCCACCACGCCCAGCTAGTTTTTTTGTGTTTTTAGTAGAGATGAGGTTTCACCATATTGGCCAGGCTGGTCTCGAACTCCTGACCTTGTGATCCACCCACCTTGACCTCCCAAAGTGTTGGGATTACAAGCGTGAGCCACCGCGCCTGGCCAGAACAGCCTTTTATTGGAAGTAGATACCATCTAGGACTTTCCTAGCTAGATAGGAGAAAACAACTGGCTTCAAAGCTTCAGTAACAAGCTAGTCTCTTATTACAAGCCAATGCAGATTTGAATTTAAGTTGAAGCCAATGCTTATTTACCATTCTAAAAATCCTAGTGCCCTTCAGAGTTACATTAAATCTACTCTGAGCTCTGCCTGTGCTTTATAAATGGAATATCAAAGCCCGAATAACAGCACATCTGTTTACAGCATGGTCTACTCAGTATTTTAACCTCTCTTTTGAGACCTGCTCAGAAAAAGGTTTCCTTTCAAAATATTACCACTCGACTGGGCGCAGTGGTTCATGCCTGTAATCTTAGCCCCCTTGGGTGGCCAAGGAGGGAGCGCGGATTGCCTAAGCTGAGAAGTTTGAGACCAGCCTGGACAACATGGCGAAACCCTGTCTCTACCAAAAATACAAAAAATTAGCTGGGCATGGTGGTGCATGCCTGTAATCCCAGCTACTTGGGAGGCTGAGGCATGAGCATTGCTTGAACCCAGGAGGCAGAGGTAGCAGTGAGCTGAGATTGTGCCACTGCACTCCAGCCTTGGCAACAGAGCAAGACTCTGTCTCAAATATATATATATATATAAAATATATGTATAACTATATGTAATCTATAACTTATATATAAATATATATGTAACATATAACTAATACATATAACATGTATATCTAATATATATAAATAATATGTATCACTTGTATATATACACAAGTGATCCACCCACTAGTCATTGAAGAACATACCTAGCCACCTCAAAGCTCTGATGTGAAAATGTACAAAAACATTAATGTTGTTTTCATTCCTGCTAACACAATATTCATTCTGTAGCTCATGGACCAAAGAGTAATTTCAATGTTCAAGTCTTATTATCTAAGAAATGAATTGCATAAGTCTATAGCTGCCATAGATAGTGATATCTTTGATGGATCTGGGCAAAGTAAATTGAAAACCTTCTGGAAAGGATTCACCATTCTAGATGCTATTACAAACATTTGTAATTCATGGGAGGAGATTTAAATCTCAACATTAACAGGAGTTTGTTCAACTCAATCACTAGAAGGTGGTTCAACTTTCATGCATGACTTTGAAGGGTTCAAGACTTCAGTGGAGGAAGTCAGTGCAGATATTGTGCAAATAGAAAGAGAACTAGAATTAAAAATGGAGTCTGAAGATGTGACTGAATTGCTGTAATCTCCTGATAAAGCTTAAACAATGAGAAGCTGCTACCTATGAATGAGCAATGAAAGTGGTTCTTTGAGTTGGAATCTACTGGTGAAGATGTTGTGAACATTGTTGAAATGACAATAAAGAATATTACATAAATTTAGTTGATAAAGCAGTGGCGGGATTTGAGAGGGTGGACTTCAATTTTAAAACAAGTTCTTCTGTGGATCGAATGGTATCAAAAAAGCCTGTCATGATACAGAGGAATTCTTTGTGAAAGGGAGAATCGATCCATGTGAACACTTCATTGTTTTCTCATTTTAAGAAATTACCACAGTCATTCCAACCTTCAGCAACCACCAGCCTGAGTAATCAGCAGCCATCAGCATCAAGGCGAGAGCTTCCACCAGCAAAAAGATTAGGACTAGCTGAAGGCTTGGATGATCATTAGAATTTTTTAGCAATAAAATATTTTTAATTAAGGTATGTATTTTTTAGACATAAATACCATTGCACACTTAATAGACTACAGTATAGTATAAACATTACCTTTATATGTACTAGGTTACCAAAAAATTTATATGATTTTCTTTATTGCAAGATTTGTTTTATTGCAGTGATCTGGAACTAAACCAGCAATATCTCTGAGGTATGCCTGTACTCACAGAAGGGCACTTCATATGGAAATATTTACTTACTGGTAAGTGGGAGACTCTGATACATTTTTTCAATCAATCTTGGATGTGTTATGATATCAAATAACAAAGTCTGCCTATACATGAACTTCATTAGCAATTATAATTTTTATGTTCCCATTAAAATCTTTCAGCAAGTAATAAGTTGCCCTGTGAAGCACTGTTAATTAGATTTTAAAGATGGTTACACATTAGGTCTTCTAAAAACCATAGGTGTTATATCTAAAGAAAGAGTATGCTGGTCAGCAATTTTTAAGCAAGTATTCTATGCCTGCAATGCCAACCGACCACCTGCTGGGGAACAGATACTGTTCCTCATCTTATCTCCACTCTAACTTCCAAACAAACCCTTTATTTATGTAGGAAAAAAAAAAAGACTAAAATAAAAATCAAAGCAAACAACAGAAGGAACATATAAAGAAGTATCATATAGCCTGCTGGAGAATAGAGACATAGATTCTGTGATGACACAGTTTGGTCTTTTTTTAGTCAGTTTTCTCTTTCATCTGCCCCCCTCTGTCACTACCTAGCAAGACTGTCCTAATTTGCTATCTCCAACAATAGAAATAACAGTCTTTATGCCTATCTCTTATAAATGAATCTTTTTTTTTTCTAAAATCTTATCCTATTGTTCTAATACTTCATTTTTTAACTCTAAAATCAAAAAATTATTCTTAGGTGTTGAAAGAATAAGCAGTTTTCATTCTTACATATTTTTAACCAGATAGATGTCTAACACAGGATGTTTATGTAAAAATAATTAAATACTAATTTCTCAGCATAACCTTTTCACTCCTCAAGCTTAGTAATTGAAATAAACTTTTGTTTTTACTCAAAATTTTTCTGTTCTCAAAAGCACTTTCACAGGAGGATTGTAAATGGATCATGTTTCTTATTTGTGACTAGAGTACTGAAAAAAATATCAACCAAGATTTGTTGAGCATCTACATTGTTTCAGGTAGTGTTTTAAGCATTTAAATTTATTTACTGCCTGTAATAATTTTATAAGATAGATACTATAATTACTCCCATTTTACTGACAGGGAAACTGAGGCATGGATAATTTACGTAAATTACTTAAGGATTCTCATTATGATAAGACTACTTCACAAATAGTATAATAAAATACAAAGGAGGTTATGGAGAAACAAGGGGACAAAGAAATACCTTGTGTCAAAATGGGGGAAATGTATGTTTAAAAAACATCACAGTGATACTGAATTAAGACACAAGCAAGATTCTAGAGTGAATGAAGAGATGGCTCCTCATTACTTAAGAATGAAGATGGAATCAGTCACAAATTATATCAAATGAATATAACTAGAATATCAAGAAAATACAGGAGTGAAGCTTCAACTACACTCTAAATATTCTGACAAAGTTAATCGTGATATAGTTATAGATATAGATATAAGTGCTTAGAATGCAGAAATAAAAGCAATAGTGATGATTCATTTAAGAGGACTGAAAGTTGTAGCCAATGAGTTGGACACAATAACTGTACCCAAAGGGATTCCCAGGTAAGTTAATTTTGAATAATGATTTCTAGAGGCTTTCAGCAAATTTCTTTTCCTTACACTGATCACTTTAATATTAATTATTCCCTTGCAGAAATCAAAGGCATAAAAATAAAAGTAAAACCTGAAATTCACACAAAACCAGGGGCTCAAATAAAATGAAAGTCAGAATGAATATTTTAAAGAATGAGTTAAATGCCAACCAGGAATAAAGGGCTGATGCTACTAAAATGTAAGTGCAAATTATAAAATAAAGTTATAAAACAGCCTTAAAAAGATGTTTTGTTCATGTGCAAAAGTTGTATAGCTACTGAAAAATCCATGCAAATGGCATAAAATTGGCTGGATTCACAGGGAATAAGACTTCTGATCATGCTGTCAAAAGAGACAATGCATAGTGCCTTGGAAAGAACCAAAGTATTATTTTCTGTTCCGAGTAGCTTATTTTGAGAGCAATATCATTAAGGACAACTAGTCTGGAGATTGAAATTAGAAAGAAATGACATCTAGAAAGCATGAAAAAAGGAACTGGAGTATTTAGCAGAACGAAATTTGACAGGAATGGCCTGGTATTCCTATCATCCTTTACATATCTAAATCCCCTTCAGTCAGTCTGTGGTCAGCCCTGCAAGTGACCCCTTCCTCAGTAATTCTAACACACAGTCACTGAACTAGTGATCTTACACTTATGTCCTAATTCTACAATTCCATAATTCCTTGTTTCATGACTTTTCTTCATTTTTTTATTCCTTATCCTCATGCCAGACTTAAACTGTGCTCTTATCTCAGTACCGCCTTCTTTAACATTCCTCAGATCCTAACAACTCAAGACTTTTCTTCTAGAATCTTCATCATATCCCAAAATATGATTCTATTGTAAAAAATATCTTCAAATCTGTATTTTTTAGATTAAAAAAAGAAGGTGCCTTCTAAGCTATCATGAAGTTATCACCTTCCTTCAATTATTTCGGTTCTGCGCAGCGGCTCATGTCTGCAATCCCAGCACTTTGGGAGGATGAGGCAGGTGTATCACCTGAGGTCAGGAGTTTGAGACCAGCCTGGCCAACATAGTGAAACCCCATCTCTACTAAAAAAAATACAAAAAATTAGCCAGGCATGGTGGCATGCATCTAGTCCCAGCTACTTGGGAGGCTGAGGCAGGATAATCACTTGAAACTGGGAGGCAGGGGTTGCAGTGAGCCAAGATTGCATCATTGCACTCCAGCCTGGGTAACAGAGTGAGACTCCATCTCAAAAAAAAAAAAAAAAAAAAAATTGTACCTTTAATGTGCTTCTGATATCTTATTATGTTGTCTTATAAACTTACTTGATTATGTAACCATTTTCTTCCCTCACCAAATACACTGTGTGGCTGATATTCCATATAACCTACTTTGAGATAGGCTGCCTTACAGAATTCTATAAAGCTAAGGAGCTTCTGTTTCTTTAAACTCCAGCTTTTTGTGACGTTAGTTTATTTGCTAGATTCTGCATTAGCTGAACTTTGACACACCTTCTCTATATATGTCTTCATTTGTCTTCCTTCTCCAGTCCTCTAGATTTTACAACTTTTTGTTCTCTACCTTTTCTTCTTTAGTCATTTTTAGACATTTCTACTGCTCTCAAAATTTCAATTGTACCTCATACAAATGATTCTCAAATGTCTAGTTCATTTCTGAGTGACAGTATTGTGGTATCACTCTGTGTAACGACTCTGAAGGAATCCAAACTTCAGGTCTCTACTTACAAGTGGGGTTAAAGAAGTATTTTCTCAGCAAGTTTTAAGAATTAAATTAACTTTTCAGGTAAAATGCCTCAAACATTTACTCTTAGCTATTGTTATTCTTTCTCTCCCTAGCTCATTCTTGATCCCCAAGCTATTAGCGCTGTTGAGCACTGTAGTTCACCAGCATCTCAATCTTAATATGTTTAAGACTTATTTTTAATCCTCAAATGACTAAATCCAACAAGTAAACATTTCTTGATTTTCATTTTGGAAATTATGATATCACCACTGTACAATCACTATGGCTCAAAATTCAGTTACCGACTTTTCACTGCATTCAAGAATTTGCTAGTTTCTGTCCACTTTTCTCTACTACCTCACCCCAATCTCATTTGTTCCTATTACCATCATTGGCACCTTAGCTCAGTTGGATTACTTGGCATCCATAGTACGGCATTCATCTGCTAATTCAGTTACCTATCTATTCTTTCCTGAATCCGCGGTACCCTGAAGGCAACTGCTATATTATTCTATAAAACCGTTTTGTAATACTTTTGTCTTCTTTTAAACTGACAAGTAATACTCTTCAATCAAAATTTGCTATTTTATTTTCCACTATTTCCTAATGTAAAACCTACTTGTGTTTCCTAGTTGAATTAAATTTTTTTTCATATTCTATATTGTGAAACTTAGGGCAACAAGCCAGTATTAGAGTCCTTAAAGTAATTATGTATACTTTCCAGTAGACTATGAGTACTCTGAATATAGAAAGAATGTGTTATTTACATCTATATTCTCTTCATCACTTTGTGTAGTGTTTAGGAAATAATACAATATTTGTTGAATTTGTTAAGTGTATTTGTATACATTTTATGGATTGACTCATGTACAACCTCTTCGTCCCTCCTTACTCTTTCCTCAAGTAATGGTTTTCTGCATTCTTATAACAACTTACAGAGCCCACATGACATACATATGTCTTCTCTCTCTCTCTCTCTCTGTGTGTGTTTTTGTGTGTGTGTGTGTGTGTGTATCTCCTTGTTATTTGATCACAGATCTGAATTTTCCTACTAGGCTGTAACTTCTTATAAGCATAGTTTATCCATAGTACTTTTTTTCCAAGTTAAGCAACTTTCAAGTAGTTTCTGAATGAATGAAATGGCATATTATATTTAAAAATTTAATACATTTAACATTATCTATTCCTATACAATTGCATGATTGCATAGACTTAATTATAGGATTTCTAGAATTAATTATTATGTTTTTAAGAATCACTGAACATGTGGTTAAAAGATAAGATCAAAAATGTCGAACATACAATGTTAGAAATAAAAATCCTAATGGGTCTATTAACTCTTCTATATCCCCAATTTCACATTCTACCAAGAGTGATTTTTCTTCCTTTAAACTCAAAATTGGCTTTAAGCCCTTCAACAAACTTCTGCAACAATCCATAATCCTTTACCTGTCCCACAAGGCCCCACAAGATCTGAGCCATGTGTCTTTCTCCCTAACTTCATCTTATTTTATTTTGTTTCCTGCTGTGCTCAGTGCCTAGTACAGTGCTGGGCATACAGCAGCCAATTAATGTGTAATTACTGAAAAATAATAATGAAAATATTAAATATTATAATTGCTAAGAAATATTATTTTTTAAAAAAATTTACATCCTTTTGGAATGAATCTGATATTCACCTTAATCACCCTTCCCTCAGTTTTTCTATCATTTAAAAATGCTTGTTAAAGTCATATCAGAGTGCACTCTCAAAATCACTTTTGGAGAATTCAGTTTTCTCCTTCACCTCATTTTTCCAGCTGTAAACCTGAAAGCATCTATTTCGGCTGCCTGGTTACATCTTGGGGATGTTGCAAACACTAACAACAAGATCATGTTTTAAAGTGCTCAAGACTTCTTTAGATGAAAGATGTTACCAAATACAACGTATTATTACCATTTCTGATAGGATTACATTCTGAACGGGAAAGTATAAATGGAAGTCCCTAGAGGAAGAAGCACACTAATGGTTTAAGTGAGATGCTAAAGCTTCAAGATAAACTAATTTAAGTCAAAACCCTACAGTTAAAAAGAAAGTAATTTTAACTGGATTAAATAATACCACCCATAGCGTTAAGAATAGTCTTCTATTTACATAATTTTAAGTGGATTTTCGGGAAGCCTATGTAATATGCAATTATCTCAGTTTATAAGCTGTGGCTGCAATCAAAGGTTGCAACACACCATGACTGAATGGAGACTCACACAGCAAAATGATTCTCTATAATACCTAATCACATATGTCATAAGATAAACTCACAAATTACTAACACTTTTGTAAACAATTTATTTCATGTATAATTAATGGAATTAAAAAAAATACTTGAGAATACCACAAGAGTTTGAATGAGTGTAACCTCTTTTCTCCTTTGGCCTCAGCTTTTCACCCAATGCATAGCACAGCACTGGAGCTAGCTCAATAAGTATTTTTGTATTTGTTTTTGTTGTTGTTGTTGTTGTTGTTGTTTGTTTGAGATGGAGTCTCACTGTCACCCAGACTGGAGTGCAGTGGCGTGATCTCGGCTCACTGCAAGCTCTGCCTCCCGGGTTCACGCCATTCTCCTGCCTCAGCCTCCCAAGTAGCTGGGACTACAGGTGCCTGCTACCACGCCTGGCTAATTTTTTTGTATTTTTAGTAGAGACGCGGTTTCACCGTGTTAGCCAGGATGGTCTCAATCTCCTGACCTCATGATCTGCCTGCCTTGGCCTCCCAAAGTGCTAGGATTACAGGCATGAGCCACCACGCCCGGCCTCAGTAATTTTTTTTCAAACGCATCAGTGATGTTCACAATCATTAATACTATATAACTTCAAATAGGCAAGTATGTTTTGGTATTGGTGCCGCAAAGGAAGAGTTAGAATCTCCACAGAGAATGAGTTACATTCTCTTCCATGGCTCCCAATTCCTAATAGTGGGGGAGCCTGTTGAACAGTATTTCCTGATTCTAAGTATTTTCCCATAGCTTGAGAGTTAATGGTATAGAGGAAGATGATCTGCTATAGCCTAATGATCACTCCTGGGCTTCATGTAACAGAATTTTTTTCTGGTTAAGTGATAAATATAAAGAGCAATATCCCTTAAGCGTAACCAAAGTATGCTACAATTATTAGGCCTTGGGAATTCAGAACAGAGAGGAATCCAGGTGATCGTTTTCTTGAAAATACCTCTGCCACTTACACCTCCTATACTGGGCTGATGTTTGTTACATTGAACTTTTGGATGTTTTTACCTATTTTTATCAGAGTTCAAATAATAGCAAATGTTTGATTCAAAGCTTTATTGAGGCCTATTTATTAGTATACTTCACCAAGAATATTACTTCTTCCTTGAAGTTCTGGATAATATTTCTTTCTTTTTTTTTTTTTAGGAGTTTCACTTTTGCCATCCCGGCTGGAGTGTAATGGCGTGATCTTGGCTTACTGCAACCTCTGCCTCCTAGGTCCAAGCAATTCTCCTCCTCAGCCTCCCGAGTAGCTGGGATTACAGGCACCTGCCACCATTCCTTGCTAATTTTTGTATTTTAGTAAAGACAGGGTTTCACCATGTTGGCCAGGCTGGTCTTGAACTCCTGACCTCAGGGGATCCACCTACTTCAGCCTCCCAAAGTGCTGGGATTACAGCCATGTGCCACCATGCCTGTCCCAATTCTGGATAACATTTATTTAAAAATATTTGTCTTTACTACTATAAAACCTGATATGTCATATTTTTGGATTTTACCCATCCATCATAATAGTTATTTGTGCATTTGTACATTTGTATTATTTCTTCTATTTGGTGATAAATTTTTTAAGGATATTGAGGTTACCTTTGTATTTAATCTTCAATTGATTATTTAATCAATGCTACTAAGTATCTACTATATTAAGTAGTGAGATACATAAGGGGTTATGAATATGGATAAGAAAGATACAGTTCCTGACCACATAGAACTTGGAGAATATGGCTGGGCACAGTGGCTCACACCTGTAATCTTAGCACTTTAGGAGGCTGAGGCTGGCAGATCACTTGAGGTCAGGAGTTCGAGACCAGCCTCACCAACATGGTGAAACCTCGTCTCTACTAAAAATACAAAAATTTAGCTGGACGTGGTGGCAGGCGCCTATAATCCAAGCTACTTGGGAGGCTGAGGCAGGATAATTGCTTGAACCCGGGAGGTAGAGGTTGCAGTGAGCTGAGATCATGCCACTGCACTCCAGCCTGGGCGAGAGAGCGAGACTCCATCTCACAAAAAAAAAAAAAAAAAAAAAGGTTAAAAAAAAAGGAACTTAGGGAATGTATCACCTATCATACATATAGAAGGCATTCAGTAAATATTTATACAATGAAAATTTAAAAAATAAGATTTTTGTGGTAGGTAGAATTTTGAAATATCATATCTGTAACAATTAAAATTAAAATATAAGCTAGTTGAACTTCAAGTACACTAAATAGTTAAATTAATAAATCATGACTTAATCTGATAGTATTGGTAAAGAAAAGAAATACAGTAGATGATTAAATTCACACTTAGTCTACCATTGTCTTACAAAAGGAACATTACCATAAATATTAAATATCATCTTCAGGTAACTTACCAGTTCCTGGGCAGGAAAAACCCTATCCTAGAAAGTATGCTACTTTCTGGAACAAGATATTCCCAATAACTTTGGGAACTTAAGTCATATGCAGATTCAGAAATGACAAATTTGATCAAGAAATTCTGCCCTCAGAATGGCTGAAAGCTAGGTCTCTAGCACCAAACAGTCAAGTTGTGAATACAAAGAAAAAGTTTTTGAAGGAAATTAAAAGTGCTACTCCAGTGCACACATGAATGATAAGAAAGCAAAACAGCCTTATTGCTGAAATAAAGTTTCAGCAGTTTGGATAAAAGATCAAATGAACTGTAATATTACCTTAAGCCAAAGCCTAATCCAGAGCAAAGCCTTAACTTTCTTCATTTCTGTGAAGGCTGAGAGAGGTGAGGAAGCTGCAGAGGAAAGGTTGGAAGCTAGCAGACATTGGTTTCTGAGGTTTAAGGAAAGAGGCCATCTCCATAACATAAAAGTACAAAATGAAGCAGCAAATTCTGATGGAGAGGCTGCAGCAAGTTATTCAGAGATCTAAGATAACTGATGAAAGTCAATAAAACAGCACATTACTACGCTACACTACACTAAAAAACCAATTATCAATGTAGACAAAACAGCCTTCTATTGGAAGAAGACGCTATCTAGTACATTTCTAGCTAAAGAGGAGATGATCAGGTCTGGCCGTAAAACTTCAAAGAACAAGCTAAGTCTCTTATTAGGGGCCAATACAGTTGGGGAATTTAAGTTGAATCCAGTGCCCATTTACTATTCTTGAAATCCTAGGGCAATTCAGAATCATGGTAAACTACTCTGCCTGTACTCTATAGATGGAATAACAAAGCCTGGATGACAGCACATCTGTTTACAGCATGATCTACTGAAAATGTTAATCCCACTGTGGAGACCTGCTACTCAGAAAAAGAGATTACTTTCAAAATATTACTACTCATTGACAATACACCTAGTCACCTTAAACCTCTGATGATAATGTACAAGGACATTAATGTTGTTTTCATGCCTGCTAACACAATATTCATTCTGTAGCCCATGGACCAAAGCGTAATTTCAATGTTTAAGTCTTACTATTTAAAAAATACATTTTTGTAAAGCTATAGATGCCAAAAACAGTGATTTCTCTGATGTGAACAAAGTAAATTAAAAACTTTTGGAAAGGACTCACCATTCTAGATGCTGTTATAAACATTTGTGATTCATGGGAGAATAAAATATCAGCATTAACAGGAGTTGCTTCTAACCCTTGAGGATGAATTTGAAGGGTTCAAGATTTCAGTGGGGGAAATAACTGAAGATATGGTGCAAATAGCAAGAGAAGTAATAGAACTAGAAGTGGAGCCTGAAGATGTGACTGAATTGCTGCAATCTTGTGGTAAAACTGAACACGAGGAGTTGCTACTTATAAATGAACAAAAACAGCAGATGTTGAGATGGACTCTAATCCTGGTAAAGATGCTGTGAAAATTGTTAAAACGACAACAAAGGATTTGGAATATTACATAAACTTAATTGATAAAGCAGTATCAGGGTTTGAGAGGATTGACTTCAATTTTGACAGTTCTTCTGTGGGCCAAATGCTATCAAACAGCCTTGCATGCTACAAATAAATCTTTTGTGAAAGGGAGAGTCAGTCCATGTGACAAACTTCATTGTTATTTTATTTTAAGAAATTATCACAGCTGTTCCAACCTTCAGCAACTACCACCCTGATCAGTCAGCAGCCATTAGCACTGAGGCAAGATCCTCCACCAGCAAAAAGGTTAGGAGTAGCTGAAGGCTCAGATGATGGTTACCACATTTTAGCAATAAGGTATTCTTAAATTAAGAAATACATATTCTTTTTATAGACATACTGCACACTTAATAGACTATAGCATAATGTAAACATAACTTTTACATGCACTGGGAAAGCAAGAAATAAAAATCTTTATTGTAATATGTCCTTTATTCTAGCATTCTGGAACTGAACCCACAGTATCTCTGAAGTATGCCTATATTTAAAAGGACTGGGGCCAGGAGCATGTAATCCCGATACTTTGAAAGGCCAAGGCAGGAGGATCACTTGAGGCCAGGAGTTTGAGACCAGCCTAGGCAACAAAGCAAGATCCTGCCTCTAAAAAAAAAAAAAAAAAAAAAAAAAAAAAAAAAAAAAAAATAATGACAAAATTTTAAAATAGTATAGGACAGAAAAATAGCATGATATAATATAATGGGTGCCTGAGTTGCAGATAAAATATAGAAGATACACTGTTTTGAAGTCATTATTACTATCTTTTGAGAATTACACTCTGTATATGTATTTTGTTGTTGTTCAGTATTTGTAGAAGCAGAATTCTACAAGTCACCAAAAGTCAGTTAGCAAATGAATGTCATACTTAAGATCCAAAGATGTAATTCATACTTTTAGCATTCAGAAACTTAGAAGTTATTAACTGCCTTGACAAAGAATTTGGACTTCTCACTCCTCTCCTAAGTGGAATCAAAGTATATCTGTTTCATATCACTGTAGATAGTCTTTACCAAATTTCACAAGATGCTATTTAATATCAAGCTGAAGAAAGCTGACACTGCCAGTCCTTTCTTGCCAAATATTGGAAAATTTAATTAAATAGACATTTGACTGCAAGAAGGCAATGTTGAAAACTAAATAAACTTTATCTTTTTAACCTTATTGACTGACCAAAGTATCACAAAACATCAATACCTCATCCGCAACAAGAACTGATATTGGATGAACTTTGTCTCTGTCAAGGATGTGAGTACTAATGGAGGTGGTGGAGCAAGCCTTAAAATCAAATTACTCTGATGTGACAGCTTAATCTCAGACTTAACATAATCTTTATTCTACTACTTTAAAACTTCTTGGTGATTTAATAATACTGATTTTAGGGATCTAGCATGATAAGCTTTAGACATACCAGTTAGAGTTCTGGCATGCTGTATCTTTGGTTTGTCTATCACATTAAGAAAAAAAAATAGAAAAAACTTTGGTTGGAGCTAGAGCTATTCATTACTCTGAAGCTTTAGAAAGGTGAACATGACACTTTACTGTTTAATTTGGTTACTTTATATAGGAAACTAAATAAATAATTGTAATAATAGTGAATTAAAGCATAAGAGAATAGCATCAAACAAAAGGTTATACTTTCTATTATTATTCCAATTATTACTTTTCTTTTCACAAAGTGGAGATCATTAAGCCTTACAAAGCCAATAATAATAATAATAAAAAAACCTATTCTTATCTTTAAGTTGTTTTACTCATAAATTTTGGCACTGTCATTTTCCCGCAAGTTCTGCTTTCACACAGGAAAGCATTATAACAAATCAAAGTAATTTGGTTACTTTGGTTTGTTTAGGAACATGAAGAGCTGCTAAAAAGGAAACTGACTGGAGCATAATAATTTTCAAGGTAGGAGCTCACATTTTTCCATGACTGGTCAAGAACACGCTAAAGGTACCCACTAGATGTTTGTTAAAGGAGTAGAATCATAGAATTTTTCAAAGTAAAATAAAAATTGTAATAGAGTGAATTGGGGAATAGCTATTCAAAAATTTAAAGAAGTATTAACACTATCATTAAGACAGGAAGAGAACGACCAGGCGTGGTGGCTTATGCCTCCAAGCACTTTTGGAGACCCAACAGGCAGATCACTTGAAGCCAGGAGTTCGAGACCAGCCTAGCCAACATGGCAAAACTCCATCTTTACTACAAATACAAAAATTAGCCAGGCATGGGGGGCAGGTGCCTGTAAACTCAGTTACTTGGGAGGCTGAGGCAGGAGAATCACCTGAACCTGAGAGGTGGAAGTTGCAGTGAGCTGGTATTAGGCCATTGCACACCAACCTAGGTGACAAAGCAAGACACTGTCTCAAAAAAAAAAAAAAAATAGGAAGAGAGAGAAAGAGACTAAATGGTGACTAGTGACCAATTAGAAGGCAGACAGAATTAAGCAACCAGTACATACTTTGATTCTGGGTTCCTTATATGGGGTTGAGAAATAGAGGGGAATGAAAGGAAATTCAGAGAAGAGGGTAGAAAAGAATTGCCAACTTGGACAAGCTACCTAATTCTTTTTCTATGTTCCTTATGTTTAAAATAAAAATCCTATCACCTAACTAAACAGATTACTGTGAGAATATGATAATATTATATGCAAAGTATTTAGTGCTGGCATATGGTACTTGTTCAATGAACAGCATCTACTATTAGGAAGAAGCTTTTAATTTTGTCTAGCAATTTCTCTTCCTTTTCTGATTAAGACAAAGAAGAGAAAATCGAGTAGGAGAGTCATAATCTATTTTTATTAAACACCCCAGAATATTCTTTCTCAATCAATTGTTTCCTGAGCTGTCGTCTCCTAAGTCATTCTAGCTTCCACTCCAATCAGAAAATGAGCTGCTAGTGTTTAATGATTAATTTGCATCAAAAAATTACCTAGCAACCATCACTAATATAAAATTAGATCTGAGTTTCTGTAAAAGTCTACAGTCTACTAAAAGGATCTGAAGAGACATGAACACTAGTCAATGTCATAATTTTAACTCTTAAAAACACATCCAGGTAGAATATCTCAAGAGCTTACATCAGAAGAATACAGTAATTTTTATACCTTGGTATTCAGAATTTTATGATTTAGTTTTTCCAACAATAGGCTAAATATCCGTATTAGATAGACTTTGTTAAAGTAATTATAGCAAACTTTTATCAAGCACTACTTGTGTGCTGGAAACTGTTTTAATTCTGTTATATGCATTACTTATTCAAATAGTCAAAGTAACCATGAGGTAAGGGTTTGTCTTGAAGAAATAAACCTTTTTCAAAAGCATCACATTCACTTGGATATTTGTAGTAAGCAATGGGACTCTTTAACTCCAATATCCATAAAAAAGGAAAAAAGTTCCTGTTTTCCATGAGTTAGGTTAAAAAGAAAAACAAGGCCAATATGGCCTTCATAGATTGGTCCCTATCAGTCCTAGATCTTCAAAACCAATAATAAATGGGATTTTTGGTAAACAGCTCCTAATAGTGTTCAAGCTACTGTCTGAGGATAAAGATAAGGTATTTCAACATTTTAGAAACTATCATCAGGTACCTAAGTAGCAGCGAGTGTCAAGATTTGATCAAGTACTATAATTCGTCATAAATTCTCAAATTGTGTGTTAGAATCAGTGCTAATCACAAATGCAGACCATATCGATGAGTGAATTAAGAAGTACAGAGTTCTAAAGACACAGAATAACATATGTTTCTCACTTTACACTTACCATTCATTCTTAAAAAGAGAAACACAAGCCATCTGTTGCAGAGCAGTCATTCATAATTAATGAGACTCAAACTTGGTATTTGAACCCATTTAATATGAGTATTAGTGAGTGCCTAATAAAGTGGAAGGAGAAATTCTTAGAGCTTTTTCTTGATAATATCCACAGTCATATTCTTTTCTAAGCAGGCAAGTTTCTTGAAGATAGCTTGATGTGTCTGAATGAGTAGCTCTTGATAAGTAACAGAGCAGGACAAGACCAAACACTGCCATTAAAAGTTTCTATTAGACTCTGATACACACACAAGTAGCCAGCTACCAATTCTTTTGGTCCTTGAGCAATCAGAATGAATCCAAGAGGAAAAAAAAAAGGAAGCCTTGTAGAAATAAATACATTTCCTCTCCAGCAAAAGTGAATATGATCTCTCTTCTGATCCTTCCCTGTTACCTTGTTAAATGTAACATCAAATGTGTTCTCTAAGAGTTAAGGTGAATATGGGAGACAGCAAGTCAAGGAAAACCATAATAGGAAAACTGTTATGTTCTACCTTTTAGGAGATTCAGTCTTTCTTTCTGTCCATAATTCCATTAGTTTTTCCTTTGATTGTTTTTTAACTTTAAATTAAAAAAAAAAATGAGACAGGGTCTTGCTCTTTCTCTTAGGCTGGTGTGCAGTGGTATGACACTGCAACCGCAACCTCCTGGGCTCAAGCAATCTTCCAACTTCAGCCTCCCTATAGTTGGGACCACAGGCATGCACCACCACACCTGGCTAATTTTTTATTTTTTGTACAGACATGGTCTCACTATGTTACCAAGGATGGTCTTGAACTCCTGAGCTCAAGCCATCCTCCCGCCTTGGCCTTCCAAAGTGCTGGTATTATAGGTGTGAGCCACTTTGTCTGGCCAACTTCAGACAACTTTTGGTATCTATGAAGTTTCTGTTACGGAGCATTGAACACATTTCAAACTTCTTTAAAAACTACGCCCAGAAAAGATTTGCCAAATAAATTTGAATGCATATTTGAAGGCTTCCAAAAAGCAAATGGTTAGTGTGTAGCGATTTAATGTGTAGTGAACATAAAAGTGTGTAGTGAACATAAAAGCAAATTTTACACCCACCTTCCCTAATAAAAAGTTCATTTACTGGCTTTCTCCAGGTAATTTTGAAACGAGTTTATAAGAAACACCATGAAGTTTGAGAACCAATCATAGGTAAAGAAAGACTATTCTTTTATAATATTGAGAAAGTTGGTTTTTTGATTTGTCAGTATGCCACCAAGTGCCTTATTATAGATCATATTGAAAGCAACCAAAGGCCAAACAATCAATCAGTCACATCAGGATCATTTTGAATACTGAAATTTCTCTGGAAGAATCTGAATTAAAATGAGAAACTGGATAGAATGCAAATTTCAATTAAAGAGATTATATTTTAATCTTTTATATTTTTGAAAGTAAGCCTTAATAACTCCTTCCATCTCTAGAGTATAGAAAAATCACTTTGGAAATTTAAAGAAACAAAGTAGCATGATGGACAGAGAAGTCAAATGGCTGTTAAGAGCCAATGAGTTCTAATTGTATAATCATTGACTATTTCACTTATTCTAAGTCTTAGGTTCTTCACCTATAAAAAGAACTAAAAGATGGTTTAGATTGTTTTATAATTAAAATCCATTGTTACTATCTAGAGACAGTATGTCAAGACTCATATAATCAGGTTCAGCCAATATTTGTTGAATGGAATAAAAGAACATGGCCCAAAGACCACCTGGAGACATTTATGGACATGGGTAACTCCTTAAGAAGAGGGAGAGGCTTGTTATATATGAGGAGAGCTGGGCCTGGAGGGAAATCAACTAGTACCAAAAGCTAACACCAGTTGAAGGAAAGTAAGAAAATAAAAGACATATGATTCGTGAAATTGTCAGTACCAGCATATCAACTCCAAAAGGGCTGAAGAACAGGAAATTTCAGTGACAAAATAACCCAGTGAGCTCAGCGTAGATTCAGAAATTTTGCCTGATGCTACAGTGAGCCATTATTCGTGCCACTGCACTGCAGCCTGGGCCACAGAGTGAGATCCCATCTCCAAAAAATAAAAGTAAATAAATAACTAAACAAGAAAATTTGTCTGATGTATTTTAGCTATCACCTGGGGTTAAAGAAAGCAACTGCATAAAAGAGAACTGGTTTAAGAGCTAAATCGTATGACAGATGCCTTTGTAATTAGCTCTGTGTGGTTCAGAGTGGGACATAAAATCCAGCAGTGATCTGAAATAAAAAATGAAGAATTAGGGCAAAGGTTTTGTCTGTGAAATTATACAAATAGTCAAGGGAGGTAGAGAATACTATAACTCTAAGATGGCTGGAGCTCCCCAAATCCTAGGATAAATTAGGTGGATTACATAATTCCAAGCTCCAGTGCCTGATAGCACTGATTATCAGAAGACATTACAAATGAGTGGCATGCAATAGGTGTATTAATTCGAATGGCTATGAGAGACTGAGCATTTCTAATGTGGCCATCATGGTACAAAGCTGTTTGAATATATTTCATTTTATTTTTTCACAGAAACTCTGTAAATTGATTATCATCTCCATTTTCTAGGTGAAGCCATTCACTCAGAGCAGTAAAGTAACTTGATTAGAACACAGCTAGTAACTGGCAAAACTAGAACACAAATTCAACTCTGATTCCAAAGCTCTTACTCGTAACTTCTAAGTTACATTCTCTAGTGCTTGAGGGAAATCAGTAAGGCAAAGACAGGGAAAATGTGGTCAGACCTAAAAAAGATGTAAATTATAATTAGATTATGTCTTTGCCATAGAGATATACTAAGAAACAGCCACTTATTTTTTCTCCAAATCACTTACTATTCTATCCTGTATTTGTTTCTGTTTTAGCCAAGGTAGAAAAGCAATTAGCCATAGAGAGAAGGAAGCTTATATTTATAATATATAGTATGAAGAACCAAATAGTATGGAGTTCCTTTCCCAGTCTTTGATCCTATCTTGTTATACTTATTCGGATGATGACAGAATGATGAGAAAACCGTATGTTTCTGGAAGTTAGGAACCAGTCATGTTTGTATCATGAGGGTGTGGGCATTTGGACTTCATAGAATGTTTTCAATATAATTAAGTTTTCATGAAATATTGGTAAAATTAAAATAATACATACAAAGCAGAACTGTAAGTCAATAAATATGTATTTAATTCAAATTTTACAAGTCAATTATTGTAAAAAAATTTCTATTTGAAGTTGTGAGAAAATATAAATGGAAAACTCACTACATTTATTCATCCCATTAATCTAACATGTATATTCATAAACAACTCTTTATTTACCCATTCAGTATTTTTGCTGCCTTATATAAATTGTAGATGAGTGTAATATAGTAAAAATAAAATTTACTAAATGCTAATTTGACCTGGATTTGCCTTGGGTTTAATATATTCATAAATGAATGTAAAATGACTTTTATCTATAATGGTATATTTTACATCCCACCCTTCCCTAGTCCATGACAGAGAAGGTATATGTTTATATTTTAAAAATAATGTATTAGAAATATACAATAATCTTTATTTAGAAAGCAAAACTATTAGAGGCTAGTGGCTCCTTCCTCCATCTTCTATGTATACCACTCCAACCTTTGTTTCAATTGTCATATATCCCCTTCCCAACATTGACTCTCTTGACTTCCTCTTATAAGGACATTTGTAATTAGATTGGAACTACTCAGATAATCCAGAATAACCTCCCATCTCAATATACTTAATCACAACTGAGAAATCTCTTTTGACTGTTAAGGTGACATATTCATTCTGAGAATTAGAATATAGACTTCTTTGGGGGAACTTTATTGAGCCTATCATATAATAAGTATTTATTTGACTTTGGATTTTATTAAAGCGTTTTGAAAAAAAAAATTGGGCAATTAAAAATTTTATGGTATTAACAGGAATTATGATCTCCTACCATTTGATACATTTTTTCCAAAATATAAACAAAAGTATTAACATATATATTCCTTTACTAATTACTAATTTTAATGAGGTGTCATGTTAAATTTAAACATAAAAAAGAATATAATTCTGTCATTTGTGACAATATGGATGAACCTGGAGGACATTATGTTAAGTGAAATAAGCCAGAGACAGAAGAATATCTCATGATCTCATTCATATGTGGAATCAAAAAATGTTGATTTCATAGAGGTAAGAGTAGAACAGTGACTACCAGAGGCTGGAAGATGGGGAGGAGTGAGGAATGAGGAGAGATGTGTCAACAAGTAAAAAGTTACAATTAGATGGGAAGGACTTATCCTTTAAGCTTTGTTGTTCTATTGCACAGGACGGTGACTATAGTTGACAATAACATGTTATATATTTCAGAATAGATGGAAGAGAGTATTTTGAATGTTCTTACCATAAAGAAATTAATTTCTGAAGTGCTGTATATGCTAATTCCCTGATTTGATCATTACACAACGTATAGGTGTATAAAAATGCCACACTGTACCCCATAAATGTGCACAATTATGTGTCAATTTAAAACAAATCTTTTTAATAAATAAGTATTTGAATGATGAAGTGCTTTCTAAACCAATTATTTAATTTTTTTAGTTTCATAAGATTCATGATTGGAGTAGAAGAAAATCAACAATGCTAATTTGTAGCATTTTAATCAATTTTACATTTATTTAGAACAGTTTTATCTGGAAATTTACTTCATAGATCTCACACAAAACATAAGATCTTTTCAGCAACAAATACTTTGGGATGAAAACCCTACCTTTGTATGTCTTTTACTATTCTTCTTGTATGCGGTATATTTTTAAAACAAGATATTTTAACTCTACATGTTTATATGGTTCAATTTCAATAACTTATACAAATTTCTTTGAATGAAATTTAAATGCATAAGTTCTATATTTTCCTATTTTGAATAAAGCTAAATGAGCATGGTTGAGCTAACCCCTTCAATCTTTTATGTCTATAATAAAGTTTTACTTCCTAAACCAAATATTTTCCTAACTCTGTCAATCCAACTAATTTTTTAATGCTCTCAATTCATCTCGATTCCTTACTAATTAGTATCTAAGTGTACATTTACATATTATTAATCTAAGTCTATATGAATCTTACCTAGATGTTTATACCATCTGATATTTGGTTTATTTGATGTAAGTTTACCTTCATATTACTGTAGTATAATGTAATATTTTCTAAAATATATATTAGAAAGAGAAGGTCAGTTTATTCAATTCTCTTCTGCAAACATATTTTGATTCTCAACAGATCCTAGAAACTTGAAAAAAACTGATTTTCATTATCAGTAGTGGTGACAGTGCTAATTGCTGGTTAGTAGCTCTCTAAATCTATCTACCTCATCTAACTGGACTTTGGCCACACTGTCTTTCTACCACTTACGAGAACAGGCCAACCTCTTCCCTACCTCAAGATCCTTGGAGCTGTCCTCTCTGCCTTGAAAGTTCTTCCCCAGACTCTTGGCCTATCTCGTTCTCATTCTTCAGGTCTCACATAGCCTCTTCAGATATTTCATCACACCCTCTGTAAGCCAGCCCCTTCATTGTTCTTTATCATAGAATCATATTGATTGTCTTCTCTTTTACCATGAAGTTTTGATTTTTTTTTAACATTAACTTTGATATTTACATGTATTGGTTCATGTGTTCATTATTTGCCTTACCCGTGGGACTAACGTCTTCACTGGCATTTAGCACAGTTATAGGACCATAGTAGGCAGCGATAAACTTGTTTGATAGAATTATTGCTGCTGTAAGAACTTATTACTAGCTTTTGAGAATTAAAAGAAAAAAATGGGCCAGGTGCAGTTGGCTCATGCCTGTAATCCCAAAACTTTGGGAGGCCGAGGTGGGTGGATCTCTTGAGCCCAGGAGTTTGAGACCAACCTGGGCAACATAGTGAGACCCCTGTCTCTACTAAAAATTAAAAAAATTAGCCAGGTGTGATGGTGCACGCCTGTAGTCCCAGCTACTTGGGAGGGAGGCTGAGGGGGAGAATTACTTGAGTCCAAGAGGTGGATGTTGCAGGGAGCTGTGATTGTGCCACTGTACTCCAGCATGGGTGAAAGAGCAAGATCCTGTTTCAAAAAAAAAAAAGTGCTAACAATTAAGAGTGCTTTTAAATCTACTAGAATGAAACTCTAGAGCAACAGTTGCAAATTTAAATACCTTTCAGAAGCCAGGAAATATTTAAAATTATTCAGGTGAACCTTTAGAATACAATACAATGAATTACTGAAAAATACAACAAACAGAAAAGCACAGAATCCACTCAAAGTGGGCAGAACCAAATCAGAGCTAGCCTGTTGTTGCCCAAAGGAATGCAAGGTCTGTGTTGCTCCAGACTTTATGTTAAATCTGACTTTTAGGTGTTTCGGAGGCCTAGGGAACCCCTCGGCAGGCTGAATCTGGCCCACGACCACTACCCTGCAGTCTTTGCTCTAAAGTCTTTACGGGGATCTGATCCTTCCTGGTCACACATAAGCTCTTTGCCAGCCCATTCTTCTTCCTTGGTAACAATACTCCACTACTGGATTTCATGAAGTCTTGATGTCCCAGCCTAGATCATTACAGGAATTAGATTAGCAGGAACACAGAGTCCTGATGAGACTGTCTAGGAGTTCTTGATCTCTAGATCACTGACTCTTACTTTTTCAGAGGCCTGGCCTTTCACCTTTTTTCTCCTTTGTTTCTGGAACTAATACTTTGTATTTGGCCAAAAAAAACCTCTGCTTTATTTAATTTAAACTAGCCAAAGTTGGTTTTCACAGATTTTCAAACAAACATTTCTTAATAATATATCAATTAATGACATTCAGAAATGGCTCACTACCTTCTCCATGTTGTACGTTGTAACTGGTACTAGATTCCAGAGAAATCATAGCATACAGGGAAGTCCAAGATTTCTGCCTTGCCCATCTATGGGTTTATTTTCTGTACCTCTTGCATTTTATATTTCATGCAAATACCAAATGGTTTTGGTTTCACATTCTCCATGCGATTTATTACCTAGCTTGTCCTCTCTGCTAAAAATGATTGCCCTTCTTCTCTCAGGAAAGTCTATTCATATTTTAAGACTCAGCTCTAGCAGGGCACGGTGGCTTACTCCTGTAGTCCCAGCACTTTGGGAGGCAAAGGTGAGAGAATCCTTAGAGCCTAGGAGTTCGAGACCAGCCTGGTCAAAGTGAGAGCAGCAGGAGGCAGGCAAATGCCTAGGCAGATAGGGGTGGGTCCCCAGTGAAACCCCACCTCCAAGCCAAAGACAGTTTAAAGCCTGAAAGCCAAGCTACAAGTTAAATCCTTGGACTGGATTGAGAACTTCCTGTTTGGTGCGCTTTCCTCTGATTGATCCCCACCCTTCACCTATTTTACATATAGCTACCCTTTTCTAATTGTTTTTCTACACTGTCATGCCCACCTTTGAGTGGTGTCTTCACTTTAACCTTTTTTGTACACTCACAAACCAATCAGCATGCACTCCCCATTGTGGGTTCATAAGAGACCCCAGACCCAGACACACGGGGCACTTTCTCATCTTCAGGTACGGGAACCACCCCTGTATCCCCTCATTGCTGAGAGCTTTCCTTTTGCTTAATAAATTTTACTCTACTCACTCTCCAGTGTCCGTGTGGCTAATGCTTCCTGGTTGTGAGACAAGAACTTGAACCTAGCTGAGCTAAAGAGCAGAAAGACCACAACAACAAGCAAAATGCCATTTCTACAAAAAATACAAAAATTAGTTGGGTGTGGTGGCATGTGCCTACAGTCCTAGCTACTCTGGAGGCTGAGGTTGGAGGATTGCTTAAGCCAGGGAGGTCCAGGCTGCAGTGAGCAGTGAATATGCCACAGCACTTCAGCCTGGGTGACAGAGCAAGACCCTGTCTCAAAAAAAAAAAAAAAATACAGCTCTTGAAGGGTCACCTTCTCTAGAAGAGCATCCATGAAGACCTCTATCCCCACCACCACCACCCTAGTCAAATATCAGCCACTTTGGATCAGTGTGCCTTCTCTGTATATTTCTAATGTGAAATGCTTAATCTAACATTGTAAATTTAGGGACTCTAAGCCCCACTTGACTGAACTCCTTGAAGGACGACAGAATCTTTATCTTGGTTTTTGACCCCTAATATTTTATTATAGTGCCTGGTATGCAGTAGGTACTCAATAGATGGTGAATGAAAGGAAGATAAAAGAAGGAGGTCTCACAAGCAAGTAATATAATCTAGTTGAGAATAACTTCCATGCACATGTGAAGCAGTTCAACAAAGGTAGGAGGGAGTTTATGACTAGAACCTGTGAGAAAGTATACTTGCTGGGCACAGTGGCTCATGCCTGTAATCCCAGCACTTTGGGAGGCCTAGGCGGGAAGATTGCTTAAGACAGAAAGATTGCTTTGAGACCAGCCTGGGAAACATAGTGAGACCCTAGGTCTACAAAAAAAAAAAAAAAAAATTTTTTTAAAGAAAGAAAGTAACTCCAGCTATGTATGCTTCCTATTTTCTAAACAGAATGATGATAGCAAAATATATGAATATGCAATATTTTTGGCATATAAGCAGGGTTTAATTATTAATTAACCATTGGTTCATTTCCCAGACCTTTATGAATCATCTGTTATATAAAAGATTCTGTGAAGGAGAGATAAATTATTTGGAGGGAAAGAAACTGTGGTAAGGGAGAGAAAGAATGGGAGAGAAGAAAAAAACATTTTGTTGCTCTTGTTATAAATATAATTCTAAAAAATTTATATAGCTGATACAGAGAGAGGAACATTTAAACAAGGGACAATACTTGCTATATTATACAAAGGCATACATAATAATAATAATAATATGAAAAAAGGTTGCTGGTATCATTCTTGAGGATTGCAATCACCAAGTAATTTGGAGAAACTGAAATTTATATAATGTATATTTTTAAAAATAGATCTTTCTTTTGAATTAATAAGGTCTTATTTGCAGACAAGAGTTTTTGTGTTTATCATTCTAGCAATGAATGCAGTACTTTTGGAGAAGCCATTTGACTAAATTTTCTTTCTTCTTCCAGTCCTTCAATACATATTTATTGAATGTCTACTGTATATATGAAGCAGAAAAAGGCACTGGAAAGAAATTAAAATATACCTTGGACATTTTTGTGATCTTTCTAAAATTAAAAATATCAGTTAATTTCAGCACGATGAGTTAAAAATATGTAATTATTTATTTACATAATAGTAACCAAATGTGTACACATTTAAATATGCACTCATTTGGACATTAGTTGCAAAAATGTATTTAATCATTTATAATTAAATATTTAGATTGTTTTAAATGCTAAACGTGTAATACATTTTTCTTTTAGTAAAAATGATGAAACAGTTACATAATTATTTATAAATACCAATCTTCCAATAATGCTCATTTTTCTTGCCTGTTCATAAGGACAATCATGCACACAACTATTCAAATGGCTAATGTGACTAGTGAGAAAGTCTTAAGTGCTATAACAAGGTTGTTTTAATCAAACATTCATTTCTAGTCACTTTCCAAATTGTGTACTTCCCCCCGCAATTTTCTTAGAAAATTCACCATGAGAGAAGATTGCTAGAATAAGTAATATATGCTTTATTGTTCTGAAAAAAAAGAAACAAAGAATTGAAGAGAAAAGCTGGACTGTGAGAGAAGACAAACACCTTTTGAGTGTAATGTGCGTGAAATTGTATGCCTCGGAAGAAAGACAATTTGTCAGCAGGATACAAAGTAAAGATTCTTTGCTCAGAAATACTCTGAGTAGGTGGTTAGTTGTTTTATTGCCTTCTCTCTAATACAAGTCATCCCTGTAACCCTGCTGAATGAAGGCAGCTCTAGATGACACAATTTCAATCTCAAATCAAGTCAGAAGGGAAGGAGGTAGGGTGAGAAGAAGAAGAAAGATGGAAGAACAAAAACGTGGCTTTGGTAAATGTGAGGTTTAACCTCTTGAATATTTGGGTCATCTCCTAGGGAGAAAATATCCACTAAGGAAGAACATCAAACCTCCTAAGAAAATGCAAAGGCTACAAAAGTCATACTGGAACTGAGGTGTGCTAGGAACAGAGAAAAGTATTGATTCATCTGTTCCAAATTTTGTCAGGAAAAGTGTGCCTGTGAACCCAAACAAGAAAAAACAGAACAGAAGTAAGAAGGTAGGACTTAGAAAAGATTAAATATAACTTCAGTGACTCGGAAAAATAAGTACAAAACACTCAAAGAAGGTGGTCTGAGTAAACAGTTTAAAAACTAACTCTTCTTATTTTCTTTCTCATTGACATCTTTAAAAGTCGTACCATTTGACTCATTCAAGCTAAGATTCCTCTAAAGTTGTCATTGTTCAATGTACCTATTTAGTGACTCCTAAAATTCCGTGCAAGAATTATTGCAAGCTTTTCTCAGATACTTTACTTCACTTATGTGATACAATGAACTTTATTGACTCTGTCTATATTACCTTTAATATGCTTCATTATTATGTTTTCCTATAAATTTTGTTTTTCTACATTTTGTCCATGAAAAAGTCTCACCTTAAAAATGAATATTGCCATGGAAACACACACACACACACACACACACACACACACACACACACACACGAGTATGTATAAATTTAAAAAAAAGTTTCTTCTACACATCAATATTAAGAATGAAACATTCATAAATAGTACATATATTACTACAAGCACTAAAGTTTGTGGTCATAAATTCGAAATGGAAATGGATATTACTAAATTGTATAACAAACAGAACCTAACACTGTTCGTTCAGTTGTTTAATTCCAATATTAATATTAAATCCTAAGTCTGAAATTTCCCTCACATTAATGAAATAGTGATCTTTTATCAAGAATCATAAAATATAATTAAGCACAAGGATTTTCTCTAATACAGGTAATTAAAAAAGTATTTTACTTAGGAGCCTCATTCTAAAGTGCAAGTAGTATTTTCATGGTACAAACTAGTTACTTCATAAAGGTTTGGGAAAATAAAAGTTTGCAATGATTCAGCTGCTTTAAGAAAAAGGACAAAAACATCTTTAAAATAAACAGGTAAAGGACTAAGAAAAACGACTTGGGCCCTTGAAACACTTTCTTTCACCACATGCCATTAATGTACTGATGAAAATTATGAGTTAAAACTATTATATAAGATTAAATAGCTCATGAAAATATAAATGAAAAACAATTATGGAGAGAAATACAGCTAGGTTCTTAAGAACAGGTATTAGAAACAGACCCAAATCTAATCTTTGCCATTCTCTAGCTAGTCTACATTTCACATGGGACATTTCACTTTATCTACTGAACTTCAGTTTCCTCTTCAGAAAAATGGTGATACACATAACAAGGAGGATCTTGTAAAAATTAAATAGCCTATGCATGTAAACACTATCCATGTAGAAAATGGCATGTGGTTAAGTGTCAATAAACTATAACTATTTTAAATAAGTAAATCTTTTCATCATTAAAGAGTCATTAATTTTATGCTTAAGAAAAGAAAAATAGCTGAGTGTTGTTATAAATCAGAATTTATTAATAGATCAGGGAAGGTCTACAAGGTGAGATCCAGGAAAAGGACCTAGCTTTTTGTTAAGTAATCAGACTGTATTCTAAATCCAATGATATAGTTTGCATGTGTGTCCCCTCCAAATCTCATGTTGAAATGTGACCTCCAGTGTTGGAGATGGGCCACGCAGGATATATTTGTGTCATGGGGGCAGATCCCTCATAAATGGCTTGAAGGCCTCCCCGTGGTAATGAATTCACATAAGAACTGGTTATTAAATAGAGTCTAGGAGCTCCCTTTATTGCCATATGAGGTACCTGCTCCCCCTTCACCTTATACCATGAGTAAAATCTCCCTGAGGCCTCACCAGAAGCCGAGTAGATGCTGGTGCTATGCTTGTACAGCCTGCAGAATCGTGAGCCAAATAAACCTCTTTTCTTACTAAATTACCCAGTCTGAGGTATTCCTTTATAGCAACACAAAACAGACTAACAAAAGCACCCATGCTCTCTGATCTCTGGTTGTCTTTCTCTCTCCTAAACCAATCTACCTTTTGAATGATCACTATAGTTTATTTTATGATTTATACTTTCTTTTGGATTATTTTCTTTTCAAATCGTGTTAAATTTATTAAATGAATTCCAATTCTGCATTATACTTTTAACTGAAACATACTCCAGATAATTTAAACAGACACGATCAGGCTACAACGTATAAATTAAACCAGTGTATAAACTGGCAAGTGAGTATAACTGAGTGTATAATTCTTATTTAATAAAATTATTAGATAAATATTTTGATATAATATTTCTAAGGCAGGCAGTAAACTTTCAGGATTATCAGAACTCTCTAAATGTAGGACATTAAGGAACCAAATTGCCAATCTCTGAAAATTTATGAGAGAAAGGAAACCTGTGGTAAACTATAATCCTTTTATGTAAAAGTGTATGAGCAAGTTCTTATTTATATTAAAGTGATTTAAGTAGATGATATTTCAGAATGAGTTTGGCAGAGGATTTTGAAGTGGCTATCCTCAAAGACATTTTAAAGTAATACAGGAAATTGAAGAGACAGCCGTGAAATTCTTTAATTAAAAAAATATGATAAAATCTACAATCTGAAATTTTACTTCAGCTTTTATATTTCAAAATATGAACATACAAATATGAATGTAAGTTGCCTAAAACTGTCTTTAAAATCAAGGTGTGTAACTTATTTTTAAATAAAATTCCTTGATAGAACAGGAGTCTTTATATTTCACAAAGGTCTTATTATGCAACCCAAGTATAATTGTCCCAATTCCAGGATGGTTTACAAATTTTATTTCCTTAAAATATCACTAGTGAACAATAATCGTCAGTAGGGGCTTTACCTTTTCATAGAAGGGCCTATAGAGATAACAATATAAGAAGCATAACCTAAATGAGATATCAATAAATCCTGTACTCTGAGGATTTTTCATAACAATGAAGATCAGCTTATAAAACTTCACAAGATAAACTTTCTCTAATCATTCATTCTATAAATGAAGCTGAACGAAATTTTCTCTGAATTGTTTTCACTATTATTTTAAAATTTCAATTCTTCTCTTATTGGCCAAATTTCTATTACTGAAGTATTTATACTTCCAGCTCATGAGTAATGTCCTGCTTCTTTAATAAGCGTGAATGAGGCAAGCCTAGAACTATCTTTACAAACGCAAACTTGCTGATCCCCAGATACTTTGCTTCTTATGAAACATCAAAGGAAGTTGAAACCTAGGATTTGTTTATGATCCCAGGTGTTTTCTATCTCTGGGATAAGCTGAATATCTATTATGAGAATACATAATTTCCTGAGTGATTTTCACTAATAATCTCATAAATAATTAACGAGTTAGATATAAAAATTGTTTTGAGATGGTGATTCTTATTTTGAGTGGGAAAGTCAGAAAATGTTTCATTTTAGATTTTTTGATTCTTCATTATTCCTGAAGAAAAGACATGTTGTTGGCATATACCATATCTGATAAAAACATTGCAAAGACATACTTCTTGAAGCTGTAAAACATATAGTCTGAAGAGTACTTCAAGTTCTTTTAATCTTTATTTTTTCTTTCTGGTCTACTCCTTCTGGATGAATATATTTCTAATTCTCAAAATGTTGACAGCAGATGAAGCTTAGATACAATTCTATCAAATTCAAAATGTATCAACTGCTATACATTACATATAAAATTGTATTGCTCATTTTCACCTCTTATCTGCTTGGACCTGGAGAATTGGTATAACACTCCCCCAACCTTTTTCTAAATGTTTTATATTCTTGCATTAATTAAGAAAAGTGTGTTAGAACACGTATTCATATACAGAAATAATCACAAGTAAATGCCGTAGGAGAGGGTAGGCAATATCTAATTCTTCTGATGGCAGGGAGGGTCTATGATTCTCAAAAATTAATATTAGCCAATTTTTTCATTTAATTTACGTGATTTATGTTTTCATAGAGAATATTTGTCAATGCATGCAAAACACAGTTTAGTATCTTTTCTCTTGCCAAGAAAAGTATAGGAATATACATACTGTAAGGGACACATTCATACTGCACTTCAAGGTATTTATAGGTTCCTGGACACGGGTCTGGAAAAACATCAGGACCTGCCACCACTGCACACTGGGTTCTGTTATTGCATCTGAAGTCAAAAGAAAGGAAAAGAAGTAGTAAGCTTATGCAAAGTTAAATTATTATCAACATCAACACTAATTTTATTTTAGTTCCTGTTATACAGATTTGAATAAGGTTTTGCTTAATTTGGGGCTTTAGGCCTATTAAGAAAATATCTGTAGTACACTTTTTAGAAACTACACATTAAAATGAATCTATTCAGCTTGCTCATATTAGCTAATTTAATATTTGGTTGAATACAGCATAATTTCTAGTTAGAAGTTAAATATTGCTGAAGCAACACTAACTGGTCCACAGGATATTGCCAATGTGAACACAAGTAGGAAAGACTATTTGATAGGAAAGACTCACTCCAGTACAAAAAAAAAAGTATTTTAGAAAATATAACCACAGAGTTTATTAGGCAGTTGTAAAATAAATTCACTGACTATGATGACATTCATTTTAAAGGTATGAAAAGTGGTATTGAAAAGCTTTATCTGAGCCTAACAAATTAGTAAAAAGTTAATATTTAAATGTTAAAATTGATATTTGAATTTATTTTGTAAAAATTAATATAATATTACTACTTATTAAAACCACTTTAGGAATTAACTGTCACGTTCCTTTTGTTCAGCCAAATAATGATACAATCCTCGTGGATTACTTATCACAAAGGTCAAAATCTTATAAAATAATGAATTTAAATTTATAAAAAGAATAATGACATACCACTAATAAAACATAAATATAAGATGGAACTGGAGGTTATCATGTTCAGTGAAATAAGACAGGCACAGAAAGACAAACTTTGCATGTTCTTATTTATGGGAGCCATTAAACCCATGGAGCTGTAGGGTAGAAAGATGATTACCAGAGGCTGGGAACGGAGTGAGGGGTAGAGGGGGGAGGAAGTGAAGATGGTTCCTGGGTACAAGAATGGTTAGAAAGAATGAATAAGCCCTAGTATCTGATAGCACAATTGGGTGACTACAGTCAAACGTAATTTAATTGTACATTTAAAAATAAAAGAGTATAAATGGATTGTTTGTAGCACAAAGGATAAATGCTTGAGGTGATGAATATCCCATTTACCCTGATGTGATTATTACACATCGCATGCCTTTTTCAAAATATCTCATGTTCCCATGAATATACACATTGACTATGTTCCCACAAAAATAAATAAATAAATAAATAAATAAATAAAACTTTCTAAGCCATAGGAAAAAAAAAACATGAATACAAACTTGGGCACTTTTGTGGCAATTAGGCTAAACAAATCTGAATTGATTAATTCATGGGGAAAAACAAACATGTTGAAATTAATTATAATTCTGAAAAAGATACCCATACTCACAGTGGACTAATTACTGTGAATTTCACTCAGAAACGTTCTAAATTCAAAAATTTATCCTTAAGTATATTGTCTATAAAAAGCTAATGGTTTTTCCTACCCATAATATTGGCACTAAGTCTATAATATGAGATACTCTAATTATCCCCTGTGTTTTATGTTCTTGTTTATTCATTTCAGAAATATAATACCTCAGGGCTAGATTCTTCTGTTAATTCCTTAAGGAGATGTTCTGTTCTCTGATGTGACCTCAGAATACTTGCAAGGATAGTGGCAACATAAAGAGCATCTAGAGCAGAACTCACTTTGATTTAGTGTAAAAATACGTTGGGTTTACCTGAGGCTACCATTTGTCAGGCTTAATAAGGATTTTATTTAGTCCCTAAATTTGATTCATTAATGAATGTCTGAAGCTGAAAAATATATTCTGTGTTATCAGTGAAAGGTGAATAAAAGCTAATACTCCATACTCATCAGGCAATTTAGCATAACAGCTAATCCTGAAGGTTAACAAGTTGTAAGGATTTTCTATGTTAGAGGCTGATGATCAGACAAATGTATAATAACATTAAGGTAAATGTGGCTGTCCTCACACATGCACCACAAATATGTTATCTCGATGTTTTGGTGTACTCACACCTTCTTAAAATAGTAGATCTTTCGTATTACAAAGAAATTATTTGAAGAAGCTCTTCAAGTCAAGTGACATGTTTTTAGCCATTAAAACAATATAATTTTCACATTACACCTTGAATATACAACCTCATAAATCCATGTCAAGTTTTTAATACAATAGGCAGGGATATGAACTCATAAAGTTATTTTTGTATTTGTTATAGAAAAATTAGCAATTATCAGGAACACATTCAAAGTAGACATAATGGAAAAGTGGCACTATAAAATTTAATATAATGTAAATATTCTGTAAGTGTAATATTAATTCTGATGTGTGAATATTTATACATATCTCCTTTTCTTCCTATCTTGGTCTATAGTCATTTTATTCCCTATTATTAACCTTTTTAATTACCATAGCTCTAATTTTAAAAAATGTATTTAGAAGCAATATCTACTCTTGTAATTTTCAGGTATAAACAGGCAACTGTAAATATTTTATTTAAATAATCAATGTACGATATAAACAGATCAGCTTACTACTCATTTCTGACCAGAGCATAATAGTTAAAATTTACAATTATGGAAGAATATGTTGCACAGAAAGTTGTGTTGAATCAATAGGGATTTCAAATGGTTATGTTTATATAGATTAGATTAGAAAACATAACCTGGAGTCTATACACATCTATCTATCTATCTATCTATCTATCTATCTATCTATCTATCTATCTAAAAATGCATCGACAAATTTACATATTATATATTATGAAGTTGTAAATTACTAATTATTTATCTATATGTAAGAAAATTATAAAAGCAACGATCTGTTGTAAATATTAGTTACCATTGTGAGTTCCAAATAGATTATTTAATATTAACCGAAGATGAGTCAAGAAAGCCTTCTAATTAATGAGATAGTGTCTGTTCAGTGGTATATAAAACAAAAAATGTTATGCCTATAATATATTTATAGTTATTATCATCATTGTTCTATATAAAACAGCAGTAATTTATAACATTCACCTTTCAAAATAATTTATGATTCTATTACTATGTTTATATCAAAAGTTCATTATAAATTATGATTATTAAAAAATAAAATGGAAAAAGGTAGATTCAATCTCTGGAATACTATTTTTATATAGGATACATTATAATATTGATTGTTTAAAAACTAGCTATATTTTGAAAACAGGAGTTTAAAGGTTCTGTCCTTTACTTCGCTTTCTTTTTTTAAATGACTTCAGTTACTGTGAGTTAAAATGAAATTAAGATATAATTAAAGATTTATAAACAATTTAGTCCACAAAGACTCCTTTTGTAGTTATTTCAAAATTTTTAAAAGTAAATTCATTCTAAAATATTATAGATGAAAAAAGTGAGATAAAGTAATCTAATGTTCTCAAATGCTTTAGTTTCATTGTTTATTTTTAAAGTAAACATAAATTAAAAACATGCTTTTTGGTATCCCTCTTACCTAATGTTTTGATATATCTTTACAATGTAAAATGATTACCACAATAAGGCTAATTAACATATTCATCATCTTACAGTTATCTTTTACTGTGTTGTAAAAGTATATAATACAGTATTGTTAACTGTGGTTACCAAGCTGTACATTAGATTTCCAGAATTAACTCATTCTGCATTACTGAAACTTTGCCCCCTTTGATCGACATCTCCCCATTTCTCCTATCTCCATAGCTTCTGGAAACTACCATTCTACTTTCTGCTTCTAGAAGTTTGACTTTCTTAGATTCCACATATAAGAGGGATCAAATAGTATTTGTCTTTTGATGTCTCACTTATTTCATCTAGCATAATGTCCTCCAGGTTCATACATGTTATCACAAATGACAAGAGTTTCCTTCATTTTTAAGGCTGAATAATATTCCATTATATATTTATGTATACCACATTTACTTTTTATCTATTCATCTGCTGATGGCAGTTAGGCCAATTATATTTATCTTATTTATTGTGAACAGTACTGCAAGGAACGTGAGACTACAGATATCTCTTTAAGATATTGATTCATTTCTTTTACATATCCATACCCAGAAGTAAGACTACTGGAACATATGGTAGTTCTATTTTTAATTTTTTGAAGTACCTACATACTGTTTTCCATAATGGCTATACCAATTCACATTTCCATCAATAGTATATAAGGATTCTCTTCCCTCTACATTGTCATCAACACTTATCTTTTGTCTTTTTGAACATAACCCTTCTAACAGGTATGCAGTGATATCTCACTGTGTGGTTTTGATTCACATTTCCCTGACGATTAGTGAAGTTGAGCACTTTTTAATATATCTGTTGGCCATTTGTCTTCTTTCAAGAAATATTTATCATGTTTCATTGTTGATAGACTGAGTCCACTTTTAAATTAGGTTATTTGTTTTCTTGCTATTGAGGTGTTTAAATTCCTGATATACACTGGATATCAACCCCTAAATAAACGTGTAGACCAATGGTACAGAATAGATAGCCCGGAAATTAATCCACATGTTTATGGTCAATTAATTTTCAACAAATGTGCCAAGAATACACAATGAGGAAAGGACTGACTCTTCAATAAAGGAGGCTGGGGAAACTGGATATCTACATGAAGAAGAAAGAAATGGGATCTCTATCTTACATGATATAAAAAGCCAACTCAAATGGATTAAAGATTTACAGGTAAAACCTAAAACTATAAAACTATTAGAAGAAAACATAGGTAAAAACCTTCTTAAAATTGATCTGGGCAATTTTGGGGGAATATGACCCCAGAAGCACAGGTCAAAAAGCAAAAATAAACAAATTGTAGTGCATCTAACTACAAAGCTTCTGTACAGCAAACAAAACAATTAACCAAGTGAGGACACAAGCTACAGAATGGGAGAAAATACTTTTAAACCTATTTGTCACTTCTTTCTGAGATGAATAATGCTACCCTCAATTTTACAGAAGATGGAATAGAGATGTTAAATGGCTTTTCAGACTCTCAGTAATCAAATAATAGTCAGTGGAGTCCAGAACAGTGGCCTGAAAATCATGATACTGCTGTCTTGTGGGAGAATGAGTCATACATTTCATGGTCACTCTGGGACCCTGATTTAATTCACCCTGACCTGATCGGTTCTCAAGAGTACTATGATGATCTGATGAAATAAAGACCATCTGTGAAATATCTGAGTGCCCCAGAATTCATTCAGTCATGATGTAGATCAGGCATTATATAACCAGGCCCTCACAATTTGAATTGGCATACAGAAATTGGAAAGAGAAATTTCAGAGCATAGTAATAATATGATGCATATTTATTTATATATAGACTTTTCTGCAATCAAAAAGATATGCAATTTTAATTTAACCCACATATAAACCTCCGATTTACATGTAACTGTCACCTATTGATCAGGTTTAATAAATGTTAGTTAATTGTTGAGTTCTATTAGCTATTAGCACTAATTTTAAAGCAATATTGTTTAATTCAAGAATGTCATATGATGACCGTCATAGAAGATACACATCTTCCCAAATCACAGGATTAGTATTAGGAAAGATAATCATTTACTGTTAATTTGTCCATTTCAACATGGTTCATTGCAGTGTAAGTGAAGTAAGTGTGACAATGAAAAAGTCATTTGTGGGTAAACTTTTCCTCTATTTGCCACAACATAGAGCACCATATAGTAAAAATGATATTGCTGGATTTACATGCATATTGACTATTCAAATAATTAGCCTATTTTTTCCTGCTAATTTCAGTAAAATTGAGAGAGGAGGCAGGTAGGGGCTGTTTAGGCAGATAGAGAGGGAGAGTCTCAGAAGGGGGACAATGCCTGCAAGAACACACCTGTACCACCCCTGTTATGTAGCTAGCAGGAGGGAATGTGGTTAAGAACTTCCTGTTATAACAAAATGCTTGCTCAGAAAGGACTTTCTAGTTGCCTGTGCAGGCACAGACAAGGACCGAGGACATCCTACAATGACCCTGAACTCCTTATAATTCTATGAGCATTGTGACTTTTGTCCTTCTGTGGGTTTCATTTAGGCACTCATGGGTAATCAAGATGGAGTTACTATGGCCAACCCCAGGCATACACAAACACAACACCCCTGGGGGGAACTTTACCTCTCCCATTAAGGCAGAACCTACAGAAGACTCTTTTTCTGACACATAAAAGACCTAGAGCTCAGCATCATTTTTTGCAACCATCTTTGGGTCCTCTCTTGCTGCTGAGAGCTTTTCTGTCACTTAATAAATCCCACTCTGCCTTACTCACTCTCTGGTGTTTACATGCCTTATTCTTCTTGGTCATGGGACAAGAATTTGGACCTTGCTAAACTAAGGTGTAAGAAGACTGCAACAAAATGGTGTTTCTTTCACTTCCATTATACAGACAAAAATTAGCAGCCCACTATCTCATGTTCGATTATAACATACTTGTGTGTGAAGCATATAAAAATAAGCCTTAAACATAACTATATTTTTAAAAATTCTCACATAATAGACATATAAAGATGATATTAGTTGATTGCACAGCACTATAGATCTAACATGGTATCATTAAAATAATATATATATATATTTTTGAGAGAAGTCTTGCTCTGTCACCAAGTTGGAGTGCAGTGGTGTGATCTCAGCTCACTGCAACCTCCAACTCCTGGATTCAAGAGATTCTCCTGCCTCAGCCTCCTGAATAGCTGGGACTCAAGGTGCATGACACCACACTTGGCTTATTTTTGTATTTTTAGTACAGATGGGGTTTCACCATGTTGGCCAGGATGGTCTCGATCTCTTGACCTCATGATCCACCTGCCTCGGCCTCCCAGAGTGCTGGGATTACAGGCATGAGCCACCGCACCCAGCCTAAAATAATTTAAGTGAAATATTGTAGTGTTTACATACTGGGAATGTAATTCACAGGGGTTCTAGGTTAATAAACCCTTCGATCATGAATGTTTATCACATTCTAAAGTCAGTGTACACAAACAAATGATTCCTCAGAATGCTAAGAAACTTTTTAAATGAAGTTTCAGTCATGTATAAAACTCCACTGAAAAGCACTGACTTTTTAAAGACAGGGTAGGATAATGTTAAAAAAGAGTGCCTTGTGCCTTTTTGTTAGCAAAATTAATCATATGAGTTTATATTAGCACTTATTAAATAATATTATACAAAAGCATGTGCTATGCAAAAACACATATCCACTTAGTATACCCAAGAAGTTCATAGCATCTAACAGATGATAAACCAGTGCATGATTCATATAAGAAGATGGAATTATTCTCCAAGAGAAAAATATTTTACAGATATCTTGTAATTTAAAAAGCCACATCATATAATATTAATGTTTAAAATCTCAAAATAGTTTAGGTGATCACAGTAACTATGGGTTTTTAGTTCTCAGGATGGAATGCAGCAATAGAAGAAAACATAAATAGATGCATATATCAGTAGTATTTTGCTCAATGTCAATCAACTGAACAATTCTCTATTTTCCTCCTCAAGACAGTAGTTTCCTTATTTTCTACTGCCTGTCATCCTAAGACTTGCTTATATGACATTCATTCTGAACTTAGAAGACCAAAAAAGATGAGACAACTATCTAATGGTAGAAAACAAATATGTAGGTCATAAAGAGAATCAACTAGATTTCAAATAAAAAGAGACTAAATGGCTATGAAATAAAAACATTAATCATGATTAAAAATAAAAGAAGTTCTCCCATATATATATTGTAGCCATACATTCAGCATTTATTAAAAAGTTTAATGACGTTGTCCACTTACAATTTAAGGGCAATTTAAGAAGACTTATAAAAGTAATAAGACTCTTAATCTGGCATTTAAAAAAATTTTTTTTGAGACAGGGTCTCACCGCATTGTCCAGGCTGGAGTGCAGTGGTATGATCTTAACTCACTGCATCTTCGATCTCTGCAGCTCAAGCTATCCTCTTACTTCAGCCTCCCGAATAACTGGGACCACAGGTACACATAACCATGCCCACCTAATTGTATTTACTTTTTGTAGAGATGAGGTCTCACTGTGTTACCTAGGCTGGTCTCAAACTCCTGGGCTCAAGCAATCCTCCCACCTCAGCCTCTCGAGTGTTGGAATTACAAGCGTGAGCCACTGTGCCAGGCCTCCATTTTTTTTTTTTTGAGAAAATTGTTTGTAAATCATAAACTAAAAGTACTATAGGATATTTCAGAGGACATTATGCCAATGCATGTAAATGAAGATCTGTGATTCATAAAGTGATTCTCTAGCTCCAATTCTTTCATTTCCTATATTCTTTTATATGTTACTTCAATAACATTCCTTTACCTTAAAGAAATATAATTTGAATCCAGCAAGTGACAATATAACCAAAGAGATGAGTAAGGAATAGTGTGGAACCTAGGATATTGTATTCGTTTTTTCTGTTGCTTCTATATCAAACTACCACTAACTTAAAGTCTTAAAAGAATGCAACTTAATTATCTTATAGTTGTGAAGGTCAGAAGACCAAAATAAATCTTGCTAAAACCAAGATGCTGGCATGGTTTGTTTCATAAGGAAGCTTTGGGGAAAATCTGTTTCTTTCCTTTTTTCTAGACTCTAGAGGCTGTGCCCTCATTCTTCGGCTTGTGGCCCCACAACACAGCACCTTTTCTTCCTCATTTCTAAAGTCACATCACATTTTCCCTCTTCTAATCTTCCTATGTCCCTCTTAAAAGGACCAATGTGATTACATTTATGGCCCACCTTGATAATCCAAGATAATCAGCTCATCTCAAAAGCCATAAAGTTTCATCATATATGAAAAGTCCCTTTAGCCATATAAGATAACATTCACAGGTTATGGAGAAGATCATAATTCAAATATCAGGGTGGGGTGGGGGTCATTATTCATCCTAACACATGTTAAGTAAAAAGACATATTGAAAACAGTGTCTCTTGGGGTGGGCACCTTGAAATCTGACCTAGTAAGATGCATGTCATTGCCAAGGAGCATGGCTAAAGTGGTCATTATTCCTGTGATGTACACTTATTTTTCTTAAAAGGCATGTAAGCCACATTTATACATATTATCCTCTAGTACAAATAAATGTTTTGACTTTAATTTGGTTAAAAGATTATGTTTGTTTGTTTGCTTTTATCACAATGAAATTCTCAGCATACAAAGCATATTGCTATAGATGACAGAAATTGAGCTACATTTTAGGTGACCAAGAAAGGTAAACTTTTAAAGCATTTTATGGAAATTGGAATGTATTTTCAATTTGGACTTACGTAAAACCTCACAAAATGTGAAATATCAAACATTAAGAAATTTTTAACCAAATCCACTGATTTATATTAAATTAATGTTTCAGTGTTACTATGTTTTTCTAGAAACAAATGAAAAGTGACTCATGTTGATGGACTGAAATAAATCATTTTATTCCGACAAAATACAATTTATGAATTCCCTACCGTATTACAAGATCTTATTTGCCTATGCTCTAAAAATTTTCAGTGGCAATTTAAAAAAATACTAACTTCTTTTGATTTTCTTACTATAAATGTATATTTATAAATGTATGAATCTTAAAGGCTTATTCCTAGGAATATATAAAATTGACTTAATAATATTCTGAAAATGTAGAAATGTGTTTGAAAATGTGGTAATCTTGCAAAGAAGTCTAATTTCCAAATACTCCACATACCTCTGGACAATATTTGATAAAACAAATTATCATATCCATCAGTCAACATCCATAGAATATTTCACAGAGCCCATTCCAAAAATAAAATGATTAGCTATGTCAGACACATGAGTAAAATTCATAGAACGATGCATCCAAAATAAATGGAAATGTGCTTTTTAAAATTAACAAGTTCACATACATTGCTTGGAAAAGCATTTCAGCCCTGGCTTCTGTACCAGTGATTTCTAAGCTGTAATCTTTCACTAGTTAAATGCTTTATCAATAGGCAGATAAAATGGTAAAAGATTTTCATTTAAAAATAACTGGAATGACATCTATATTCATTTATTACTATCTACTTGTAGCAGCATTTTATTGCTGAATATTCTTTATTTGTATGTATGGTTAACCAAATGAGTTGGAGTATGTACTTGAATTCATTATCTGAAAGTGCAGCAAATAAAGATATTGCTTATTTTCACCTAATATAAGGGAGCAATATGTTATACGCACCTTATATATTGCATATGTTATATAATATACTACTTTATTTCTCTTAAGTTAAAACAATGTGCATTTCACTGTGAGTTAGTTAGGATATTACTATCTGAATCCATTTTACCAGACCACTTACTATTCTACTCTTTTTTCCTTTTTTTTTTTTCATCTGGGACAGATTTAATTCATTATACTTCAATGGAGTGCTGTAAGGCATTCTTTTCTTTTCTGAGCAACAAAAATGTCCTCTCCGCATGACTGGGCTGAGACAAGGAATGTCATACTGAATCACTTAGTTAAGACATTTTTCTTTCAATATGTGATATTTCCAAGTCAAATGACTTATGTATGTTTGAAAAAAGGAGAAACAGAATCAAACCTTTAGAAAGAGAAATGGAAAGAAAAGGAACTTTTACTAATACTAGATATTGAAGTCAAGTAACATGAAAGCCTTTAAAAAGAAAAACATAAGATGAGCTAGGAAAAATGGCTTTGACTTCCTCATATTTGCTTGTAATAAAGTTGTAAACAAAAGCAAAGGAATAACTGTGTGCATGTGTGTGTCTGCATATATACTTAGCTGTTAAAAAAGAAAAAAGTACCAAAACAGGAATACACAACAGAGGGAAATGAAGTCTGGCACCTACCTCTGTCATCTACAGATTTTTGAAGAGTGCAGTAGTAAGTTATACTACATAAAATAATCTTAGTTGTCTTCATGCTTTATAACAATAATGTAACAGACATGGCATAGCATAAAAATCCATGAAGCAGAGCTCACAAATGCCAGTGACTGAAGACAAATAAATCTCAAGGGCCCCTTTCTCCATACATGTTTTATCTCCCACTTGGTACTGAGGCTAGTCAGGCTGACTCTGATGTATTAAGTCAGGCCATGACTTTAGAGAGACTCATCTCAATCCTGTATCCTACTGCTTCAATTTATGGTATCACCAGTAAGCAATAAATAGAAATGTGATGGCATTTCTATTCATATCAGAATGCTTTAGACAAAAACCAGCAAATGTAAATAAAAGTTTCTTAAAAATAAGAATAATATCATTTTGCGTATTAAAAATTGAAAGGTGGGTTGGTTCTAAGTTGATTAATTCAGAGATTTAACCAGAGTCATTCCCATGGCTTGGATTTTATGAAATTCTCTTGGATTTTTCTTATGGTCTTAAGATGGTTAAGACGGTTACTGAATTTCCAGGTATTACTTGGAGACGATAACATAATCAGAAGAAAGTAAAGCTCTACCATGTTTTTTTTTGTTTGTTTTTGTTTTCGTTTTTGTTTTTAAGACAGTTTCGCTTTGTCACCCAGGCTAAAGTGCAATGGTGCAATCTCGGCTCACTGCAGCCTCTGCCTCCCAGGTTCACCCAATTCCCTTGCCTCAGCCTCCAGAGTAGCTGACACTACAGATATCCGCCACCATGTCCAGCTAATTTTTTGTATTTTTAGTAGAGACTGGGTTTCACCATGTGGCCAGGCTGGTCTTGAACTCTTAACCTCTGGTTATCCACCTGACTCGGCCTCCCACAGTGCTGGAATTACAGGCGGGAGCCACCGCGCCCGGCAGTTCTGCCATTTAAAGAGTAAGAATATTCTACACATAAATCATTCAGAAGACTACCCCTTAAAGAACATTGGCCACATGAGTCACTGCCTATGGCATGACAACATATTTATGCCTAAAATAATCACATAAGGGGAATGATGTTTACACGATCATCTTAGGACCTGAGAGGCATGCAGTTGCCTCTTAAGGACCTGGCTACCTAAAGGAGATGGAACAAATAGGACTTTTCTAGCAAGGAAGAAGAGGATGGGGGTTAGAGGATGGGTTTGTGGTAGGCAAACAACATTATATTACACAACATTCTCTCAAGTTCCCCTGTCTAATGAAAAGTACTTCATATTTAAGATACTATAAAATTTGTACCACAATAACTAAGAACAAAAATAAACCTGAACCCTATAAAAAATATGTTTTCAGACTTTAAGAACAAATATTTTACTTTAAATGTATATGATATGAGGCATTTTAGTGTATAGTCTGATTAAATACATTAAAATGAATCCCCACTATGTGATCTTAGAAAGACATTAAAATGAGGCAACTCTTCCTTTATTGACCTAAAAAGAAAATCCATATTGAAATTTAAAATGAAAAAATTAAAAAAAAGTATTGTAGCTGTATGCATGTATAAAGGTAGAGAATGGCATGAACATATCTATAGCAACAGTGATTATCACTGAGGTGTAGGATAATTGTGATTTTCAGTTTCTTAATACTTTTTCTCCTTTTTTTATTAAAACAAATTGAAGTTATTATTTCTTGATTATTCCAAACCACATTTAAAATTTAAAGAGGATGATATTCTTTCAGGACTATCTGAATTAACAGCTCCATATTCTGATAAAATTTAATGCTTTAAAAAATTTTACATATTTTACATAACACCTACAGAATGCAGCTTTCATAGAAATTATTTTTTCTGTAATATTTCCCAATAGTTTCTCATATATTTACTACATATCTCTTTGCCCCCAAAACATTACATTTGTTTTCAGTACTGAGCCTCTTTTTAGGGATACTGTGCAGGTATAGATCACCTAGGATGTCTGGCATGAGGGGAATCTAGCTTGCCACATGCCTAGGAAGCCAGAACATATCATATACAAATGGATGACATCTATTCAGTTGCTATAGGCCTTAAGATGATAACTGCGTTAGTTGACCTGTGTTAGAATGACTCTGATGACAACTTATGACATCTTGTAATAAGAGCAGACATTGTCTTCAGGGGGTGTTTCATATTTTTCTTTTTCAAAGTTGTGGTTTTTATTTCATATAAAACATAGTAAAATGGAACTATAATACTCAATCCTAAACAATGAATTATCTGAAACATAGTCTTCATAACTTACATATGACTGAGAAAACCACCAATGTTTTAAAGTTTAGTTGAAAGAGAAAAAGGGAAAAAATTTGTTATTGTCACAGGAGACGTGGGATGTCACTTTCCCATACAGAAACCTCTGTAGCTGGTGGCATGTTTGCCTGAGTTTTGCTCCGGCCTGCTGGGCTCATTCCTCCCACTTGACCTGGCAGGCTGCACTCAGCTTGTGCTACTGGCCTAGATCCCACACCTGCCTAGGGTGAGCCAGGCGCAGAGTGGTGAGGGGTCTGTGAGCAAGTGAGCAAAGGGTCCATCCGCTGCACACCACCAGGCACACCGGCTGCGGTGGGGTAGGCACCTTTGGGCAGCAGCACAGGTGCCAGCTCCCAGCGAGGCTGTGGCTGGACCAGGCATAGTACAAACAGCTTCTATGGCTGGCATCTACGGCTGGCATTGGAGAATGCAGTTTCTGCTGGAATCCAGAAACTTGGAGATGCCAGGAACTGCAGAGCTCCAAAGAGGGTGTCACAGCCCTGGCTCAGGGAGCTCCTAGGTCTGGGCTCTCTGAAGGGCCACAGCTATTCTCACCTTCTCTCTTCTCTCCTTCCCATCACCCACAATGTAGTGAGCAAGGAGTGTCTTTCAGCCCTGCTTCTGTTACAGCTGTTTCAGCCCTGCCATTTGGAGGGTCCCGAGTTCTTGTCCCATGTTCAGGAAGAATGAGGTACACAGACAAGTGAAGGGTGAGCAAAGCAAAGAGATGCTTTATTGAGTGACAGAACAGCTCAGAGGAGACTTACAGTGGGTAGTTCCTCTCCACAGGCACGGTGTCCTGATGAATATTCAGCTCTCAGCAGAGAGGAGACCCACAGTGGGTAGCTCCTCTCCACAAGCAAGGTGTCCTGATGAGTGTTCAGCTTTCAGCAGAGAGGAGACCCACAGTGGGTAGCACCTCTCCACAGGCAGGTCATTCCATCGTCTGCCCAAGTCAGGCTGAATCCTAGGGTTTTTATGGGATTGGTCCATGCATGGCCAGAAAAAGCTCCATAAGTTCTCACTCCATTCTTCAGGCAGTCCAGCCCCCAGACCTCAGGCTGTCCTTGGCCTGAAGATGGGGTTTCACTGGGAACCACCCCTTTCCACCCAGAAGTCTGTCGGCCTCCTGCCGCCATTAACCTGCCATCCATGGTGCCCATGGGACATAGGCTGTTCCTGCCAAGGAGTGCCTGCAGGCCCACGCTGAGCTACCCTCAGCCCCCACCTTTGGCCTCCCTCCCATGCTCATTGGCACCCAAAGTCTGGAGGGGGCCAAGGCAGCAGGCGGCTGGTATGTCAGTGCTGCCCTGAGTATGCACACACCTGGCTGGGTTGCAACAGCGCTCAGGCTTAGCCTAAACTTTGCTCCAAAACTGATGTGAGAAGAGGCCAGGGTGGTGGGAACACACACTTCTAAGCCTGCAGGGGCAAAGGGTCTTCCCAGGCCCCTAAGAGTACAGTAATGCCTGGGTCCACAATCATGGCTGGGCAGCTACAGCTGTGCCTGGGAGGGTAGGGCTCCTCCTGCGCCCGGCCCTCAGGAACACAGGGATGCTTGGGTCTAGAGCCATGGCTGGGAGGCCGCAGCTTCACACAGGGAGCACGAGGCTCCTGTCCTGCCTCCTCAGAAGGGAATGGGACTTCCGTCTGTTCCCGGCTCCTGCCAGCTCTGTGGAGCACAGCCCTGGCCTTGCCTCCCCGACTGTAGCTGGCATTATGGCAGTGGCCACTCCAGATTGGCTACCACTGCCTTCACTACTACAACCTGCTTTTCAGAAGTAAGAAGTAACACTTGAAAGAATAAATACAAGGTATTTATTTTCTAGTTTGCTATTTTCAATAATAGGCATTTGTTGCCTCTTCCTGCATTGAGAACAGATAAATACATACTTAATGAATATTACATAAAATTTGAAGTTTTAGTCAAGGAACTTTTTTAATATTGATCCCAAATAAGATTGCTCATTTTTTGTATTTTATTAGTTTGCTTTATAATTATGAAGTTAAAAATATGAAATATAAAGTATGAAATCAAATGCCTAATGCAATGTTCTGAAAGATATTATAATGAAATATACATGATCTCTACTTTATGTCTTGAACTTCAGAAATAAAATATTAATCAATATTAATATTGTCATAACACTGTTCTTTCCTTTAATAATTGTTTCCTTTAAAGAGACAAAGTTTCATAAATATTTCTTATAACGCACAACCACACAATGAAAATAATAATATTTGTATGAATACCTACTATGTAGTAGACTTTATTATTCACATATGTTACTTAGGAGAATGCTCTGATGTAAGGCTGTGGTTTTCAATCTTTTCAAGAATATAGTCTCCCTTTATTAAGAAACCATAATTCTACTACAGGATAGTAGTTAGAGTTTTATTAGTTTTTGATTGAAAAAGTCAATAATTGAAAGTGATCATTTTATCTTTACTATTTTTAAATGGATCTATTCTGTATTATTCACAACAGATTGTATGCATATTAAAAAAATGCAATATGTGCAAATGTCAGGATATTGACAATGCTTAAAATGTGAAATAATTTTTAAAAACTCAGTCTAAAGCAAATAGGTTAGATAACATTAGTGAATAAACTCAGAAGTCTACATTTAATATTGTGAGAAACAAGACAAGTTATGTAACCTCTCAAGGCCTTAATATTTACTTAATTGTAATTTTAATCAGTGATTATTTTGAGGTAATAACGTATAGGGCAACACAACATATAACCCAGTTGAATATACATATTCAATAAATGATGGGTTACTGAATCTAAGATATATATGATCATACTTAAAAATAGTAAAAAGTAAGTTATTTGAAAAGGTATAAACAAAACAGGGTTTCTAAAGACAATTGGTCTAATTAACGTTTTTAATTTAGATTCTAAGTAAAATAAAATGATTACACAGGCAACCAAGTAAAGTATTCTACATCCAAACCACACAGTTTCATTTTTGATCAATTGGGTTTAATGTGGAAAGTTACTCAGAAGAAAGACACCTCTTAGCACTGTAAAAATCACTTTTCTTCCTTTACACTGGCTCACCATCTACTAAGATTATTAATGCATGGTAATCTTTATATCACTATGTCATTATACTTTATTCATCAACAGCTTAGTTAGAATACTCCTGATTAACAGAGACAAAAATAGGAAACCATTTAGTTAGGGAGAATTGGCCTGTACTTTAAAACCATCTCCATCTCCACATAAACAATATTTTTGGCTTTAAGGAGATCTCCTTGCAAATAAATAATGACTAAATAAAAATCGATTCATTTAAAATAGATTTAAAAAAGGAATACATGTGGGTATAGCCAGAGAAAGTATGATTAAAATTACATATATGCTTTAAGAAAAAGATTCTGAATCAAAAGACAATTTTCAAAGTAACAATTGTGCAAGCAAACAACTTTATCCTTCTGAGTTTTACTATACTCATGTAAAACAATAGGGACTGTGACAGAGCTTTACCTCCTTACATCAAAGTTAACATGGTGTGGGAAACTGTAGAGGAAATGTAAATATTTTATAATTACATAGTATCATAATTTCAAAAAAGGTCTCACTGAGGTATGCATACACGAAGAAAGACGTTAAAAAGCCTCACACATTTTTCAGGAATATCATTCAACTAAAGCCTAAACTTTTAGATTCCAGCCTCTATAGCATCGTGTTTGGCATTTGGTTAAGGTGTGTTCCACACAAATTCATTTGAGAGTGCTCCCTGAATATCTTTCTCCTCTGTCCCCCCAATATCCAATCAGTCCATATCCTATGTGTGCTCCTCCTAATCTCTGGTGTATCCCTTCTTAACCAGCTTCACTACAGCTTTTTTTTTTTTTTTTTTTGTAATCTTCACTTGATTTTCATGACCCAGCCTAGCATGAATACCAGGCTCTTCATAAGTAGTCTCTACTTTCTGATTAAATTGAGTCTCTGGTGGTTCTAAAATGGGAAATGCAAAATATAAATATCTGAAAGTGAATATGTAAGCTATAATTTCTTTCATTTATATTTTATAGATATGCATGAAGAAATTAAGTAATTTCCCCAAGGCTGTATGAACAATGAAGATCCTGGGAAAAGAACTAACTTCTCTTTGTTCTCGATTCAAGGTATTCCTGCTTCCTTTTTCTGTAATAATGGGATAATATAAAGCCGGTTATCAGACATTATGTGACATTTTTAATCTTTGTAATCTTTTGTATCATAAGACCTGTTTTTTAAATAGCAAATTAGATTATTCATTTAATCAACATGTATTAAAAGACTACCATGTGTCCACTGCTGGGAACAAATACAAATTAGACATGGGACATGCTTTCAAGAACTCAGTATCTCTTAGAGGGGACAGGCATCTGGACAGGTTATCAGTGTATGATAGGTTTAGTGCATCTATGCACGGATGATACGAAAATAAGGGTCACTATTACAGGTTGAATTGTAGTCCTCAAAAAGATATGTTTAAGAGCTAACCTCCAGGACCTCAGAATATGATGTTACTTAGAAATAAACTTGTTGCAGATGTAATTAAGATGAGGTCATACTGGAATAGGGTAGGCCCTCAATCCAATTTTACCAGTGTCCTTATAAGAAGAGGGAAATTTGGATGCAGATACAGAGACGCACAGGGAGAATGTCATGTGGTAATAGAGGCAGAGATTGGAAAGATGCAGCTGCAAGTCAAAGAATGCTAAGGATTAACAGCCACAACCAAAAGCTAAGAAGAGGCAAACAATGATTCTTCCCTAGAACCTTCTAAAACAGTATCTTGCTGATACCTTAGCACTTCTAGCCGCTAGAACTGTCAAAGCAAATTTATGTTGTTTTAAGCTACCCTGTTTGTGGTACTTTGTTACAACAGCTCTAGGAAACCAACACAGGTCCCTAACCTGGGAAGAGTAAGGGCTTTCAGGGCAGGTTTCCTGAAGGAGGAGACTCCAGAATTGATTGTTAAGGGACAAGTGTCAATCAGCTTGATGAAATGAATGAGGGTAGAAAAGGCATGGCAGGCAGATAAAAAGAGAAAGGGAATTGACACAGGATGGTAACGTAGTGATCTGGAGGTCATTGTGCTCTTAGATTAGAAGGCACAGGCTGAGAAGAGAAAAGGTTGAAAGGTAAGCAAGGCTCAAATACAGAGATTGTATATAACATGTTAATAACTAATAGTTACTAACACACGTTCATCACTTTCACTGTGTCCAACACTATGCAATATGTTTTCCTTAACTTATCTTGTGTAATCTTCAAAATGACTCTACTGGGACCATTTAAGTGAAAAAAACTAAGGCTTAGAGAAATTATGTTATTTATGTAAAGGTTATCCAGCTAATAATTATATGAGCCTGGACTGATATAGCTGATTATATGGAATCACAGAATATGTTATAAGCAAGGAACAATACAGTCTCACTGCTTTTGATCCAGGTAAGCCTGTCATTTTTGTAGAAAATGAATTGGTACAGCACAGGCCTGAAGGCTTAAGGAGCTCATAATGGAGATGGAAAAAATAAGTAAAGTCAAGAAATATTTAAGGTGGAAAATTGGCAAGTCTTAATAATTAGTTGAAATGTCAGGAGTTAAAAGGAGGGAGGGAATAAGGTGGGCTCCAGCTTTGGAATATGAATGGATGGTGGTGCAACCCATGAAGAAAAAGAATACAAAAAGAAGCATAAATTATGGTGGACTGACTTTAGGAAAATGACAAATGACTTACTGGTTGTGTGTTGATTTGCATACAGTAAGAGCACTGAATTGCTGCTACCAAACCTCCAGTGTCTTTCATCAAGCATTTGATCCTCTGCAATACCATGCTAGAATGTGCCATGGGGGCAGATAGAAGCACTCCTCCCTCTTCCTCTCCAATGTTTATTGCAGTCCCTAAGAGATTTAGTCTAAATCTCAACCTCTGATGTCAAAAGGAATAACTTGGGCATTCATTTGGTTTTCTAACAGATATGTCTGAAATGTTTAGCCCTTTCCAATGCAATATGCATACATTTATAAAATTTGAATGTTTCATTGTTGTTTGCTTTTTTCTCCAAAGCAAGCGGACATTTTCAAAATTATTCAGAAGGCCTTGACTTTCTCAGAAATAAAATTTTAGAAATGTTCAGGTAACTGTAGTTGGTTAAGTATAGTATTAAAAAGACAATTTTGTTTGTTGACTCTTGGTGTTAAATGAGAATTTTTATATCCCATTAAAAAAACTGAATCTATAGAGAGAACAATACCTATGTGAATAAAATTCCCATACTCTCAGATATTGATTTGAGTTACCATTGATTGACAATATATTTTGAACATATGAAATGATAAATAAACATTTATTTACCTAAGGCATATATATATATAGACATATATGTATATCTATGTATCTATGTCTGCAATTGGGGCTCTTGGGGGATATGAAGTTTGAGTGTGCTGCAGGGATGACAGTCCCTTTAGGCATGAAAGAAGGTGGCTGTTTCCTTCTGCAGCATTCCCTATAGTCTAATTATAGAGCAATACCTGCGTCAGCTTAAGGGAAAGTCACTCTTATGGATTCTCAGTTGGAAGCAAGTTATATAAAAATGATGGGGAAAATGGAGAACTCTAAGAGTGAAGTACAATCACAAGAGCAGAGAGGGGAAAAACACATGTTTTTTATTGGCTACTGTATTTCAAGCATTTTAATCCATTTGATAAATAAACACGTTTGCAAATAAAAAGTATCAAAAGAATAGACATTTGGCAAGAGTGTGCAAACTGAAGGATGTGTTTGCTGCTTTTGCAAGGGGAAAGGAATACTGGGAGACTGCCATTAAGAGCATGCCAGCTTAGAAATGCAGCAGAAGTTTAACAGAGAGAGAAAATAGCAACAGAGAAAAATTAAGCAGCTGAAATGTCCAAATGGACATCTAAAATGTTTAAATTGACATGAACAATTAGTCAACTAGCAAGCATGATGGTATATGCTGAGTGAAAATACGGTTAAAGCTAGAAAATTCATTGTTTTACTGTAACTCCCTAAATCCTACATTGGATTTCCTTTCTGTCAGTAGTGACCCAGTCTCAGAATGTAGCATACAACAGCTACATCTCAACTTGCCAGAATTTACACAAATACCTTTTGTAAAAAACAAAACAAAATAAAATCTTTTGCATGCCTTTCAAATATCTTTAGAAAAATCTTTTCTTGACTTTCATTTTACCCAGGAACCAAATAGCTCCCTTATATAGTCATTTTTTACCTGTGGTTTCAAAGCTTGGATTCCAAAACTAAGGAATATTGGTCTCAATAAGTATTTACCCTAATCTTCAAGGACTTCTTGAGGCCATTGCATGCAACAATGAACAAAAGCCTCACAGAATGTGGCTTTTGTATATTTCACCCCCCCCACAAAAAAAAGTACCTTCATTGTACTTTTCTTTTTCACTCAACAAATGGTCACATATAAGTTTAGCTTCATATAGAAATCATAATCTGAGTCATACTAAGTTTTTAAAGACATTTTAAGATCCTGTATTACAGTCACAAATATGTGATAGCACCAAAAGATAGCATTAAGAAGCATTCATAAAATATGTGTTATTGTCTACTGAAAGATGAAAAGTATGCCTTACTAGAACACTGCCCTTTCATTTTATTGACCTTTTGGCAACAAAGTAAGCATCTAATGCTTTACTTCAACATCAAAAACCTGTGATTAAGAAAATGCATTGCAAGCCACTGGGGAAAACGTAACAGAGAAAACTAAGTCAACCACCAATCCTGAATTTCAACATTGACAAGGAAACAGGTATTTTTCTTTTTAATATCAGTGAGTAACCACATTCCAAATATATCTAGAATATCAGGAATTTAAAGAAAAATATGTCTCTACTCAAAATTTAAAGATACAAACATTCTATTTGTTTCGTTTGAATTAAATTCAAGTTTACTGTACACTTAGAGTTCTCTAAGAACTAAAACAAATCTTATTTGGGAACTTCATTCATGTGAAAGTATAGTTTGCCATTTTATATCACAATTTCCCATACCACTCAGCAGATGGAAATCACTGATTAGAAAACTTTTTGAATGAATCTATCAATTAAGAGAAAAATGACGACCTTCTTGCTACTGACCACAACCCCAGCTTTGAGCCAAAATGCTAAACAAGAAAGACGGACATTTACATAAAAACAACTCAAACTTTAGCTTAATTTTTTCCAAGTGTAAGTGTATTTCTGTTTTTTTCAAAGTGTATTTTTTACTTTTAATTTAATTTATTATAGTTAATACTGATGACTGATGGGTAAGCATGAGAAAACATTACTGTTAAAGAAAATAATAAATAATTTACTAGTGAAAAAATTTATATATATACTTTTGCTTTTATTAAAGTGCTTTTTGAATGTATAATTTTCAAATTGCATCACAGAAGCAGAGAGGCAGGCTTGTATCCGTTAAAAATATTCTCTTAGAAATTAGGCAAACTTGAATATGAATTCTTAGTCACTTGTCAGCTATTATAGCTTACAAGTTACTTAACCTCATCTAGTCTTCAAACTCATCTACGTAGTGTAGATCTTAATTGTACCCATACTTGATAGGGTTGCTGTATGAACCCTAAAGGCAAGTCATATACTATGTGTGAGTACACTGCTGGCCACAAAGAACACAATATTATTATATTTTAATACAGCTGATAGTAAGAGTCACACATAAAATAATAATAATGAAAAGACAACTCATTTAGAAAAGTCATAAGTCTTAGATAATTATTTCCTCAAAACACTGTTTCATCCTCATTTCTTTCTATAGACTTACGTACATGAGTTAAAGAATAAAGTTTATTTTTTCTGTTTTCTTTTTTCTTTTTGAGATGGAGTCTCGCTCTGTTGCCCAAGCTGGAGTGCAGTAGTGAGATCTCGGCTCACTGCAACCTCTGCCGCATGGGTTCAAGCAATTCTCCTGCCTCAGCCTCCCGAGTAACTAGGATTACAGGCACCTGCCATCACACCCGGCTAATTTTTGTATTTTTAGTAGAGATGGGGTTTCACCATCTTGGCTGGGCTGGTTTTGAACTCCTGACCTCGTGATCTGCCCACCTTGGCCTCCCAAAGTGCGGGGATTACAGGCTTCAACCACCACACCCAGCCTAGTTTCTTTAAAAGTAGGCTCAGGTATTATTACTATATAATACAAATTTCATAATTATTTTTATTTTAAAAAATAATAGAACATAAAATGGAATACAATTCTAAAAAGTACAGAAGTGTTAAAATCCTTTTAACATTTAATTTAAAGACAGTACATCCCTACAGCATATTAACAATTTTATATATTCATCTGGAAATGCTTAAAATTACCCCATAGTTAATAATGAGTAAAAAGAATCAAATGTAATATTAAAATCATGCTATATTTGTACGCATATCCAAATTTGATATAGAGTTTTGTAAAATTTTTAATGTTAAGAAAAAATTCAAAAATTTTTAAATAAAAAAGTCACATTCAATACAAATTATGACATTTCCACTATCAGAGATATTACAAAAACCAAAATATTTGTTGGAAGTTTCAAATTTCTGAATTAACTAACTACCAGTAGGTACATAATATGAGAAATTAAAAATTTAGCAAAAAAATTGCAGTTAGTATAATCCTCTCCTGCAGAATACTTTTCCCATGTATGTTGCCTAACACAAAAGTTACATTCTTTTTAGCCCAAAATATCTTAAAAAATGTCACTGGAGGAAATCCTAAATATATGGAACTAGTATACTATTGAAGTTTCTTGAGAACAACAGCTTTTAGGCTAATTGAATGTAGCGACATCTATTTGCCTACCTAGTATTTACTCCTATAAGAACACCTGGATTTTTCTCTGGAAAGTCACTTATTCATATTCTCTATCTGCGCAGGTATGTGACCCATGTGCGCCCACTTCATGTCCCTCGTCACTGTGATTGGTTTAGGAATAGGCATGCAATCCAAGAGAGGTGAATGATATCCAAATCTGGAGATTTTGCTAAAAACAATGGAAAAAAGTTTGCTGGTTATCTTAAAACTCTGTTTGAAAGGTTAATCAAATAAATCTGGTAGTGCTGAGGGACAGTATGTGTACCTAAAAATGAAGCCCAATACAAAGGACAAAAGAAGTGGAGGAAGACAGGTTTCTGATTACATCACTTGATGAAGTAATACTCAAATGAAGAGATACCCAAAGCTAGTTAAACCCTGGACTTTTCCATTAAAAGAGAAATTTCCTTCTCTCTAAGGCATTTTTAGTTAGGTCTGAACTCCTTGCAACTGAGAGTCCTGAATAGTTGTGGCTCCTTCCAGCCAAACTCCATTTTGTCTTGGGCGTACAACGCATATATTTTAGTCAGTTCAGGCTGCCATAACAAAATGCCGCAGACAGGGAAGCTTAAATAACATAACTTTGTTTCTTACAGTTCTGAAAGCTACAAGTCCCAGTGCAAGGCCCAGCAGGCTTGGTTTCTGGTGAGGGCTCTCTACCTGGCTTGCAAACAGTTGCATTCTTTCTATGTTCTCATATGGCTCTGTGTGTGTGTGTGTGTGTGTGTGTGTGTGTGTGTGTGAGAGAGAGAGAGAGAGAGACAGAGAGAGAGAGAGAGAGAGGCTTTCTCTTTCTCTTCTTATAAGGCCACTAATCCTATTGTATTAGAACCCTGCCCTTATGACCTCATTTAACCTTAAATAAGTTAAGGTTAAACTTACTCATTTCATCCAAAACAGTTACATTGGGGTTTAGTGTTTCAACATATCAATATGGCCGGGGGGAAGGGTGGGGAGATGCAGACATTATTCAGTGCATAGCAGCATGGATTGATTTATATTATCAATGACCCTCCCACTGGATTGTGAACATTATTCACTTCCATATCATTAGTATTTAACACATTTTTCTGCCTATAGCAAATGCTCAGTAGTTGATTAAAGCATTAATTATTCTATTAATAGCAGTTTTATGAAACCTGTTCTTACAGGGGGAAAAAGTGGTTATAATTATGACAGAAATATAAATGTTGTAGTTCAGGGAAGCATATATGGAAATAATCTTAGGTGAGCATACAGGTGTCCAGATGCTTTTCTACAAAATGATTTTTTAAATATACACCATAATATGGCTGATGATGTATGTATAGCATGTATTTATTAATATTTCAGAGGTCAGCATGAGTTTTTGTTAAAAGTTCAGATAGTAAATATTTTAGGTCATGTAGGAGAGATGGGTTATATTATAATTATTCAACTCTGTCACTGTAGCAAGAAAGCAATAAACACATAAAGTGTGTTGAAACAGGCTTAGTTCATAATGATGACCATTGCTTGCTGACCTCCGCTTTATTTAATCAATTAATCCAAAGAAACTTTCATGATGGTTTCAACAATAATATGTATCTTTAATCTTCAGACTGGGTAAAAAATATAAGTAAAAGTAATGCTAAAATTCTATAATTCAAAATTTTATGAAATAATATGAACAAAATCCTATTTTAATTATAAAACTTTGCACTCCATGCATTATCTTGGTATCTTAAAAAAACCTCCTGATATTCTGATGAAGTTATCTACACTATAGGCCACTCTTTGAATGCTTGCCAAAATAGAGAAAATAAGCTATGTTTTCTCTTACACATTTTTTCCAGTTCTTTTAGAGGGTGTTAAATACATTCCTTTTCAATATGCACATGGAAACTATGTCAGAACAAAATTGTTAACAATGAATACTTAATCTAATTCTTCATTTTTGGCTTAATACATTTTTTCTTTTTTTAATACAAATTTTGTTTTTAAACATTATTAAAATGACCTTTAAAAGTTATTTATTTTGGGCCAGGTTCGGTGGCTCCCTCCTGTAATCCCAGCACTTTGGGAGGCAAGGCAGGCAGATCACTAGGTCAGGAGATCGAGGTCATCCTGGCCAATATGGTGAAACCCCGTCTCTACTAAAATACAAAAAAAAAAAAAAAAATAGCTGGGCCTGGTGGCATGAGCCTGTAGTCCCAGCTACTCAGGAGGTTGAGGCGAGGGAATTGCTTGAACACAGGAGGCGGGGGTTGCAGTGAGCCGAGATCACGCCACTGCACTCCAGCCTGGTGACAGAGCGAAACTCCGTCTCAAAAAAAAACAGAAACAAAAACAAAAACAAAACAAACACACAAAAAAAATTTATTTATTTTGAAAACATTACTCAATGATATTTTAAGCCCTCCCCCAAACAAATACTAGTCTATAAGGAGTTTTGATTCCAAATTGCAGAAGCATTACCACTTGGGATATATTTTCAAAACTAAGGATGCTGATAAGGCTACTGCAATTAGAAGTGCTTTCATATAGCAGTTAAAGGCACAGGAATTTTGGTAATTTTTGATTTAGGAAATAATATACATATATTTAGTGATATTTTATGATTTAGGAATCAGAATAAACATGAAAGACTTATATTTATGGTGTACCTTTATTCGCTTTTCTTATCCCATTTGTGCTGTTTGGAGATAGCAATTATTCTTGCAATATGATCCCAAAAATAGAGTAATTTCCACTTTTTAATGGACAATTAACAATTTTTTAAGATTTCTATGCTTTTCTCATATAGAAAATGCCTCCATAAGCTAGAACTTTTCTTCCGAACCTTTTTAAACTGCCAAGTAAATAGAAAAATATTTAATTTTGCCCTAAGAATCATAAGAATTGAGGCTGAGTATGAGTGATAGATTACTTATTTAAATCTCTTTGTCATTTCCTTGATTCCTTACTATTTTCCATTATTCTTTTTATTTTTGTCCAACAACAAAAACATTCAAAAGATATCCTTCCTAAAATTATTAATCATTTGTTGCTCAAAATAAACATGAGTATTGTCAGCTCACTCCTGCTTCATTTATAAACCTAGAAACCATATTCACTTTCATTATTTTCATAATTATTTCATTTTCATTTTTATGTACTATGGTTCAGGTGAAGTATGCACTCTAATCACAACCTTGCAGTTGGAAAGTCAAGTTGTCCTCCTCCGTTTATAAAGACCTCTGTCAAATTATTACTATTTACTCATTTAGCTTACTTGGTAGTCAATTTTATGACAAAGAATCTCATAATTCCCCACCCTCAAAAAAAAGAAAGGAAAAGAACCCAGAAAATATATTTAAAGAAAATAAAACACCACCACCACCACAAGAGCTAGGATTCCAAGCTCTTCAATACTGTGAGTAAAAGTGTTAAAAAATAAAATTTACTATTTAAGTTTTCACAATATGTCATTACGAAAAATATGGAGAAACCTCAGCCAAGATAAGAGCACAGGGTTAATAATATAACTGCATATTGAAACTGATAAAAATCTTTGGGAGCATTGTAACATGCTTTTACTCATTGCTTCTCATGTTACTTAGGATGTATTTCTTTTACATTTTACTTTTTAAAAAGTAATACAGTAAATATTTTGAGAGAATTAATCACAGTCTAATTTTGATTATAGTTTCTAAAAATAGGATTTTATTTTATTAAAAATGGTATTTTTACAAAAAAAATTATCCTGCTTAATAAATTTACAGTATACATCCTTATAGGATGGCATATAAAACATCTACTCTTGTTGAAGACAAATATTAAATAACATTATTTCTCTCAGTAGATTTAGTTGCCCTAAAATGTTCCGCCACTTTCCCACAGTTACTGATTGCAGTATTCTTCCAAAAGAGCAGGAAACAGCCAGACAACAAACTGCAGCTTTAACTCCACTTGCCCATCCTGAAAAATGTCACAGTAAAGTCTAGGCAACACTGAGTCAGTAAATCTTTGTCACTTCTACTGGAACAAAAAATCACAATTCCCTCCTAAAATATGAAGGGTCACTATAACAAAAAAGCAAAGTGGGTTGTTACTCAAGTCCATATTATACACACACATTTTTGCAGGTCAATATTTTGTAGAGGTAATAACTGATACAGAAAATGTACCATGTCTGTTGGTTCTGGTTCTTATTATGCTGACTAGTTGAACAATATTAAGACTGACACACTTATTTTACTACCTATAAAAAAGAGACTGGAGTCTCTCTAAACATTCATTTTAAACAAACAAGGATGCAAAATGATAAGACATCCAATTATTAAATTTAGCCCAGAGGAGGTTTTGTGTTTTGCTACGTGTTATAAAAGTATCAATTAGCAAAATAAAGACAATGATAAAAGGCTAAACTCTTCTACAAAATACATAAACTGTAAATCCAGCAAAAGAAGTAAAGAATCTCCAGAAAATAAATAAAATACAAAAGAGCAAAGTTCCACCTACAAATCTATGGAGGACTGAAGGTATACAAGCAATAGGCGAACAGGTTCTGAGAATTAAAAAAGACCTACAACCTTAAACCTTTAATATGGTAAATTTAGATGTTGCTGCTATTAAGAATGAATTAATTATAAACCTACATCTTATTAATATAATACCAAATCCTAGAGGCATACATATCTGGTTATCATACTATCTTAAAAATTTATAAACTTGATTTTTTTAAATTGGCAAATAAGCGATGTTACATCCATATGTAACTACTAAGAGGAATGGCGTGCTAGTAAACTATATTTACTAGCATGCATTTCCAAAATACATTTTAACTGCAAATATCTAGTTACAGATCAGTAGATAAAGATCTTATTTTCTTATATATAGTAAATATAAGTGGCATTAAAACATGACTGTTAAAAGTGGTTACTTTTAGGAATTAGATTTGGGGTTGCTGGGAAACATAATTTAAAGAAAAACTTAAAAGTAAGAAAGATAGTATAGAAAATACTGAAAAGGAATAACTTCAAAGTCATGGAAAACTGTGTTCTTATCATGTCCCTAACAATTTTAAATTATAAAACTATATATAAGAATGACCACATCCATTAGGCCTCAATTTCTTCATCAATAAAATCGGAACAATATCCAGATGAGTAGTTTAGATGAGAAGTAATTGAAATGATATATGTAAGGTGCTTAACAGTGTCTGGCACACAGCAGCTACTAAAAGAATGCCAGTTCTCTCATTTTTCTGCCTGTTCATTAGTGAAAGGCAATGATGTTTTATATTCTAGACTGTTCTTTCTCCTCTAGTTAGAGAATAGAAGCATAGCTTATTAAAAATTTAGTTTCACAAACTTAAAAAGAGGATTACTCAGCACAGAAAAAGACTATTAAAATCTAAAAAAAACCCCAAAAGAAACAGAAAAAAAAACAAAAAAATTCCTAATGCAAATTAATCTGTGACTGATATGAATGACAAAAGAGATAAATCCTGGACTTGATTAACTTACTGACCTGGAAAGGAATGTTTCTCATTTCAACACAGCCTAGCAGAAAAATCACTCATTGAGGGTTGTCTTCAAATTAAAAAAAAAAAAAAAAAAAAAGCCGATTTCATTTCCTAACTCTTAAAAGCTACTCACTAGAATCCTGGATTAAGTATAAAAGATTTCTTCTTTTACATATTTTATTTCCATTCTATTTTTTTAAGGTGGTATAAGATCTGGAATACTTAGAGTCAAATAGCATACAGCTTATTCCAGGAGTATAAAGGGTGTGCACAGTGTCTTCTATCCCTTCACCTAGCTTTGGTACAGCTGATTAGCACATATGGAATTGAAATAATAACAGCCATTATTTAAATACATGTCAGTTCAGTGGAATCTCTCTGAAAGAATTATTATGAGAAATAAAAGGAAATGGAACATACACATTTTATAAGAATATGTTGTGTGTGTGGTTATAGGTAAAACGTCTTCCCACAGAATAGGAAAATTATGGATCATAAAAATTTACTTGAAGATTATTTTGCTTTGGAGAAAGTTTACAATCTTCCTTTTAAATATAGTAATATCCAATATCTGAGAGGCCATGAAAGAAAGAAAACTTACAGTGGAAAACTGGTGGAAATAAAATAAAGGGCTATTAATAAATGCATGTTTTCTATTTATATAATTTCTTATACAATTTTTTACTCCTATACAATAAAAAGTGAATTTCAGTGTGAAAAGTCTATTGTTAATTTTTGCATTCTTATTGATAATTTCAGTATATTACAATTACTGTATCAATGTAAAACACTGGAATATAAAATAAATTTATATCAGCTCTTATGCAGAATTTTATTTTTTAAATGATGTTCTCATAATCCTCTAAAAATCTGAATGGCACGCCTACCAGGAAAAGGCTAACGTCAAAAGAAAATACTTTTTCCCCCTCACGTACAAACCATCAATGAGACTTCAATGCAGCATAAAGTCACGATTTTATATTGTTGTCTACCAATGTGTGAAAAAACAGGTACTCAGATATGGGGACAAACCCTAGTTCTACTGTCTTTCTAAGATAATAAAACTCAATTAATTTTAATTTTTTCGTCTGTAAATTCAAAGTGATGAAACCAAAGTTTTTAGGCAATTTTAAAAGTTAAATCGGGGAGGAGCCAAGATGGCCGAATAGGAAAAGCTCTGGTCTACAGCTCCCAGCGTGAGCCACGCAGAAGACGGGTGATTTCTGCATTTCCATCTGAGGTACCGGGTTCATCTCACTAGGGAGTGCCAGACAGTGGGCGCAGGCCAGTGGGTGCAGTGCACCGCGCAGGAGCTGAAGCAGGGCGAGGCATTGCCTCACTCGGGAAGCACAAGGGGTCAGGGAGTTCCCTTTCCTAGTCAAAGAAAGGGGTGATGGACGGCACCTGGAAAATCGAGTGACTCCCACCCGAAGACTGCGCTTTTCCTACCGGCTTAAAAAACGGCGCACCAGGAGATTATATCCGCACCTGGCTCGGAGGGTCCTACGCCCACGGAGTCTCGCTGATTGCTAGCACAGCAGTCTAAGATCAAACTGCAATTCGGCAGCCAGGCTGGGGGAGGGGCGCCCGCCATTGCCCAGGCTTGATTAGGTAAACAAAGCAGCTGGGAAGCTCAAACTGGGTGGAGCCCACCACAGCTCAAGGAGGCCTGCCTGCCTCTGTAGGCTCCACCTCTGGGGGCAGGGCACAGACAAACAAAAAGACAGCAGTAACCTCTGCAGACTTAAGTGTCCCTGTCTGACAGCTTTGAAGAGGGCAGTGGTTCTCCCAGCACGCAGCTGGAGATCTGAGAACGGGCAGACTGCCTCCTCAAGTGGGTCCCTGACCCCTGACCCCCGAACAGCCTAACTGGGAGGCACCCCTCAGTACGGGCAGACTGACACCTCACAGGGCCCAGTACTCCAACAGACCTGCAGCTGAGGGTCCTGTCTGTTAGATAACAAACAGAAAGGACATCCACACCAAAAACCCATCTGTACATCACCATCATCAAAGACCAAAAGTAGATAAAACCACAAAGATGGGGAAAAAACAGAGCAGAAAAACTGGAAACTCTAAAAAGCAGAGTGCCTCTCCTCCTCCAAAGGAACGCAGTTCCTCACCAGCAACGAAACAAAGCTGGATGGAGAATGACTTTGACGAGCTGAGAGAAGAAGGCTTCAGACGATCAAATTACTCCGAGCTAGGGGAGGACATTCAAACCAAAGGCAAAGAAGTTGAAAACTTTGAAAAAAATTTAGAAGAATGTATAACTAGAATAACCAATACAGAGAAGTGCTTAAAGGAGCTGATGGAGCTGAAAACCAAGGCTCGAGAACTACGTAAAGAATGCAGAGGCCTCAGGAGCCGATGCCATCAACTGGAGAAAGGGTATCAGCGATGGAAGATGAAATGAATGAAATGAAGCGAGAAGGGAAGTTTAGAGAAAAAAGAATAAAAAGAAACGAGCAAAGCCTCCAAGAAATATGGGACTATGTGAAAAAACCAAATCCATGTCTGATTGGTGTACCTGAAAGTGATGGGGAGAATGGAACCAAGTTGGAAAACACTCTGCAGGATATTATCCAGGAGAACTTCCCCATTCTAGCAACGCAGGCCAACATTAAGACTCAGGAAATACAGAGAACGCCACAAAGATATTCCTCAAGAAGAGCAACTCCAAGACACATAATTGTCAGATTCACCAAAGTTGAAATGAAGGAAAAAATGTTAAGGGCAGCCAGAGAGAAAGGTCGGGTTACCCTCAAAGGGAAGCCCATCAGACTAACAGTGGATCTCTCGGCAGAAACTCTACAAGCCAGAAGAGAGTGGGGGACAATATTCAACATTGTTAAAGAAAAGAATTTTCAACCCAGAATTTCATATCCAGCCAAACTAAGCTTCATAAGTGAAGGAGAAATAAAATACTTTACAGATAAGCAAATGCTGAGAGATTTTGTCACCACCAGGCCTGCCCTAAAAGAGCTCCTGAAGGAAGCGCTAAACATGGAAAGGAACAACCGGTACCAGCCGCTGCAAAATCATGCCAAAATGTAAAGACCATCGAGACTAGGAAGAAACTGCATCAACTAACGAGCAAAATCACCAGCTAACATCATAATGACAGGATCAAATTCACACATAACAATATTAACTTTAAATGTAAATAGACTAAATGCTCCAATTAAAAGACACAGACTGGCAAATTGGATAAAGAGCCAAGACCCATCAGTGTGCTGTATTCAGAAAACCCATCTCATGTGCAGAGATACACATAGGCTCAAAATAAAAACATGGAGGAAGATCTACCAAAAAAAATGGAAAACAAAAAAAGGCAGGGGTTGCAATCCTAGTCTCTGATAAAACAGACTTTAAACCAACAAAGATCAAAAGAGACAAAGAAGGCCATTACATAATGGTAAAGGATCAATTCAACAAGAAGAGCTAACTATCCTAAATATATATGCACCCAATACAGGAGCACCCAGATTCATAAAGCAAGTCCTGAGTGACCTACAAAGAGACTTAGACTCCCACACATTAATAATGGGAGACTTTAACACCCCACTGTCAACATTAGACAGATCAACGAGACAGAAAGTCAACAAGGATACCCAGGAATTGAACTCAGCTCTATACCAAGCGGACATAATAGACATCTCCAGAACTCTCCACCCCAAATCAACAGAATATACATTTTTTCAGCACCAAACCACACCTATTCCATAATTGACCACATACTTGGAAGTAAAGCTCTTCTCAGCAAATGTAAAAGAACAGAAATTATAACAAACTATCTCTGAGACCACAGTGCAATCAAACTACAACTCAGGATTAAGAATCTCACGCAAAACCGCTCAACTACATGGAAACTGAACAAGCTGCTCCTGAATGACTACTGGGTACATAAAGAAATGAAGGCAGAAATAAAGATGTTCTTTGAAACCAAAGAGAAGACACAACATACCAGAATCTCTGGGACGCATTCAAAGCAGTGTGTATAGGGAAATTTATAGCGCTAAATGCCCACAAGAGAAAGCAGGAAAGATCTAAAATTGACACCCTAACATCACAATTAAAAGAACTAGAAAAGCAAGAGCAAACACATTCAAAAGCTAGCAGGAGGCAAGAAATAACTAAAATCAGAGCAGAACTGAAGGAAATAGAGACACAAAAAACCCTTCAAAAAATTAATGAATCCAGGAGCTGGTTTTTTGAAAGGTTCAACAAAATTGATAGACCGCTAGCAAGACTAATAAAGAAAAAAAGAGAGAAGAATCAAATAGACACAATAAAAAATGATAAAGGGGATATCACCACCGATCCCACAGAAATACAAACTACCATCAGAGAATACTACAAACACCTCTACGCAAATAAACTAGAAAATCTAGAAGAAATGGATACATTCCTCGACACATACACTCTCCCAAGACTAAACCAGGAAGAAGTTGAATCTCTGAATAGACCAATAACAGGATCTGAAATTGTGGCAATAATCAATAGCTTACCAACCAAAAAGAGTCCAGGACCAGATGGATTCACAGCCGAATTCTACCAGAGGTAAAAGGAGGAACTGGTACCATGCCTTCTGAAACTATTCCAATCAATAGAAAAAGAGGGAATCCTCCCTAACTCATTTTATGAGGCCAGCATCATCCTGATACCAAAGCCGGGCAGAGACACAACCAAAAAAGAGAATTTTAGACCAATATCCTTGATGAACATTGATGCAAAAATCCTCAATAAAATACTGGCAAACCGAATCCAGCAGCACATCAAAAAGCTTATCCACCATGATCAAGTGGGCTTCATCCCTGGGATGCAAGGCTGGTTCAATATACGCAAATCAATAAATGTAATCCAGCATATAAACAGAACCAAAGACAAAAACCACATGATTATCTCAATAGATGCAAAAAAGTCCTTTGACAAAATTCAACAACCCTTCATGCTAAAAACTCTCAATAAATTAGGTATTGATGGGACGTATTTCAAAATAATAAGAGCTATCTATGAAAAACCCACAGCCAATATCATACTGAATGGGCAAAAACTGGAAGCATTCCCTTTGAAAACTGGCACAAGACAGGGATGCCCTCTCTCACCACTCCTACTCAACATAGTGTTGGAAGTTCTGGCCAGGGCAATTAGGCAGGAGAAGGAAATAAAGGGTATTCAATTAGGAAAAGAGGAAGTCAAATTGTCCCTGTTTGCAGACAACATGATTGTATATCTAGAAAACCCCATTGTCTCAGCCCAAAATCTCCTTAAGCTGATAAGCAACTTCAGCAAAGTCTCAGGATACAAAATCAATGAACAAAAATCACAAGCATTCTTATACACCAATAACAGACAAACAGAGAGCCAAATCATGAGTGATCTCCCATTCACAATTGCTTCAAAGAGAATAAAATACCTAGGAATCCAACTTACAAGGGACGTGAAGGACCTCTTCAAGGAGAACTATAAAGCACTGCTCAAGGAAATAAAAGAGGATACAAACAAATGGAAGAAGATTCCATGCTCATGGGTAGGAAGAATCAATATCGTGAAAATGGCCATACTGCCTAAGGTAATTTACAGATTCAATGCCATCCCCATCAAGCTACCAATGACTTTCTTCACAGAATTGGAAAAAACTACTTTAAAGTTCATATGGAACCAAAAAAGAGCCCACATCGCCATGTCAATCCTAAGCCAAAAGAACAAAGCTGGAGGCATCACACTACCTGACTTCAAACTATACTACAAGGCTACAGTAACCAAAACAGCATGGTACTGGTACCAAAATAGAGATATAGATCAATGGAACAGAACAGAGCCCTCAGAAATAACGCCGCATATCTACAACTATCTGATATTTGACGAACCTGACAAAAACAAGCAATGGGGAAAGGATTCCCTATTTAATAAATGGTGCTGGGAAAACTGGCTAGCCACATGTAGAAAGCTGAAACTGGATCCCTTCCTTACACCTTATACAAAAATCAATTCAAGATGGATTAAAGACTTAAACCTTGGACCTAAAACCATAAAAACCCTAGAAGAAAACCTAGGCATTACCATTCAGGACATAGGCATGGGCAAGGACTTCATGTCTAAAACACCAAAAGCAATGGCAACCAAAGCCAGAATTGACAAATGGGATCTAATTAAAGTAAAGAGCTTCTGCACAGCAAAAGAAACTGCCATCAGAGTGAACAGGCAACCTACAAAATGGGAGAAAATTTTCGCAACCTACTCATCTGACAAAGGGCTAATATCCAGAATCTACAATGAACTCAAACAAATTTACAAGAAAAAAACAAACAACCCCATCAAAAAGTGGGCAAAGGACATGAACAGACACTTCTCAAAAGAAGACATTTATGCAGCCAAAAAACACATGAAAAAATGCTCATCATCACTGGCCATCAGAGAAATGCAAATCAAAACCACAATGAGATACCATCTCACACCAGCTAGAATGGCAATCATTAAAAAGTCAGGAAACAACAGGTGCTGGAGAGGATGTGGAGAAACAGGAACACTTTTACACTGTTGGTGGGACTGTAAACTAGTTCAACCATTGTGGAAGTCAGTGTGGCGATTCCTCAGGGACCTAGAACTAGAAATACCATTTGTCCCAGCCATCCCATTACTGGGTATATACCCGAAGGACTATAAATCATGCTGCTATAAAGACACATGCACACGTATGTTTATTGTGGCATTATTCACAATAGCAAAGACTTGGAACCAACCCAAATGTCCAACAGTGATAGACTGGATTAAGAAAATGTGGCACATATACACCATGGAATACTATGCAGCCATAAAAATTGATGAGTTCATGTCCTTTGTAGGGACATGGATGAAATTGGAAATCGTCATTCTCAGTAAACTATCGCAAGAACAAAAAACCAAACACTGCATATTCTCACTCATAGGTGGGAATTGAACAATGAGAACACATGGACACAGGAAGGGGAACATCACACTCTGAGGACTGTTGTGGGGTGGGGGGAGGGGGGAGGGATAGCATTGGGAGATATACCTAACGCTAGAGGAGGAGTTAGTGGGTGCAGCGCACCAGCATGGCACATGTATACATATGTAACTAACCTGCACATTTACCCCAAAACTTAAAGTACAATAATAATAAATAAAAAATAAATAAATAAAACGAAAAAAAAATAGGATTTATTTTTATTTACTACATAACAAGCACTGTGCCAAGTAGGCATCACATCATGTAATCATGAAAAATTAATCATCAAAATAGCCGTGTGAGGTTGGTATTATTATTCTTATTCCTATTTTTAAATTAAAAAAATAGGTGAAATAAGGTTAGCAGGAACTTTATTTGAAGCCAAATTTATCTGACTCTATCCTTTAATGACCACAGCATTCTGTGTTCTTTTCAATTTCAATATTACTTAGGAAATATAAACTGTTTAAGTGGAAACAATATATAGTGATCAAAAATATATTTTGAAAGAGCTTACAAAAAACTTTGAAAAATGTATTGTTGAATCCAACAAACTGAGTATTAGAAGAATATTAAGCAGAACCTTGTTCTCTCAAATTCTGGTTAATTCACAAAGGACAATAAACTTATTATAGACAAAGTACTTTTGTCAAAAGAACAAAACAAAAGAGCCCATCCAAGCAGCACTCAAGAATGACAATGAGATCTGCTGACTACCATATGTAAGAAACTAAATATTGTCTCATTGTCTTAGCACTGTCAGGTGGAAGTCAATAGAGTTTTCTTAATAAAAAGTGTTATATGCAAACAAAAATTCCTATTGATTGTCTAATATGTGTCACGTCCTGAACCAAGAACCACTGGCACATAAATGAACAAAACATAGTTCTCACCATCATAGAACTATTCCACAGAGAAGAGACGGATATGGATAAATAAATCAAAAGGCTTATGATAATGTGTCACAACTACAAGATCATATAGTGGGAAAATGGAGCAAAGAGGGTTTGCTCTCAAAATCCCACATAATGGAACTGTTGGTTCTAAACAGGCAACTGAAGCTAAATATGTAAACAGGGATCTTTGGGGCAACATGAACCTTTTTATTTAACACCATAGAGGGCAGATGTCTCTGGTGAATCTTGTCTGAGGGAGAACGATCTGTTCTGTAACTAATTCTCATAAAACACCTGTTACAAACCTGGTGTTTGTATTTAATTCCTTTTTTTGCATTTTTTTTTCTATTCAAAATGAAAACATACTCTATTATTTCCTCTTGCCATATTCCGCTTGTTGAACAGCTTTGATTAGTGGCAGCAGCATGATCTGATAACTTGGTCACAGCAGTTTAAATGATTCTAAGTAGTAAGGCTGCTGAAAGTAAAAGGAAGTGTTAACTATTCTGGCCACTTCTTGCAGAGGGAGGTAAGAATATTATACTCTTAACTGCTCCCCAGGTTCCAGCTGTCAGCAGGAAACTCAGAAGTAATTTATTCAGACAATTCTGTGCTCCTTTAATGAGTGTGGGTGCTAGTTAGCCTCTATGAAATATAGACAGTCTCAATTGTTTGTCCATGTAACTTGTAACGTGAAAGACTAAGTAGAAATCTAGATACTAAATTCATTAGAAAAGATGGCCAATATTAATTAGAATTTAATATGGGCTATATGATTGAAGTTGAAAAATTATACTTATGAACACATACTTCTGAAAGAGAAAAATGTGGATTCATTTTCCTTAATTTAACTCACTACTGAGACTACAATTTAAAAATCCTGTTTAATGAAATTTTATAACCTCTCTATTTCAGTATACAGTTGCTTCAGTAAAGTCTTCAGCAGAAAGTATTAATTGAGTTAAATAACTTCCCCTAATGAATCAGTATTATTTTGGATAATAAACCTATTTTCCAGAGAGATTTTAATTTATAGTCACCCTTTCCTATGTCTGCGAGTGTAACTGTTGAAATTTCCTTTCTATGTTAAAAGTATATAGTATAGGTTTTGATAACCAATTTCAGAACATGGCAGTAATAATGTTCAATCCTATTTTGGGAGATAGTTTTTTTCAAATTTTTCAAATTTTGTATATGATTATTTTATTTTTATAGGTATGGCATTTATTCATATACTACATTAAACATCATCCCAAACTCATATCTTACACCTAAGACACTTATAAAGACCAAAGGCCTCAAAAACTTTAGATCTTTTAATAATCATCACAATACACCTAACATTCATGAGGCAATAGGGGAATGGGGACTGGAAGACAAATATGGCTTAAAAATGGGTTTTCTATTTTAGCGTACAAAGGCACTTTGAATTGTCACTTCTTCCATTTCTAAATCTATTATACTCACATAGGAAATAACCTCACTATTGTCTTTGGTTTTCTGGCTTCTTTCAGTAACCAGGTTTTGTTGAGGGATGTGGGAGTACAGTCTGACTGGCTTAGGAAATGTGGTCAGCATAAAAGGCCACCAAGCCTTACACCACACAATGCTAAAAAAGAACTACTTCACATATATGAGACATGGGACCACTCAAATTAAGTGAAGAGGAAAGCAGGAGGAACTAAATTTACATATAATTGAGTTTTTAATAGAAGAAATTCACTGAAGTGAGTCAGAGCCAAAATATCATCATTTAAGATTTGCTTTAACCACTGATCACGTCACCAATTCTGGATAAACATATGAGCAACATTATGCCTCTACAGGGGAGGGATAATTATACTGAGCCTTTCCTGTTTAACTTAGAGTAATTTTGAAGCCTAAATAAAACACTATTTGTGTAGAATATTTTGTAAACTGGAACTCAGTGTATAAACATTACTGCTAAATATTTGTAGTAGTAGTAACATAACAGGAGATTAAATCATGGTGTACAGTGGTTAGTAAAGATAAACTGTACTATAATTTAAAAAGTGGACTGTATGCCAGAATAACTAAATGTTTCTTTTTTTATTGCAAATTACATACCAAAAACAAAGTGATTTTAAATGTATTTTGGTCAGTTTTGACAAATGCCTAGATTCATTTAACCCACACCACTATGAAGTTTAGGATATCTTACTACCCCAGTGTCTTCATACTCTCTTTCACTGAACCCCCACTCAACTGGCCCCCAAAAACAACTCATCTGATTTCTATGATCAAGAAATCATACAGTATTAAATTCAGGGTTCCTGGCTTCTTTCATTCAACATTATGTTTCTGAGAGTCATTCATTTTGTTGCATGCATCACTAGTTTGTCCCTTTCTATTGGTGAACAATCTTCTATTGTAGGAATATGCCAGTTTGTTTATCCATTCTCCTATGGATGAACATCTAAGCTACTCCCTGATTTTGACTATTATCAACAAAGCTACTATGAATATTCTTATACAAGTGTTTTTGTGGATGAAGGTTTTCATTTATCATAGATAAATACTTAGGATTCAAATTACAGGGCCATAAAGTTGATATGTATTAATTTTTAAGAGAAACTGACAGTTATTATCCAGTCTGTCTTTTAATTGGGATGTTTATATTCAATGCAATTATTGTAATGTTTGGATTTAGGTCTACTATCCAGGTATTTGAATTCATCTCAGACAATCTGTATTTTGTTTCTTTGTTCCTTCTTTTTGCCTTGTTTTGGAAACAGATAACTCTACTATTTTTAGTATTCCATTTTATCTTTCCTATTGACGTTTTTGGGGGGTGGGGGAACAGAGTTTCACTCTGTCACCCAGGCTGGAGTGCAGTGGCATGATCTTGGCTCACTGCAACTTCCACCTCCCGGGTTCAAGTGATTCTTGTGCCTCAGCCTCACGAGTAGCTGGAATTACAGGCGGGCCACCACGCCTGGATAATTTTTGTATTTTTGCATAGACGAGGTTTCACCATGTTTGCCAGGCTGGTCTCAAACTCCTAACCTCCAGTGATCTGCCCGCCTTAGCTTCTCAAAGTGCTGGGATTACAGGTGTAAGTCACCACGCCAGGCCTCTACTGACCTTTTACTTATGCCCATATTAGTTTCCTAGAGCTGCTGTAATGCAGTACCAAACAAGGTGGCTAAAACAACAGAAATTTATAATCTCTACTAGTTTCTGGTGATTTGCTGGCAATCTTTGGCATTGCTTGGCTTCTGCTGCATGAGCCCGGTCTCCGCTTTCATTTTCACATGGTTTTCTACCTATGTGTGTGTGCATGCCTGTGTTCAAATTTCCCCTATTTATTAAAAGGACACAAGTCATATTGGATTTGAAGTCCACTCTACTCTGATATGACCTTATCTTAACTAATTACATCTTTGGTGACCCTGTTTTCTAATAAGATCATGTTCTGAGGTACTGAGGGTTAGAAGTTGAACATATGCACAGTTCAACCTGTAACAGTGGCTCTCTGTGCTGGTCTTAGTTTTTGCTCATAATATTGTTATATGTACCTTTAATATATATCACAGTCTACTTTCAAAAAATAGTCCACTAGTTCATGACAAACCTAAGAACCTTATAATAGTATACCTTCAATTATCACCCTCCGATCCCTTGTGTTCTTACTGTTACGTTTTACTTTTATATATGCCATAAACACATTATATTGTTATTATTTTTCCTTAAGTCAGACAAATGTGTTTAACAAAACTAAAAATATATGTATATTTATTATATAAAAATATTTATGTATATACATCCTATATGTATTTGCCTATATATCTTCCTACATAAATATATATTCTTATGCACATACATATTATATTCCTATTTATATAAATGAAAATTTATTTATATTTATTTACATACGATTCTCTGAAATGTTCTTCAACTCAAAGATCACTACATACGTATCTGGTAACATTTCTTTTTAGCCTAAAAACATTTTAAAAGCATTTCTGTAGTATAAGGGCTTTAGAGAAAAATTTAGCTTTTTAAATTTTGGGAAGTATCTCCATTTCACCTTCTTTTTAAAAGATATTTTGGTGGAGTATTAATTCTAGGTTGACAGTTTTTTCTTTCAGAACTTCAAATATGTTATTCCATTATCTCCTGGCTTCCACTGCATCTGATGAGAAACTAGCCCACATGTTGTACACCATTTCAAATAAGCCCCTTCATATATTTATTATAGGAATTTTAAAATCCTTTACTGATAATTGCAACATTTGAGGTATGTCTACCTCTGATTCTATTGATTCTTTCCTTCTTTCTTGGCAAAGGATTATATTTTCCTGCTTTTTTGTGTATTGTAATTTTTTTAGTGAATGTGAGCATTGTGTATAAAAAATAAGGACTGAGGGAAGTAACATTCACACACAGCAAAAAGTATATCATTTGTTCAGACAGGTTGACAGTACAGTCCAATGAGTTAGTCTAGTGTGTAGTTTCGATAGGGGTTAGGAGGTGAATTGTATCCCCTTTTGCCCAAATTCATATGTTGAAGTCCTAACTCTCAGTTCCTCAGAACATGTCTCTGTTTGTAGATAAGGTCTTTTAAGAGGTAAAGTTAAATGAGGCCATTAAGATGTCAATAACTGAGACTTGTATATAGTGCAGCAGTGATACACAAATATGGTAGGTCCTGGTCCAATACAATTGGTGTCCTTTGAAGAAGAAATTAGGACACATATACACACAGAGGGAAAGACAATGTGAAGACACAAGGAGGAGATGGCAATCTTCAAGCCAAGGAAAGAGATTTCAGGAAAAAACATCCCTGTCATCAACTTGATCTTGGACTTCCAGCCTCCAAAATCATAAGAAAAAATTTTTATTTAAGCAACCCAGTCTGAGGTTCTTGGTTATGGCAGCCCTAGGAAACTCATACAATGGGTCTGAGCCTTGTTGTTTTAAGTAAATTCAGTTCACCATGGGCTTAAATTTTGAGGTCAAAATCAGAACCCTCTCTGTAGCAGGACTTAAGAGTCTCAGTGCCTAGAGCTATTTTTCTTAGTTCTTGTGTGCTGTCCTCGGATGCATGAGAGGTATACCTCAACTCTCTTTTGCCTGTCCCAACGGTATAGGGCCATTTCCTGGTACTTTTGAAAGGCCCAGAACACCTGTGGGATTTATCTCAGTTCTTATCTCTACCATCAATGCACTGCACTTGTGAGGTAGAAGACTTCTCTCTTAACTCTTCTCTCCCTCCCCGAATGGAAGATATGCATTGGGTCACTCAATGGAGAGTATCTGTGGGGCTTCTCTCAGTTCTCTCCATTGCTCTCAGGCTTTAGCACTCTGCAAGTGAAGTCTCAGCTCTTCTTTCTCCCCTCCTTCCCCAGCTTAAGGTCCAGTCTTGTGCATATGTACCTATGATGGGAAGGGGGATCTCAATTTTCCTTCCCCTTCTCCTGAGGTAAACTGTCTCTGCCACTTGCTCAGTGTAAGGCCCAGAATGCAAAGGCCCTTCTTTTAGTTCTCAGTGAGACTACAGTAGACTCAGTACGCCTGCTCCTTAAAAGATTTGCTTCTCAGTTTTCTTGCCCTCGCCTCAGTCTTTCTCATGAGTTCTCAGTGAAGATGAATGGAAAAGAGATGTGGAATAGGAAAAGGTTCCCCTTTGTAAATAGGGCTCTTGCAGATTTCAAATGAAAAATGTTCATTCCAAAAATTAAAGTCATTATATATCCTGTATATAGTAGGAGGGATCACATTTGGATTTTAATTCACTCAGTTACTTTCTCTTTGGACCTTATTCTTTGATGAGCTAAAATATTTTATTTTTTAGGTTATGCAGCTTACTTTTATCATTAAGCTGGGAAGGGCATTCACTTTTTATAACTTTCTACATCTTAAATAAAAACAGCAGCCCATCACATTTCTTTTTAATTACCCCTTCTCATCTCACCAATTGTTTATCTTCCTTTTCATTTCTTTTTTCTTCGGAGCTGTGTGTTTTGATGTTCTAGGGCTTGCATATAGTTTGAAGTTTTCATCTTATTTTTTTCATAGCTAACAATTTTCAAGTGTTTACTAAATAGACACACTGCATTAAATATCTCACACATATTATGCCATTTAATTTTCAGAGAAACACTACAAGAAAATCACTTTAATGATGGCCTCTTTGCATGTAAGAAAAATGAGTCTTCAGTAACTTGGACAAGGTCACAGAGCTTGCAATGGATGAATTTAAGCCACGGTACTCTGACTTTGTATGGAGCTGTTAAGTAGTACACTGTTTTTACTTCTCAGTATACTAACACTTGCTTCATTTTTGTGCCCTTAATGGATGTGAAATCATATGCTGACGACTGCTATAATTCAGGGGTGATTTACAATTGGCATTAATACTGAGACTGTCCACTTTATTTTTATGTTATAAAAGGAACACACAAAAGATAAAATAAACTTAGGATTGTACGTAAAATAGATGTCAAGTCGAAGTATGTGTGTCAAAACAATACTCATACTTTAAAACTCAAAATTGCAATATAGGTCCAGTGTTATCAAGTTACATCTCCAAGAATAAGAGAGTAAGAAAAATTGGTATTAGAGTTGCTCCAATAGTCAGCTCCAACACCCACTATGTATATGAGGACACAATCCAATTGACTTTCTCTAACGTGCAGTTCACTCCTTCATTATATAGAATAACAATGTCTATAATCTTCACAGGGTTCTGCCAGGACCAAATAAAATAATACATGATGTCAAGCCTAAGTGTGTGTGTCAAAACAATACTCACACTTTAAAACCCCAAACTGCAACGCAGGTACAGTTTTATCAAGTTACACCTTCAATAATAAGAGAGTAAGAAAAATTGGCATTAGAGTTGCTCCAATAGTCAGCTCCAACATCCACTATGTATATGAGGACACAATCCAATTGACTTTCTCTAACGTGCAGTTCACTCCTTCATTATATAGAATAACAATGTCTATAATCTTCACAGGGTTCTGCCAGGACCAAATAAAATAATACATGATGTCAAGCCTAAGTGTGTGTGTCAAAACAATACTCACACTTTAAAACCCCAAACTGCAACGCAGGTACAGTTTTATCAAGTTACACCTTCAATAATAAGAGAGTAAGAAAAATTGGCATTAGAGTTGCTCCAATAGTCAGCTCCAACACCCACTATGTATATGAGGACACAATCCAATTGACTTTCTCTAACGTGCAGTTCACTCCTTCATTATATAGAATAACAATGTCTATAATCTTCACAGGGTTCTGCCAGGACCAAATAAAATAATACATGATGTCAAGCCTAAGTGTGTGTGTCAAAACAATACTCACACTTTAAAACCCCAAACTGCAACGCAGGTACAGTTTTATCAAGTTACACCTTCAATAATAAGAGAGTAAGAAAAATTGGCATTAGAGTTGCTCCAATAGTCAGCTCCAACACTATGTATATGAGGACACAATGCAATTGACTTTCTCTATTATGCAGTTTACTCCTTCATTACATAGAATAATAATGTCTATAATCTTCACAGGGTTCTGCAAGGACCAAATAAAGTAATACATGAAGGTATATTTGAAAATCTGTGAAATAGTTTTCAAATATTAGATGTGAATAACCCCATTAATATTGGGAAGCTCTAAGCTTTAAAAGTTATCAGTGTTATTTCCTGAAAAAAATAAGTAATGAGCCTTTTAAAATGTGAATATCTCAGACTTGTATATAACGCATCAATCCTACACAAATATGGTAGATCAACTAAGGTTAAAACATTCTGGAAACCCAGAAAGGTCATTTATCTCAGCTTGTGATTATAATATACTGGTAATATGTATTTATACTTTATAAGGAAACAATAAGAATTATTGTAATTACACTTAGTAAGAGAAATAAAAAAGCAAGAAAACAGAACAGTTGTGTGGGTATAACAAGGCTCTGAAAAGGAAGCTGATAATTAACTTCCTGGTATAAAACATCAAGGGCCAATATCTAGGCTAGATGATGACACTAGTTCAATTTTATCATGAACTTAACAGGCATGACACCAGACTGTACATCTAAAGGCTGAACAAAGACTTTTCCTAAGCTTCCAGGCAGGGGAAGAAAAAATGAAAGTAGAAAGAGCAAGAAAGAGGGCAATTCCTTCATTGATTTTTAAACAATATATGCTTTGATGATGACTATTGCTTTCTTTCATTAACTTAAAAGAACAAGCTAGTACTCACAGAGATTTAAAGACTCAGTAAGATATTCTCATTCTGAATGTGACTTTCACAATATATATATAGACATTTATTTAACATGAAAAGATTATTGCAACCTTAAAAATTTCCAGTGTCCAAAAATAAATGTTTTTTTAGGTAGGAATTTCAAAACGAAAAACTCATTTCCTAGTGTTCATCATTTTGACTGAAATAATAAAATTAGACATAGGCAAATAAAAATGAAGAAAGCAATGATCAAAATTAATAGCAATTGACTTGTCCTATTAGTAATTATCTTTGACTTGGTGAGTGTGTTCTAAGAAGTTGTCTAGATACTGTTTGATAGTTCTCTTATAGGCACCTCATTGATATAGGCACATAAATAAGAGTTTACTTTTAAAGAAAACACTACTAGTTAGATTGTTCTTTTTGACATTATATTCAGCGGCCAGGTGTGGTGGCTCACGCCTGTAATCCCAGCACTTTGGAAGGCTGAGGGGGGCAGATCACGAGGTCAGGAGATTAAGACCATCCTGGCTAACACGGTGAAACCCCGTCTCTACTAAAAATACAAAAAAAGAAAAGAAAAAAAAGAAAAGAAAAAAAAAATTAAATTTAGCTTATTTTAGTTGAGTAACAAGTGTCACATTTCTGATTTTAATTAAACTCATTTTCTTCTTCATCTGTGTAGTTAATCTAGCCAACAAAAGTTTGGTAACTACTTTCTATCTGCCCATTACCTGGTGCTATTTTGTAATAATTATTTTAACGGTAATGTATAGGGTGGAGAGACTCAGCAACATCATAAGCAAAGAGAAAACAGGAATCCCTTCTAAGAGTCTACCTTAGCATTTACTAATCGTTGATCTATACAACACCAGTCTTATGAGATACTAACAGGTACTTTATGATGAAAAGGGTTCCTTGGTTAGATGCTTTAAAGAAATGTTGAGTTAATCAATATTAAATGGATTTCTTTATTATAGAACTTTTAAAGGCATTAATGTGCATTGTGAATCTCCAAGGGGTGAAAAAGTATGCAGCTTTCCTAAGTTTATTTGATCTTAGAAACCTTTTATTATTTTTTTCCAGAACATTCATTAATACATCACTGGTTATGACTATTCCATAAAATTGAATTTAGAAAGTGCTGATCTAGGTGAAGTCAGGATTACGGAGATGTCACTAGAAATATTGAGAAAGGTGCAAATTCATTAGACATAACAAAGGAACAACGAAAAGAAAACCTTTGACAGTATTGTAAAAGAGTACAAAAGAGAAGGAACAGTGAAAGGTAACTGCCACAATTTTTAGCCCAGGAGATGGGAATATAATAGAATTACCAACACAAGTTGAGCTATGCTAAGACATGCCTGCTATCGATTACTTTATTCATTTAATCACGTAGTAAGCATTTATTTAGCACTCAGAATTATTTAGAATAGTAAGATAGGTAGTGAAGGGAAAATTAGTCCTATTTCGACCATAATACCTAATGACTGCTATGGTATCTTCTAAATGACAAGGTAAGTAGACATCTTTCAAGGAGCCTACAAACCTCATATCTGAGAACTACCATCTATTTCCCTGTCCATAAAACGGCTCCATATGTGCTTTGCACACATTTGTATATCTACTTTGTGACCATGATTTACAACCTAACCAAATATTCTTTCCCAGTATCTGGCTAGCCAGCTGTAGCTGATTTCTTAAATTACAGACATGTAAACATGATGACTATGAGAAAGTTGGCCATTTGCACACTTCAGCAGTAAGAATCATTTAACAATGACAAAAATAAGAGTGAAAAAAAGAGAGAGTTACAAAGAGGGTAAAGGATAAAAAGAGAAAGAGTGAGAGGAAGATAAACAACAACAACCAACAGCATGTAGATTTCTGACTCCTTGATATCTTTACAGTTTTTGTCCCAGGACAACATGAAGTCAGCTAACAGTATTTTTCCAAAAATATTTCTTTCTCAATCAAGCTATTCTTTACTGAGTTCCTATTACTTGCAGTAAAAAGAGCTATGATTAAAACAGAAATGTCATGAATAAATTACATATATGAAATTTTAATAACATCAGTAGTGAAAAAATTACTTCACCTTTCAAGAAACATTATATTAATTAGGAAGGTTTAAGTATGCCTGAAATATTACATGTGTATAAACCCTATGAGAATTTAATGGTCAATTCAGTTCAGAAAACTGGGATAATACTCTGTTCCAATCTATACAGTACACTAAAATCCAGGAAAAGCATAATAACTTTGAAGTGCTGATTTCATAGGGGTAGTCTTTCACATTTAAAGAAAGTGTGCATGCAAAATACATAGATGAAGAGATCTGTCATATGGCTCGCACTCTGGGGTGTTAAAATAGAAGTACTGGGAGGCATTTGCCCAAAGATTGGCAGGAATTGTGTCAAGGACTTAGCATAGTAATTGATGGGAAATCCAGAATGTTTAGACAGAATTGATTAGAATTAGTCTCTACAGAATATCATGCCAACACATGGATACAATTAGGACACATGTTCAATGCAAATGACTGTGATTCTGGCAGTCTGCATTATAATTTTTGGATGAATCCAAATGACTTGGAATTTTTTTTTTTTTTTTTTTTTTTTTTTTTTTTTTTTTTTTTTTTTGCCCCGAGACGGAGTCTTGCATTGTCGCCTAGGCTGGAGTGCAGTGGTGTGATCTTAGCTCACTGCAAACTCCACCTCCCCAGTTTAAGCAATTCTCCTGCCTCAGCCTCCCGAGTAGCTGGGATTACAGGCTTCCACTACCACACCCAGCTAATTTTTGTATTTTTAGTAGAGAGGGGATTTTACCATGTTGGCCAGGCTGGTCTTAAACTCCTGACCTCGTGACCCGCCCACCTCGGCCTCCCATAGTGCTGGGATTACAGGCGTGAACCACCGCGCCTGGCCACTTGGACTTTTTTTTAAAATGGAGAAAAACCATATAGAACAACTTGAGATACTAATAGTTGATGGCCCTGAATAAACAAGATGAATAGATTTATGTTGTTAAACTGCAAATACATGTCTACAAAGTAAGTAATAATAGGGGTGTAATTACTCTCACTACATTGCCAAGAAGATAAACATTTTTCTCTACTGATTTCTAATAGTATCAGCATCAATTATTTGCAAATGTTCCAGGTTGTTCTTTCAGAAAATGAAAATGAATCTTTTCTATCTCCATAGTACTTTTAAGCGAAAGAGGTTCCCAAAGAGTCTCCATCTGTATATGACAAATTTCACTAATTCTCACCCTGCTTCTCTGCAAAGCATATCATTCTCACCAAAGTCTCACTTGTTTTCTCAGCATGGATTTGTTACCCTAGTGCTGTAGCAAGATTTCAGGTCCCAGAGACTGGGAGGCTGTCATGCAAGTGAAGCTGTATTTGCTTTGTAGAAATAGGTGCTATGTAAACAGAAGGTACCAATACTATCCTGTGGCAGCACTTACTCTCTGGGGGTTTTATATACTGTCAACAAGAACAAAGTCCAATTTTATTTTCTTTAATGCTAAGATTCTTATACAGGGCTCTCCCTGAGCTGTATTTTGAAGCAGAATGAGTTGAATTTCGGCAAAGCAGTTCCCACCATCTTTACAGCCCTCTCTTTGAGAAGAAATGAACACTTCCCTCAAAACCTGAACAAGAATGAAAAAAATGCTAAGAGTAATCTTTTCTGCAGGAGAAAAGAACCAACCATCTTCCATGCTAGGAAACCATACCAGAACTTTCTAAGTAGGGAGGTTAATATGTCAAACTGTGATTTAGACTCATACCCTTCATTTATAATTAAATTAAACTTGTCATTAGTAAGATGAAAAATGTTAAATGAAATTGCTGAATGAGCTCAGTGATGGGTAAACCACATTATAAATACTCATTATTCTCTAAGAGCTTCTTTGTCTTAAAGTGAATACTTTGTCAAAGAATCTGAAACATGCATTATTTTCATCCCACTAATCATTAAGTTACCGTAGCTGTCAGCAGTAGATAGGACCAGCAAGGCTGATCAGATTGGCAGTGCAGGGTAAGAGTGAGGAGCAGAGAGACTCTAGGACAGAACTGCTCACATTTGTCTCCAGACTTCACCACTTCATAGATGTGTAATTTTTGGCCAAGTTATTAAACCTCTCTGTGTCAGTTTTTTTTCCACAATGTAATAGGAGACAATATTAGTACTTATATTTAAGGGTAGTTACAGAATTAAGTAAATTAATAGCAAGCCTTGCACATAACCATGTTATGTAAGTATTAGCTGCTATTATTATTACTATTACCATTATCATTAGAATGTGTATCATGTTATTAAATTAACTCCAAGGAGAGTTACTCTGTAACACGAACCCATTTGGTCCAAGCATCCTTGTTATTGAGGTTTGCTCCCTGCCTATCTGTAGAGCCTTATTTCTGAATGTCCTCCTTTCATTTCCTCAATCCCCTAGCCCACCCAAACACAAAACATATGACAGTGACTCAGATAATCTTCAAAGCAATGTGTTCATATTTTTTTAAAGTTTAATGCAAAAGAGAGGTTTAAAAAATTGGGAAATTAAGGCAATATAAGCAGGCAGGGTGGACTTAGAAGGGTACTATCCCCTTCGAAATACCCAAACCCTACCATTTATTCTATTTTGTAAAATGCAGTCTTTTGTAATTCCAATATACTGAAAGGCACTATTTACTTTTTTGTTTGTTTGTGTTTCTTTATTTGTTTGTTTGTTTTTTAGATTGAGTCTCACTCTGTTGCCCAGGCTGGAGTGCAGTGGCATGATCACAGCGCACTGCAACCTCCGCCTCCCAGGTTCAAGCAATTCTCCTGCCTCAGCCTCCCGAGTAGCTGGGATCACAGGCACCCGCCACCATGCCCAGCTAATTTTTGTATTTTTAGTAGAGAGGGGGTTTCACCATGTTGGCCAGACCATGGTTGGTCATCGGACTCCTGACCTCAGGTGATCCGCCCACCTCTGCCTCCCAAAATGTTGGGATTACAGGCATGAGCCACCACATTCGGCTAACTATTCATTATTAATAATTACCACTGTGCCAACTCTGAAGGAATATATATGAACATTTCTAAAAAAAGTAAGTTTATTTTTTTTGCACAAGCTACAAGTAGAAAAGACAAATTTTAAATAAGGGAAAATTAATATAAGATCAAGTAAAGGTTCAAAATTCCGCAAAATACTAGTAATACAACGTTTCATGATTCATCAGAGAAATGGTAATTGATAATAAAAATATTAATCAGAGGCAATAAAGGGTAGAGGGTTATTTTAATTTATTTGAAAAGGAGCAAATCCAGATTAAAATTATGAATTGATGAAGTATACTCTTATTGTAGGTATTAAAAATAATGGCAAAAACAACAATTATTTTCACATCAACCTAATAGTTAAATGTAATGACAGACATTTAATTTAAAATACGGAGAGGAACTCAAAAGAAACTACAACTGTGCACTACCTCTAAGTCAGATACACTGAAGCGTCTGAGTAGTATATTACATTTCATCTAATTTTCATAAAAACCTATATGTTAAAATTTGATAATATTATTTCCTTTTAGAGATTAAAATAGTAGAACTCAGGAGGATTATGTAAAGATAATTTCACTGATAAATAAAAGCTGTTACTGAACTTACGTCTATATCACTTTAAAACTAGGTTCTTTCATCAGCATCAAACTACTTCCAGTTTTCCTTCATAAAGTTATAATAGAAAATACAATTATAAAATAAGGGATTTATATAAACATAACTTAGGAAACATATCCTTGGGCTTAAAGTTAAATTTTTAATTAGTGATTAATGTTTTTGTTGTGCTTCATCCCTCTTGAGAAAGAAGAAATTTCACGTTTCAACTTTGCAATAGGGTAGACAGTACTAATAGGATATTAAATTAGAGATCAAAAGAGAAAAAAATACCTTTAAAGATGTTTGAGGAGATGAAAAATGGCATACAGTCAATAACACCAACTTGGTTCTTACCTAAATTTTGCGTTTGAAGAAATAGGCTGAATTATGAATTGTATGAAAATATGAATACTTGACGATAAGCAGTTTAATCCAAATAAATGGATATTTAGAGAAAAAGAAATAGAGCTAAAGACACACTTAAACAAAAGTCACTATGTAAAACATTAATTTAATCACTATACAGGAATATTTTAAAAATAAATCCTTAAATCACATGAAAAAGTAAATTTTTTTTTTGTAGATTTTAAAGTGAGAAATGACTTAATATTTTTATCCGGGGTTTTCTAATTTGATTTTAAGGTCAAATAGAAAGCCATGTAAATATATATTTTAAACTGTAGAGTGTTAAGAAAGTATAATGGCATTTAATTTACTCTGCAAAAACTGAGGAGTTCTTAATAGTTACACACTTGCAGACACTTAATCATGGTTGTATGCTATACAGAAATACATAAAATAGAGCAAAAGAGAACACTGCTAATGAATGCAGTTTTCACCCTTTACTTACTTACTACTCAAAATTAGTTTAATGTTATGCCTAGAATACCAACACCCACACTTCTGTTCATCTTTATTCCTCCTTTAAGAAGCTTAGTTGTCTCTGTAAAGTCTTCCTTACCATATTATGCTGAGACATATGATTTACCAGTGTCATCCTGTATCACCCTGTATTGACCTCTATCCAAATTCTTAGCTTTGTATTATGCATTTTTATATATTTGTCTGACCTCTCATTAGGAATCTAAGGTATGTGAAGGGACAAATGGCCTATATTCAAATTCAAAAATACTCAAATTAATAAGTAGAAAATATCTAGGTAAGGGTTGTATAGAGAGAAATTATAAATTAGCAACGTAACGAATGTATGTGCTGATATATATACATACACCAATTCATGTTGGTATGAATGTATGTATATACATGTGTGCATATATTTATATGCTTTATTCTAACAACATTATTATCTAAAGCAAGTAAAAAATAGCATTAAAGCATCTAATATTTATACATTAAGTTCATGTAGTTTTTGGAATAAATACTACCAATTATGTTTATGACTGAACTTTTCTGAGCACTCCACATAAAGAGCAATATGGCCTACCCCACCCACAAACATATACACTTTATCTAGTTTGTTCACTGCTTTATCTCAGTGGCATGAACACTGCTTGGCATACACCAAGCACTAAATAAATAACCGTTGAATGATTTGGCTGGATGAAAAACAATACTTAACCTTAATGTAACTACATACAAGAGTCAAAGTTCACATGACATTGTTTTATTTTCTACATTTCACGTTCTACATTTGCAGCTCTTTTTGGTTCAGTATCATTATCTAGGCAATTTTTCAAAATAATTTGCATTTTTTAATACAAGGCAAAAAAATTGTCCCTAAAGTAACTGAGAATGAGGACATTAATGAGGCATATCTACTACAATAGTGTAATTTTAAAGTAATTTATAAGTTTTAAAAAATAGATTTCTTAACTGTATATAACAAAATATTTAAGCTGCTTTTGGGGGTAGTTTAGTACATAAAATTACATCATTATAGTTAATCTTATGACAATGGTTTATCTTCACTTCAAATTCTTAATGACATCTCATATCCATTAGATTCAAAGCATAGGTAGAATATCTGGCATAAAGTAACTCAGCCTTTCTCAACCTGGGTTCCACAAAACAATTAAACTCTATATAAAATGACTTTATGGACTATTTTTTCAATTCTTCCAAGGATTACAAGACTGGTATCATTCTAGATGCATAGGAAAGCAGTAATTTGTTACATATAATAAACATTTTAGGAGACATTTAGGGCTTAATTCTTTCAAGGAACCCTGGTTGGGAAGGGCTTGAGTTGGCACTCATAAAATATTTGCTGAATGAATATTCTGCCCAAAACTGTTCTTCTTCCAGGTTTTCTTTCTTACTATGATCTACCTAGTAATATAAACCAAAAAACCCAGGAGTCATCCAGAATACATCTCATGGCCTCATTTTCTATATCCCATTCTTCACTAATTGTCTAAAATGCTATCATAGCTCCCTTAGACTCTAATAACCTATAAAAGCTGTTTGCTGACTCCAGTTTGAATATCTACTCTGGCCCATCAAATCCACTCTACAGCCATATCTCTTCAAAATGCAAATCGATTTTATTTTTTTCTCTTTTCACTATGCCATTCATTTCCTTAAAAATGAAAATTGAATAGGCTGTTTTTCACCATTGCTTGAATCCATTCAGCAAATCTTTACTATCTATAGGCTTAAGCCAAAATGTTGTCATGCAGCCAGTAAGACCTTGCATGATCTGAAACTTGCCCGAATCTCTAGCATCACTCTTTATTCACCCCCATGTACTCTGAGTGCCAGTTACAAACTTTAAATGGAGTCTTTAAGGCTGGTTTTTGGCTATGTTGTTTCCTCTTCTTGAGTTCCATTCCACCTTCAAGCACTTCCTGACTGTTCTCCTTGGTTTCAGTTCATGTTCCTTTTAGGGGTTACACATGACACCCACCACCACCACCTCAGACTAGATCACATTCCTTTATTAAGTGCTCTTATGTAACACGGTTAGCTTTCAGAGGACATCTATCAGACTAATAATATACTTCTTAGGGTTATTATCTGAATGTTTGCCTTCCTCAGTAGAGACTCCCTATAGCCTAGTAAGTGCCAAACACATATGAAGAATGTAGTAAATACTTGCTGTAAGAATTAAGGTCAGGTACAAATTGCCTACCAGTTACTGGAAATTACAGGTAAGGATGGGAGAGACTGAATCAGTTCTTGAAATATGAAATGTGTTTTATTTTTGGAGAAAACTAAACAGAAATATTTCTGAAAGGATTGCATCCTAAAATTCAAACTTCACAAAATAAGGTGATAGAGTATTTTCTGTTTTTCATTCATATTATTTTAAATTTATAGGGCTGTGACTACATACTTCTGCTTGAACACAATCTTTTCTCTTAAAAAAAATTAAAGATAAGTTTTGTTGCACCCACTTTTGAAAGAACCAAAGCACACTGATTGGGATGGTCTCTTGGAAAGTCAAGACATTGCTGAGTGAGAACTGGTTTTATCAGGACAGTGTGTACGGTTAAACTAAGAGAAGCAAGAACAACTGAGGAACTTAGGGAAGAAGATGTGGCAAAGACTAAATGAAAGAGGGTAGCAAGAACAGAATAAGGTTTGAAGTCAGTGAGCCTGGGTCAGTTCTTCAAATTGGTATACGTGTTATTCCAGGCCATTGTGGGAAAGATTAATGCTTGGTTATAAAGGCAAACACTTTAAAGTTAGAGAGATTTCAAAACCATTTTCTATTTATCGGTCTATTAATGTGACCTCTAGAACATTAATTTTTTGAACGTTGTTTCCCTCTGAAATAAAAAAACTCATGAGGAAATAGGTGGTTTTCTCATTTTTTGCTTAATTTTTCCTGAAAAGGATGACATTATAATAGTTTCTTTATGATATGACTAAACTTGGCATTGAGGAGAAAGGAGTAGAATGTTATGGTTAGAGTGAGTTCTTGAATATGACTGCTTTGAATTCAATCTGAAATTTATTACTTACTAGCTATGTGATTTTGAGAAAAAATATTCAAATCCTCTGAGATCAATTTTCCTCGTTTTAAAAATAGAAACACAATTTGTATCTACCCATTTTTTATGGGGATTAAATGAGATAATCCACATAAAGTGCACACCAGAATGCCTAGCACATAGTAAATGTTTCACAAATGTTAACTGTTCTTTTTTCTTTTTTCATCATCATCTTCATTGTTGTCTCTTCTTCTTCCTCCTCCTTCTTCTTATCATTATGATTTTTACTTTAATTATTATTATTCCATCTCATGTATAAAAAGATTCTTAATGGATCAGACTAAACTGATAAGAAAATATTTGGAAAAATGGGAGGCAATGATGAGAATGTTAAATTAAGACATTTTTTCCAAAAAGTTCATCCTCTCATTGTTGGATATGTGTCCTTTGTAACACCCAGTGAGAACATTATATGGACATTTTTGTTTAATCCAATAGATATAATGTCAATATTGGTATTAATTAGCATTCTCTTTTTTTAATAGAATAGTCTGCATATGGTGGGATTTTACTTTGAATATAGAAGCTTTACAGAATATTTTAAATGAAAATGAAGAGATTTGGCTCACTGTTGTCAGGTCAATGGTTGCATATAATTTTACTTTAAAAGACTACTTTTATTTGAAATGTTTAATTCAGCCCCAAAGTTTCCTTGTTCTGTACACATGCCTCTAACTTGGTTCTGTAAATTCTTAGAAATCACTAAAAGCAACCCATAAATATACCAACACAGCTACCGACATGCAGGCAGGCTCTTGATGAGTAATTACTGCAGTCTAACTGTCTGACTAAAGTTTTGCTTACAAGTACAGGCATAGACAAAAACAATAATTTCTTCTACCCTTAGTCTTCACATGAATTAATTCTGGAGGTGGGGATTAATTGCCTTTTTCTCCTTTTAAGGCAAAAAAGGAGACATATAACTATTTTTCTTCTTTAATTTTAAATTTCATAGCAAAAATTAAAACCACAAAGGAAATAAAACACTAAAATGTCCTTGTTTTATTCAATTAATTAGCGCTGCTATCTTGACGACCACAAGTAAAAGGAAAATTAGCTGTTTAGAAGAACTAAATAAGCCTACTGAGGAAAAAAAGGGCTATGTTTGTCAAACCGAGAACAGTTATTTACAAAGATTTTCACTAATATTAAGATTATAGTATTTTTTAAAAAGATAATGAAGAGGATCAAGGTGTTAACACATAATATCCCAACACTAAACATTCATTAATTAAAAATATTCAAAATTAATAATTCTCCTTTTCCATTCAGGTTTTTACCAATTTACCATATAAAGTTCTCCAACAACTCTAAACACTAAGAAATTTGCAGCAAGGATACTGTATACTGGGGTCAGCTGGCTAGAGAAAGGGAAGATAGTAATATCTTTCTTAGAAAGAATGCTATTGTTGTATTTATCACCATTGTTGCTGCTTAAAATCAAGACAAAAATTTTATCTGTGATAATTTCATTGTAACATCAAGGCCTCAATCCATCAATGTTACTAAAATAAACTATATAATTGAGACAGGATACAGATAAAAAATGAAGCTAGAAAAAAGAAAGTAAGAAATGTAAAAAGAAGGATATAAAAACACTAATCAAAGTTAAATAAAGCCATAAGATTGTTTATTATCAACATGTACTTGTTCCATAAGGTAAGTCCTCTAAAGAGTCCTAAAAATACTTTATTGTTTAAAACAAAACAAAACAACAAATAAAAAACAAACAAAAATAACAAATAAGCCGATAAAATAATAATCATAAAATCTGTTCATAATACAGAAAAGAACTATCCTTTAAAAAAGGTCACAATTGGCTGGGCGCTGTGGCTCACGCCTGTAATCTCAGCACTTTGGGAGGCAGAGGCGGGTGGATCACGAGGTCAGGAGATGGAGACCATCCTGGCCAACATGGTGGAAGCCCGTCTCTACTAAAAATACAAAAATTAGTTGGGCATGGTGGCGAGTGCCTGTAGTCCCAGCTACTTGGGAGGCTGAGGCAGGAGAATCGCTTGAACCCGAGAGGCAGAAGTTGCAGTAAGCCGAGATCGCACCACTGCACTCCAGCCTGGCGACAGAGCCAGACTCCATCTCAAAAAAAAAAAAAAAAAAAAAAAAAGTCACAATTTACACTATATATACCATACACCAGATTAGAAAAGCCAGCTAAATTGTTTGTCTACTTCTTTAAGAAGTGAAGGAAAGAGAGTGCCAAGCATAAAAGAGACACTGGTACCCGGCTTCAAGTACCTAGGCTTCTTTCGGAGTCTGACTTACAAAGTAGCTTTACTTTCATTTTATTTTCCACCTCAGGAAAAGCCATCATTGGTACCATAACTCCCTTAGACATTCAGATGAAGGTCATTTTAAGCTTTTCTCAAAATCAGTTTAGATCTGAAGTTTCTCAGGTATCTTCAATTAGTTACCACTCATCCATCTACCTTCCAGTTTCCAAAGCTGTCTAGCTATTATCGCCTGTCCTGTGTCTTGTTCTTTCCATTGCCCTAGGATGTATGTCTTAAAAATCTCTTCATTGTCATTTTAGTAAAGGTTTCAGAATGTAGAGAAATTAGTTATATGAGTTTAATCTGTTATATTTACTGGGAAGTATTCCTATTCATAAAAGATACCCTCGCATTTTTTTAAAGGAAGAAGCATAAAGCCAGCCTTATTTCATATATATATATATATATTTCTAAAGATATGAAAAAGTATCCTAAATTACTTAATAAGATTTAAATATTTTTCATTCGTGATTTTACTCACTAATTCTACTCTTTTTACTTACAAAAACTCCCAGAAAAGAAACTTGACACAGATGAAATTTTAACTATTTGCCGTTACAAGAATGAGAAGCTGCACATTTTTGCTTAGCTAGCAGTAAGCTCCAGAAATTAAATTTGCCTCCTCCATAACACAGAGTTCAAACGGTTGATATAGCTGGATTGAACAAAGAAAGAAAAACATGAGATCAGTTTCAGTCCCCAGAACTTTCAAGTGTGAACTGCAGTGGCTCCAGTGGCTCTGCTGTGAATGGCACCCTGGTGGCCAGAAAGCAGCAACCAGCCACCTTATGAGTTTCAATTACTAGCTAGAAGTACTTCGAACACCAGGGAAAAACTGAATCAAAAATATCATAAAGGTTGCTGTAAATCGAAAGTATAACAAATACATAAATACACACACACAGGAGGTTATGATTAGAGTGTGTGTGTGTGTGTGTGTGTGTGTGTGTGTATCTCACATTCTCCAAAAACCTAGCAATAAAGCAATGAAACAAAAATGGAACATTTCAAATGTCTGTGCTGAGTAGCATGGAAATTTCTTTAAAAAATAATATCAATATCTCCTTCCAAAGAAAATAATTTTCTTGCCTCTGATTTCTTAACAGAGTTGATAAATTAAAACTAGAAAAAAAAGGTATTGGAGGAAGTTTTTCATGAAAGATTACAATTTAAAAAAGTAGACAAAACAAGGACATCCATGAGGAGGCTGACATACTCATGATAAAACTTTGTACGGTCTATGCACAACTGGTAGATTACAAAGACAGCCACCGGTTGTTTCTGTCCTACTGTATACTCTGTTTTCAATGTGAATTTGCAGCTACTCTCTTAAAAATGTTGCTTCTTTCTCCACAAATTGTCTCTGTGACTTGCCTTCTACAAGAGTTGGCCATGTGATTTGCTTTGCCTAAAGGCTCATTTAAAAAAATGTGACTTAAACACAAACTTGGGACCTGGCATGGTGGCTCATGCCTGTAATCCCAGTACTTTGGGAGGCCCAAGGAGGGCAGACGGTTTGCGTTCAGGAGTTCGAGACCAGTCTGGGCAACATAGAAACCCTGTCTCCACAAAAAACACACAAAAATTAGCTGCGTATTGTGGCATGCACCTGTAGTCACAACTACTTAAGTGGCTGAGGAGGGAGTGTCACTTGACCCAGGGAGGTTGAGGTTCCAGTGAGCTATGATCCTGCCATTACACTCCAGCTTGGGTGATGGAGTGAGACTTTGTCTCAAAAACAAAACAAACAAACGAACAAGGAAAAATCATAGGCTTGAAAACTGCTTGCACATTTGGCCTTGCTCTTTCTTGCTGCTCATTGGAACCTCGAGACCACCATGACTGTTATGTTAGTGAATCAGAGATCAAGTAAAGCTAAGATAAGCAATCCCATCTAAGATCCCTCCTCCCCTAACCAAACTAATCAATGCCAACCACTAGAAATGTTGGTGTGGACACTTGATCCATCAAACCCCAGCCTAGTAGGCCCAGATCAGATCAGAATCACACATCTGACAAACAGAATTGTGAATGTGAGAAATTTGTTATGACTCTAAGTTGGGGCAATTTGTTACATAGAAACAGCTAGCTGATACAGTAACTTTATGCCCAATCTTGGTTTGTCTGATTGAAATTCACAAGGATAATAAAATTACATTTTGAAACAAGCATTAACGATAATCTGTGTTTTACTAGATAAAAAGATAAAACATAGTTTTCCTTACTCCCATTCTATTTCCAATCTCAGAGATTCTGTTATTAGAAAACATTCATACCCACTTACTTTTCAAGGCAGCATCTTTTTCAGAAAACTCTCCCTTGGTTTTAAGGTTGCACCAATAAATCTCTTTCTGGATCCCAATATAACCCCAATTATTCCTCAATTCCAGAGCTTACAGTATTAGACTGAAATTATCTATTGATGTGACTTTATCCCCCACTAGACTCTCTCTCAAATGTGTTACTGTCATTGAAGCCCTAATACTCAGTCCAGTATTAAATATTTCAAACAGTAGCTATCCAACCTATGTTCATTGCTGCAAATTTGCTAGTACAAGCACTCTGATTTCCTTGCTACAGAGCAGTCAGAGAAAATCCTAGCTAGATAATGGAAGCAGATAGATATTCAAGTAGGATTTATAACACATGTTAACAGAGAATACGTTGAGGATTTTGCTTAGGGAAGAAAATATGGAGCATGTCTTCAGAATTCAAGTAATGCAAATAACATTCAGATTTCAAGAAACAAAAACTAGAGCTACTGTGCAAGAAACATTGAAGTGGCTTGATTTGGGAGCAGATGCTGTTTGAATTTTTTGCTACCTCTTACTTATCCCATTTTATACATGTGGAGCAGCTTTAACAAGGAAGGTTCTTTCTAATTGAGTTGCAGAGGTGTTTTTCTTACAGGAAACTTTGCAGTAATTTTGGGAAAAATCTAAGAGGTGCAAGAACCAGTTGGTGACCACGGAAAATAATGAGAAGAATCAGAGACCTGGAAAGATAGTGTTCATGAAATGGCTTAGAGTAAGCAAGTTTTTTTTACTTTACCATGCTTAAGGAAATGTGCAAAAAAGGTACAGTGAAGAAAATGTTTAAAAAAGAGAGAGAAGAAAATAAGGAAAATACGAATGAAATCAATCACCAAAAATTCTAAAGGCTACCATTTGTCTTGAATAACATACATTGGAATTAATAAAAATCTTATTAAATGAAAATGCTACTCTGTTTATATGTGAGGTTACCTTTTCACACATTTAAAATATGGGGAAAATGTCATCCTAATGAACAATGCAGACCACCTGAATTTCGTGACCAAATCTTAGGAATCAGAGTTAATCAATCCTATGCCTACGAAGGGACCCCTGAAATTATAGTCTGGATTTTCATTAAATGGAATAAATATAAGGAGTGTTCACTGTACCACAAATATAAAAAATTATTTTAAGGATAAATCAGAAATTATAGGATCTTGTATAAATATTAAGAATCCATTCAAATTAATAACATTACTGGCTGGCCCCAGTGGCTCTTGCCTGTAATCCTAGCAAATTGGGAGGCTGAGGCAGAAGTATTGCTCGAGGCCAGGAGTTTGAGATCAGGCTGGGCAACATAACAAGACCCCACTTCTAAAAAAAAAGTTAAAAAAATAATAATGATAGCATTTCTGATTTTGGATACCAAAGTAAGAGATTATATATTTATAACATGGAAGTTTAATTTTTTTATATTAGGCACATCATATAGCATGAGGAATAGAACTGAAAGTCACAAATTACTATTAGAAATCCAGCCTTTCACGTTTCAAGTATCAATCAAAATCATAAAGGAAATCTTGGTCAATGTGGGAGGTTGTAGTCAATAGTTGGATAGAGACTATTTTTCCAACTGGCAGCACTGTTTTTGTTTTGTTTTGTTTTTTAATCTTCAACTAATCAAGCTGTTTGAGAAGGACAAGGCGTCTCTTGTGGTTTTTGTGTTGCTTAAAATTCTACATGATATCTTAAGGACAGCAACATTCAGGTTCCTTTCTCTGATTATTGAAGTGAAAATTAATGTCCAGTAGTAATGAAATTGTTTTTTCCACTTAACTATTCAACAGTTTTTACTATCAAAATAAAAATATTAATGGCTTTAAATTATATATTCACATGTCAATTATAGGAGTTTTAGGCTTCTATCATACATATTTTCAGTAAGACACTGCTTTTTAAAACTCCCATTTCTAATACTGTTATAGTTCCAATAACATATCCCTAAGTCATAGCAATTATATAACTACCATTTTTATCAAGTTATTTCTATCAAATAACTTATTCAAATTCATATTTTCTTTTCCAATTACTTACATTGCCAGCCTTTAAAAATAAATATCTTTTGGACTATTGTCTGTCTGTCTAATTTCCTCATAATGTTCAATATGACCTGTACAATGTTTGCAATGTTTTCCCTTGAATCTAACGAAATAGCCAGTTTTATTGAAATGTATGTTCTTAGACTGTGAGAGGCAAACTTCCCTACTCATTATAGAGCAAGTTTGTTCCTTATCTCAAGGTGTCTCTAAGGAATTTTTGAAAAGAACCCTGCCTTTGATTTCATCTAATCATGAGAACAGTAAATCAGACTAATAAATTCAAGTATACTTGTATTTGAAATTTTTAGTACCATATATATATACATATAAATACATACACATATAGTCAATAAATCTATGATAGTTTTCAATGCAAGTCATAAATTCCCAAAAGCAACAAAATGACTCATTAAATAAGGTAAGGCGGTCTCTTTACCTTCTACCCCAAAGTATCCTTTCTTTTTCTCCATCAGAGTTTCCTGCTATTCTGTCACATAACACACATACACAAACATACACACACACACACACACACACAATATTCCAACCGACGTATAAAATTCTTTCTCACACTTCTGTTCTTCTTCGTTCTTTTGTCTAACCAACCAACAAATCCCTATTCATATTTCAAAATTCAATTTGAATATCACCCCTTTTTTGAAGCTTCCCCTTAATATTGCAAGGCGTTTTTCTTCTTTATTCTCACAGACCCTTTTACCGGTGTTTATTTTAGCACATACATTACTGATAGAAATATTTTCTACTTGTTCTCATCCCTCTCGACTGTGAACTTTTGAAGGACAGGACAAATGATCAATTACTCTTTTTATGTAAAGCCCAGCAAAACACTGGGCACATTAAAGATAATTTAATAATTATTATAAACAAATTCGGAAGAGTTATTTCTCAAAATGGTGGATTTCTTAAACTCTTCATCCTTAGGCATACCTCAAACTAATATTTTCATTTACTTGCAAACTGTACTCATTTTTAATCATTATGCCATAAATTAATAGCTTCTCTTTCATTATAAAGGGTTCTTTTAAAAGTCTTTCTATATTCTGAGATTGCTTACGGAAAATGCCTTATTTTTGTCCCAGTGAGAAAGAAGAACAATACATTCTTTCTTCCTCCATATCATTCCTATACTTATTTCTTTTAAAATGTTGCTTATGTCCAGGCACTGCTTTTAACACCAACATAAAGCAACGAGCAAAAAATCCAAAGTCTCTATGCTCATAGAGCTGATATTCTAGTTGGATGAGACAAAAATAAATAAATCAAAATTAAAATAGATTATAATGACTGGTAGTCATGTCTGAAGAAAAATAAATCAAAAGAAAGGAGTAAAATAAGTGTGTCTGATGCGGGTGGGTGCTATGACTTCTATTTTAGACAGGGAAGTCAGGAAAGACTTATTTTATGAAGTGACTTTTAAGAAGACACTGAAAAAAGTGCTCACCATTCCACATACAATATGTCCTTCCTTGAAATCCTGGATTTTCTTTCTCTATTAGATTTGATACATTTACCTTTATTCTGTTAGCAGTAGGGTGATTACTATGCTAAAAGTTGCTTTAAATCTAGTGTGGCTTGTTGAAACCATCAGAAGCTAGTCTTTATATTTTAGTCATCAGGATCCCAACTGATTGCTCACATCCTGCAGTGAAAGTATTTGAAGGAGGGATGAATGGCACACAGAATAAGTAGTGACCTTAAACATTAACTGCCTCCTAGCAGACATCAGCAATTGCTTAAGAAGATCAATCACTTTCTGAACTGCATGCTACAAAGTTTGGAAAGAGATCCTTCTGAAGTTTGCCACTTGGAATAAATTCAATTTTTTTGAGGTGATTCTCAATGTAAGCATGCATAATGCTATTAGTGAGAGGTCTGTATTGAGCATTATGCTGGTAGCCTTTGAATTTTCCAGTATACAGACAATTTTCACTTCTGTGCTGGCTGGTAATTGTGAATACTGCAAATATAGTTAGCAGCAGTACTTTTTTATTTTGTAATTTTTTGAGCTATAGATATTGTATTTCCTTTGTAAAAATACTATTTTTCAATTTATTAAAAAAAATAAACGTGGAGAAATAAATTCATTATTCACTAACCATCCTTACCGCTAAAGTTTGGACAAATTCATACTGACAACTTTGATGCACATCATTTTGAAACAGTATACATGCCTCTTTCTTCACAGTTGGAATCTTGCACGCAGCAGTATCAAGTTGCAGCACTGCTATTCCATTGTTCATTTTTATAGGTGATATATTCCCCCCATTTGCATCTCAGTTTACATATTTTGTTTAACATCATACTAATGTGATTACAATTAAATGTATTACTACAACATGTAAACAGGACTCACTTGGAATCTAGCTCTGTCACCCAGGCTGGAGTGCAGTAGCAGAATTTTGGCTCATTGCAGCCTCTGCCTCCCAGGTTCAAGAGATTCTCCTGCCTCAATCTCCCGAGTGGCTGGGACTACAGGTGTGCACCACCACACCCAGCTAAATTTTGTATTTTTAGTAGAGACAGGGTTTCATCATGTTGGCCAGGCTGGTCTCGAACTCCTGACCTCAACCAATTCACCTGCCCCAGCCTCCCAAAGTGGTGGGATTACAGGCGTGAGCCACTGCATCAGGCTCAGGACTAACTTTTGATCAACTTTTTAAACACACAACAATTTTTAGAAAACATCAGTGAAAAATTCAGGATACAAGAATTTCATGACCATGTCTTAAATATACCATGTCAAATATAAAAGATGATTCTTCTTTGTAGCAAAATATTCAAAACAAGACAAGCAAAGAAGAAAAATAAAAATTATACTCTCATTTAAATCTGCTTCAAAGAGTCCCTAGATCAATCTAAAGAACAGGTAACAAAAGAACATACCCAGCACCACAAATCATGTGAATGGAATTTGATGAGCATGGGGAACACGGCAGGAGATGATAGGATTTAGAGGTTCACGTCATGTTTAGCATTGAAGGCCATGGTAAGGCACAAGATATGATTACTTAATTTTCAGAACTAATTTACCCCTTTAACACTTCTGTTAAATTACTTCAAATCACATATGGGTATCCTATACAGTGATTTAGGATGATTAAAAAAAAAGAAGCAAATAAATGCACCTGGTTGAGATTTTAAAAAGCTCTAAGATTTCTTCTTCTCTCTTTTCTCCCCTTATGTAGACAGTAGCTCCCAGTTATGCCCTGGGGGTTACACCTACTAGAACCTAATGTGGAACTGCCAATCTTATGCTCAATGGGTTAGACTAAACTAAACAGCTCAGCACTTCAGACATCCCATATATAGTAATAAGTAATTAAGGGTGTTCAGAGTAATAAAACCTATAAATGGCCCTTTATTCTGCATACTAGGTTGCAAAAGCCAAAATCCATCACTTTTGGTTTTAGCAACATACTTCATTTTCCAAATGATAAAAAGGGAGTGATTTTTGCATTTTAGGTTTTTTAAAAGTGTTTTTAGTATTTTAGTGATCTTCAAAAGCACGTTACTCTATCTACTGAAGGTAATAACTATCCTGTAGAAGTAAGGAAAAGGTTATTGTGCTAATGTGAACTCTTTAGAAACTAGTCAAGAGATTCCTCGTATTTTTGGTTGATCCAACAAATAACTAAAAGGTGTATATTTTCAGGACAAAACACAGAAATAACTATCATTCTTTTCACCATCTAGTGGCTGGTGAGCCTTTGACTATTGTTTCTGGTTTCTAAGGAGCCATTTAGCAGACTATCATTTGGAGATCTGTCACAAGTGAAGAGAGAAGGCTTCCCAACAATAAATGATTCGTTTGATAAAATTCACAATAACCTCATGGCTGAAAGACAGAAGGGTATCAAAATCATGCCAAGAATTGTATTATACTTGCTTTCATTTCTGAAGCATTCATCATAAGCTTAAATTGGCCACAGTTCAATCTAACTAGCATAAAGGTAGTTATTTTTTATTTGTTTGTTTTTTATATGGGAACATTTTCCAATAGAAAAATTAAGCAAGTCCTATTTTATGTTTTCAACTTTATTCTCTTCAAATGACCAAATTTCCATTTTTACCATTCTTACCCTGAGTGAACAAGAAATGTATGAGGCTTATTCTAAAACACTAAGGCAAATGAGTTACTTAAAAGATTTCTTTCCATATAATATATATATATTTTTTAGACACGATCTTACTCTGTCACCTAGCTGGAGTGCAGTGACATAATCATAGCTCACTGTAACCTTGAATTCCGGGCTCAAGGGATCCTCCCACCTCAGCCTCCTGAGTAGCTAGGACTATAGGCACACACCACCACACCCAATACATTGTTAAATTTTTTGCAGAGATGAGGTCTCACTATATTACCCAGACTGGTCTTGAATCTGGCCTCAAGTGGTCCTCCAACCCCAGTCTCTGAAAGTGCCGGGATTACAAGCACGAGCCGCCGTGCCTGGCCTTAATTTTTAAACAATTAATTCATGCACATAGTATTATTTCAAAATGTAAAAAAAGATATTTACTGAAGATATTTTTCACTTAAATTTCTGTTCTCCCAGGGAGAACAGCTTGCCTCCCTAGAGGCACTCTGACAGCTTGCTAATACTCATATTTCAAATGGGTTTTCACCATCAAATTAAATTTACTATAGCTACTATGACATAGACAGCTAGTTTTTCAACAAAAAATCTAGGTTTTTTATTTCTGCATGTGAGAAGTGGCTGCTCACTGGAAACTATATAGGCCAGCACAACACTCTCATCAGGTATGGCCATGTGACTAGTTCTTGCCAGTGGCTTGTGACTGGAAGCAATGGTGATCTTTCTAGGCCATTGTTTTGAGTACCTGTAAGGGTTCTTCCGCATCTCATCTATTTCCTCTGTCTGCCCCATAGGCTGGATGCAGGGGACTCCTGAGCCATAGGGATGATAGGAATCACAAGTTTCATATGAAAGAAAACTACCTGTTAAGCATCAACTCTGAAAAACGCATATGGACAAACAATAAATTTCTATGTGTTAAGCAACCGAAATTTTAGGGTTTATTTCTGAGAGCATCTAACATCTGCCTAACACAGAATGGTCCTACATATATTAACATTTTGACATAATGGTCTCGTGTGGGGAAAGAAAGACAATATTTTCTCTATGCCTAAGAATATTAAAAGATCTTGATAAGTAGTTGTCACTTTTTAATCAAATTGCTAATGCTGATTATATGCAAACACTCTACACCCCACTATCTTTTTAATATTTATTTTTTGACCTCTATAAAATGGATTCTAGTTTAAAAGAAAAAAAAAGATTTCCTTTTCCAATGCATTAATGTAAGGTTCTGTTTGCCACGATTAAAGTCACTTTTCTTTTATCTGTCCACCGACAAGCAGATAATATGTTAGGAGAATTAACTGAACATTTGAATGTTTGTCTACAGTCTTGTTAAAAATCAAGAGAAAATGTGACATTCTCTAGCCACTTGACCGTCTCACTATAAATTCAATGAAATTATATTTTGAGAAATTATCTTAGACTTGGAAAAAATTCTTAGACTACGGTTACTCTTAATCTGACACATCATTTACATTATGAAAGGTTAAGTTGTATTTCACCAAGAAAGATTGGAAATATTTTTCCTCTGTTCATCACAACTGTTAAAGATCAGTCCCGACAGAAGAAGATGATCTATCATGTCTAAATCTGAAATTACACAACTTATAAACTGTAGTTGCTGACATACCCCTGGGTAATTCTTGGCAGTAGAACTAATCAGAGATGAAGAAACAATGCATTACGCACATAAGTTTAAAATTAAGAATGGGTTACAGGAATGTGACACTTGACTGGAAGAAAGGTGCTAGGTTAGAGATTTAAATATTATATATTAAATGTTCATGTCATAGATTCCCTTGCATTAGAAATAAAATCAGGCTCTTTTATAAGAAGTATATATATATATATATATCTCACTTCCCTTATTTTAAACTAAAATGCTCATAAAAATATAATTAATTCTTTTCATTAGACTTCATACACACATTCCAGTTAGTACAGAACCCTCTGGGTGTCCTACTATAATCTTGATATAATTACTAACACTGCCCATTTTTACTTTCAAAAATGTCTGTATTTAGACATAAATACAAACCACCCTGTGCATGACACATCTTTGGTACCTATTATATATCTTTCATTTCAATTTCTTTGGGGGTGGGTTATTAAAGGTAGCTAAAATAATCATCCATAATTTATGCCAAATTTATTCCGTATATTAAAAAATGACTGCTCACAGGCCATTTTAAAATTCAGATCAGAAGCTGGAGGGTCCTAATTTAATATATTTGTTATCACAATGCTACACATTTGAAAATAACACAGGGCGTGCCCGAGGGAAGGAGGGATTAAGACATAACAATATTAGGTGAAGCTGGGCTGCATAATCAGGATTGTACATACAGGAAAGAAAATTCAGGAGGAAGAACTCTAAGATACTCAAAACATACACAGACAAACTGAACTCAATATTAATAATGTGATTTAAGACATGAAATACTTTAAAATTAATCCTAAGTATTTTGGGTGTTTTCTGCATGAACCATGTTTACTCCTTTAATTTTAAGAACTAGTCTATTAAATATTAATAGCCATGAAAATTAATCAGGCACTGTCTTACTCATAAATGACTTTATGAAACCTAATAAAGGTTTTAAAATAGTCTTTAGGGTGTAGTCCAAAATAGTACATACAGCATATTATACCTTGCTTATTAATTGTGTATTTGCACTTCTGCAGAGTTAAACTTTATTTTTTTAGGAGGTGAGGAATAACACATGAGTTTAGATTTCTCTGAGAATACTGATGAGCAAATTTTAATTAATCTCAACATTAAACAATTTGGAACTCAGATATCTTTTTCATGTAAAATTGGCGAACAGACTAACCAATATAAATATTGTTGGCAATGATTTTCCTGCCTTATCCCTGCTGTGACTTCCTTTTTACAGTTAATAGCTTCACAGTTGATAAGGCTTATCTACATAAACACTAACAAATAAGCATTATCTCCCATTCTAACTGAATGCTAAACTGTAAAGAAAAAAAAGACAATTTTTAAAGTGAAAATAACTATTACTTTTTTACCTTAATCTTAAGCAAGCAATTCCAAATGGTTCACAGATAGTCAGTGAAATATTAATTTTCCAAAAGAAGATTATAAGCTTGTTTCAAGAACACTGCCACATGATTTGACTGAGATGACTGAATGTCACTATCAATATCCGTTATAGTTCTAAGTCATATCTCTATGCTGTTGCATATTTCAATGATTTAGACTATTGTCAATTAATAGTACAGATAAATAAAAGTTATAGTAAATTCCATGTGTCTATGACCTTATAGTGTCCCAAAAAAGAAAACAGAGACATATTTAGAAAACAAAATTCACAGACGAAAATTTTACTTCCTCATTCTTATTATCTCCTTGTACACATGCAGTAAAATATGCAGAAAGGTCAGCAAAAGAGCCAAATAAATAATAAAATAGCTAAGTAACAAACTATAATACATTAAAAAAATGTGGACTGAATGAGTTTGCAAATTGCTTTTTTTTCCTTTTGCATTTCTAATATTCGCCTCAGTTTTTATTTGTTTTGGGGTTTTGTTTGGTTTTTAATTCAGTTTACTTATAATGTCAACTGTAAGAGGGTTTTTGTTTTTCTGTATATTCTCTGAAATAGTCTTTAGCATTTTACAGTAAATTAATATGAACAGTGTTTATGCTGTTAACTTGATCAATGGAAGAACTAACAGCATTGTTAGATGTTCGGCCTCTGCCAAGTTCAAGGACATCATCATGACTGGATCAGATGGAACAAGATTGGGAGTATGAAAAGTCAAAGCTGTGTGTGCAAATGTGGGAAGCTGGTAGGAGGCAGTCAGTGGAAGCAGACTGGTCCAGTTTAATGGGCCTTACAGATGTTTATTCACTGCTCTCCTCCTATGGAATGCCACCACCTACTTCCTAAGACAGAAGCTTTGGATTTATTCTGTTCTTTTTTCTTTTCTCACGGTCTGAATCCAATTAACAATGAAACTACCTTTGCGAAGATGGTGACAGTGAGAGAAATCTAGCCTGGTTGACTCCATCTTGCTTCTAGCCTCACAGACTGGCTGTTCTGGCTCTTAGAAAAGAGCATGGGCCAGGCTAACCCTAACCACAGGAGGAATTTAGTTTACAGTTTAATTATGAAGCAAGGATGATAACACTGCCTCCCTAAAACTGATCTCTTCCTTGTTCAGGGGCTGAAACTGCCTCTTTAAAACTGATGAAAAGTCACAAGATTAGGATTATTGCAGAGGTCTGAATTCTGCAAAAATGTAGGCATAGTTTTTATAATTCTTTACTGCTCAGGAGTCAGGTAGCCAGAGGTTACAAGATTTGTGACTTCTTCAATTGTAGGTAATATCACTAGTGTAGAACTTAAGATTTTGTTTGTTTGTTTGTTTGTTTGGGTGGAACCTCTGTCACCCAGGCTGGAGTGCAGTGATGCAATCTCGGCTCACTGCAACCTCCGCCTCCTGGGTTCAAGTGATTCTTCTGCTTCAGCGTCCTGAGTAGCTGGGACTACAGGCGTGCACCACCACACCCGGCTAATTTTTTTTGTAGTTTAAGTAGAGATGGGGTTTCACCATATTGGTCAGGCTGGTCTTGAACTCCTGACCTCGTAATCCGCCCACCTTGGCCTCCCAAAGTGCTGGGATTACAGGTGTGAGCCACTGCGCCTGGCCAGATTGGTCTTTTGAGACTTTTTTCAGACTTTTTCATTCTGGCAACCGACTGGCTCCACCCACACTCATGACTCATGACTCCACCAGTTCTGTGAACACCCAACCAGAGGCAGACTTGATACACTGGGAGTGTTTTCCACACCCCTATGATTGCATCCCCCACTCATCAGCAGCACCCATTCCCTAGTCCCCCACCCACCAAACTGTCCTTGGAAAACCCTAACCTCTGAGTCTTTGGGGAGACTGATTTGAGTAATAACTCCTCTTCTTCATGGCAAGGCTAGTGTTAATTTAACTCTTTCTTTACTGCAATACCACAGTCTCAGTGAATTGCTTTTGTCTGTGTAGAGGGTAGGAAGAACCTGTCTGGCAATTTCAACACTATGGTTTTCTCTCAATTCAGTTTCCCTTCTCCATTCATTCCACAACCACCCTAAATCAATCCTCTCATATCTGGACTTGTTATGTTTCCAATTGGTCCTCATACCCCCATTATTTTCCCCTTAATTCTATCCTCATTATGCAAGACAGGGACTCTCCTAATGCAAGAATTTATTTTGCTTCCTCACTTAAAACTGCAGTGAGACCTCTTCATGATCATTATTATGGACTAAATTGTCCCCTCTCCCTGCCCCCAAATTCATATAATAAAGCCCTAACCTCCAATGTGACTATATTTGAAGACGGGGCCTTTAAAAAGACTAAACGAGGTTAAATAAGGTCATAAAGATGGGACCCTCGTCCAATAGGACTGATGTCCTTATAAGAAAAGAAAGAGACACAAGGAGTTTAAGGGCACAGAGAAAAGGCCAAGTAAGGACACAGTGAGGACCTGTCTGTCTACAAGCCAAGGAAAGGCCTTGACAATACCTTGATCTTGAACTTCTAGACTCCAGAAATGTGAGAAAATACATTTCTGATATTCAAGCCACCCAATCTCTGGTATTTTGTTATGGCAGCCTTAGCAAACTAACACAGTCATTAGAAAATCCAATGCTCTTGACATAATAAGCAAGCTATTATTTTGCCTTGTCTGTAGATACCTCATCATTACAGCTCTCTGATTTACACTTTAACTTCAAATGTTCACCAAACTGCATTAGTTCACTTCACATCTGTGCAATCCCATACTTCCCCTTTAGCCCATGGTAAAGCCTTAGCCTAGAATGCACTGTGACCCCTTTTTTTTTATGTACAGTTTAAGACTGAGCTAAGATTCCAACCTCTCTATGACATTTTCTAGCTCACCTCAGGCTGCATTAGGAGCCCTTCCAGGGATACTTTAATTACCTGTATCACTCTCATTGCATCTACCATATTTTATGTAAAGTATTTGTCGTCTCTCCCATTAAATCTCCTTGTAATTAGGGACTATTTTAGGCATGTTTAAGTTCCCAGCATTTAGTATGATTCCTGGCTGAGGAGTGTATGTGGAAGAATATCTTAGATGAAGGCTTATTTTCATGGGCATTTTGAGTCTGTTTATGCTGTCAATCCTGGACTTGCTCAGCATCAATTCTCAGTACTCATTTCACATACATAAGCTTTTCATAAAGGTCTATAGAAATACAGAAACCATGGATATGTGTCACTTGCTTAAAAAGTAAAACTTGCACTTTTTTGTATCAAGGTAATATTATTGCCAAAACAACAGCATTTTGGTTTCTCTTATATGTTAAGTTTGAAATCAATGATCTTGAACTATACATAATTTACTTGTATCCCTAGACTATAACTACTCACACATCACAATTTTCACATAGAATATGGAATAATTAATTAGAGTGTATATTCTTGCACTTATTCTGACTTCACTAGAGTTTGCCAGATGCTTCTACAGAGTACCATCACATTATCTATTTAGTATTATTGTGGACACACATTTGCTGTTGACTTTTCTTATGAAATGTCAAGTTCTCTCTGACAAAACAAAACTAACAATCTTCTCCACTCCATGCCTATACACAAAAAGTAAAAAATATTATTTACTTTTTAAGATCCAAATTCTATGAAAATTACTTCCTTATTTTCTGTGGAAGTGAAAGTTATAATGAGACGAATTTAAAGGCTTCCTCAAAACGCAGAATAGTTTACTTCTGATTTCCATTTTGTTGCAAGATACTTTCTTTTTATAATACAAATTTTCTAATTTTTGTAGATTTTGTGATCATAATATACTTTTTAGTTTTTTTTTTCCTTCTCTTTTTTTTTTTTTTTTTTTTTTTTTGAGACAGAGTCTCACTCTGTCGCCTAGGCTGAAGTGCAATGGCATGATCTCAGCTCACTGCAACCTCTGCCTCCCAGGTTCAAGTGATTCTCCTGCCTTAGCCTCCCAAGTAGCTGGGATTACAGCGGTGTGCCACCACACCCGGCTAAGTTTTGTATTTTTAGAAGAGATGGGATTTCTCCATGTTGGCCAGGCTGTTCTCAAACTCTTGACCTCAGTGATCCATCTACCTCGGCCTCCCAAAGTGCTGGGATTATAGGCATGAGCCATTGTTCCTGGCCACTTTTTAGTTATTTTCTATTCAGACTGAAACATTTGATTACTGCTAAAAACAAGTTTTGTTTTTCTCTGTTACAAATGAATCATACCATTTACTATGCATTATCTAACAATGCCTCATTTGGTATATGTGTTAAAAAACAAGAAATGTTAGGACTGTAAAAACTGCAGCAATTATTTTTAGAGTAGAACACATGGAATTATTTTACTGCATTTTAAAGTTCAAACTGAACTAAAGAAAGGGGAAGAAAGGATCATTTGAGTTTCAATATTATTTCAAGACTTTTCTTTGCTAAGTCATATTATACAATGTTAAATATTTAAACAATTTTAACATGCGATTCATTCGTTGTTTCATTCCAAGAGAAAAATATTATGGTATTTCTTTGCACCTTTTATAGGCATTTTATTCCAGAGCAATAATACCAGAAATTAAATAATTTCAAAATAATTTTAAAAGTTATAGTTAGTATAAGCATGGCTCATGCTTCTATATCATTTTAATTATCTAGACCTCAACAACCTAGACTAGTGGAGGGCAGACACTGACATAATGAAGGCATCCAGGTCTCAGCTCAAAATCAGAAGCACAGCTGCGTGGTTCTAGTCTTACAGAGGAATGTGTTTATAAGCAAAGGAGAATTCTGATCCCATTTTCACTTTGTGGCCTTTTAACCTAGAACAGCCCAGGGCTTCAGTATTCGTTTCCCAGACCACTGATGATAAGACAGGGAAAAGACCTTAGGTGCAAAAGCTATGACAAAACTAAAATTAGAATTCAAATTTAATTAGTGCCAAATGTCTCTCTCATGCAGGATCTCCAATCAGATCATAAGGCATCCAGCACTCTAAATGCCTCAAGATGAATACTGAGGTATTGATTTTTTTCTTTCAGAATTGAAGGACCACCATATGGGAACAGTGTTTGTCTCCTTTGATTGACTTGGGTTTTGTGGATGCATATGGTGCTGCTGCAGGAACCTCAAAGATTCTGAGATTTGGAATCTCTGTGACCAGGGTAAATGGTGCCATTAAACTGAATCCCAGATGTCAGGGAAAACAAACAAACAAACAAACAAACACACACACACACTAAGAGGGATGGGAGTTGGTAAGTTTAATTTTTCAAAAGCATCTGTTCCTTGTTCATTTTTTCTTACTGAAAATATTCTAAGTGCTGAGATATAAGTGCTGTATTCCAAAAACTTTGACCGTACATAAAAGAGCATAATTAAATACTCGTGGTTCTAGCCTTACAGTGGAATGTGTTTATGAGCAAAGGAGAACTCTGATCCCATTTTCACTTTGTGGCCTTTTAACCTAGAACATGACCAGCTATATAGAAAATGAGTAGCAATATATATTTGGAAAGAGCTCTGAAGTTTTCTAAACTCCTAAGCTGGATTGTTTAAGAGGCATTTCCTTACAAGTGTAACTCATTGGTAACAAACTTTATAGTGAAACCCTTCCCTAAGAGTTTGATAGTTTCGATTCCAGAATTTAGCCCGCTAAGTTAAAAAATGCAGTTGGCCACCCACTGTGCTGGTTATTTCATTCAGAGGAAAATGCTGGAGTGTTGGTAATGCCTCTAATCCCTAAAATTCTATTCCTGTTAATTACTAATGTAAATACTGTGTGGGTGACTGTTACTTATGTGGTCTATTGAAATGTTTCCAACAATATTGACAGAATGAAATGTCACCGTGAGACAATATTCACAAGGATAAACCCCCTTCTGTAAAAATCTACGAATATTATTGCTTGAAATATCTTACTTTAATAGAATGGAGAAAATATAAGAAATTCAATTATTCAATACCCAGGCCAAAGGAATGATTTGTAGGTGATATGATATGCTACATTTCTGATTAATATAGTGACATTTTCATAGCTCAAAATATAGCCCCTTTTAAGTATGTAGATGAACTCCTGAGTTTACTTTGAGAAACTAATAATATCCCTGCTCATAGTTGTAATCTATTATACAGTATTATACTTGGCATTGTTATTTCTAGTGAAGGATAAACTGTTTTGTGATTGTTCTGCATAATAATACTGAATTGCCTTTGAAGTAAGGGATGGATAGTTTTGATTGTTTCCCCAGCATCTGTCTCTCAAGCTTTCTGTCAAGAACCTGCAGACTGACCTTTGGTGAGCTCTGTTCTTTCATTTTTTAATATGTGCTTCACATGGGATTGAAACTAATCTTAGCTCAAAGGGTGGGCACCGATTGGCTTAAGGCAGGGTTTCTCAATATTGGTAATATAGACACTTGGAGCTTGCTATTTTTTGTTGTTGGGGGCTTTCTGTACGTTACAGGATATTTTGCAGCATGTTTGGCCTCTTCACATTACAAATCCCTAACATCTTTCCAGTTGTGACAACCAAAAATGTCTCTATGCATTGCCAAGTATTCCATGGAGGCAAAATTACCCCCAGATGAGAGCCACTGGTTTAAGGCAATCTATGCTTCCCATCCTCTCACCAAGTAATTACTTTAGGGATATGATGTCAAGCTGATCCAATAAGGATAAGTGGGTTTTTCTGGAAAAGTAGGGATAAAGAGGCTTTTCGTTGGACTTACTGAGTCTTGAAACTGCTTTAGCCTTGATGGGGAGACCCTATCAACCTTGATGGGGTTATTACACATTGGAATTCTAAAGAAGCAACCAAACCAGGGTTGGCAGATATAAGACAGGGAGGTCATTTTAGCATGGATCAAGCGTTTATTTATTAACCGTTTACTTATTTTACTAGTTATTATTATTTATTATTTATCTTAAATTAGATTTTATCCCAGTTAAAAGTGAAATTTCCTTAACAAACACATTTTTGATCTAACAACATATATTCACAATCACGCAGAAGGCAGAATACTTGAAAATTTGTTTTAGAAAACATAAATCACTTTAAGACACATGGATGATGGAAATACCTAAGTATAGTAGTTTGAAAGACCTTAAAATGATAGTGCTTCCACTTACCCACTAAAGGAAGATATAAATTTATTTTTATTTCTCCATGAACCTCTGAAAATCTTTTCAAAAACAATTATGTTGTCTTCCTTAGCAGAACGGCCACAGCTGAATGCTGACAGAATAGTCCCTACCACCACTGGTATGAGGTATGATAGAGAAAATTAAACTTGCAATATTTATGAGTCTTAGCATGTAAACAGATGCTTTTGTAATATCATCTAGGTTCTGAAAACTGTAGGAAAAAATGATAATTTATTTCCAATCATGGTTATTTGGGCTTCATGAACACAATATCAAATATGTGCAAAAACTTGTTCCCAAAACTATGACCAAAGTTTATTGTTCTCCATGGGAATTAATAGTTTGAATTCATTGAGTAGAGCTCATTCATATTTTTAAAATTGTGTTTAATTGACATAAATTGATTAGGAAATGACATATTTTGTTGTTTTTATAGTTACTAAAATTAAGATTGTGTTCTCTAGGTTTCAAAAACTGGTCGAATGGTAGAATATTAAAGAGTATATATAGTTCTATAAAACGAAAAGATAAAGGAATGGGTGTTCCCTGTGTGATTTGAAAGGAAACAAAGTATCTTTATTGAAATTCGCCTACAAGATTTTTGGCGCATTCGGTAACACATAAATTGAAAACTTGTTAATCACAATGACTCAAATTCATAGAGAGATAATTTTAAAGTAAAAAAGTAACAACATTCTTATATAGAAATGTAAAGGAAGGAGTGGGATAGGGAAAAGATACTATCCATACTATAGAAATGAAGATTGATGTCCTGGAATCCTTAAAAGACTGAATGCCCCCAAATAAAAAAAATGCCCCCAATTTCTAAAACTTTTCTGATTTTGAAGGTTAAACTGCATATGTTGTAAGGATTTTCCCAGAAACAGAATTCTATACTGAGAAGTCATATAAGAAAATAATTAAATATCAATGGGCAAGTAAAACATTCACAAATGTAAATATACCATGTTTTTTTTAGAACGTGAAGCTAATGTATTGCTAAAGGCATAATAAAGAAAGATCCTTTTTGAGACAGGTGTTCTTTAAACCCTTCTATTTTGACTTACATAGAAAAATAAACATTATCAAAATCGGGAATGACACCTCTGATTCAATAATAGAGGACCATGTAAAAACGTTGATCTCTAGTCACGATAATAACTTCTTTGGCACTCTGGTGCTATCCTTGTGGAAAAAACAGATTTTTCTATGTTTATAATAAGCCTTCAAAGCAAGTATTCTAAATTGCTCCAAAGCAGTGTGTACCAGGACATGTGGCTTGGATGCCAAACCAAAGCCTATTGTAAAGATTTCAAACCACATGCTCTGAATTTACAGATCACGCATAAGTATCTGAGGAGTAGGGAGGTCTGACTGCTGAACACCTAACTTCCTAAACCTAACATAATTTTGGAGCTCCAGGAGACAACTTTTTCTTAAAAAAAATCTGCAGTTGTTGAATATCTCATTTCCAATTCATTTCCTCTTTTTTTTTTTTTTTTTTGCAAGGCAGCCTCACTCTGCTGCCCAGGCTGGAGTGCAGTGGAGTGATCTCGGCTCACTGCAACCTCTGCCTCCCAGGTCCAAGCGATTCTCCTGCCTCAGCCTCCTGAATAGCTGGGACTACAGATGCATGCCACCACACCCAGCTAATTTCTGTATTTTTAGTAGAGAAGGGGTTTCATCATGTTGGCCAGGATGGTCTCGATCTCCTGACCTCATGATCTGCCCACCTTGGCCTCCCAAAGTGGTGGCATTACAGGCGTGAGCCACCACGCCTCGCCCATTTCCTCTTTTAATTAGAAAACTTTCAGTTTAAATTAATTTTTTATCTTGCCAATAAATGGAAGATACACTTGTCTATCAAAATAACAAATATCAGTCATTTTGCTTTCCAAATGAACTAGTTCAGAAAATTTATTTATAAAATTAAACTTGGAGTAAAAGCTGTTGTGACTCAGAAAACAATACCCCAAAATGAAGGCCTCAGAAGTGGCTGCAGAAGCGAAAATTTTTCTCTGACCTTCTCCTGTTCTCTTGTCTCAGTCCCATTCATGCTGGAGGCTAGCCATAGAAACCAGAACCCCTTTTCCCCAAGGCTAGCCATAATACCTAAAATAATTACTCTATCTGTCCCTCCAGCTTTCCTTGGAAAAACTGACCATAAAGAAATTATCTAGGCCAGGCGCAATGGCTCATGCCTGTAATCTCAGCACTTTGGGAGGCCCAGGCAGGTGGATCACTTGAGGTCAGGAGTTCAAGACCAGCTTGGCCAACAGGGCGAAACCGCATCTCTACTAAAAATACAAAACTTAGCCAGGCGTGGTGGCAGGCACCTGTAATCCCAGCTACTCAGGAGGCTGAGGCGGGAGAATCTCTTGTAACCAGGAGGTGGAGGGAGCCCAGATTGCGCCATTGCACTCCAGCCTGGGTGGCAGAATGAGATTTTGTCTCCAAGAACAAAAAGGAATTATCTGACCTACCTTGTTTCACTGTAGATGATAAAACTCCCATTCCAGAGAGGGTCCTGCCTCATACCCAGAAGGAATGAATGATCTGAGAGGCCAAGAAGAATCTAGACAGATGGGCCTTGCTGGGTTTCCCCAGTCACTCAGTCTATTAGCATTAGGCCATAGCATTTTGTGCAATCATATTTCTACATGGCTGTCCATACTTTGTTGAGCCTAAGTATAAAAATGAACAATTTATCCTGTATCTTTGGGTCTTCATTCTGAAGGCTTCTGTGTACACATTCATAAAATTTGTATGTATTTCATCCAATTCATGTGCCTTTAGTGAGTTTATTTTTTCAGTGAGCCTTCAGAGAGCAAAAGCTAAGTTTTCCCTTGGCCCCTAAAAGGCATAGGGTCATATCCTTGTATTAATCTCTTTACCAGTTGGAGCATCAGCTCTGTCATCAGTAAAATAAAATAATTATGTCTGCTCTATCATCCTGACAAAATCAAAAGAAAATTTTAAATAAAAAATGGATAAAATATAGTCATTTATTCCTTAATAAATGAAAAAAGTAAGCTTTTTGAAATCTTAAACCATTAGATAACATTTTTTCATGAAATTAATTTGCATTTTACAAATATATGTCATATATACCTTATATACTTACATCAGAAGTTATGATCTCACTCGTATGTGTGTAAATGTGTTTGTGTGTTCACATGGATGCCAACAGCGCTGGTATACTATTTTCAAAAGTGCCACTCTAAGGATATTTGAGTTCATGCTGTAACCATCAAAACACATGTTCTTCAATCATTTCTGACAAAAAATTATAGTACAACAGATTAAAGGAATGTAGGGGATGAGATTTATGTTGTAGCTTCTTTTTGTTGTTTGTTGCTGATATTATTTTATAATGAATTACAGCTATGACATATGTATAGATATGTATCTGATAGCATCTCATGAGAATAATTTTTCCTTCACGTTCACTCATGTGTAACATTTTAGATGTTATGTACTTCACAAATTACATTAAGATCCACTTTTCTGTTAGTTCGCAGGAGGTTCATGTTGCCCTCCAGTATCCATGTCGGTTTGTGCTGCTAATATTATTTATGCTTTTCCAATTCTATGCCTTTCCATGAAAAATTATACTACATATGTTTGTTGTTATAGTTGAACATTTTTTTTTTAATGTCACAGCAGGGAAATGCTAACTTACTATAAACCATTTGAAGGGCTCTATGTTTGCTTTAGAAACAAACTTAGAAAGTAATTCAGGATTGTATCTCCTCAGGCAAGGATGATCTACTTGAATTACCTAGAAAGGTGAAAAACCTGTATTATGATAAATTCTGCAGAGAAAATTTGTGAGAGAGCAGTATGTTTTGTGTCCCTAATTTCTAAAATATGTACAGATAAATAATTCCCACTGTCCAGAAGATTTTAACTGATGAAACTGGCCATAGGTATTTTTATGCCAAATTATAATAAAAAGACAGATATTTGTGGTTTGGAGAGAGAAAGAAGATAAAAATGAGTGTCTAAGTAGTTAGAAATATGTAGCTATAACATATATGAGAAATACATATGAAATATATATCACCTATAACAGAAAACCTGAAGGCTATACCATATATCCAGGCTTTGGTGGACTTCACGTGTATAGTTGTAAAAGTAAAAAAAAAAAACAAAAAACGACCATTACCATGAAACAAATAAAAAAGTCAATGTTACTAAATGAGGGGATCATATTATAATATGATATTTTAAAAAATGTTTGTATTGGTAAAGAACTGTCATAAATATTTCATATAACATTGATGCACTACATTTGCTAAGTAAATTCAAATCTCCAGGAGAACATTAATATGTAATAGTAAAATATACAGAGTTGTTCAGATGATCATTGGTGAAGGTTTGGGATCAAAGTGGCTCTAAATAATTCAACAACATCAATAAGCTTAAGTGAAAAGTTCCCTTTAGTTCAATTATCATCTACTCACCTTTTAACCCATAGACAGCTAGTCTCCTTTCGTAACAACTATCTCTCCTTCTTGTCTTTTTATTACTTTTGAAGTATATTTTCTTCTTTTTATATTACAGCATTCCTGTAGACTTATATTCTTTGCCAAGCATTACTTTCTCAATACACGAACGAGTCCAAGAAACAGCTCCAAATGTTTATTTTCAAAGATTGATAGTACTAATAGTTATGGGCACTTAACATTTTTGGAAAGATCTCAAGTCTTTTTGAGCCAGAACAAAAACACATAATATATTTATATATTGAAATTAGCCCTTATGCATGAAAAAAAAAAACACACTTCACTTTTACCATTTGGAAATCATAATCACAAATAGATATGATTTATATATCTTTTTCTACACAAGCGATAAGGTAAATATCTAACTTTACAGAAACCATTATCAATTAATGCATTTTATCATATTAACAAATACTAGGATAACAGTTATTTCCCAACAGTTTTTTGAGACAGGGTATTCCTCTGTCACCCAGGCTGGAGTGCAGTAAGGCAATCACAGCTTCCTGCAGACTTGAACTTTCAGACTCAAGCAATCCTCCCACTTTACCCTCCCAAGTAGCTGTGGCCACAGGCTTATGACACCACATCCAGCTACTTATTTAATTTAATTTTTGGTAGAGACGAGGTCTCACCATGTTGCCCAGGCTAGGGTTGAACTCCTAGGCTGGAGCAATTCTCCTGCCTGGAGAATAAAAAATAAACAATGAGTCAATTAAAGCTTATGATTGGTAGACAGATACAGTATTCAAGGAGGCAAATTTCATAATATGTTTTCAGTGTAAGTTGAGCTCTGGCAGAGAATGAAAAATAAAATCAGAATGCTACACAATAATAAACTTAAGTATATAATAAACCAAAGTTACCAGTGTGGCACAAGTAAAAATACACTTTCATTTTTATAACTTATTAGCAAAAGGTTTGACTGTGAAGATTGCTCTGTCTAAAGTCTTAGTATAACATTAGAAATTATACAGTACTCAGTTATATTCAAGTCTGATTACAAAAGGCCGGCATAATACATTTTCTCATTTATAAGTATTAAAAAGTAACTAAGGGGCAGAGCAAGATGGCAGAATGGAAGTATACACTGTTTGTCCCCTTCTGCTGGAACAGCACATTTTAACAACTGTCTGCACATAGAAAAGCTCCATGACAAGAACCAAAAATCAGATGAGCAATCAAAGTACCTGGTTTTAGCTTCATATTGCTAAAAGAGGGCACTGAGGAGAGCAGGAGAGGCAGTCTTGAATCACCATTGACACCCCTCCCCATTCCCCGGCTGTGGTCATGAGGCACAGAGAGAGTATTTGTGCACTTTGGGGAGGGAGACACAGTGACTGAGAAACTTTACATTGAATTCAGTGCTGCCCTGTCACAGCAGAGAATTAAACCATGCTGGGCTCAGCCAGCACCCACACAAGAAGGGAGCATTTGGACCAGCCCTAGACAGAGGGGAATCACTCATCCCATGGGCCGGAACTTGGGTTTCATGCAAGCCTCACCACTGAGGGCCAAAGTGCTCTGGGGTCCTAGGTAAACTTGAAAGGAGATTTGGGACACAAGGACTGCAATTCCTAGTGCTAGGCTAGGCTTAGAGCCAGTGAACTTGGGTGGCATGTGACTTAGGAAGACACCACCTGGCACAGCTCAAGGAGTGCTTGTGCCATCACTCCTCTAACCCCAGGCAGTGTAGCTTGTAGCAACAAAAGTTACTCCTTCCTTCTGCTAAAGGAGAGAAGAGTGAAGAAGAAAAAGGACTTTGTCTTGCATCTTGGATACCAGCTCAGCCACAGTAGGATAGGGCGCCGGGCAGAATCATAAGGCCCCCATTCCAGGCCATAGCTCCTAGATGACATTTCTCAACACATCCTGGATCAAGAAGGACCACTGCTTTGAAGTGAAGAGCCCAGTCCTGGAAGGACTTATTACCTGCTGACTAAAGAACGCTTGGGCCCTGAAAAACCACCATTGATACCCAGGGGGTATGCAATGGGCCTTGGGCTCTGAGACGTGCTGGCTTCAGAAAAGACCCATCACATTCCCAGCTGTGGTGGCTATGGTGAAATACTTCTGTTTAAGAAAAGCAGAGGGAAAAATAAAGGGGATTTTGTCTTGCACCCCAGCTATCAGCTCAGCCACAGTGGGATAGGGTAGCAATCAGGCCCTTGGAGTCCCTGAGTCGAGGTCTAGGCTCTTAGACAGCATTTCTGGACCTGCTCTAGGCCAGAAGGCAATACACTTCCCTGAAGGGTGAGTTCCAGGCCTGGCAACATTCACACAAGCTGAGGCAGATGCCTTGGGCTTTAAGTGAACATTGGTTGTGGGCTGGAGAAACCCCATGGACTAGTAGTGGTGGGAGCCACAAGAGAGGATCCTCAGCCATAGTAAGAGGAAGGAAGAGTGGGAAGGACTTTGTATTGTGGTTTAAGTTCCAGCTTAGCTGCAGAAGAATAGAACATCAGGCAAATTGGTAAGGTTTTTGACTCCAGTCCTTGGCTCCCAGACAGCATCTCTGGACACTCCCCAGGGCCTGAGGAACTCACTACCTTGAAGGGAATGGCCTTGAGCAAGTCCCAGTACCATGCTGGCTTCAGGTCTGACCCAGCACAGTCCCAGTGATGGTGGTCACAGGGGTGATTCCATCATTACACACCCTGTTCCAAGTGGCTCAGCACAGAGAGAGACACTCAATATGTTTGAGAGTAAGGGGAAAAAACAAGTCTCTGCCTGGTAAGTGAGATAATTCTTTCAGGTCTTATCCAAGACCACCAAGGCAGTGCCTCTATGAGTCTGCAAAAACCACAACATTATTGGGTTTGGGGCCCAAGTCCCTCCAAATACCTGGAAGGCCTTCCCAAGAAGGACAGGCACAAACAAGCCCAGACTGTAAAGACTACAATAAATATCTACCTCTTTAATTACCAAACACTGAAGAACACCTATAAGTATCAACAACATCCAGGAAAACAGGACCTCATCAAATGAACTAAATAAGGCACCAGGAACTAGTCCTGGAGAAACAGAGATATATGACCTTTCAGAAAGAGAATTCAAAATAGCTGTTTTGAGGAAACACAAAGAAATTCAAGATAGCAAAGAGAAGGAATTCTGAGTTATATCAGACAAATTTAATAAGCAGACTGAAATACTTAAAAGGAATCAAGCAGAAATGCTAGACTTGAAAATGCAATTGATATGCTGAAGAACGCTTCAAAGTCTCTTAATAGCAGAATTGATCAAACAGAGAAAGAATTAGTGAAATAGAAGGCAGTCTATTTGAAAATACACAATCAGAGGAGACAAAAGAAAAAAGAATAAAAACCAATAAGCATGCCTAGAAAATAGCCTCAAAAGAACACATCTAAGAGTTATTGTCTTTAAAGAGGAGGGAGAGAAAGAGACAGAGACAAGGGGGATTCATAGGGATAATATCAGAGAACTTTCCAAACCTAGACAAAGATACCAACATTCAAATACAAGAAGGTTATAGAACAGCAGGCAGATATAACTCAAAGAAGACTACTCTGAGGCTTTTAATAATCAAACTTCCAAAGGTCAAGGATAAAGAAGGGATCCTAAAAGCAGCCAGAGGGAAAAAACCAAACCGAAACAAAACAAAAAACCCAAATGACATAAAGCTCCAATGTATCTGACAACAGTTTTCAGTGGGAACTTTACAGGCCAGGAGAGAATGGCATGACATATTTAAAGTGCTGAAAGAAAAAACTTGTACCCTAGGATAGTATATCCAGTGAAAATATCCTTTAAGCATGAAGGAGAAATAAAGGCCTTCCCAGACAAGCAAAAGGTGAGTGATTTCATCAAAACCAGACAGGTAATGCTAAAGGGAGTTCTTCAATCAGAAATAAAAAAGATGTTAATGAGCAATAAGAAATCACCTGAAGGAAAAAAACAAAACAAGAAAAGAAGAAACAAACAAACAACAACAAAAAAAACCTCCCTGGTAACAGTAGGCCAAAGAAAAACACAGATTAGTATAACACTGTAATTATGATGTATAAGCTTCTCTTGACTTAACTAGAAGGACTAAATGATGAATCAATCAAAAATAATAACTAGAGCAACTTTTCAAGACATAAACAGCACAATAAGACATAAAGAGAAACAACAAAATGTTAAAAAGTGGGAGGATGAAGTTAAAGTGTAGAGTTTTTATTAGTTTCCTTTTTGTGAGTCTGTTTCTTTATGCAATCAGTGTTAAGTTGTCATCGGTTTAAATAGTGGGTTATAAGATAGTGTTTGTAAGCCTCATGGTAACCTTATGAAAAACATGCAATGGATACACAGAAAAGAAAAAGCAAGAAATTAAAGCATACAACCAGAGAAAAATCTGGGTTTGACCTTGTAGACTCCTTAAAAGGGATTCCAAATTTCCATGAACCATGCTTTGAGTATGGCTGCAATAAAGGGTTAATAGTTCCTGTGGGCAAAGGAGACCTAACACAATTCCCTTTAGCTTTTCCCATAAGCCATAATGAAATATTTGAATCATTTACTAAATTTTTTAACTCTGAACAATGCATATGGTAACACACAATTTCTTTCAAAATTAAATTAATAGCAAGAAATACTTGAAAGTAATTTAGCAGACATTATCAAAATGTACTTCCAGAATTGAAAGAAGCTAAATATTAGAGGAGAAGAAATAAGTAAATGCCCTCCATATAGGAAATTTCCCATTTCTCCATATTCTCTACATTTAGGCCTTGGGAAAAGTTATCTTCCTTCTCTCCTTTCTTTTCCTTTATATTTAAAGAGACATGCACACAGACAGTAATCCTTAAGAAATGTATTATATATTATAGGTTCTATGCCTTTCTTTCTTTTTATTACATAGAATGTGGATTCAATGGAAAAGTTCCTAACATGAGGTATTGTTTCTGATCTGTTATAGTTTATAAGAGAAATACGAGACAACATAATGGATCTGTCAAAGAAGTAAAGGAGAATACTTGAGCGGAATAACTCATGTATATAAATGCAGTTATTGCAGAACACTTACTAGGCTATGTACCCTCCAAAACTGCCACTGGCATTTCACCTCCTCACACTATTGAAAAAATCCTTAGCATCACCCCGAATGACTTCAGCAGAACGCAAGATCTTTTGTAAGCTATAAAATTACCTTCAGTGCTATTGATATGAACTGAAAACTAACTTTTCAGAAAGATGGGGAACAATTCTTTCTCTATTTTTTTTTTTTTTTTTTGAAGCAGTTTCATTCTGTCACCCAGGCTAAGTGCGGTTTTATGATCACAGCTCACTGCAGCCTTAACCTTCTGGGCTCAAGGCATCCTCTCACCTCAGCAACCCCGAGCAGCTGGGACCATAGGTGCACCCCACCAGGTACAGCTAACTTTTTATTTTTTGTAGAGATGGATGTTTCATAAAACATCCAGGCTGGTCTTGAACTCCTGGAATCAAGCAATACTCCTGCCTCGGCCTCCCAAAGGGCTGCGATTACAGGTGTGAGCCACAGCACCTGGCCTTCTCTCTCTCTCTCTTTTCTGCATGTTCCTAATGTGACTATTATATGTGAACAACCTGAGTCTAAAACAAAACTTAGATCGCTCCTTTAAATAGAAAAAAAATACTCCTACTTTGTACATTTAACACCTATACTTGATAGAAAACTCAAAAGAAATATTTTTAAATGTCTAGATTCATGATGTTTGATTCTAAGAGTATTCAAAATACAAGCAACATATCTATTTCCATACCTCCAGAAATAACTGCCAATATTTTTTCTATATTGTACCCACTGAAAAGCCCATTAAATTTAACTTGATTTTAAATACTCATTTTTTAGCTTTAAAATAATACATTGAAGATAAACATATAGACAGAAAGTAGATTGGACACTGCACAGGTTGGGGAAGGAGATTGGGATGAACAGTAATTGGCATGCAGAATCTTACTGTGGTGATAACAATATTCTAAAACTGATTTATTGCAGTGGTTGCAACAGTTGCTAAGTTCACTAAAAACATCACTGTACTATTGAAATGAGTGAATTATATAGTATATACAAATGCTTCAACAAATTTACATTAAAAATAAATCATTACATGAGAGAAGCCGGACAAAAAGTATACAATATATGAAACCTTTTATTAAAATTACAAAGTGGGCAAAACTAATTTAGTTTTTCAAATCAGGATAGGGCAATCCTTGTAGGAAGGAATATGGCTGGTGCAGAGCACAAGGGGGCGCTTTCTGAGGTGACATTAATTTTCTGCCTTATCTGTGATAGTTACATGGATGAGCTTGATTTGTGAAAATTCATTGAGGTGTACACGTATGATATACGGAATTTTCTGTAGGCATATTATACATCAATAAAACGTCCACAGCAGAACAGCAATAAACTTGTGAACCAAGGATGAGCAAAAGATTACTAGAAAAAAGCTATGCCCTTGTGTTCTTTTCTAGTGTTCTTCCACTTACATAGCTAGTATCACTTAGGTCTCTTCTGGTTCCACTAATGCTGCCATCTTTCAAGAAGCAGCTCTAAGATTTCCTTTCCAGTGAAATGCTCTCTTATATCATTCAGCTGAAAGAGCCTTCTTCCTTTAATCTCTTCAATACATATAAATGAGATAAAAAGTAAAATGTTGAGCAAATGGTATAGTTGAGTTTTCTCATCTGCCAAAAAATACATAGTTTTATGGGGAGAAAACACGACTAACTTATTTATCCATCAAGCCCAAAAGTAACTGTTATGGTAAACTGCACGTTGTAAACTTTCAAGTGCTGGTTAACAACTGAAATATTTCAATTAATAGTTAAGAATAACATGAAACCTAAGCTGAATGCCAAATGTAAAATTTCTAAAGTTATCCAGTTGCTAAACTGTAATTTTCATATTTAGATTTCCAAAGTTATGTGTAATATTTTTTTTAAAAAACTCTCTAAAATATATAAAAAAACAAAAAGAAATAGAAACCATTCAAATAATAGAGTTAAGAAAGCTTTTAAGTGGCATAACAAAATTAGCATATTTATTTATTCATTTATATATCCAAAGTTGGTTTTAGGTAAAATCAACAGGCAGTCTGCCTTCTAGAAGCCTACAATTTGCTTTAGACAAGGCAGCTGTATGATAATATAGGTTTGTTAATGTTTAGATGAGATTAAAGAGAAATGTAGGTGATAATAATTGAGTAAAAGTATAAGTTCCTGAGAAGGACAAATAAATCTGTTGTGATGTTTTAATAAGTTCTCTGGTTAGATATTGAAGCAGAAGTAAAGCATGGACGATTGGTGGGTGGTGGACAGAATGGCATGAGAGCACACGTGATTGGAGAAAATGCAATCTGGAAAGCAATGAAGAAAGTGGCTTCTCTAGACCATATATCAGATTGCAAAGCTCTACTGAAGAAAAATATGGAAATCAAGAGTTACAGCCTTTCAATTCAACTTCCAAATTTTTCACACTTAGCTTTAATTTACACATCAGTATGCAGTTTAATTTATGCCTTTGTTCACGTGTACTCACACATCTGCCTCAATGACATTTCATATCTCTCCTTGCCTAGAACATCTGTCTACTGCATCACTCTGAAGCAAGTTATGGGCTTTTTAAACAAGGTTATACAAGAATACGGTGATAATCATGCTGTTTATACTGAGTAATAATCCTTCATAAGACATGCTTAGAAACGTTTAGACTCTGATATAGTCTCTTTCTAGAAGTTTAAGCAAAAGAAAAGGATTAAGATACCTTTTAAAAAAACATGTTTTCCATTATGATTTCAGTTTAAATGCTTTAATCTATTTAAACTGTTTGTACCATTAGTATGATGTCCATACCATAAGTAGTAATTATTAGCATTATTTAACATGCTGTGGTTGGCGTAATAGTGTAACTACGTTCATTATAAAGCAGCTTAAATGGCCACGACATTGTGCCTCTTGGGAGCTTACAAAATAAAACCTGATTTCTTTTCTCAGAGAGTCAAAAACATTTACTTTGGACAAGTCTAAATCTAGTACATTTAACAGTTAAAAGGCAAGTGAGAAACTTGCTTCCATGGAGAATTAACCAAAGTTATTTCAGCTAACTGACAACTCATATTTGTGAAACCACCAGGAGGGTTTACACAAGTGATTTACTAACGGTGCTTAAAGTATTTTTACTCTACACATTTGTCACTTAGTGTACGCATCCCATATAGTTCAGTGACTCCAAAGGATCCATTATAACTACTTTTTTGAAATACTTATAAGATTAAAGGCTTATTTTTGGAGCTGTTAATAATATTAATGAAAGGATTAAAACAATTTCAGTGAAAATCATATACAGATGAAAGAGCTAATGCTTCTATTACATTTTAAGTGAAAAATGAATCAGAGAAAGGCAGAATTTCCTTCTCAACTCACATTCCAAATGAATTCTACAGAATCTTATGTTTGGTTAACTAAAACAAATAAAAATATCAGTTTAGTCATAGTGCCCACTGCATACTACTCATAGAAAACCACTCCTGAAACACCATTACAATACCTACACACAACTAAATAATCAGAACTCTTTCAGGCATAGCATTTAGTATAGTTGGAGGTATGTCAAATACGTAACGATAATAGAGACACACAAGAACAACAAGATGTAACCAAACTTTTATCAAATGAAATGCCTAATTTTAATATCTTATTTCTTATTAATGCTCACCTTAGCATGAGCCATCATTTTAGTAATAGACAAATAAAAGCCCTCAGATTTGCCCATATTTCATTACCCTTCAAGTACACATCAGTGCTTTAATCATCAAAAACCTGACATATTATAATTCGTATTTATAATTTATGTAATAGTAATTTATAAAAATAACATATTGACTATGAATGTATTAATTACACACAAAAATACTTATCAAAATTTTGAATATGAAGAAGACAAAAGGTGAAAAATAAGGAAGGCTTTCCTAAGTACAAAAGAGAGAATCCTTGAAATCTACTGTTTTTGTCTTTAGACTTCAATTTGTTTAGTTTTATCTAAAATATAGTTTTCCCTATATTTAAAGAAGTTCTTAAATAATAGAAGGAAAAGAAATAACTGAATAGCTGTAGGCTTATACTAAAGGAATGACTTTATCCCTGATTTCTGAGAAAGCATAGTAATAGTGAACAAATATCTAAGAGATATATAATACTTAGCTAACTTATCAAGACATTTTAACATAATTTAAACCTTATATAATATGCATTCCTACTGACCAGTCTCTTTAGAATCAAAAATATTTCTTACCCACTGATATTATATGATACATTCATTTATATGATGTTAATATGGCCATATTTAGATTGCTCAAATATTTAAATTAATTTCATATGCTGAATAGCAAAAGAATACTTTTAAAATTATTTTCCAAGGCCAACTAATCCTTAATCAATACTCTTACTACATTTTGATTAATGATTATAAATTACCTATTAATTTTTACTTCTTTTTTTCCCTACATTGTTAGAAAGTTATTGTTAGCAGTAAAATAATTTTTCTGCCATATTTGGAGAAAATCTTATTTTTGCAAATTGTGAAAAATACATTTATTCTTCTCTCATGTAATGAACTCAGTTCTAAAGAACACTATCAAAATAACAGCATGCAATGTCATGCAGACCATGAAATGTAATAGATAATCCAATAAATTGTAATACTTTCCAAATGCTGTTTGCAATTAGCATTTTGGTGATACAAGGAATAGTCAGATATGGAAAAACTATTTTGAAGTGTCCTAAAATACATAACACTGTTTATGTTCTTATGCTTAACATGTAACACAGATTGATGTTGAAGGTTTATATTGTGCACAAAGAAAAGAATATTAGAAGTATCATACCTTTGAGACATAATCTTATAGGCATCTGGCAGATAACATCGGATATTCTCCATCTGAGCAGGGTCAGAGTCACAAATTTTGTCATCAGTCCTGCCATAGTTGGCACTTTCTATCATGATGACGTCTGTTCCTGGACAGCGAAGCTCTATAGGATAGCTCTCACAGGATAGCTCTCTGCGGACCACAGCCATTGGAATTGGGGCACGGCTGAAAGCTGCCAAAAGGAAGAGGAAGAAAAGAGATGCCATCGTTACTACATACAAAGGAAAATTACATGTGTTCGCTTTTCCAATGTTTGGGGTAAATCAATACGAAGATATAAAGCAGTTAAGATTCATAATTTTAATTAAACTAGAATATTTTTCTCTTCAGTAACTTTATAAATATTTTTCTTCTAATCTAACAGAAACAGTTATTTCTTAAAATCTTTATCACACTTTTTTTCTTATAAATGAAAAAAGGCACTGTCGATTTTCTATTAAACTCTTGGCCTAGTGTGTCAGATTAAAACTAGATAGAAATATCATCCAGTTTATACAGTCAGATATTCAAATAAAACTTGCAAGTGTTCCTTTCTTCTTTCTTTTTAATAACAAAATCATCATTGAAAAATTGCACTATTGTTGACTTTAAATATACTTATTTAAGTAATCTATTTCAATTTTACAACATACGTCCATTGTTTTAGGCAATACTTTGTGAGTTCACTGTAGAACTAATGCTTGCTATTTATTTAAGAAAATGGAGATTCATTTGGAGGAAAAGTTATATTTTCCTTTAGCTCCTCCCCATACTCTTCCCCACTGTCAACAGGTAATTAGTTACCCATGTGGAGACCTCCCAATTAGAATTTTCTTCACAGAAACAGACATGTGTGTGTTCTCCCGCTCCTCTTTTCACTTTACTCTGAAAATTTTACTCAGGTAGTATCACACTATACATATTGTTTGATATTTTGTATTATTTTATTTATAAATGTAATGATATATGATGGAAATCTTTCCATATCTGGATATTGTTTCCTTCACTTTTAATGGCTACATCTCATAAATATATAAATTATTTAACTATGCCCTATGCTCATGGACATCCTGAAAGGTCTTGGTGTTTTTGTGTCATAATACTGCAAGGAAGCCTAAACCTATCTGTGCACCTTGGCTGTAATATATTTGAGAAAACCTAATTATCCAAATACATTTTAAGGTACATTTCTAAAAAATGAAATTGATGAGTCAAGAGGGCAATACATTTCAAATGTGGCAAATATCAATAGATTTCAAATAAACTTGAAAATGAATACTTTCTATCAACAATACTTTCTTCTTCAAAACTAAATATTATCAATTCCTTTAAGCTTTGTCAATTTGATAAAGAATGGTATAATATCTTTAACTTGTACTACTTTACTTGTACTGTGGAATATATTTTCATATGTTTATTGACCTTTTGTATTGCTTTTATTTGTGAATGGCTTGCTTACATTTATGTAAAATTTGCTGTTATAAAAGTTTTTTGTATAAGAAAAATAAACATTTGTCCTTCATATTTATGAGAAACACACTTTTTCTAGCTTGACGTTTAAGTTTAGATGTTTGCTGGACATATATATTTAATTTTTATACAGGAAAGGTCTGCCTTTTCCTGTCAAGTTTAACAGTTTCCCTCTCCAAGATTGTGAACATAATCACTACATTATTGGAAAAGAGTCAAATGTTAAGTTATGATAACTCAACAAATCTTCTTTTATAAGCATGTAATTTAAATTTTAAATGAAGCGTTTACTAACTGTCAAATAAGTTGATTTCCACACTAAGAGAATCAGTTATAGAGAAACATACATGATAGCTTAAATTTGCATTTATAGTTGATTAACTCACTAACGTGCACATGCACAAAAGACATGTATTTAAACAAATATGTGCTTCTCTTGTGGCTTTTTTACGAAGCATGAAATGTGAAAAGAAGGGAGGAGAGAGGCAGGGAGGTGAAAAATGGAGGGGCAAAGAAAGAGAAAACATGTAACTATAAATATTTTCTCTTGAAGTTTAGAGAAAATATTGATTTGGTTTATGAAACATATCTATAATTTAAAAGTTGAGAGTGGTGTTGGTTTTTACCTCATTTGTATGATATTTTTGAAAAAGTAGGACTGTACCATAGACCCTAGGCAAAACTTCTTAGCAGGTTAACAGGTCACTTGAAGTTATTCAAGCTGCACTGCACAGTTAATTCCATTCTGGTTGGTGTTCAGCATTTTATTTCTCTCTCTCTCTCTCTTTCTTTATTGTGTGCACACACATACACACACACCCATAGAAGAATCTAGCACATCCACAGCATTGATTGAAGAGAGTTAGCACAATTAAAGGTTGGTTATAATGTTACTTTTAAAGTTTGTTCTTGTGTCAACACTTAGCAAGGTACTCTCACAATAGACACTGAATTTGTGATATGTGCATTTCTGTTGTCCCTAAAATAAAACTCTTTGTTTATCACTCAGAAATTGGATGCTTATTTAAATCTGAAGTCCTTTTCAATACTGAGATGCTATTTTCATGGATATAGACATTTTCATAAGTGTATTTAAAGTCTTATATAATAGAATCATTGAATTAAAAAAAGGACTTTGGTCAATTTAAATGGAATCATAGAGGTGATTTTGTTTTTGTTTTCACAAAAGGTCCTTAATATCAGAATTCCCTGAATGTTTTAGTGTAAACTTTTATACATTTATCAAGAGACAAATTGTTTCTTAACTTTTATAACCATTTTATAAAAAATCACATTGAAACTGCTTCCAAACATTGGATTCATCTAGCTATAGTATGTTGACTAAACCAGTCAATTAAGTTTTTTAAAAAAAGGTTAATGTAACAAAAAAATAACAAATAAGCAAAAAGCATTTGTTTCAGTAAGTGGGGAATTTGGTTTATTAAACTCATGGGTCAATTTTGTCAATACATTGACATAGCTGTAATCTGGGTCTTCACTGTTAAAAATATGATTTAGTACCAGACACTAGGCAGTTGCAAAGTCAGTTAAAATGTCGGGGTCCAAATTTTCCATGTATCTTTTGGACTTGTAAGAATGATTCAAAAGTTATGGGTATGGCAATTTTTATGGAGTACCAGAGTTTGTGTATGCTTTCTTCCATTGAATGTATAATTGCATTTATATCATCAGTAACCCAGTGACAAACTGCACTCCATAAATGATGGATACTTTGTTTACGGGAATTTGTTAATGGGAATGTATGGCTGGAAATTACTCTATAACATTATCTAATTAGCTATTTAAATTACTTTTAATTATGTTACTAACTGTTTTAATAGCAACCAAACTCCAAAGGAAAAAAAAAGGTTTTTGTTAAGAAAAGTTTTTTGCCATTCAGTTATCATGCTACTAATGGAAAGACTTGGTTAGAAGAGGAAAACACTAAAACATGGAAAATGCCAACAATTCAAATGCAGAGTAATGAGTCAAATAGTCTACTGCATGTTGTGCCAGGTTAACATTGCATTGGGCATTGTGGAGTGACTCATAACGTAATAATTTGGAGGAAAGAAGGCATATACATACCTTCTTATGCTCCTTACCACTTTTATTCCATGAGGTAATCTGTTATATCAAAGAACACAGTGTCATCTATTAGGTGTGTAATAGATATCTGCTGAATAAATTGGAAAAGTTTTAGATGTGAAATCTGGAAACCTTCTGCTAGGATGCCACACTTTGGAACTACTCACTGACCACAGGACTGACTGAAGGGACATGAACTAATTAAACATCTCTGATAAAGATGTCAGAACCTCAGAAAGTTTCCAAAATTCATATCAAACATACAGCTAGTGAAAAGTGCTTTTGATCACATATTAACTGTGAGGAAAGCACATAAAATATAAATATCAAATAATAAAAGAAATAGCTCCCTATTCTTGCTCACTTGTTTTCCGCAGAAATTAATCCTATTCTTTACTTCTTTTCTGAAATTTTAGCCACTTCATTATTGAAACCTCTTGTCATTCTGTTTCCTTCTCCTTGGGGTCTCTCCCCTACTGATAAGCCTATTTGGTGCTTTTTGACTCGATATGCTATAAGGCCTTGATGAACTTGTGTGTGATGGTAACTAAAGATACCAGACTAGGGATGGGAAGTCAGGAGGCTAGAAGTAGGTGACCGATCAAGAGTCAGGTGACTCCTCTTGGTCTCCATGGACTGGGGTCAGAGACTTGCCAAGGTAACCCTAGGCTATTAACTAGGGGCTTTCATAGAAGGGAATATTACTTCAGACATGAAATTATGGGACAAAACATATCAATAAGTAAAAGACTAAATATAGTCTAAGAGGCAAGTAGCCAATTAATTGGTTGAGGTTATAACAAATATAATTAATTCAGTTGAAATACGTTAAATTTAAGGTGTCAGGATATCTGCAAATGGTTAATAATCAGTTGAATTCACGAGTCTAGAATTCAGGAGTAGAATATAGGCTAAAATCATGTTAATATATAAAGTAGCTAAGTGAGTGTTTCTAGAGTAAGAGAAGAGGGATGAACAAAGAAGTTGGAATATCAGTGGTCACTGACGACTTGAAGAAGGTGCTCCTTAGTCATGGGAGAGATACACAGAAGGTCATTTCATATCTATTCAAGGAAGATTTTGACTGTATGGACTAAATCACCTGCCATTGCACTAGGGGAAGGGAACGTAAATAATTACATGATAGATGAATCAAACATTTCTCTGTCTCTCCCTGGGCCAAGTCTTCAATGTCCTAGTCAAATCTGTTTTTTTTTTTCATGCATTGCTCTACATATTTAGCGATCCAGTCAAAAATGAGGGCTACACATTAATGGTAGACTGGTTAAAGAAAATATGGTACATATACACCACAGAATACTATGCAATCATAAAAAGGAATGAGATCATATCTTTTGCAAGTACATGAATGGAGCTCAAAGGCATTATCCTCAGCAAACTAACACAGGAACAGAAAACCAAACACCACATGTTTTCACTTATAAGTGGGAGCTGAACAATGAGAACACATGGAGACAGGGAGAGGAACAACACATACTGGGGCCTGGAGGCAGGAGCGGGGGGAGGGAGAGCACCAGGATAAATAGCTAAAGCATGCACGGCTTAATACCTAGGTGATGGGCTGATAGGTGCAGCAAACAACTATGGCACCATTTACCTATGTAACAGACCTGCATGTCCTGCACATGTATCCCAGAATTTAAAATAAAATTAAATTAAAAGAAAAAAATAATAAGAGCTACAGCCTAATCTCCATATAGCAGAGATGAAAATCTTCAGACTGCCCTATTTGTCTGTTTGCTACAATTATAAAAGCATCAGCAAAATGGCTTATATTTATATTTATTTTCTATTTCCTTCCCTTCATATTTTGTTTACTCCAAATCCTATGTATTAAAAGCAAAACAACAAGAAATCTATCAAATAATTTTTTACAAAAGAATCAATAAGAAATGCAAATTAGAAGGCTATTTCATAGTAATAAAGATAAGAAAAGATGGTTGTTTTAAATAGGTAATGATAAAGAATGTATTTGAACAACGTTTAGGAACAAAAAATTACATGATTTGATGACTGACTGAACATGTAAGGTAAGGGAGAGAGTGACAAGAATGGCTGCCACGTTTCTGACATATAAGCAAATGGTTAGATTTTAGTGTCATGAGCCAGATTTGGTAGGAAGTTAAATATACAAGTCTATGAATCAGAAGAGTGATCTTCATCAATTTGAGAGTTAAAAGGTAGTGCTTAAAAATCACAGAAGTAGATAACGATAACCTAGGGAGGGAGATAGTTAAAGAGGTCCATTTGAGTCAGGATAGGTAATCAAGAAAGCCACCATGTCCTGGAGACACAGCAACTATGGCCCTTTAAGAGCAATTCTTTCAGCATTCACATTGTAGTCAAGTTCATTCAAAAAGAGCTATCTCTAGGAGGGAATTGTCCCGTGGAGGGCATGCGCATTTTGATTCTACCTGTTCTCAAAATTACTCTTTGCTGATTATAATAGTGAAAAACACACCCCTGGATGGAGATTTAAGATGCTAATGAGACATGTAATGTATGAACAAGCATGTACAGCTACCGTGCACGTGCACCCAGAGGACCACCCAGAACATGCTTACTAGTAACAGCTCTTCCCACCCTCTCATGAATAATCATGTAAGGTGACTCCCATAAAGGGAGTTTTCCCAGTAACTGTGGCTGTCTAATCCTTATGAGCAGCCCTCTCTGAATCATCTCTCAGGGTGTACTGTCTATTCTGCACCTAACTTTCAAAATATTCTTTCTTCTTTGCTATAAATTGCTCCATGCTGCATCTCCATTGCTGTGTTTCTCTTGTTTAAATTCTTTAAACTAAGAATACAAGAACCCAACTTTCACAACAGCCATCAACACACGTGGCAATTTTAAAATGTGTTCACAGTTCTTTGATACTCTTCCAGTATTCTTCCCTTTTCTCTTGAATGTGGATGTACTGAGTGACTCGCTTCTAAAGGACTTAGTGTGGTATAAATGAGTATGTGATTTCAGAGAGTAGTTCATTAAAAACACACTGCCACTTCAGCCTCCCTTCAGTCCCTCGTTTTATGCAAAGCCAACTATCATATCTTGAGAGCACTCAAGCAGTCCCATGGAAAGGTCCAGGGAGCAAAGAACTGAGGCACCCAGGATGAACTTCGGATGCACATGAGAGAGGCACCTTGGAAGCTGGTCTTCCATCCACCAGAAAGCCTTCCTTCAGGCAACTGCAACCCCATGAGAAACCCCGGGGCTATACCCAACTAATTAAACTACTCCTGGACTCCTAACCTACAGAAACTGTGTAAGATAATAAATGTTTATTGTTTTAAGCCACAGAGTTTTTGGCTATCCAATACAGCCCAGAACCAAGCCTGAAAGAATGTTTAAAGAATTGACACTGAAACTGTTAGATAGATATTGAAAAATTACCAAATAAATGAAAGAAAAATATTATGAATGATCGTACAAATAGTCTAGTATTACCATCCGTTTGCTTAAACAGCATTTAGGCTATTAGTTTTTTATGGAAACAGTGTTGAATTACTAATAGGTGCTAAAAACGATTTTTTGCCCCTGCATCTCACTGATCATATGAAAAAAAGAGCTCTTTTGAAAATTAAAAAATAAAAATGAAACAGATTTGATTCCTCTGAGGAAGTAGTTAATTAAACTATTTGTAAGTCAAGGCTAATGATTCTAAAAGAGTTTCTTACATATCTGAAAGTGGACATGATTCTACTTATTGGCAATGCCTTTGAAAAACATTTCATTACTTCAATGCTGCCAAAAAGTAAATATTATCAATTTTAAGTTTCAGCAGAGCTTTTGACATAATTTTCTTAAATACATGTATTTTCTCCGTGTCATTTTACATGCCAACACATTTATCTAAGTTTTAAGAAATGTGCTCTGAAAATCTAATCCAAAACACTTGGCAGCAAAAACAACACTGGTAACCAAAAGAAATAACCCATCATCTACTTTCTTTAAAAGAACATATGCTCTCAGGAGACTTCTAATACACTGAATTCTAACAATTCTATTTCAAAAAAGAATACATATAATTGAAATGGCATTTTAGCATTTAACTAAGTGTAACAAAGTGACAATTAAAAAAGAATAACCAAAGACAACTATGTTCTGAGGTCAAAAGAAAAGCATGAAATTCAGATGTTTTAATATACAATTTCTGAACTTATAGAAAAAAATTCTAATGAGTGGTACATCATCAAACAATTAAGCAGCTATTCTTTTGACTTACGGAGCTTCATCATGAACCTCATCCTTTTTGAGGGCACATACACAAAGTTGTGACCTTCAAATGAAATCGTCTACCTGAGGATTGCCTAAAAAAGCAGCAAGTGTGTGAATAAATGCATTTCATATCTACTTACTATAGCATTTCAACATTTAATAGAAATCACTTTCCACATTGTCTTCCAATTCACGAGAAATAACATTTCTAAAACTTTGTCAAATTTCACATATCACAATTTTCCCAATCTTCTAAATGTCAAAAAATCCAAACTGGCTGTTTAACATGTTCTTAAGAGTAAGAACTGTAATTTCAAGATAAGCAAGAATCCACTAAAAAGAATTATTTAGTTCAAAAGAAATTTTTTAAAATATGCCAATTTAATTCTAAATGCATATTGATCCCTTACAACGTGGATGCTGGGAATTATTACACATAAGACATGGGTGTCATCTGAAGTCTCCCTTCACATTAGGTATTATCTCAGGTCTAGGAGTGGTCCTATATGGGATGAAGTTCCAAGAGTCTAGCAGAAGCTTCAGAGTTAACACATGAAATCAAGGAAATGATAAAACTTCATGTATGTGAACAAGCTCCCAAAGGCAAGGGATGTTACTCATGATTAACAAGACCAGAAAGGGGAAAGTTCAGAGCAGGAGAGAAGAGATAGGCCGATGACCCAGAAGATGGATACTAAGAATCTTTCTGTCTCCATGGGTCTCTAGAAGCTTGTAGTTGGAGAAAGAATGAATACATGCCTATGCAAAGCTTAAAACATTATAAAGCAGAATGATGTGGAACAGATAAAAAGTAAGAATTTCAGAGAAATCAAATAAACATGTGCTAGTGTGCTTAAAAAAGATTTCTCGAATGACGAAGATTTGAGTTGGTCTTTAAAGATGAAACAATATGTATGGATATCGGAGAGGGGATAGTAAAATACTTCAGGCAAAAAATCTGAGCAATGAAATGTGCATTTACAAGGGAGGTAGGAACAGAAGTGAACAGTAGTAAAATCAGAGAAAGCCTTAAAATTAGACACAGAATATAGCTCAAATTAGTTAAAGCAATAAAAGATTATGATATAATATAATGACATAATAAAGAGATTTATCAAATTAATCTTAAAAATTATTAGCCAATAGATTATTTAAACAGATTAGGGTTAAAGGAAAGAGAGTGTGGGTATTAATGAGGAAGATACTGGAATGAGCTATTTAGGGCAATATGACAATGGTAATCGCTAAAATTTATCAAGTGTTTTTCCTGTACTGGTGCTTTAAAAGTATCACTTTATTTCAAATTCCCAATGATAACAGTTTAGAAAAATTATCATCCCCATTTACCAAACCGTGGCTTAGACAAAGATAGGAAGAATAGAAGGCATGAACGAGAAAGTCATAGAGATAAGATGCAATAACTCTCCTTGGGTGTCACACACAGAGAAAACAGGAAAGGGAACTTCTTTTAGGAAATATGTAAGGAAATACAAGAATATCACACCAATAATCAGTTGTATAATCTTTATGGTTTCCCATTTCATTAGTGAAGTGAAATCTAATTCCTGAATATGAAATGTAAGTTAAACGTTCTATTCAACTTATTGTGCTTGGCAGGAACTTTTTTTCTTAACAGCACAAAACATAATATAATTTTAAGAATTCTTTACTAACTAATATACTATAAAAGTTAATATGAATCTTTGTATAAAAATCTACTGTACTAATATAGAAAATCATTACTTCCACTTTAAAATGTGACATTCATTGTCAAATTTGGTCATTACCCTTTTTTTTTCTTTTTTTTTAAGAGACAAGCTCCCACTCTGTCACCTAGGCTGAAGGGCAGTGGCATGATCATATGTCACTACAACCTCGAACTCCTGGTCTCAAGTGATCCTCCCACCCCAACCTCCTTAGTAGCTGGAACTACAGCCATGCGCCACCATGCCTGGCTAATTTTTTTTTTATTTTTTGTAGAGACAGTATCTCACTATGTTGCCCAGCTAGTCTCGAACTCCTGGCCTGAAGCAATTTTCCCACCTCTGCCTCCCAAAGTGCTAAGATTACAGGGGCAAGCCACCTCATCTGGCCTCAGCATACTTTCATAGCAGTATATAAACATCAATATTCTTTATTGCAAATCAACAATTACAAAGTTTATGTTATTCTTATGGTGGAGCCAAGAAAATTTGTAATCATGCAGATTTTAACAGAAGAAACTTAGTGAAGAATAAAACAAGTTTTGAATGAATGGAGGTCACAGTTAAAACTATACAAAATTTTAATTTTGAAGGAAAGGAGTTATTAAGCAACAAACAAATGCCTCACTGCACTATACATGCTTTTGAGAAATGCACAATCTATTCACATTCTTCCCTTCCCTCCCTCATCCCCCCCCCATTTCCCTAACACACACATGCACACACACTCTCTCTCTCACACACACACACATACACACACACACACACAATTATTCACTGGAAAGGACAAAGAGCTTTCAGTGGCATATAATTTTTGTTTTGTTTTGTTTTGTCCCTAGGGAAAGTAATACTAAGGCTTTTCTTTCTAATTCTGAAGCATAAATCTTCCACAACAGAGACCTTGTAATAACTTCTTTGGTAATACCTTCAACATTGAAAAACATGTACAACAATATTTATACATCCATTATCCACAAGCTTTACAATGACTTTGGAATGGAAAATATTCCCCTTTATTCACCCATTCAGAATTGGACAATTGCTGTCTACGTAATCCACCTGAGATTAGACCAATAAACCTAACCATAAACAGTGTGACCAAATTTGTATTTTCACATTGTTATGTTTTCCAACTAAAGTTTCGGAGTGCATGTTTGTAGCAACTAGAAGTTGATATGTATTCCACTAGACTATATTTGTTAGGAATAAGTCTGCAAATTGACTATGCTGCTTACAAAAATCAAATGATTATTCTTTATTTTATTTCCAGTGAAACTTTCATTAACAATGTTTCCAAATATATTTTTATTAATAAGTTGACTGCACACTAGATGCTAAATGTAAATTCCCACTCTAAAGACAGTGAATCTCTACTTGTTATATCGGTAAATGAGGAATGCATTAACCAACCAAGTCTCTAAACCTATGAAAGCCCAGATCATTGCCAAATGCTAGAAATGTGGGACAGGAAGAGTAGCCAGTTTGTTTGTTCATAAATTCTAATGACAGTTTTCTTCCCAAAGCACAAAAAATAATCAGGATGTGATAGACTAGCCAAAATGAAACCATCAATTCTAGGCAAAATATACCCTCAAAACCAAGGAAAAGCCCCACATCGTATGCTGGATAATGCTGGACACTAGTGAAGACCTTTTGAGTGAAAATGAAATATGTAGCTGGTTTAGAAAGAAACTGTCACCTCTCCCAAGCTTTGCAGCAAAACCATCAGAAATATTCTGAATGAACAAGTTTTTATGGTCTAAGAGGAGTAACAACAACAATGATATTCTGAAAGGACAAAAACCAGCTCACACACTTAACTTTCTAAAGCTATATGAATTGACTTCAAAAACCACATAAAGAAATCACAGGAAACCGGTGAAAAGGCTTTACCAAGGATTATATGTTGGAAAACTGTCATGAAATGACACAGGGCACGTAAAGCACTCTATTATATTTGTTCAGCTCAACCACAAAATATACCATTGGGGTTAATAAAACACATTTTCCCTCCCACAAAAAAATCAATAGAAAGTCTTTATAAAATACATTTTTCAGGGCCACACAGCTAGTTTCTAGACTAGATTAAAATAAAGGTTCTGGATTTCTACACATATGTTTCCTCAATTCATTAAACATATAATTAAACACAAGTTGTGAAAGAAAAATGAATTTTCAAAATGGTGGTTGAGAAATACATATTCTGACATTCCTGACTGATAAATATCAACCCTTCACCGCAGTGATTAACTTCATTAATTTGTCCAACAAATAAAAATTGAGCACCGTTTGAGATGGGTGAGTATTCAGTGGTCAATAAAACATTGTTTCATCAGTTTATGAAATTCACAAAGTAGATGGGGGCAGGAGATAAACATTAAAAATCAATAAATACATAACATTTAAATAACCCCAAAATGTCCACAAGAACTATGATGGAAAAACAAAACAAAATATGATACCATGAGACAACATACCACAGTTTCATCCATAGGTCACCTGTCTCCGTACCTGTCTCTGGCTCTCCCAAGAAAGTGGGGGTATCCAAAATGATTTTAAACAAGAGTATTTTCAAAATTACTAGAACACAAATTTAAAATCTCATAAAGCATCTGTTCTCTATGTTATTCAAAATAAATTATTTCATTAAGTCTTGCTAAAACTCTTATTAGAGGAAGCTGAAAACATATTATTAAAAACAGACATTTACTTGAATCAATAAGTTATTGAAGGAGAAAGTAGAAAGGATGATTAAAATCTCAAATGGCTTTCTGTGATTCAAACCAAAAAAGAGTAAATGAGGGGATAAACTGCATTCCTTTTTCTGCTTCAATCAAACCACATCACGTTGTAAGAATATTCCAATACAGGTGGTTAAGAAAAAATCAACTGACATTTTTAAAGAGATTTTTAGTTCTTTAATTCAATTGATGTAAAAGATAATATTCCCGAGAAAGCAGCTGTAAAATGATGCTTGCAAACATTAATAATAATATATAAGCCTTCTAATATTAATAATAAATAACATACTAAAATTTTCTCATATAAATTAGCCAATTTCTCTATTTCTAAAATATTTACATGAGCAAAAACAGTAAATCCTAAAATTATCATTTCAGGATTATAAAGTGAAATGAACATTGTTTTTCATGAAAGAATCCTTTCAATGCCTAGAAATGTGCCCCAGCTTCAAGAAATACATCCACCATTAGAAATATATTAATTCAAAATTGTTTTGTATGTCAACCCATCTTCCTGTCAAACCATATTGATTCGTTGAGTTTAACTTTAATTATATCATTCTGATCATCTATTTTCATATTTACTGACAACTTGGCTGTGCTCTAGTATCTCCAAGATTCTTGTTTGATGTTGATTATTGTTGATATTTTTCTACCCTTTAAATAAGATTCTGTCATTAATATTTGTAATAAAATATTTTTTCAATTACCTTGCTCACTGTATTTAGACTGTAAGTTCAGAAGGCATTTTGCCAACATTTTACTATTTCAAAATTAACATTTCTACTTAATTAGTAAGGTTCTAAAGTGATAAATTAATAAATTTTTATGAATGATAGTTACATCCACATACCTTATTGCAATTATTCTATTTATTTATGCTGGATTTCTCAATATATGCAAGATGTTAAAAAAGCACACACACATATACACAGATGCACATATGGCTGCTTTACGAAAAATGTGCATTTTTAATTATCTTTCTAGTAATGCTGATGGTTTAGTTTAGGTCTGATGGAGTTGCACTCTTTCTCTTAGTTTGAGTTGAAGCCGACTTTCATGGTGACTGGATAGGTGTAAATGCCCTAGTTATAAAACAGGTTGAGTGACAAAGGCCTTTTGGTTTGAGAATGAAAGTATTTCCCTTTAATCAAACAATTTTAAAAATAAACTATGAATGTATTTTTCAACATTCTTCATTTTTATTGTCTATACACTTAAATGGTCAAAGTTTTGTATTGCTATTCTGCCACTTGAGCTTTCAAGAAAGAAAGGTTAGCGGTTGTTAAAGTCAAATACCATTCCATAATAAAATGTGAATAATATCCAGTATTTCACAGTCACTATGCTTTCTCTGATTGTTACATATGTCCAAGCTTGTAGCACAGTGAACACAATTTAGTAGCCTTATTTATTGAATATAGGTCAATAAGAAGTATTTTTCATTTCATTCTTTATATTTATCAGTTTTGATTGAATGGCCTTCTTGTCCAAAGATGCTCCAAAGACACACAAAAGAAGATATTCTAGTTGACAAATTGATGGCAAATATGAATTAATGGATTTCTATTTTGCTAAAAAATAATTTAATATTACATGAATATCAACTTAGAAAAAAACTGTTACATCACATTAGGAACAGAGTGGGATTACCTGAAGGGAATAATGGAGAGGGGGAAGAATTAGAAATTAGATATATGTTCTCACAATCATTCACTGATTCAATGTGCATTAAATGTCTATTTAGCATTTATGAAATAAGTTTAAGCATTTGAAAGATGGAAAATGAAAATAAATATTTTCTTTATAGGGAGCCATGGTTAAGATGAATGCAGATATATTTAAAATCTGTGTACTTTAATGATGATAACACAAATTCAATTTGGCGACTTCATAATTCTAATTTGGAAAAAAGGAAAAATACGAAACTTTCCAGAATATTCAAAATTATATAATATTAGGGCCAATATAAGCGACATACACATTATATTTAATGGGGTTATTCTTTCAAATACGACAGAATATCCTGCTGGATAGCAATACCTTACACTATGCTTAGCACACTGTTGGTGTTGAATTTTTATTGAATAAATGCTTTTACATCCCTAGCTTTCTGTGCTAATAAGTAACTGTTATGTAGGTCCTAAGATTTGGCTCAGATGACCCATAAATCTTATTTTACAAGTGCCCTAAGAGTTTGGCATGTAAATTATCTGAATTTTTGGCAAAAGATGATCATTTACATAAAGATCCTTGGGAACTCAAAATGCTGAAAACAGTTCTTTCTTTGGGTGGTCTCATAGATGAGGTCAGATCACACGATGGAGCCTTGAAGACATCATGGAACTTTTACATTTGAAATAATTATAAAGCTCCAAAGTGCTTAATTTTGCATGACACAAATTAACACACTACTATTTATGGGTCAAAAAATTATGACATAACTAAGTGAAAATTTAATTAATCACAACTTGCTGGTATATTATTTAATTTATAGTATTTTGAGATACCACATTGCAATAAATCCCACCAGTCACAGAGGCCATGGGTTAAAATTTCTAAGGATTAGGAAATGTATTTGTTAAAATATATATTTAAAAAAGCTTTATCTGTAGTCACTTAGATAATTCACACTATCTCATAAATTACTTTTAAATTTATACGCATTTAATATTGTGTTTCCTTTCTCATGTTATGACATCTGGGTACACGAAGAATTTTAAGTAAGTCTAGTAACAGACTATGCTATAAACTGGTACACAGAACAAAATAGAAGATCATGACAAGTTGAGTGAATTGTGGTTTTCACTAAACCACAAAATGACTCAAGGAAGAATAACTGCACACAAAGTATTTGCTAAAAGTTAAAGTTTCTTCAGTACTTGAGGTCCCTTGATCAGTTTCCATAGAGGAACTACAAACCCACTGGGATAATATTTGCACTTTTAAAGAAATGATGAATTGCATGATTATAGTGTTTTGTATGGTTTATGGGCTTGTTTACCATAATATAAATCTATTACAGCAAGTATTGCCAAGAAAAAGGATTTATAAAAAGCCAAAAGAATTTTCAAAAACTCTCTTAACAAATATTATTAAAATCTTCAAAAACATACAAACAGTTCATTTGGGAAAAATCATATAATGTGAATCTCTTATTATTTGTAAGTTAATACAATTTATTTATCTATCTGCTCAACCATTCATTCAACAAACAGCTGTTGAGTTTTATTACATGCCAAGAAAGAGGCTTTATTCTCTGGGAGATGAATATGAATGTAATGAATATGAATGCTGTGATTCTTGTCCAAAAACTATTTATTCATGACCAAATTTCTCAAACTTTTAAAGTAGTAAATAGTAAATGAGGATAATAACTTGAATTTCTCTCATTGGAATTAAATCAATTATCAAGCACAGTGCTAGGCACATAGTAAATGATTAGTCAATGTTCTATTTCTAGTATGTTTTGATGCTACTAGGGTTTCAAGTGAATATATGAGAAATATAGAAAATCATTCCCAGTAGAAGCAATGGTATGAACGCAGGCACAGAGAGCCATCTGGGGGCCTTAAGTAGACACAGGTATCTAATAAAATAACTATTTGCCTCCATGCAGCCCAAACTCCCCAGGTTCCTCAGGTCTGAGACTTTTTATGTTTTATTTTTTGAGACAGGGTCTCTGTCACCCAGGCTGGAGTGCCATGGTGCAATCATAGCTCACTGCAGCCTTGAACTCCTGGGCCTAAGCGATCCTCTCGTCTCAGCCTCCTGAGTAGCTGGGACTAAAGGTGGGTGTCACCATACCAAGCTAATTTTATTTTATTTTATTTTATTTTATTTTATTTTATTTTATTTTATTATTTTGTTGAGACAGGGTCTTGTCATGTTGTGCAGGCTAGTCTGAAACTCCTGGCCCCAAATGATCCTCCTGCCTCAGCCTCCCAAAGTGCTGAGATTATGAGCATGAGCCACTGTACCCAGCCTTTGAGCCCCTTAGTAGACCTGATGTCTGTAAATGTATCTTGTGTTTATGGTCTCCATTTCTATATAAATCTTTGGATTTTATGTCTTTCCCCTAAGATCATCTCTTGCATCCCCTACTCCATCTTTACTATTTGCAAATATCTTTTGAGATAACCTTGATTACAGCTTCTAAGATAAAGGGCCATTTGAGCAACCCCCCATTAATCCTGAGCCATAAGCCTCCAGCCTCGGTTATTTCCATGCTTACCCGCTTCTTCATTTGGCTTAAACTGAAATAAACACAGAAGTAGGAAAACATGCATTTATTCAGAAATGATGAGAATTACAACTTTGTAATATAGCTACAGACACAAGACAAGAAATAATGCAAATGACCTGGGAGAATATGTGTTAGATTATGTTGAAGAGAACACTGGATTTGGTTCCACAAATAATTATTGAGTTCCTTGATATAGTGCAAAGAGCTGGAGCACAGAAGGAAATAAATGGAAAAAAAATTCCCTCTACTCTCATGGAGCTTAATTTCCGATTGTGAGAGACAGAAAATAAACCACAAATTCATACTGTCCATTAGTGGTAAGTGTAATGGTGCAAAATTATAATAGACTATGAAAGATAGGGAGGTGTTTCAGAGATGAGGCATTGATATCTTTGAGAATAGTCTTGATTTGGTTCTAGCAGCACATTAGGAAGAATAATATGCCTGAGACAAGCAAGATGAATTTGAGAGAATTTAGAAAGAGGCAATGGTAGAAGGAATAACAAGATGATAATTGTAATCACCCAGATAGATGGAATAAAAGTTTGGATTATATTATGTTAGTATTGAAAATAGAAAGAGAGTAATACCCTGAAAGATTTGAGGAAATTACTATGAATTTTGTTAACTATCAGGATGTGGACACAAGGGACAGGATGCTATCAAAATGGACAGAGATGGCTGTATTACTAGCAGAAAAAGTGAAAGTCAGGGGAGATAGCAAAGATAAGTTCACTTATTTTTTAAGGCAATACAAAAAGCTTACTAACTAGCCCTTAAATCCAGAGTTTGTATGTAAATCAGTTATGTAAATGATGATCATATGAATTAAAAATGATATATGAAGTTCCTGAATGAAAAAACATTGCCAACAAAACTTGTGCAAATACGTTCATAGTAGCAATATTCATGATACCCAAAAATCAAAACAATCCAAATATTCATCAAATAATGAATACATAAACAAAATGTAGGGTATTCATACAATGTAATGTCACTCAGCAATAAAAAGAAATGAAGTAGATGATAAAAATACTTTTGTAATTTGATATATGTGGTTGTTGAACATTATAGTGAAGTGCTAAGTGCCACATAAGTGCACATTTTAAACTGGCTAATCTTATGTTATATGACTTTCACCTCAACAGAAAAATTAAAATTTAAAAAAAAGGATTGAAGTACAGATATATGTTATAACTTGTATTAACCTTGAAAACAATATGCCAAATAAAAGAAGCCAGACACAAAATACTACACTGTACTATTCTATTTATGTGAAATGTCCAGAATAATCAAAGATGTAGAGTTAGAAAGTAGATTAGAAGTTGCCTAGGGCTTGGGAGTATTTTTATTAATGTCATTGTCAGAGACAAGGTATTGCTATATTGCCCAGGCTCCTTTCAAATTCCTGAGCTCAAGTAATCCTGCTGCCTAAGCTTCCTGAGTAGCTGGACTACAGGTATGCTCCACCACACCCAGCAGGTTTGGGAGTTTGAAGGAAAACTGTGAGTGACTGCTAATAGGTAGAGCTTTCCTTTTTGGGATGATTAAAATATTCTAAATTCTAGATTGTGAAGATGGTCATACAACTGTATAAATATACTATAAAACCCAGCTGAATTGTATACTTTAGGTGAATGAGTCTTATGGCATGTGAATTACATATAAATAAATTGCATTGTGAAAATAATAAAAATAAATTTTATCATAACATGTATTATGAAAAAGCACAAAAATAATGCCAAGGAAGACAATCTAGTCAGAGAGGTGTTTCTGAAAGTCTTTTAAGCATGACTTTATAGCTAAGAAATACATTTTCTCTTAAACCAATACAAATCTCCGGCCCCACTCCCACCCCTGCCACACTACCACACATAATGAAAAAAGTCTCTCGAAACAAAAGTAATGCTTGCTATATGAGATTCACTCTGTTCTATTCTGGTTCATCAAAATAATTCTCATCTGATTCCATTAAACTGACTTCATTATGCAACCATTAGTCACGATCCATAGATTGAAGACAGCCACTGTTCTAGAAAAGGCAAGATAGGTGAACATCATCTCAACGATTAGATTAAATTTGAGGGAAGGCAGAGACATAGAAGAAGGAATCATGAGAAAAAAGGAGTTAAAGAAGAAAAAGGAGAACCATGATCATGCTTTATAGAAGCAAATGGCAGAAAAGGGATCATGAAGGATATAATAGGATCAAATAGTGCAGAATTTTCAATGAGGATGAAGACTGAAAAAAAGACCATTAACTTTTGCTTTAGTAAAATGTTAGTCCTATTATAGCAGGACTAACATAGACTATGAAGAAATTCTTTGTTAAGGAATCCTGACTTCACCACTTTTTAAGTATATTATCATGGGAAATTTATCAGTTTCTCAGAGCTCCAACCATAAATGTAAGCAATTACTTCACAATGCCTTTCTTCTTCTACTGCTTCAATTTATTAAGCATAGTTTCTGTACCATAGTGGGGGTAGTTAGACCATGAATTTCAAAGAGAAAAGAAAGGAAAATACAAATTCGGATCCACTGAATATAAAGATTAAACTTAGTTACAAAGTATTAATATAATTTGAAGAAAATGAGAAGAGAGACAGTTGGAGAGTAGTGTAGTATATAGACTTCTAGAAATTATCATAATTCTTATTTTGTTTGTTTGGGCATGTCTTGCTGGAGAAGCCTTAAAAATGTTTATAGATATTTGATGTGGGGCCATGCAAAAAGAGATTAAAAATGAAAGGAGATAAGATTATATGCTGATAGAGAAAGAATATTTCCGATGAAATCAGATAATACAATAATCACATAATTGCTAGATTCAAAGATAAATGAAAATTGAATGAGAAAAAAATATAAGGCACTACAATAAGGGAAAAGACCACAACAAATGAATTAATAATTAGACTCAATTTACTTCCTGCCTTGACAAGAATGGTATGAGGAAGACATCAGATAATTCAATGGAGGTTCCAGGAGGGAATAAGGAAGAAGTAGCAATCTAATTAAATATTCAGATGGTGAGAAGACAAAACGTCATGTTTAAGCTTTACTATTATTTTTTCTTCTTAATAATGGGCCAGTTAATCTGATAATAGTACAAATTGAGGTGCAACTTCAATAGTTCCAAGACTGCAAGATACATACTCTATTTTCCCTACTTATGTATGTACTTGCTAAAACTTTTAGTAGTTTTATTTAGGGTTGTTTGGAGGAAAGGGTTGTGGAAATCAGTGTAGGTTACTTAAGGCTTTGTCCTAGTCTCTTTGGGCTACTAAAACAAAATACCATAAACTGGGTGACTCACAAACTGCAGACATGTACTTCTCATCGTTCTGGAGGCTGGGAGGTCCAAGAACAAGGTGTTGACAGATATGGTGTCTAGTGAGGACCCCTTCCTCATAGACGGCATCTTCTAGCTGTGACCTCACGTGGTAAAGGGGCAAGTCAGCTCTCTGAGGCCTTTTTTATAAGGACACTAATCCAACTTATCAGGGCTCTGCCTTCGTGATCTTATCACCTTCCAAAGGCCCCACCTCCTGATATCATATTGGTCATTAGTTTTCAACATATAAAATTGGGGAGGGTGGTGGACACAAACATTCAGAACTTAGCAGCTACTAAAACATCCCTTGACAATGATCTTGATTGATCTGATTTAGAAGTTAGTGCAGCAGTTAAGCCTGCACTTTGGAAATTACTCTACCAGTGAGCTAACTGTATGACTGACAAATTATTTAACTTTTCTGAGTCTTAGTTCTCTCATCTGGAAAATTACAGAGCTGATGAACTCAAAGGTCCTTTAAAATTGTAAAATTGTTGAATTTTTTTTCTGTAACATTTAGGTTCTTGCCCTGCATTTTCTACTAATTGCATAGCATTTGGCAAATCCTTTCCCTGCTTTAGAAATCCACTTCCTTATCATACAACATGGGAAGTAAAGTAAACGATTAATAATGTTCTTAAAGCTTGGAGTCCAAGATGAATGGGTAATTGATGAGACAATATGGGTAATTCTACGTTATATAAGTTAGGATGTTATATTTTTGTTGAGAAAATAGATTAGATTTCCTTCAAAAAAGAAAACTTTAAGTAATAATAACAGTCAAAAGGAGCAATAAAACTACATAAGCATATTCTAAAAATAGTAAATGTGTACAAATTTTATACTAAATCTATTATTCAAAAATATTATTTATAAGGATAAATTTCCTGCAAACTACCAACATTCCATTATATATAGCTCTTAGCTTTATTTATTATATATTTTTATCTTCATCAGATACACTAAAAGTATTCAGTTTATGCCAAAATTAATTTTGTTAGTCTCCTCCCATACATACCACAGATACCACGAAAAGGTTGATATTTTAAAAATATCTTAAAATTGCAAGTACAAACCTGCCAGAGGAAAAAAATTTTCCAGATCATTCTTTTAAATTCAACCTTTCCCTCCTGTTATGTGTTGAATTGTACCCACTCCCTCCAAGTTTCTATATTGAAGTCCCAACCCCCAGTACTTAAGAACAAGACCTTATTGGAAGACAGGGTCTTTACAGAAGTGATTAAGTTAAAGTGAGATCATTAGGGTGGGCCCTAATCCAACAGAACTCATGTCTTTATAAGATGGGGAAATCTCGACACAGACACACACAGAGAAATGACAGCCAACTACAAGCGAAGGGGAGACGCCTGAAACAAATCTTGTCTTCATAGCCCTGAGCAGAAACCAACCCTGCAAACATATTGATCCTGGATTTCTAGATTACAGAACTGTGAGATAATAAACTTCTATTTTTAAGGCACCCAGTTTACGGTTCTTTGTTAAGGTGGCTCTAGCAAACTAATAAACTCCTATAGTTCAATGTTCTGGGGCAAATCCCCTTACCCACCTTTCCTTGAATCGATTATAATTTTAGACTTTTCTCTTTCACAACTGTAAATTGGAAATCATATATTCCAAGAAAAACTTGGTATATTTCATAGATTTCCAGTTTAGTAATCTATGAAAACCCAAGAAAATTAGGGTGGAAAAGGATCATTTTAGTAGTAGCATTGCTAATCTATATAATAGATGCCTAAATCCGACTGGGTGTGGTGGCTCATGCCTGTAATCCCAGCACTTTGGGAGGCCTAGGCAGGCAGATCCCCTGAGGCCAGGAGTTCAAGACCAGCCTGGCCAACATGGCGAAATCCCATCTCTACTAAAAATACAAAAATTAGCTGGGTGTGGTGGCAGGAGCCTGTAATCCCAGCTACTTGGGAGGCTGAGGCAGAAGAATCGCTTGAACCCGGAAGGCAGAGGTTGCAGTAAGCCAAGATCATGCCACTGCACTTCAGTCTGGGCGACAAGAGTGAGACTTCATCTCAAAAAAGAAAAAAAAAAAGCCCAAATCCAAGTATATTGAAGAGATCCCATGCATAAGCTGATATATCCAAGTCCCACTGAGTTTGTCTTCTATTTAAGTTCCAATTTTTGTCAGTTATACAAGACTTATTTCCCACATCATCATCAATTATGCCAAAATAATATGTCATTAAATATGAATTTCAAGTCTCCTTCAAAACATTAATATAAACTTAGGGTCATCTCATTAATAATATATACATTTTCAAGAAGGCGAGCCTGAGTTTTTTAGTAAAATCATACAATAGATGATATGAAAAGAACAAACATTATGTCAGTGTATGTGTGTGTATATACATACACTGGCATACCTTGTTTTATTCTGCTTTGCTTCATTGCACTTCCCAGATACTGTGTTTTTTACAAATTGAAGGTGTGTAGCAATCCTGCATTCAGCAAGTCTATTGGTGCCATTTTTCCAATGGCATGTGCTCACTACCTGTCTCTGTCACATTTTGGTCATTCTTGCAATATTTCAAACTTTTTCATTTTTCATTATTATCACATCTGTATGGTGATCTGTAATCATTAATCTTTGATGTTACTATTGTGATTGTTTTAGGGTGTCAGGAACCATGTCCATAAAAGGCAACAAACTTTATCAATAAATGTGTGTGCTCCAACCGCTCTACCAGCTGACCATTTTCCCATCTCCTCTCTTCCTCTCTTTGGGCCTCCCTATTCCCAGAGACAAAACAATTACTGAAATTAGGCCAATTAATAATCTACAATGGCCTCTAGGTATTTAATTGAAAGGAAGAGTGGCACATCTCTCACTTTTAACTAAAGCTAGGAATGATTAGGTTTAGTGAGGAAGGCATATCAAAAGCTGAGAAAGGCCAAAAGCTAGGCCTTCTATGTCAAAGAGCAGTCAAGTTGTGAATGTAAAGGAAATTTTCTTGAAGGATATTCCAGTCACATATGAATGGTAAGAAAGCAAAATGGGCCAAACGCTCTGGCTCAAGCCTATAATTCCACCACTTTGGAAGGCCAAAGCAGCCAGACTGCTGGTGCCCAGGAGTTTGAGATGAGCCTGAACCTGGGCAAAATCCCATCTCTACAAAAAATACAGAAATCAGCCAGGCATTGTGGTGTGCACCTGTAGTCCCAGCTACTAAGGAGGCTGAGGTGGGAGGATCTCTTGAGTCTGGAAATTCGAGGCTGCAATGAACTGTAATTATGCCACTGCACTTCAGTCTGAGTGACAAAGAGAGATCCTGTCTCAAAAACAAACAAACCAACCAACCAACAAAAACAAACAAAAAAACAAAGCCCCCCAAAACGAAAGCAAAACAGCCTTATTGTTGAGAGAAAGTTTCAACGGTCTGGATAAAAAAAAAAGTCAAAACAGCCATAATATTCCCTTAAGCCAAAGCCTAATCCATTGCAAAGCTCTTACTCTTTTCAATTCTATAAAGGCTGAGAGAGGTGAGGAAGCTGCAGAAGAAAAGTTAGAAGCTAGCAGAAGTTGGTTCATGAGGTTGTATTTTTATTTATTTATTTATTTATTTGAGACAGTCTCGCTCTGTCACCAGGCTGGAGTCCAATGGTGCCATCTCGGCTCACTGCAATCTGCGCCTCCCCCAGTTCAATCGATTCTCCTGCCTCAGCCTCTCGAGTAGCTGGGATCACAGGCGCGCACCACCACGCCCAGCTAATTTTTGTGTTCTTAGTAGAGACGGGATTTCACCATGTTGGCCAGGGTGGTCTCAATTTCTTGACCTTGTGATCTGCCCGCCTCGACCTCCCAAAGTGCTGGGATTACAGGCGTGAGCCACCGTGCCTGGCCCATGAGGTTTTAAAAAAGAAGTAATCTCCATAGCATGAAAGTGTGAGGTGAAATAGCAAGTGCTAATGCAGAAGCTGCAGCAAGTTACCCAGAACAGTTATCTAAGATACTTGTTGAATGTGGCTACACTAAACGACAGATTTCCAATGCAGATGAAACAGCCTTCCCTTGGGAAAAGGATGCCATCTAGGACTTTCCTAGCTGAGAATAGTCAATGCCTGGCTTCAAACTTCAAAGGACGGGCTGACTTTCTTGTAAAAGGCTAATGTAGCTGGTGACTTTAAGTTGAGCCAATACTTATTTACCACTCTGAAAATCCTAAGGCCCTTAAGAATTATGCTAAATCTACTCTGCCTGTGCTGTCTAAATAGAACAGTGCCTGAATGACAGCACATCTGTTTATGGTATGGTTTACTGAATATTTTAGGCAAATTGTTGAGACCTACTTCTCAGAGAAAAAAAAGACTCCTTACAAAATATTACTGCTTATTTACAATGCATTCTGTCACCCAGGAGCTCCGATGGAGATGTTCAAGGACATTAATGTTGTTTTCATGCCTGCTAACACAACATACTCCAGTCTATAGATCGAGTAATTTCAACTTTCAAGTGTTATTATTTTAAAAATACATTTTATAAGATTTTAGTGTTATATACATATAACACTCTCTATAGCTGCCATAAATAGTGAATCCTCTGATGATTCTGGGTAAGTAGATTGCAAGTCTTCTGGAAAGAATAATTCATGATTTAATGAATCACCTTTTTTTTTTTTTTTTTTTTGAGACAGGGTCTTGCTCTGTCATCCAGGCTGGAGTGCAATGGTGCAATCATAGCTCATTGCAGCTGTGAACTGCTAGGTTCAAGCAAGGATTGAGGATTTACCATTCTTAATGCCATTAAGAACATTCATGATTGACTGAAGAAGATCAAAATAAACAGGAGCTTAGAAAAAGTGTATTTCAACCCTCATGGGTGATTTTGAGGGGTTCAAGACTTTGGCGGAGGATATAACTGCATTTGTGGTTCGAATAGCAAGAGAGCTGGAATTAGAAGTGGAGCCTGAAGATGTGACTGAGCTGCTGCAATCTCATGATCAAACTTGAACAGAAGAGGAGTTGCTTCTTGGGGATGAGCAAAGTAGTTTCTTGAGATGGAATCTACTCCGGGTGAACATTCTGGGAGCATTGTGGAAATGACAACGAAGGATTTAGAACATTGCATAAACTTAGTTGATAAGGTAGCAGCAGAGTTTTAGAGGACTGACTTCAATTTTGAAAGAAGTTCTTCTGTGGGTCACATGCTGTCAAATAACCTTGCATACTACAAAGAAATATTGTGTGAAAGGGAGAGTCAATCCATATAACAAACTTCACTGTTGTCTTATTTTAAGAAATTGCCACAGCCGTTCCAGCCTTCACCACCACCCTGATTAATCAGAAGCCATCAGCATCAGGGAAAGATCCTCCACCATCCAAAAGATTACAACTCACTAAAGGCTCAGAGGATCTTTGGCAATTTAAAGTAATTTAATTAAGGTATGTATACTGTTTTTATAAATATAATGCTACTGCACACCTAATAGGCTACAGAATAGTGTAAACATAAATTTTATATGCATTGAGAAGTCAAAAAATTCATGAAACTTGCTTTATTCTTGCTTTATTGCAATATTTACCACAGTGGTCCAGAACCAAACCCTCAATATCTCAAAATTATGCATGCACATATAGATATAGATATAGATATGTGAATTCCTAAAGGGATCTTCCAGCTAAAAATAATTTTAGCTGAGCATGGTGGTGCATGCCTGTAATCCCAGGTACTTAGGAGGCTGAGGTGGTACGATTGCTTAAGGCTTGAAGTTTGAGACAAGCTTGGGCAACATAGTGAGGACTCATCCCTCCCAAAATAATAATAATAATAATAATTCTAAAGTCAACCTTATTGAGAATTGATATAATAATTCATGTTTATATGATACATTTTTATGAGATTTATAGGTTATAAATTACAAATTTCTATGAGGTAGAAATTGAACAACTGTTAGTGTGTTTCCTAATAGAAACATGTGCAGAAAATATTTGTTTTCTCTATAAAGATTTAACCAATATTCACTTAGCATAAGGCTAGATATTTAAGATCTTCTAAAATTTCACCTAAAGTCAGTCAAATACCCTAAAGACATTTTTGTCACTCCTCTTCCCCAGCCCCCTGAATCATTTGTTTTAAAAAAGCCAGAAATGTCTTATTTTTCTTCCTGGAAGCTTTGGTCAGGAAACAGAGAAGCTTTGTCAGGAAACATAAAGATTCTAGTGTACCTGGAGTTAAATGAGATTATAAAGGAGATGTAGTTTGAAGCAATTAAATCTTGATCAATAAAATGTCTATCATTTTCCAACATATACATTACTTTCTCAACAATTGTCTTAAACCAGAAGATTGGGTATGGAATCCATTCTTCCAAAATTACTTTAAAATGGCATTGTTAAATAATGCAAGATAAGCAGAATTACCTCCTCTTCTATCTTCTACCAAATAAGGTATTAAACATGAAGCATTGCATCCTAATAGAACTGAATCTAGAAGGGCAGAATTAATTTTCTCTGAATGGCAAATAAATCTGATATAAGATTTTGCAGTGTAACTACTGATCAACCTTATTAATAATGCACATTCATCCTCCTTAGGCACCTTGAGACAATGTTAAATAAAAGATACTTGTTAATTTATTTATATGACACTATATCTTTTACCAATATCTATATATCTTTTTCAAGTTATTAGCGACCCGTTACCATGACCTTTCACCTGAAAGAAAATAGCTACAACCTTAAACAAATCAGAGAATCTATATTTTAGTAAAATGAAAACAAATCTATGATTGGAGAACTGATAGGTTTATCTCTTTCCCACTGGTTTATTGACATAAATAGGGAAATCTATATAGAGCAGGCCTTAAGTAGACGGAGAAGCCATATTGAGTCAGTTGCATGGAGATAATAGACCTCCGTAAGTTGTTATAAAGGGAGTAAATTATTCTCCATTTCTTTAAAGGAAGGCAAAAAAAATAAATAAATAAAAACCCCACAAATTCAATGGGATTTGGATGTTGGGCAGATGTAGTAGGACTGTGTTTCTCCATCCCTGCTAACTTAATGACCTCCAAAGGCAGGTATCCCCCATAGTTACTACAGGTGCTCAGATTGTCCCACCATTTCCCACAAGACAAACCCAATTATCATAGAACAATTTCAAGACTCATTAATTTGTACTTTGGAAATTTAGATTCTCCTGGTGACTTAAAGGTCAAATATACTCAGATTACCATTCTTTTTTACAATTTCTACTTTGAAGTGGAAAGGAAATGCTGTTATATTTCAGGTGACTTCTAGGTGCATAAAAGATACCTTATTAACCATTATACTCAACATGCATTATCTTATGAACCAGTTTTTTATTGCATATTACAAGCTAATCATTATGGTTTAAAACAACAATAAAGGCATACTCAGCAGTTCCCCTAGTTTCTCTTGTGTTTCGAGGCAAATAAGTAGTGACAATATAATAGGCTAAGTGCCATAATAGAAGTATGGAGGTTAGACAATGGAAGCAAAGAGGGGTCTCTTTAATGCTCTCTGGTCAGAAAAGGAGTAAGGCATAGGGAAGCCTTTTTAAAGAAGGAATGAGTCTTGAAGCTTAATCTTGAAGGATTAGTACTTTTTCATGTGAATATGTGGGGGATGGTTAAGGATCAAAGAGAAAGAAGAGAATGTCATGTAAAGGGAATAGTCATGAATAAATAAACAGTATGTTCTGGGAGTGACGATCACACAGAGCATCATAGTTTATTTCTTCTCAGTTAATTTTTTATTTGATAAAACATATATAACACGAGAATTAAAAAAAAATGATTATGGTTTTGCCTAAGTACCCCATTATTTCTTCTTTAGGCAAGTATATTATATTTACTAGTATGGACATAAGCAAATAGAGAAGAGAGACACAAATATTTCGCTCATGCTTTTCTTGTTCTCTACATTTTGAGTCACACTTTCATCCCCTTGTGGCATGCCAGAAAAAAAAGTAACACATAACAAATATGTCCACAAGCTAAGTACAAAATATTACAAAGCATGAACATTTGTGCTGGAAAAACCTACTGCCAATGTGTCAGACGCACTGACTATTAGTGCACAAGGAAGAGCCAAATTCAGGCTAATCATACTAAAATGCCACGATGGGTGCAGTCCAAGCTTTTATTTTTAAACTTTTTCATTTTCTAATTTTTATTTAAGTATCTAGTCAGGCCATAAACAAAAGCAGCTTAGACTGGCAAAGGAATGGCAACTGACAGAAGATATTCAAATCATCCACAAAAATTAAATGGAATTTAAAAACAATTCATATCCACTGAGTTATTTCTCTACAAGCAGATTTTGTTTATTATTCAGAGAATAAAAGTTGACATTTTATGTAGTAAGAAGATGTCAATGGTTTGGGTGGTGGTCGTGATGATGATGAGAATTAAGCTGCTACCATTGCCAGGTGCTTATTATGGGCTAAACACAGTATTAAATTTATTCTATAAACTGTCTCATTTCTTCTTTAAATAGAAAAATACATGATAATTATCATCCTGCAATATGGCAAAGCACTTATTCTACACCAGTACCTGTGCTAAGCATTATTCTCATTAATCCTTATTATAATTACTATTTTGCATACAGTGTTTTGTTTTAATATTTATGATAACTGAAGTATTATGATCCCCTATTTACCAATGAGGAAAAAAACGACTTAGGAAGTTTAAGTCATCTGCCCAATGAAACCTTAAAAGAGATTTTTATATGTCAGATATGTTCTTTGTGGCCTAGAAAATGATGCTGTTTTTGCCAGGGCTTAATAAGATTCATTTTAAAAATAAAATGGTCCCATGGAGGAATTTTAAGAGATTTTGCAGAAAAAACTTGAATAACGATGATGTTCCTGGAGCAATTTTAAAGGCAGTAAATCTAGATAGCCAGATATAGTGAAAGAGATAGATAGATAAATAGACACATAGACAGGCAGGCAGGCAGGCAGACAGACAGACAGATAGATGATTGATTGATAGATAGATGGATAGATGATAGATGTTATATAGACAGATCAATGAACAGATATTTAAAAAGAAAGAGATCTAGATAGATAAAAAGTGGTAGAGAGAGAGCGATCTCTAAAAAGAGAAAGAGATCTATTTTATCTCTGGTCTCTAGTATTGGTAAAAGACAGTGGGAACCGAAAGCAATATTATGGATTAGAGGATTACCAAATAGCTAAATATCTATTTTAAAGTGCCATATTTTCTTATTTGGCCACTAAAATGAGCATCCAATGCAGACTAGAAAAGTCCAAGGAAGAAAGGATCCCAGGAACACATAAGAAGAACTATTTAAAAGTACAATTCTGTCAACCTTCATTCAAGTAGACTACCCTAAGATTTTTGTAGCCAGAAAATTCAGGATACTGTGATAAGACACAGTGTAAATCATATATATATATATATATATATGATTCCTACATATGTGTATATATATATATACATATATATATGATTCCTACATATATATATATGTAGGAATTTCACAGAGAAGTATCTCAAATTTTGAACTAACTCAGTAGAGCTACTAAAATGCAGAATATGTATTCTTACACTCTCAAAACTGGAGACACTTTTGAAATCATTTCACAAGCCCGATATCAAGGTTGCTGTAAGTTGCACAATGGATTTTGAAGGTAAAGATCCACATGACCTCGATGGAGTTGTTTTGTAAATATACTTATCCAGGCAACCTATATTCCCTTCTTATGAAAACTGCTGGGGCCATAGTTCTCTAATATACTTTGTAAACAAACAAACAAACAAAACCAATCAAACAACCAAGAAAAAAAAAAACACTGAAACCCTGATCAATGATTCAGAGCAAAATAGCCAAAGTATATACTTTCTCACTAAAGAGTGCACACCCTGTGAGGAATTCCTAAGGTTAGTGTTTGAGTGCTCTTATTAATTGCAACTCTGGAGACCTAAAGCACTTTAGCATTAAAGAGTGAAAGGCAGTCAGCCTGCTGTACAATTTTACATTAGTAATGACTTATAAATGCCACTGTAAGGCAGCTCTATCCACTGGAATAGGCAGTGCCATCATTAAAATGCCCATTTATTTAGAGGGTACACATTGATAATAAATGGGTTATAGACTTTTACTGCTTTATTTTTACTAAAACTACATAGTGAGTCTATGGATTCCAGCAATTCCTGGTGCCTGAGGTCTGTGAATCAATGATGTATTTGTAATAAAAACAACTGAACCATCCATCTATTATAGGTTCATAAAGGAAATTTGTTTTAGATTATATGTTTGTATGAGTGTTCCTGCTATTTAAGGATGAAGTATTCTAATGTGTATTTCTGTGAAGAATCATTTTAAACTGATAGCACATTAAAAATCATTAAGGCAAACATTGCCTTAATTTAGGCCATAATCATTATTGAATTATGACTAAATATTTCTAAGAAGAAAATTTTATAAACTTTTCACCTGAAAAAAAATAATTTAGAGACTGATCTCTCTCCCATCATCTTTTATCTTACCTCTGATTTGTTTACCAGTGTTGAAACTACTGGCTTTATCTTGCTGTAGATTAGAAAATGCAAACTGAAGGCTTTCTGGTAAATTCCACACTTAGACATGCTTTAATTGGCCCAGACATTCTTGTGCTGAAGAGAGTCTAAAATACAAATTAGTGTCCATATGTCTAAAACTCAGGGGACTTATAAAAATTCAGAGTCTAATCTTCTTTTAAAAAGAAGGGCCTGTGTTAACACACTGTAAAAACTGGAGGTGAGCAACATCTACCCCTCCAAAGTGGGCACCCACCATTGAACTTGACACAACCTCAATAACTCCTTCAAATCCTTGTCACCGGGGTTAAGTACCTATTGCCTTTTATCATTTTACATCCAGCTGCTTTAATCATTTATCTTTACTTTTTCATATTATCTTCTGGCCCAGTAAGCAAAGCATCTGTGTTTGTTGAGTCCAGCTTTAGTAGGTATTTGGCCACACCTTTAATTTCAAGTCAGAAAGGCCCTTCCCTACTGCAAATTGTTGTCCATAGTGCAGGGAGAGTGACTCTTTTGAAACAGTGAAGTCAAATCATGTTTCTGCTATGTTCAAAGCCCTCTCATTTTCTGCAGGTCCAAAGTCCTTACTCTGCCCTAACACCTCCCACCTCCATGACTCTGCTCCCTCCCTGCTGCTCTCCCCCGGCTCATTCTGCCTTAGTGGCACCAGATCTCCTTGCTGTTCCTCAAACTCCTGTCTCACAGCCTTTTGTACTCCTTGTTCCTTCTGCCAGTGTTCTTTCCCTAGATATGCCATTGCTCAGAAGTCACTTTTTCACTGAGATCTCCTCTGACTATATTCTTTATATTTGCAAACTCCCAATAGATCAACAATCCCATTCTTTCTTCCCCACCTTGTTTTTCTCCACTGCACATAAAAATATAGGTATGGCATATTTTTAACAATATTTTCATACTTCTATTCTCTCTCTGCTCCTGTCAGAGGCGTGTGAACCAGAGCAAATCCATCTTGAATAGGAGCTGGACAAATAAGGCTGAGACCCACTGGGCTGCATTCCCAGATGACTAAGGCATTCTAAGTCACAGGATGAGATAAGAGGACAGCACAAGATACAGGTCATAAAGACCTTGCTGATAAAACAGGTTGTAGTAAAGAAGCCGGCTAAATCCTAGCAAAACCAAGCTAGCCACAAGAGTGACCTCTGGTTGTCCTCACTGCTTCACTCCCACCAGCGCAGTGATAGTTTACAGATGCCATGGCAACATCAGGAAGTTACCCTATATGGTCTAAAAAGGGGAGGCATGAATAATCCACCCCTTGTTTAGCATATAATCAAAAAATAACCATAAAAATGGGCAACCAACAGCCTTCAGGGCTGCTTTGTCTATGGAGTAGCCATTCTCTCATTCCTTTACTTTCCTAATAAACTTGTTTTCACTTTACAGACTCGCCCTGAGATCCAAGATCCCTCTCGGGGTCTGGATTGGAACCCCTTTCCTGCAACACTCCCACTAAAATGCCTTCCCATGAGGGCAGGCTATTTTGTCTGTTACTTATCCCCATCTGGCTGCTGTGTTCTCAGCATCTAGAACAGCTCTGAGAGCATAGTGTGCATTCATTTAATATTTACTGAAACAGAAGTAGAATGAATACAATTCTGGCTTTATTTTCTAAAGAGCCTCATGTGTTATTTGCACTCACAAAGAGAAACATTTCTGCTATCTTTTAGGTGGGAGATAAACAGCTAAGGTATATAATAAGGTAAAATTAAAATAGGTCTATACAAATTGGAAGAAATTTATCTTAATGAACCTTTAATAATATTCTAAAGTATATGAAGGGGATCAAAATATGCCATCCCCAAATATTCCACTTTGGCATAAGGATTATTTTGAGCTGAAGGCAATTAAGAAACCAGCAAACACAGAAGGAGCTCTCTCTGCTTTCCTCTTTTCTGCCTAAAAGCTGGGCATAAATTTCACTTTTGTAAGATAAATTAATATTCGTAAAGGAAATTTACATGGGTAAAGGTGTTCTCTCCCATACCAAGAAGAAGAAAATGAGACAGCTCTTACTACCAGAGGGACAAACTTTACTAAACAATCCTTGTTTATCATACATTTCCTGGTCAATTTACCTGCTACAGTCCAAACTTCCTTTTCCTTTGTCTAATATCTTCTCCATACTTTATTACTCTTTGTTAAAAAGGTATTTAAGCCCCTGGGTCTAAGTCCCTCTTTGGGGTTTTTGCTTCTTTTCTGGGAAACCCCTGTGTGTGAAGTAAACTTCCGTCAATCTGTTTTCCCTCAGTTTAATTCACAGTCCCCAGCTCCATAACCTAAGGGGACAGAGAAAAGTTTTTCTTCACTTACACAGAGATACAGTTTAATTCAGTATGGCCACTGAAATTAAAGTATAGGAATGTTGTAAGTTTAAAAGCATGTGCTACTCAGCAATTTTTTTCAAATCAATTTTATCCTCTGTCTCCCTCTCTCTCTGTCACATACACATGCACACAGTGCACACACACAAACCTACACAGATAGTGGTAAGAAAGCAGGTGGATGAAATTTTAAATATGAATAAAAATAAAATACCTAGGCCGGGCGCAGTGGCTCACACCTATAATACCAGCACTTTGGGAGGCCGAGGCGGGTGGATCATTTGAAGTCAGGAGTTTGAGACCAGCCTGACCAACATTGTGAAACCCCGTATCTACTAAAAATACAAAAAAATTAGCTAGACGTGGTGGCACGCGCCTGTAATCCCAGCTAATCTGGAGGCTGAGACATGAGAATCACTTGAACCTGGGAGGTGGAGGTTGCAGTGAGCCAAGAATGCGCCACTGCACTCCAGCCTGGGCAACAGAGTAAGACTCTGTCTCAAAAAATGAATAAAATAAAATAAAATAAAATAAAATAAAATACCTAAGTTAGGAGAGACATTTTTTATAAGCAAATAGGATCCAATATTTAAAATGTAAAAAAAAAAAAAATGGCCCAAGCCTAATTTCCAGTATATATCTGTAGCTTTGACTTTGAGATTCTTATTACCTTTTTTTGTTCTTTTATCAGATTTCACTCAAAAGCTTTCTCCTCTGTTCTCCGGCAGGTAGGAGCATTGCCCTACACTAATTTAAAGAGAACCCTACATACCACTGATATGTAAATTCTGATTGCCAGGGCTCAAATACTCTCCATTTGCATAAGCTAATTTAAAAGTGGGTTGTTAACTCTGTTCTGTGCTTGAGAAACTAAAAACCCAAAGATGTGAATTGTAGGAGTTAGTTCAGAAGTTTAGAGAGCTTGGACCAAGTCTACAAAATATCCTGTTGCCTAGCCACTGATTAACCAAACACTCCCACTGGGCAAGACATTTAGAACAGGACAAGCACTTGAAAAAAAAATGTGCAATGAATTAAAATTATTGAAGTTTCCTTTTATGCCTACACTTGTTATTAATACCTAAATAATACTTATTTCTCTTATTATATTGTGATGTCAGACAATAATCAATAAGTGCATGTGGGTAAAATAAAAATAAATAATGGCTCATAACTTGGAGGCTGAATCTATTTTAACGCTAAATCATTAATACATTTTAGCTTCATTTAGTATTCTGAGAAGTATTGTATGTTTGTGAGAGAATAATTAATAGTTGTATTATTTTATCGAACTCAAGAAAATCTCTCTCATCTGCCCAAAAATCTATTTTTCCATTTTGTCTACTGTATTGAAAGCTTATTTATACTTATTTGTATTATGATTATTTTTTATCTCAGTTATATATTTTAGGTACAGAGATGCTTACGTTGAATAGAAATGCTCTTTTTGCCTGTGGAATTTCAAACCAAAGGAGAGTGAAAATACAGGAATAATAGCTGTTTCACTTATTTCACAGCACATTTATATAAAGTTTGATTAAGAGAGATCTGTCCAGGCAATTTAGTAACATATCCAAATGTGCAATATGTACCTACGAACTATGCTTATTTCTAAAAGTGACTGGAGGCAACTTACAATTCAAATGGCTCAGGCGCAATAAGCCAAAAAACCTTTAACATGCACTGAAATTACCTGTTTTCCTGACTACTAGGTGGAGATTGATAGTATATATCTTTGTTTCCCGGAACTCACCATGGTCTGACACACTGTAAGGCCTTCATAAATATTTATGGAATAGACCAATACAAAGAAAGCTGAATATAGGACACTATATGAAGAAGACACAAGACAACAAAGAAATAAGCTAGACAGGGAAGCAATTTTAGATATTTTAAGTATACAAAGTCTAATAGTGTATTCTTGGCCTTGATATTAAAAAGGCTGATGGGACACGGTGGTTCATGCCTATAAGTCCAGCATCTTGGGAGGCCAAGACAAGAGGATCACTTGAGCCCAGGAGTTCACAACCAGTCTGGGCAATGCAGGGAGACCCCATCTCTACAAAATAAATAAATAAAAAATTAGCCAAGCATGGTGGCACACACCCCTGATGTCAGCTATTCAGAAGGCTGAGGTGGGAGGATTGTTTAGGCCTGGGAGGTTGAGGCTGCAGTGAGCCGTCATTGTACCACTGCACTCCAGCCTGAGTGACAGAGCGAAATCCTGTCACAAAATAAATAAATGAAATTAAATTAAAAATTAAAAAGGCAAGTGACATGTTACCTTCAACAGATTCAAAAGAAAATGGGAGTCTGTTTTGTGGTACTCACCCAGTGATATAGTTTGGTGATCTTCCGGGGATTTTCTTATAAAGAAAAAATATTTTTAAGTTGAAACATGTGAATCAAATGTCTGTAACCAGTTACCTGAACTATAGATTAAAAAGTAAAGAAAGCAACTGGTAATAAATGCTGAGACAGTGCCTGATGTTATAGTAGGTGCTCAATAAAAGGTTGAATGAATTAGTAAGTGACATATGAGCCTGTTATTGTCATTAAGCAGTTGCTTCTGTGTTTATTGGGTCTGTTACCTAGGCACTCACAAATTCTATACCTATAATCACACGTATTTTAAACACTTAAAACAGCCCCTAAATTGGTATTGTTATAATAAATGTAATCCATCTAATAAAATGTTGTGATTTTACTTACCCCTTAGTGGAGTGATAACCTCTACATTTTGGGCAAAGTTGCAGTATGTAATTACATTAATTTTGAGGCCATCCCACACAAGCGTCTTATACAATATATGTATACATAAGTGTATATAAACATACAGTGCCATTTACAGTCATAAATTCAGCCTTTTCAGAATATTGCAAACTATTGTCTTTCTGCAACTACCAATGTATGTTTTAAAAATATATGTCCTGAGGTTTTATTTACTCCTCAGTATTGTCCAGCTCTGTGATTCCTTGCAGAAATTCAGTTGTGACTATGTTTGTTTGAGATGAATGTGTAGCATAAATTATACAATTTATAATCTGTGTATATTACCCCATAATTAGAGATTTATCAACCCAAGGGGTGAGAAAACAACCTGGTTTATCTTAGCAAAAGGAGTCACATCCAACTCTCATGAGTTTTATATAAATGTAATCACAGCTTGTATAAATGCCAACCATACCTCATATGAGTAAAATGCTGGATTCTTCAATTATCACAGTTCTTTCAGTATCCTCTAGAATTAAAATTCTTAGTTTTGATGTATGAGAAAAATAATCAAAACACTTTTTTAACATAAAAATACCCACAGTGTCATGACTTTTTAAATACATATTTTTAACTCTAGCTGAAATGATACATTCTGATTATGACCTTGATATGTGTCATTTCTTTTTCACTGACTACAAAACTTTTATATAAAAATCACTATGCATTTGATAACACCTTTAATAGGTTGCTAAATAATTAAGTTTTAAGTGTTTAAGGAGTTACTGTATAATTGCGATTACACTTGTCTCAAGGCCTGGTTCTGGAGAAATAGCCTCAGAATCCTTAATTTAATCTAAAAGGAATATTCACAGTCACCCTTGGATCAGGTGTTTACTTACAGCCTACTAACATGTAAGCTGATATGAGAAAAGAAAAAATAGCTACCACGTGATTAATATCTTCAATGTAAAAATTTACAAGTGCCTAATCACACACATACACATACAAGCTGACAGAGAACAGTAAGGCGGGCCCTGTGGCCAGCTTAACTTATAATCTAAGTAGTGAGATATGTAGGAATTACCTGGATTTGTAGAGCCATTATTAAACAGGGTAATTACTTAGTTGGCCAGCTCCCTAGACTAATGACCTATATATTAATAAATATATCATGGCTCTAAAACTAAGCCTTAGCCAGCCTCTCCAAATCAATTCACTTCACAAATAAGAATACTGTTAGCATCATATGTATATTCTTTCCTTTGCTACCCCCTTGACTGCTACTACCAGTATCATTGATCTGCCATTCCCCACACCAAAGTATTCTGATAATTTTTTTAAGAAAATCTTAAAAATTTTCCTTTGCTATCCTCGCTTGACTACTACTTCAAATATCACTGATTCACCACTCCCCACACCAAAGTATCTTAAAAATGAACCCACAAAGGTTATAGGACATAGAAATAATATGTTTTGCCATAATATTTTATTGTCATGTCCAATTGGGGTATATACACATGCATGCATGCATATCTGAATTAAGGTAGAAATAAGGCATAGCACTTTCTGAGAAAGTAAACAAGTTCAAAATTGTCTTTCTTAAGAAAAGTGAATTATTTTAATTTATCATACCAACTTTGTAATTATTAACACTGTTGCCTTTTAAAACAACATCTAGGTAGCCTTTTAAACCTAGAAACCACAAAAGAAGTTAAAAACAATTTAGTTCCATTAACCTACCTATGTTCTTGACCTCAACTGGATCCCAAAGTAAAATTATTCCAATCAAAAATATTTTCATAAAGATGAATATACTATCTGAATTAAATAAATCTTCAAATAATATATTACATGATATTTCTATATTTTGGTAAGGAATTTTATCTCTCCTTGTGCTATTGTAATATGATTAAAATTATACACTAAAAATTACTCTCAAATCAAAACACCATTAGTTTTGACAGTTGATATGCTGCATTTGAGTATATTAAATGTGATTTAATAATGAAACTACAATTTTTAAATGTATACTTCTAAGATTAAAAACAGAGGAAAGAGCCACATAAATTTTATTTAAATATAAGAATTCATTGCTGGGTTGAAATGTGTATCAATATGTTGCTGAAAGAAAAATCTTATCCCTTCTTAAATATTCACATTATTAATCATCGGATTCAGAAACTAATTTTAATCAGGGAAGTTATATTAATTTAGTTAAAATATATTCTAGTGCTTAATAAATGCAAGATATTGTTCAAGGCCCTGTAAATACAGCTGTGATTAAGCCAGGCAATACTGGGACCTGAATCTTACGGTAAACAATATTTTAGAGGAATAAAGTAAAATTTGGTAGGCAGATAATAAAATTAAGAAAAAAAACATAAAAAATAACATCTAGTCTTCCACAGAGAATTGAAATAGAATGATGCAATAAGGAGTAACTGGTAAACCTGTTTGTCAGAGAGCGTGTCTCCACAAAAATGATAATTACACTGAGGATAGCAGAGGAAGTTCTCAGGCAAAAATGAGGAGGAACAATCTAAGCAGACAAAATAATTAATGCAAAGTTGGGCAAAAGCTGAAAGCATTCCCCTTGAAATCCTGAACAAGACAAAGATGCCCTCTCTCATCAATCCCATTCAACAGAGTACTGGAAGCCTTGGTCACAACAATCAGGCAAGAAAAAGAAATAAAAGACATCCAAATAGGAAGAGAGGAAATCAAATTATCCCTGTTTGCAGTATGATTCTATACCTAGAAAACCCCAAAAGCTCCTTGATCTGATAAGCAACTTCAGCAAAGTCTCAGGATAAAAAATCAATATACAAATATCAGTAGCATACCTATATACCAACATTCAAGCTGAGAGCCAAATCAAGAATGCAATCCCATTCACAATAGCCACAAAAAGAATAAAATATCTAGAAATACAGCTAATTAGGAAGGTGAAAGATCCCTACAATGATAATTATAAAACACTGCTCAAAGAAATCAGTGATGACACAAACAAATGGAAAAACACTCCATCCTCATCGATAGGAAGAGTCAATATTGTTAAAACACCCATATTGCCCAAATCAATGTACAGATTCAACACTATTCCTATCAAACTACCTACAACATTCATCACACAATCAGAAAAAAAACTAGGGAACCATAGTTCTGAAAATTCACATGGAACCAAAAAATAGCTCAAATAGCCAAGGCAATCCTAAATTCATATGAAACCAAAAAAGAGCCCAAATAGCCAAGTCAATCCTAAGCAAAAACAACAAAGCTGGAGGCATCACATTACCTGATTTCAAACTATACTATAAGAATACAGTAATCAAAAAAGCATGATATTAGTACAAAGACAGACAAATAGACCAGTGGAACAAAATAGAAAGTCTAGAAATAATACCACACATAGGTAACCATATGATCTTTGACAAAGCTGACAAAGGCAACAGGGAAAGGACTCCCTATTCAATAAATGGTGCTGGGATAACTAAGTAGCCATATTCAGAAGACTGACATTGGACCTTTAACTACACCATATGCAAAAATCAACTAAAGATGGATTAAAGGCTCAAATGTAAAACCTAAAACTATAAAAACTCTTGAAGATAATCTAGAAAATATCATTGCGGACACAGGCCCTGGCAAAGATTTCATGATGAAGATCATCAAAAGCAATTGCAACAACAACAAAAATTGACAAATCGTACCTAATTAAACTAAAGAGCTTCTGCACAGCAAAAGAAACTCTCAACAGAGTAAACCAACAACCTACAAATGGAGAAAAAACATGCAAACTATGCATCTGACAAAGGTCTAATATTCAGAATGTATGAGGAACATAAACAAATGTGCAAGCAAAAAGCAAACAACCCCATTAAACATGGGCAAAGGACATGAACAGACTTCTCAAAATAAGACATACATGTAGCCAACAAGCATATGAAAAAATACTCAACATCACTAATCATCAACAAGCATATGAAAAAATACTCAACATCACTAATCATCAGAGAAATGCAAATCAAAACCACCTTCTTACACCAGTAAGAATGGCTACTATTAAAAAGTCAAAAAATAACACATGCTGGGGAGGTTGCAGAGAAAAGAGAACACTTATACACACTTGGTGGAAATGTAAATTTATTCAGCCACTGTGTGAAGCAGTTTGGCAATTTCTCAAAAAACTGAAAGAAGAAATATCATTTGACCCACTAACCCTATTATAGGGTATATACCCAAAGGAATATAAATTGTTCTACTGTAAAAAGACATTCATGTGTATATTCACTGCAGCAGTATTCACAGTAGCAAAGATATGGAATCAACCTAAATACCCATCAATGGTATACTGGATAACATGGTACATATACACCATGGAAAACTATGCAGCCATAAAAAGAATGAGACCATGTTCTTTGCAGTAACATGGATGGAGCTTGAGGACATTATCCTAAGTAAACTAACACAGGAACAGAAAACCAAATACCACATACTCTCACTTAAAGTGGGAGTTAAACATACAGACACAAAGAAGGGAGCAACAAACATTGGTGCCTACTTGAGATTGAAGGGTGAGAGAAGGGTGAGGATTGAAAAACTACCTATCAGGTACTATGCTTATTACCCGGTGACAAAATAATCTGTGTACCAAATTCCTCTGACATGCAATTTACCTACATGACAAACCTGCACATGTATCCCTAAATCTAAAAAAAAAAAAGTAAAAAAAACCAAAAAACCCAGAAAATTATTGTGGCTGATAGATACACAGAGAGCAATGGTGTGCTGGTAAATATTTAACAACCAGTTCTTTAGAAAGACACATGTATGTATACAGAAATGTACATTAAATTTATTATAATTTACTGATGTAAAATATGTAAAGCTCACAATCTGCAAACAATAAAGAAATACACAATGCTTTCTATAGTAATTTCTATACAGCTAATTGATTCTCTCAGAATACGTTCACTGAGTTTTGATGAACTCTTGTATCTGTTATCAAACTATGGTTGTAACTGATAAATGAGTTTAGTTCTGAAATAAATATTTTTTGATATTTTTGTGTACTTTCATGAGCAAGATGAAAGTGAGACAAAAAAGACATATGGTGGAACTTCACTTGTTCATCAGTGATGTGAATAACTTTTTTGCTTCATGGCACAAGTTTCCAAATACTGGACTATTTCTTCAATTTTTTTTGTGCTATTCACAATGTAACAGCTACAGACACACCCTTTTAACTTTAGTCTGCATTTTAAACATTTTCTCATGTCTGGAGAATCAGCAAATCATCAAATGAAACCCTATTTTGTAATATTTGCCCATTTCTATGGTGTAAATACTCCCTTCAGGGTTGATTTCTGGCTATAAACGTGACTTCATTGAACATGAAGTTGGGAAAGTATGTGCAGTAGTACGGCATTATATGGTATTTCTATTGTACACATACAATATATAAAAAGACACCAAGAGCAATGAGAATAGTAAAATATAGTAAAAATAACTAGGAAATAATAATCTTGGAGTAGTTATTATATTTCCTTATATTGCAGTCTATTTAACTGTAAGATTATACAATATTTGTAATAGTTGGTTTTAACAACTGGCTTGCAAAATTCCTGAAAATTTAACAACAGGTTCTCACAGGTCAGTGCAAGCCAGCATGAGCACACTGGTGTAATACAGACATATAGTAATATAAATGAGGCTGCAGATGTAAACAGACATATCTGGCAAGGGCTTTGTAAACCAATGCAGGGAGTTTTTATTTCATCCGAAGAGTAAAGTTAAGCCGTCAGAGAGTTGAAATCCGGAGAGAGATATGACTCAATTTGTGTCTTAAAATGTTCCCTCTCAGTGCTCTGGAGAATTAATTTCAAGTGGGTAAGAGCAGAAGCAGTGACACTAGCCAGAAGCTACTGGAAATAGTCTAGGCAAGAGATAACCAGGGCTTAGACAAGAATGAGGATGATGATTTGGAAGCAGACTGACAGTGCTTATTGATGTGGGGACAGCACAGTCCTTAGATTAAACTAAGAGGACCCACATATTGCAGTCATAAAAACATAGAAAGTTTTTTTGTTTTTTGTTTGTTTGTTTGTTTGTTTGTTTGTTTTGGTTATAAGAAAGATTTTTGAAACTTCAAACACCTCAAACATAGAGAGAGAAAGACACAGAGGCCCCGCGCGGTAGCTTACGCCTGTAATCCCAGCACTTTGGGAGGCCGAGGCAGGAAGATCACCTGAGGTCAGGAGTTTGAGACCAGCCTGGCCAACACAGCCAAACCCTGCCTCTACTAAAAAGTACAAAAATTAGGTGGGTGTGGTGGCGTGCGCCTGTAGTCCCAGCTACTCAGGAAGCTGAGGCCGGAGAATCACTTGAACTCGGCAGGCGGAGGTTGCAGTGAGCCGAGATGGCGTCACTGCACTCCAGCCTGGGCAACAGAGTGAGACTCAGAGAAGGAGAGACAGGGAGAAAAGCTGAACTGGCTCCCTGAGGCGGAGGAAATGCGTTTGAGAGCTAATGAGCAGTCTGGAAATCCTGAGTTGGAAAAGTAAGATATGAAAGAGAGGCACTGCCCCAACCTCTGTCTCTAGGGTTTCATTAGGTCAGTCCTAGCTCTGGGTGGATCCTGAGCTGAACCCAGCTTCTACTTTTTCCTGCCACGTACATCAGTACTAACCAGGTTTGTCAGGGTTGGCCCTACAAGGAGGGGAACTCCTTTTGCCTCTAGATTTCAGAATGATAACCTCAGTGGGAACATGGGCTGGGTAACGGGGACAGCTTGGTCTGTAATTTTTAATTACAACTTATGATATGCTGACTTCCGTTTAAACTCCTATTTTATGTCCCACAAATGTTAAGGACAATGCAGGAGGAGAAGTAAAGGAAAGAAAAATCCAAGATTACTTCTAGATTTTTGACTGGATATCAGCATGATTCACTTAATCAACTTACCACAAATCAATCTAAGTTGAACAAACTTCCAGTCAAAATCCAATTATACTTTTAAAGAGGAATTTGACAATGTGTTTTAACATTTTTAGCAAATTCTGAAAAAAAAGAGTAAAAGAAAAAAATACTTGTTAATGAAAGTATTAAGCCATATTGCAAAGTGTTAGTGAAATAGATACAGACTAATGAAGCAGTGAAAGAGAATAAAGAGTTTATGAATACATGGGAATTTGTTCTAAACAACAAACATCATAAATCATTGGAAAGAGGTTCCATTATTTGGTAATGTATGTTGAAAACATAAGACTTGCTCCATAAAAAATGTATTTCTAACTCATAAAATATAAAAACTTCAAATTAATGTATTTAAATTCTTAATGTGATTATAAATGTGAAAACTAAAATATTTTTGATACTGGGTAAACAATGGTTTATAAGGTAATACTTGCAAATATAAAACCAAAAGGGAAAAAACAGAATTTTCTGATTACGTCTCAATGAAAGATTTCTGTACACATGTATCTAAAGGGAGATAGACAGGAAGAAGTTATTTGCACATTTGAAAATGGCAAAGGCTTACTTACCATCAGTAGTTCTTAAAAGCTAGGATGAAAAAAATACAAAGAGAAAAATAGGTAAAGACTATAAAGAATAAATTTATAGAAGGTGTTGTCCAAATAGCTAATTGGTACTGAAGAAAAGTTCATTCTCTTTAGTAATCAGAGAAATGCAAATCAAAACAATGAGATACCACCTAATGTCTCTCAGGTATATAAAAAATATCAGAAAACTGAACACCATTAAGGTTGGGTGCAGCTATGAAGAAAGGGGAGCTGACTCACTGGTGCAAGTGAAAACTGATGCCGTCATTCTGGAGAATGGTCAATGTTGCTCAATAGTAAAGTTACCTATGTGTATAATCTACTCCTAAATATATTCCCAAGGAAACTCACACTGATCCACAAGAAGACATCCAGTACAACGCTTGTCACGTTGTTTTTAATCATAAAGAGTTAGAAGCATCCTAAGTAGTTCCATCACATAAGTAGACTGTGATACAAACACAGAGTGGACTAATATGAGCAGACAAAGTCTTGAGGAGACTGGATGGGTAAAATGTGGTATATGCCTAAGATGAAAGATGATACAGCAGTGAAATATTCAAATAATGGAATATGTTGAAATTAAAATCACTGAACAAACTTTATAGCAATACAGATGCAGTTTAAATATAGCATTGTGTGAAAAAAGTAGTAAATAAGATGAATAGCACACCACCACCTATGCATTTATGCATGGTTAAAAACGTGAAGCATTTTCTATTCTATTAAGGATACAGGTATGTTTAAGTAAACTTTGAAAGTAAGACTGGAAGAATAAACGTTAAATATACTAGAGTGAGGCAGGAGAATGAACTTGAAAATGGAAGAAGAGAATGTATTAAGTTTTCTATTGCGCAGTAACAAATTACCACAAAGTAAGTGGCTTACTACAACACAAATTTTATTATCTTCTAGTTCTGCAGGTCAAAAATCTGGCATGCTTCTCTCCGGGCTAAAATCAGCCAGTCAGGAAGGCTATGTTCCTTTCTCTGCCAGTAAGGGAGCATTCTAGCTTTTAGAAGCTCCTTTCCTTCATCTTCAAAGATGGCAAACATTGCATCTCCTTGTGCCTTTCTCCCTTCTTCTTCTCACTCTCCCCTTTGCCTCCTGCTTCCACTTTTAAGGGTCTTTGAGATTACAATGAACCCATCTACATAATCCAGGATAATCTCCCTACCTCAATGTCCTTAATTTAATCACATCTGCAAAGTCCTTTATGCCATGTAAAATTAGAAATTCTCAGGTTCCAGGGATTCAAATGTGGATATTTCTGGGGAAGTCGAGGTGGGGGGGTGGGGGGGAGGGATAATTCTGCCTACCATAAAGAAAAGTATTAGTAAATACATAAAACAAATACTGAACAAGTTGGGAAGAACGATAATAGTGTGCCACCCAATGAGGAATAAAATCAACTCAATTCTGTGAGTCTGACTAAAAAATATAATAAAGAAAAGTGGAAGATGGGACTGAGGAGTTGTTAATGGTGTCATACAATGCTGAGAAGTCAACTAGAATAAGGTAGAGGAAATAAACATTGTATATGGCAAATAGAAATACTTGACCTTAATAAAAGCAATCTTAGTGTAGCGATAGCAAAGAATGTAGGATTAAAGTGTATTGAAGAGAGGATGTGAGGTGAAGGAATGGTAAGAAAGCACAGTCACACTTCCATAAATATGTATTTGTGTTATGCAAAAATCTCTTTCTAGCAGAAATAAAATGCCACAAAATAGGGAGTGCATTAAAGTAAATCATTCCATCCCCTTAATGGACTATGATGCATAAGCAACTGCTATAAACACTTTCAAAGGGTCTGATATTCTCAAAAGGAAAAAAAAAGGCAGATAAAATGTACTTACATAGTACAATCGCGACTGCATTAAAAGAAATAAATGCATGGATAAAACGAGAAAATACATGCAAGCCTTCATAGTGGTTGTCTTTATCAGGTTGATATGTAGATTTTTGTCTTTTAAATTTTTCTGTACTGTCTTAATTATCTATTATGGACAGAAATTATTTTTCAATTCTCAGAAAATGTTTAGACGTAGGGGAACTTTTTGCAGCTGTTTTTATTTGAGCAGCTACAAACAAAATGTAAATATTTCACCTAAAATGTATATTTGTTCACAGTAAATAAATTGTGAAACTTGATTAGAAATGGAACCAAGATTCACTAAATTGGTCTCAGCCCATTAACTATGAGGAAGTTACATAAAACCTCTAGGCCACAATTTCCTCTGGATTGAAGCTATGATCCCAAAGGTTCCTTTTAGCTTAAACATTTTATGAGAGTATCCAGATTCCAGTTACAGTGTTATAGTCACACAGTCATCTCTACTTACCTAAAAATCTATATAGTTAACTTAGATTAAAAATTATCAGGAAAAAAGAGAAAAATCTCTTGAACTAATTCTAATAATCAGAGTTTGTTAAAGTGTGGATAAATTGGCCACGACCCCACATCACATTATCACAAAACATGGTGATAGTCACACAGAGAATAAAATGATTTAAAATGGTTTCAAAAACTTGACGAGCTCAGCTACTGAAATACTAGTGTGTGTGTGTGTGTGTGTGTGTGTGTGTGTGTATACACACACACATATATATCTAAGGCTCAAAAAATTCACTTGCCTGGTTGGTTGCCTTTCTTTACAGATTATTTGCTTTGATAAGAGAGAAAGAAAGGCCACACATAGAGCCACAAGGGAACACTGGATAATCAACGAATTATCTTTTTAGCAGAGAGCTGCCTCTGGAAATGTAGCGAGGAATTGCTGTCCAGGTAACCAAGCTGAATAGAGCTCCTATTTCTACCTTCTGGCTTTCTTAGTAGCAACTTTCTGGTCATAATGACTTTGGAGTTCAGCTATCACATGGGACCAAATGCCCCTTAGTGAAGAATGTCAATACTTCATTTCTAATTCTTTCTGTTGATATTTCCTTAGACACACAGGCTTTCAAAGATATAAAATGGCAGCCTGCATGCATGGGATTACAGGAAAGTCCATTACAATGTCTGGCTAAAAGAGTCAACTACATGTTACTTGCCCAGGTGTCAGAAAAAAAAAAAAAAAAAAAAAAAATCTCTACCAGAAAACAGCATCTGCTCCACCCTTGCCCTCACTGACAGCCAGCTGTTTTCAGTTATTCTCACCTGCTGTACAGGTTCTCTCAGGGTGAACTCTCACCAGGGGTGGAACAAACAAAGACAACCAAGACTAGGCAATCAAGCTGCTTCAGTACTTTTATTTGCCGCTGGGGCCACGAACTCCTTCTACCCATCTCACCCAGGATCTTTCACTTCCTATAACTCTCCAGGCTGCTGGCAGTTTCTGTGAACTTTGGAGTGCCCCTCCTACCCTGCCTCTGATAACAGTGTCCTACTGGTTTCTGCTTACCAAGCCTCTGGCTCCTTACCTCCTCAGCTCAGCTGATCATAATTACATTGTGACTAAACATATACAGCTATTTTTTTTTTCTTTTGGGGAATATGTTCTATATCAAATTTAGCCTTTGACAAAAGTTCAGTGAAACGATCATTTTATATTTTAACTTCTTTTGTATACCCAAAGATGCCCCTTGCTGTTCCTAATCAGGTAGTAAAAAGTAGATCCTGATATGCACATATTTAATTTTTTTTGTGTGTTCTTTCAATATATCTGCCTGGGCATTAAATTTACATTAAACTTCAAGCACAATGAACTTAACCTGAAAATTGTGTTCTATTCTCAAATATTGTCCCTAAAAGTATCGCTACATTCAATCCAGTTTTAGGAATATGCTTAATAATTTTAATATCTAAAACATATGGAAATCTTACATCCCTTGAAGAAAATCCATTGTATTTTTTTTTCTTTTTTTCTTTTCTTTTCTTTTTTTGTTGAGACAGAGTCTCGCTCTGTCAACCAGGCTAGAGTGCGGTGGCAAAATCTTGGCTCACTGCACCTCCGCCTTGTGGGTTCAAGTGAATCTCCTACCTCAGCCTCCCGGATAGCTGGGATTACAGGCTTGTGCCACTACACCTGGCTAATTTTTGTATTTTTAGTAGAGACGGAGTTTCTCCTAATTGGCCAGGCTGGTGTTGAACTCCTGACCTCAAGTGAGCTGCCTGCCTTGGCCTCCCAAAGTGCTGGGATTACAGGCATAAGCCACCACGCCTGGCAGATTTCCACTGTATTTAACTCAGTATTGGGGTTTAAAATGTGGTAAAGTGGTAAATATTTCAGACTTTGAGGGAAGATTCCCTGAGCTGAAATATTTAGCCTGATATGACTTTGGACGAGTTATTTAATTTCTTTATTTGTAAAAGGGGTAGTAGTGGTACTTACATCATAGGTTGGTTATGAGTTAATACATGCATAGTGCTGAAAAATGTACCTGGCATTATTTTTTTCTCAAGATGGCTGACTAGGGAATGCTTAGTTCAAATGCCAGTTCTTAAGAAGAAGATCAAAGTGGTAGGTGAATGGTCAGGATTTGAATGGAAAGCTGAGGGAGGAGAGCCAGGTCCTGTCAGACAGCCCATGGGAAGAAGTCAGGGCACAGAAAAGGGAAGCAGAAAGGCTCTGGCAGAGACAGTCCCCTGAGGGACTTGGAGCCCTGTGGGAAGGGTAGGTGGGGGTGCTTCTCTGCTCCCCTTACCCCTGCAACAATATGCTTACCACCAAATTGTCGGGGAGAAAGTCTGCCTTTGTGACCCTGGGCAACACTGTCAGTGGTGATCTGTGAACTTCCCAGAGACAGAGCACCAAGTAGCCAGCTTGGACAGGTACACTGGCTCTCCCCCTCAGGCCTGAACTGAGACGATGCACACCACGCTGTTTGCGTACCCACTGTGGCTTACTGCCAGGCCCTAGAAATCTAAGCCTTTCTGTCACCACATCACCTGATCCCCTACAAAAAGACCCCAGAGCACACTCTGACTTTTGCAACTGTAGAGGACTAGCAGATCCTTGGAGAGTTATGGGGCCCCTGAAGATCTAACGCTCAGTGAGGGCCACCCATAGGGGATGAGGGAGTGCAGCCTGCCAAAGCCCACTGGGCATTGTCAATTGTACTGATAACCAGGAATAGAAGGAATAGGCGTGGAGAGAAGGCCGTCTCCTGTTCCCCAACCCACTGTTACAGACACAGCAGAGGCTCTCCTCACTGGGGGCTGGCATCAGTGCCCCGGAGACAGCCACTCTGTGCATTTTGCGGCAGCTGCACCCCTATTGAAAGTAAGCTAGCACTGCACAGGTTTGCATGAAGGGTGTAGCCCATCTTTCCCTCCCTACATAAAGCACTAGCTTGTGTAGGGGGTGACACAGGGCAAAATAGTCACAGAGCTGTCAGTTCTGGACTAGGGGAAGGGGCTCTGCCCTGAGCCCATTTTGGTGGTAGCCACCATGGTCTGCAATCACCCAGTAGCCAGAGGCAAAGGACAGTCTATATGAGCTGAAGGTCATGATCCCTATGACAGGGATGTAATAGGAAAGTTGATTACATTCCTGCCTGCACAGGACAAGAAGCTGGTGCACCCACACCTACCACCCCTGCTCCTGAGACTTCAATGCAACCCAACGCAATCTTCCCCAGCCACCCCCAGTCAGGGCAGGGGCTTCCATTCATTGTCAGATTACCCAAAGGCACATGCCCATCTACTGGACTGGAGATTAAACTGTACCACCAAATAAAATCCTGCTATCAGGCCAGGCATGGTGGCTCATGTCTGTAATCCCAGCACTTTGGGAGGTCAAGATGGGTGGATCACCAGAGGTAGGGAGTTCGAGACCAGCCTGACCAACATGGAGAAACCCTGTCTCTACTAAAAATACAAAAAAATTAGCCGGGCGTGGTGGTGCATGCCTGTAATCCCAGCTACTCATGAGGCTGAGGCAGGAGAATCGCTTGAAGCTGGGAAGCGGAGGTTGCGGTGAGCTGAGATCGCACCATTGCCCTCCAGCCTGGGCAACAAGATCGAAACTCCATCTCAACAAAAAAACAAACAAACAACAACAATAAAAAACTCCTGCTATCAGAAGGGCATAGTCCTAGTGTATGAGATAAGCTCCCTAAGACCTCCACACTCTCAGACCCGCAGAAGATGGTGTGTCAACTCACACATCCAACACATCACTACAACAAGCATCATTTGAAAAAGCCACTACGTAGACAATAGCTATTCACAACAAAGAAGCACACAACGAGTCTTAGCCCCCTGAAAACACCTAGAAATGAAGCCAAAATATACACAACAAACACTATAGACCTCAAGGGGAAAAAAGTTTTTATTTTATTTTATTTTATTTTTTTATTTCCCATCCAACTGAAGCCATTTCAAAAATAAGAAGCAATAGCTTCTACAGATGAGAAGGAATCCATGTAAAAACTCCAGCGGTACAAAAACACAGAGTATTTAGAGACCTCCAAAGGATTGTACCAGCTCTCAGGCAATGAATCCTCACCAAAATGAAAATTCTGAAATGACAGATGAAGAATTTAAAAAAATGAATTGCAAGGAAGCTTGATGAGATCGATGGGAAGGTTGAAAAGCAGTACAAAGAAACCAGAAATATAATTCAGGATATGAAAGACAAGATAGCTAGAATAAGGATAGAGGAAACAAGCACTGAATTTGGATTTATTAAAATGGAAATACTTGATCTTAATCGAAGCAATCTTAGTATAGTGATAGTGAAGAATGAAGAATTAAATGTCTCTCTCTATACAGAACGTTGGGAATTTAAAAATTCACTAAAGGAACTCCAAAATACAGTTGGAAGCCTAGATGATAGATTAGACCAAGTAGAAGAAGAAAGAATTTCAGACATTGGAGCCCTGTCTTTTGAATTAAGACAAAAAATAAAAATAAAGATTTTTTTAATGAACAAAGCCTTTGAGAAATATAAAATTATTTAAAGTGACCAAACCTATTACTTGTAGGTATTGCTGAGAAGAAGAAAAAATAAGCAATTTGGAAAACATATTTGAGGAAATAATTGAAGAAAATATCTGTAATCTTGCCAGAGAGGTAAATATCCAGATACAGTAAATTAACACTTGCAAGATACAACACAAGCTGAACATCACCAAAGCACACACTCATCAGACCAAAATCAATGCTGAAGAAAAAAATCTTAAAGGCAGATAGAGAAAAGGGTAAATCACTTATTAAGGAAATTCCAACAAACTAACAGTTGACTTCTCAGCAGAAACTTTACAAACCAAAACAGATTGAGGGTCTCTTTTTAGACTACCTAAATTAAAAAAAAAAAAATGCAAGGCAAGAATTTCAAATCTGTCAAACTAAGCTTCATAACGGAGAGATAAAGTCTTTCCCAGACAAGCAAATGTTAAGAGAATTCTTCACGACTAGACACATTCTACAAAAAAATACTCAAAGGAGTTCTAAACGTGGAAATAAAAGGATAATATGCACTAACATAAAAGCACACATCCGTAAAAAGTTCACAGATCTTATCAAAGCAGTTATATAATTGAGAGTACAAAGCAAGTAGTTAACAACACTATGACAAGAATAATACCTCACATATCAATATTAACTTTGAATATAAAAAGCCTAAGTGCTCCACTTAAAAGATTTATCTGGCAAATTGGGAAAAAAAAGAGCCTACCATCTGTTGTCTACAAGAGACCTACCTAATGTGTAATGACATCCACAGGTTCAAAGTAAAGGGGTGGTGACAGATATATCATGCAAATGGAAAACAAAAAAGAGCAGGGATGGTTATTCTTGTATCAATTAAAAGACACTTTAAACCAACAATACTAAAAAAAGACAAAGAAAGGCATTATATAATGATAAAGGGTTCAATGCAACAAGAAGATTTACCTATCCTAAATATTAATATATATGCACCCAACACCAGAGCACCCAGATTTATAAAACAAATACTACTAGACCTAGCAAAAGAGATAGACATCCATACAATAATAGTGAGGAACTTCAACACCGCACTGAGAGCAGTAGATAGATTATCAACGCAGAAAACAAAGAAACTCAGGACTTAAACTAGACTCTTGAGCAAATGAGCCTAGTAGATATCTACAGAACACTCTACCCAACAAATGTAGAATATACATTTTCCTCATCTGCACATGGAAGATTCTCTAAAACTGACCATATGCTTGGCGATAAAGCACGTCTCAATAAACTCGAAAGAATTGAAATAATATCAAGTATCATCTTAGACCACAGCGGAATAACATTAGAAACCAGTTCCACAGGGAACTCTCAAAACCACACAAGTACATGGAAACTAAACAACTCACTCCTGAATGACTTTTGGATAAACAACAACATTAAGGCAGCAATCAAAAATTTTTTAGAAACATATAAAAGGCATAACATACCAAACCCTCTGGAATACAGCAAAAAAACAGCAAAGTTTATAGTGCTAATTGCCTACATCAAAAAGAAAGATTTCCAATTAACAACCTAATATCACACCCAAAGGAACTAGAAAAATAAGAACAAACCAAACTCAAAGCTAGTAGAAGGGAAGAAATAACACAGTTCAAGAAGACCTAAATAAAATTGAGCCTAAAAGTACAAAGAATAAATGAAGTAAAAAATTGGTTATTTGAAAGGATGAACAAAATTGATAGATGCCAGCTAGATTAACGAAGAAGAAAAGATGGAAAAAAGCACAATGCCAAAGAAAGACAAAAGATTATCAAAGACTATTATGAAAATCTCTATGTGCACAAACTAGAAAACCTAGAGAAGTGGGTAAATTCTTGGAAACATACAATCTTACAAGACTGAACAACAAGGAAAAAAAATACAATCCTGAACAGGCCAATAATTAGTTATGAAAATGAATCAGTAGTAAAAAAAACTACCAACAAGAAGAATCCCAGGACCAGGTGGATTCACACCTGAATTCTACCAGATGTACAAAGAAAAGTTGGTACCAATCTTAATGAAACTAATCCAAAGAGTTGAGGAGAAGGTATTCCTCTTTAACACATTCTATGAAATCAGTATCATCCTAACACCAAAATCTGGCAATGACACAACAAATGAAAACTACAGACCAATATCCCTGATGAACACAGATGCAAAAATCCTCAACAAAATACTAGCAAACCAAATCCAACACCCTATCCAAAAATAATCCATCACGATCAAATGGGTCTTATTCCAAGGATGCAAGGATGGTTAGACATACACAATTCAGTAAATTTGATTTACTCCATGCACCAAATTAAAAACAAATGCCATGTGATCATCTCAATAGATTCAGAGACAGCATTAGACAGTATCCAACATCCCTTCTTGGTTTTAAAAAACCCTCAACAAACTAGGCATAAAAAAAAATACCTCAATATAATATGAGCCATATATGACAAACTAATGGCCAACATTATACTGAATGGGTAAAAGTTGAAAGTATTCCCCCTAAAAACTCAAAAAAGATGAGGATGTCCACTTCTCAGCACTCCTATTCAACATAGTATTGGAAATTCTAGCCTGAGCAATCAGACAAGAGAAAAAAATAACAGGCATCCAAATTGGAAAAGAGGAAGTCAAATTATCTCTGTTCACTGATGACATGATCTTATAAAATCTTAAAGACTCTTCCAAAAGACACCTAGACTTGATAAATGACTTCAGTAAAATTTCAGGATACAAAATTGATACACAAAAATCAGTTGCATACCTATATGCCAACAATTCTCAAGCTGAGAACCAAATTAAGAACTCAATCCCATTTAAAATATCCACACACAAAAATAATAAAATACCTATGAATACATTTAATGAAGGAATTTAAAATCCTCTACGAGGAGAACCACAAAACACTGATGAATGAAATTGTAGATTACATAAACCAATAGAAAAAGTGCCATGCTCATGCATAGGAAGAGTCAATTATCATTAAAATGACTATACTCCCCAAAGCAATCTAGAGATTCAGTGCATTTCCTATCAAATTATTGACATCATTTTTCACAGAATTAGAAAAAAAAAGTCTAAAATTTATACGGAATCAAAAAAGAGGCTGAATAGCTAACGCATTCCAAACAACAAGAGCAAAGCTGGAGACATCACATTTCCTGACTTTAAACTATAAGGCAAGAATAATCAAAATAGCATGATGTTGGCATAAATGTAGATACATAGGCCAGTGGAACAGAATAGAACGAAAAATAAAGCCACACAGTGACAACCAACTAATCTTTGACAAAGCTGACAAAAATAAACAATGGAGAAAGGACACCTTATGCAATAAATGCTGCTGGGAAAGCTGGCTAGCCATATGCAGAAAAATGAAACTGGGCCCCTATCTCTCAACCATATAGAAAAATTAAGATGGATAAAAATGACTTAAATGCAAAACCTGAAACAACAAAAACCCTAGGAGAAAACCTAGAAAAAACTCTTCTGTACATTGGTCTAGGCAAATAATTTATGACTAAGACCTCAAAAGCAAATGCAACAAAATCAAAATTGTGTCACCATCACACAATATACCCATATAACAAACCTGCACGTGTATCCCCTGAATCTGAAATAAAATAAAATAACAAAAAATATGTACCTAGTATATAGCACTTTTTCACTAAGTTACTTATTGATGTCATTGTTATTAATTTGCATATTTTTTACGCTAAAATTTCAAAAAGAGTGTCCATTTCACGAGTAATAAGTTATTTATTAGGAGAACCTCATCAGACATTTGAGTGCAAAGCTATGCTTTAGAAATCATAATATTAGAAAATTACTCCATGTGGTCATTTCAAAGAATAGAAAATAGACAACCTAACCATTTTACAATAGACATAATAAACAATTAAGCATGCTATGATACAGAGGCTAAGGTCAGAGAACAAAGAAAGGGATCTCTGAAATTTATTTAGATTTTATTCAATGGTTTATCTTCTAGTTACTGAGGTAAGTAATGGTGAAACTAGTGAAAATAGTTACAATGAAGGTGATAAAAAAAATACAAATGCTCTCAGAGAGATTACAATCTAGCCCAGTTTCCCAGGAAATATATATTGTCCAAGTCTAACCTAGTTCCTTTGTTTTCACAAATGAGGACTCATACACACAGCCCAGAGGTGCTGTCCTAATTCCCGTGGTTTGGAAGTGAGTCAGAGCTAAAACCAGTCTACCTCTTCCTACAGAGATCCCACTTGCCACATCACAATGATTTCAACCTTTGAGATCTTAGGTTGAAACTGCCAAGGGTGCATGTTGAAAAACTTCATCATATATACATTTTACTGAAAAGACTCCCACAGAGTATAAGATTTAATTCTGGGTCTTCATTGGCCAGAAACGTCCTTATCAAAATTCTATCAACTTTCCTGTCAATTTGCTTATTCTTTTGTTTTATGGCAGATAGATTTTTCCCTAATTAAGGCTGCTTTCAGAATGTAGAGATTATGCACTACACCTTGTCCTGGGAAGTAAATCCCTTTTTCCAAAGAGTCCCATGTTCTTAATATCTAAAAGAAAGAAGCTGAACATAATCCAGTCCTCCTTTTCCAACTGAGCTTTCATTTCATACTTCACTACAGTTTCTCTAATCCCACTTTCTCTTTGGGTTGCAGTGTATGCCAAACACATAGCAGGTTTAAAATCCCTGCTGATCCGCTGAGATGCTACACAGTGCATGGCAGAGTTTGGCAAGCATGTGTGCTGAGACCTTTTTTTTTTTTTAAACATCTAAATAAAACAGAGCTGGTGTTACTATCGGTTTTACTCTGTATTTGAGGCCACTGAATCCCTTGGCTGCTCCCAGGAGTGCCTCTTCATCTAACAGGCATCATCCTAATTGGGATCTGACCAAACAGCTGGATTTACAATGAGGCATTAGCCATCAGTTGAATTCCTTAAACACACACACACACACACACGCGCGCGCGCGCGCGCGCGCGCGCATGCAGCATCCTGCAGAAACAAGACTTACAAATGAGTACTTGAAGACTCATTTCTCACTCTGACCCCTGGGGTCAATGATGTCAGAGAAACTATTTCTGAAAAGAGCTCTACAGTGGGAGTGAACAATCAGGACCAACAATAATGAGTAGCTCTTGAAGGTCACAGCTGTTGAGCAGCTAATTGTAACTTGAAAAGCTGAGTCCCAAGTTATTAATGATCTTGCTGATAAAGTTTTTTCCCACTCCAAGTCATACAAGCTTTTATTCTAACTTTGAAGATAAAGCAGAAAGCTGCTCTGGCTATAAATGCAAGACTTTTTCTGTCTAGATGCAGTCACGCATATCTGACTGCCTTCCTTCCTCACATGCAGTATAAACTGGTGACCTTTGTATAAATTAAGGTATGCCTTCTGATTCCAAGATCACTCCTAAGGGAAGAGATCACCAATTCTATCAAATATTTCATTTTAGCTTGTTGATTATTTCATGTTATAAAACAGATTGAATGATATCAAATAAGTAATCTACTCAGAGAACCAAAATGATCCTTTCCTTATTTTATATGCATGTGGTAGAACACACCACCTTCATTTGAAACACAGACATTGTATTACACACTCTAAAGTTAGGTTATGAAAGGTGAAAATAATATTTCCATAGGCTAACAAAAATTATACTGGATGATAAAAAGATCTTTCTGCTTTTCTCAATAATTACTAAGGGCACAGCAATGAAGACATGAGGAAATGTAAAGTGTACTATTAGAAATTTAGAGTACATCATACATGGAAATTCTATTACAACAAGCATCCTGCACACTTCAAAGATTATTGAAATCAGTATTGGTCTCTTTGCTTCTTATATTTTATCTATTCATTTGTAATTTCTTCCCAAGTAGGAGTTAAATCTTCAGATTTCTATCATGGGTCTGGATGCAGTCATTTATGTACACACAGTAGGTGCATAGTAAATGCTTGCGGAAGGAAGGAAATGAAATGCTATAATAATAATGTCTTTCCAGTGATGAAGGTTGTTCATCACTCTCACCACATCAAGCCACTAAGGCTCTTGAATGAATCCCTGAGGCTGCCACAGAATGACGCAAGGCACTCACCTCTTTTCCCTTTCCACAATCCCAAGGGGATTAGTGAGCAGCTTCTACAAAGCCCAGAAGCAAACAACTGAAATGTGAACTTTAGCCTGTTAGTATAATGCAAGTTAGACTAGGCGAAAACAGAACAAAACAAAACACCCTTGTTTCCTAAGGGTGCAGGTGGTAGCAATGCGCCTAATTATTTTTACCAAGATTCAGGTCTGTGAAAGAACATGTATGCGTATACACACACACTCATTTTCTTTGCCTTTATTTGCTCAATCGGCTTGAAGTGATATGCCAATATAATCATCACAATATTTTTGCAGCAACTTCATTCTTTCATAGGTGGTATTCTATAAATCACAAATATTTTTCCATTTGCATTACAATTAATAACCAGTAAGGAAATATTTATTGAGTTAATACTATGAGCCACAGACTATATTAAGAACTCTGGCAAATATATGATAAATAGAGCACAGGTCCTTACCTCAAGGATTTTATAACCAAATAAGGAAGAAACATACACATAACCATAATTAAAGAGAATGTGATAAGTTCTCTAGTACTTTTAAGCACCAGGTGTTGCCATCTACATTTATACTAATTTCCGTAAACTGCCAAAAATACACAGATGAATATGTTTCCAATATTCTTGCTTCTCCATATACCTATAAGAGTGAGGAAGTTTTCATCAGCTCAAGTCACTTAATCACCTATCAAATCTCTTGATATTTTCAAAATTAATGCAGCACTATAGAGAGCTGGTAGTATCATATTTGTAGTAGAATCAGATCATCTAAGCTGGGGTGCAGGGAAACTTAAATAATGAATTAACATATTATCCCACCCCCTCAGAACTGGAATAACAACAAAAGTATAAAATTCCAAAAGGCAAAAATCTTTCTCCACACAGTCTGTGTTTACCAAACTCAGCACTGAGCCATGGAGCTTTCTAGCCTTGACAAGAGCTGAAACAAGTACTCTTGCATTAAAAAGAAATAGTTCAAATATCCATATACTCTGTGAAGATTTTTTTTTTTTTTAGGGAGGGTAGCAAACCCAATTTCTGTATGGCAAGACCATATAGAAATTGGTCCATATAGTTGTCCTCTTGAAAGACCATATAGTTGTACCTCTTGACAGACCCAGGGAACAGCTGACCAGCAGAGACAGTCAGAAATGCTATCTGCATTTTCTTCACTACCCTTCTATATCTACACTAACACTTTTGAGACAATTCATGCACTTATGCAATTTTCTCTCTGTAGATAATGTCCAAATCTGTGGCTAAATATTCTATTTAATTTAATACCCATTATTTTCAAAATCCCTACAGAACTGGCTCATGGACACCTGGAAATACATCATACTGAAAACTAAAATCATTAATTTCCTTAGAAACTAGTATTCCCTGCCAACTATTTAATTCAATGTACAGATAAGGAATACAAGCATAGGTTGAATTTAAAGCCATAAAATATTTTTAAAGCCACATGTAGTGATTTCAAAGCCCTTCATTTAACATATTCAATTCTAAAGAAATTAATAAAAGCACTTTTAGTTTCTTTACTTTTAAATCTATGGTCATAATGTCTTAAATATTTTGTCCCAAGTGTCAATTAAAACTTTAATTTTGCACATTTCAAAGCAGTTAATGCATACATTTATGCTAAACTTGCATTTAGAACCATTTGTAATGAAAAAAAAAACTGGTCTTGAATAGTCTTATGAATAGAAGTCTTATGAATAGACTTAAAGAAGTAAAAAGCTTTATATATCATTCCATAAATGTCAAATAATTTCAAATTTAGCAAGAGCTTTACAAATAACCTAGCCCCAATCCACTAACTTATAGATATAAAATAATTTACTTCAATTTACATAGTTTTGTAAGTAGCAGATGTTGGATTATAACCAAGGTGATTATATAAATTATCACCCAAATCAGGACACTTTGGGAGTGAAAGAAGACACTATTAAGGATTACTGCAGAATAGCAGGTGTAAACTGAGTCTCTCTAAGCAAACTAGAACATATGGTTAGCCTAACTATAATACATGTAATATAGTGTTTGCTGTTTTAATTGAGAATATCCAGTCTGCTGTAGGTTAAAAGAAACAAAAGGCATTAGCTAAAACTTATGTGTTAAATATACATACTGGATAGACAAGTAGCTTGGGAAACATATCCAGAACTCATAAGATGTACTTAGAATAGAGAGTAACTTAGTAAGCTACAGACATATTATAAAATACAGTTCTGCTGAACATCAATAACAAGAATGGAACAAGTAAGACTGTCACTTAGAAAAACATGAAAAGACCATAAATTTTGAATATTCATAAAGCCCAGATCATATCACTTCCAGATTGTTATTCATTGACTCTAAATCTGTCTCCTTTAGTGACATCCATTATGGCATCATTATGACCATAATGAGTTCTCTGCTTGAAAAACTCAGATAGCCTTAGTAGCTCACCAGGTTATATCAGTGAACTACAGCTGTGGCTAGGTGTCTGAGTCCCAGTATCTCTCCAACAGAGTAAGCCTTGTGCTACTACCTCTAGGCACCTTCCAGCTATTGAGCTTCCTTGCATATCTGGTCTTTGTAAGCACACCATCAGCAGAAATAGCTGATGCGACAGAAAGTGAATTTTGATATTGCAGCATGGCATAAAACAAAATTAAGGAAGTGTGGCCCTTCCACCTCATGGATTCCTATCCTAATTGTGTAAACCTACCCCCATCTGCATCCTTGCCTCTGGCTAGAGAATAAACAAATGACATGATTCTAGAATTATGGCACCTTGGTCTCTTAGCCTTTCAATTTCCTAGCTTCTACTAGAGCTTACTCAGTATGGTAGGCTATTGTTGAATCTATATAAATCCCCATATGGTGGCACGTATCTCCAAAATCCTATTAATTTATTTACTCATTCAACAATTGTGAGTACCTTCTACACAGCATGCTCAATTCTGGGTGTCTGGGGTGTAAAGATGAAAGATATATCCTCTGTTCTTAAACAGAGTCCAAGGAGAAAAACAGATAAGGAAACATACTAGGTATGATAGTGTTGTCATATTCCAACCTCCAGAGACTGAGAAAGACTTCCCAGAGGAAGTGACACAGAGAACATAGAACAGAATAAAACAGAGAAAAGAGAGAAGAATAGAATCACTAACACTGATGGCTTGCTGCAAGTGATAGAATTTTTCTAAGTAATTGATGTGAATTAACTCATGTAATACTCACAACAATCCTATGAGTTATGACCGTTATTATTTCTATTTGAAAAATGAGGGAACCGAAGCATAGTGAGGTCACACATCTTTCAAGTGAGTCATGATTGGACAGCCGGCATTGTGGACCAAGCATCTATCTTCTTAATCACTAAATTACACTGCTTCACACCCCAAGTGCCAAGAACTAAAAGATGACTGGAGGTTAGAATGACAACAAAAGAGAGGAAAGGGCATGGTGGTGAGAGAACGAAACCAAGAAAAATGGAGTTTGAACACAGTGGAGGCACCAGGAACTGTATGATATGATGCTGTTAAAGTGGGAAGGCCCAGTCAATGAGAGGGTTTTAAGTTATGCTTAGTTTTAAAGCTCTTACCTTATTGTCTCCTCGCTATATTGCTCTATAACTCAAAGTCTACGCCACAATCTTGTTAATGGAAAAAAAGTGAATACATTTCATAGCATTAAAAACAAAAACCAAAAGCAAGACTTGAAATTTTCAATTAAAAATAATATTCTTTTAATTTACATCAACATCTTACAAAAATTCCCAATGGAGGATTCTCTGAACTACAACAAAAACCTAAGGGGCATTCACAGTTAATCTAAAGTAGACTTCTATCCATGAGTCACCTAAACATTTCTAACTTGTTTAAATTGCATATATGCAACAATTATATATAAATTTATGGATATGTACATATGTGTATATATGTCAATTAAAGATGGGAGAAATACAATAATAGGTTTCACACAAGTACCTTTTCAGTAATACTATGTTGCTATAGCTGTTTCTTTAAGGATGACAAAGAATTTGAGAAATAACATAAAGGTAAGAAATAAATCAACAAAATATATACCTTCACAGACCATTCAAATAATTCTGCTAGATTATCTCCCATTAGACATAATTACATTATTTAATATAAATGAAATGAAATTTTTAAGCATTAGATGGACAGAATGGTATATTTTTTCTTTCAGATGTGAAACTATGGAAATACATTTATAAGAAGTTTTCAATAAAATTGAGAAATCTATATATTTTTGAATTCCTGATATTTTTAAATTACGAAAGTACTAATGTATTTACTTCTTGGCAGAAATAAAGATGAATATAAATATTTCTATGTCTAAAAAATGTGTTGCAAATAATGTTAACTTACTTTTTCATATTTCAAGGCTAGTTTCAATAAATGTATCACTCATGACAAATATTTCGGCCATAGTGTAATTTTTGAATTTTAAAATGACTTTTTTAAAGTCTTCACTTTGTTTTTGCTATAGACTATTTGAAAATATATTTATATTCATCTACTTACTGATTCAAAAATATCCCAGTGTTTCTCTACTTATCTCATAAGGTATTACAACATTCCTCGAATTAAACATTTTAAACTTATTTATTTATGTATTTATTTATTTTTTGAGGTAGGGTCTTACTCTGTTGCCCAGGCTAAATTGCAGTGGCACAATCATAGCTCACTGCCACCTCAAACTCCTGGGCTCAAATGCAGACTCTTGATTACCTGGGACTGCAGGGATGCACCACCATACCCAGCTATTTTTTTTCTTTTATAAAGACAGGGTCTCACTATGTTACCTAGGCTGGTTTCAAACTTCTGGCCTCAAGTGTTCTTCCCTTCTTGACCTCCCATAGTGTTAAGATTATAGGCATGAACCATCATGCCCAGCCAAGTGTATTAGTCTTCCAATTTGTGTTCACTCCAACACTACTTTAGCCTAATGATTTACAATTAACCAATGATCAAAAGCAAAAAAAAAAAGTATAACAATTTCAAAATGGAGCAAAATCACTAAACTTAGTCATATTTCCTCATTTCTATCACATAAAACTCACAAGTCTAATCCTCTACTACTTGCTCTCCTTAAAAATATGGGATTTATGAAAGGTCATTGAGTCAGTAATTTATCAGTGAGAATCAAAACCAATCATTTTCTCATCCACTTAGCTCATGCTCGGTGATCACCCTATTACATCTGTATGAACTTTCTGTGGATTAGCATTAGCAGAGGCTGGCCAAGGGGCGAAGCGTAAGAAAAGTATGGAACTTCACTTCAGTTTACCAATTGTATCAACCCATGTCTTGATCACCCTCAATGGCTTGCATTTTTTCCTTCTCTAAAGGTAAGTGCGTCCCCAGCATCCCTCCTTGTCCCTCCCCTGCTTCGGCAATCTCATCATCCCCAATCAATCTCTTTATCAGCTCTGTCAGAAATTGCCAACTTTTATCACTAATGATCGCTTTTCTCTTGACAAAGATTCACATTTTTAGAATCTGCTTCACATTTGCACCTCTAAATCAATATATCTAAGACCAACTTCACCATTATTTTTTTCCTGAAAAGGCAATGCTCCCTCTTGACATCCTAATTTTGTGAATGGTACCACCCAGTCACCTCAGCATCTTTGATTCTTCCCTCGACCTCACCTCTTGCATCCAATTAGTAGCCCAGTAGTACTATCTGTGCATCTCTCACATCATTCCTCTTCTTTCCATCCCCATTGCTATCTCCCCAGTTCAGACACTCATTACCTTCTGCCCTATGGCAATAACCTAACTGAGCTCTCTACTTTTAAGTCCCACTCTATCCTAACTTTTCCCACACAATTGTAGCAGGTTCTAAACTGCAACTCTAATTAGAAGCTTCCAAAGAATCCCCACTACAGACACAATTATGTACAGAGTCTCACCCTGACATTTAAGACCCCCTTCTAAGGTAGCTACAAACTGCCTTTCAAACTTCCTGTCTCACTATTTCTTTCCCCGTGTTCTTGTTGTTGGTTAAATTAGACTATTTGACATTTCATAAAAATGTCATAATTCTCTCCCACTGTAATTTTATTCACATAACTCAGTTCTCTGGAACACCCTCCTCTACTACCTCTCATCTATGCTTGCAAATTATCCTAGGAATTTTTTCTCAAGAGTTAATTAAAATACTACCTTATCTAAAAGAGCTTTATCAATCCTCCTTTCTCGTTTATCTCCATCTCATACCAGGAATGTCATTTCCTTCTTTAAAATATGACAGCATTTAACTGACACCGTATTCCACCAAATCATAGAGTTGACTGCATTTCTGGTTTACCTATTCTTTCTCTTGCTAGCAACAGATTGCAAAGTCCTTGAGGAAAGGAACAACCTTATAAAGGGTACCATAGATGTTGTAGGCACAAGAAATATATGAATTAAATTACTGTCTCTCCCAAACGTTTATAATCAATGTTCAGTTACCCAAGCTACGAACCCTTGAATGTGCCCAAAATATAAAGCCAGTATTTTCAAAAATTATTTTGCTTTTCCCCAATCCATACAGCTATATTAACAATAAATGAATTTATTAAACATTTTTCATGGATCTTCCATTATATATCTCTGTTTTGATTATTATAAAACAGAAAGTCAAAAAAAGGGATAAACAGCAGTGGGGAACACTTACTAGGTCTCAGGAACCACATGCTTTACCATTTCACAACATCACTACAATATATGCATTTTTATATCACACTTTAGAGATGTGATAACAAGATTTTAAGAATATAAGTCCCTGGACTTGGGTAAGATAGTTAGTAAACAGTAAAGCTGAGACTGAAACAAATCTGACTTCAAAGCCCATTTACTGCAATTCCATACTAGTAGCATCTTTGCAGCAGTAAAAATAAAGTAGTGAAGAAGAATTAAAGATATGCCTAATAACCAAGAAAAAGAAATAGCTCCTTAAGCAGTAAGAATTAGAAAAAAAATCATCAATTTAATTAATTGTATATATGAAAGAAAGAATAAGTTAGAACACCTGGCCAAATTTCTGCATTTCTGTACTGGAGACTTACATAAATGGGAAATGCAGATTCTAAAAACAGGAGCATAAGGCAGTCTACGAAAGTTTGATGTTTTATGGACATCATCTGACTTGCCCTTTCTTTTCACCTGAATTTTGTGTTAACGCTTCTATAAATATAACGTAAGTTTCCTCTTTGTATCTGGGATACACTTCAGATCTTTATTATACCACACATTGTTTTAGGTAAGGGGATAGAGAAGAAAAAGGAAGATATTTCCTAGTAATTGACTTATTCTGAGAAGTATCTGTCATTGTATAAAATTTGCTCCTTTGGAACACACATATAATACTTTGAACATGGCAGATGCTCAATAGTTTAATGAAACAATTTAAAGCACATTCTTAATTAAATTTTAAACCAAAATGTTTTGAGCACTAAGTGTCAAAGTTTAGCACCTATTTTCTAGTTATTCATACTCTTTGTGAAAAAATTCAATAGTCAAAAGTATAATTTCTGTAAGTATTTTGAAAAGCTACTCACATGCTTTTTAAAGAGGGAATATAAATTGTAATTTACACCAATAGAAAAAAAGACTGAGCTTATACTATTCTGGAAATACTTGAAGGTCAAGCTCGCACATTTATTTTCAATTGGATACATCCTTCTGGTATTTATACCATTTAGGAGAAAAACAGGGTCTTAAAGAAATTCTTTGAAATTATCTTTAGGGCTACCAAGCATTTAAAAAAAATCTCAATAACTGACCTATTTCCCTAGAGGCCTATTACCTTTCTTCCCACATAAAATAAGAATATGACTGACCCTAGATGCACATAAGAATTCTGAACAGTGATGTGCAAAGAACGTATTATGCATATCAATTAGACTCTAAGTCTTGTCTAAAATGGCAAACCTCACTGAAAGACATAAATAAATGTGAACAGGGGATTTTACCTGAAATAATATTACAGTGTCATATAGAAGAAGGCAGCTAACACAGCACTCTAAAAGCCACATTATATTATTCTCCTGCAGCAAAGAGATACATCCAAAAGGCTGAACTTGTAAGAGTTTTCCGTTGCTGTAGCAAAATTGATCCCTGTTCTTCTGTTAAAATATCTTTCATCTTCATACTTCCCCACAAATTCCTAGACTTCACCTACACACTTCAGACTATAATGTAGTAACAAAATTAGAACCATGTTTTCCAAAAGTTTAGGAGTAAGGAAAGTAAGAACATGAGAAGATGCCAGAAGGATTACTCATCATCGTCTCATATGCATGCACAAGCACACGTACATACACACAGACACACACACACACACGCACAATTTTCAGACCAGTCAAATTCAAAATCAGGAGAATAGAAATTGTTCTGTCAGGAATAAGGCTATGGATGAGTGAAAGTGGGGGAAAATCACTTGGATTCAATGCTACAACAAATGTTTAAGCTGAGTTGAAGAGGAGTTAGGTGGTCTATAGGACATTCCGACCAGCAAAGATAATATTTGCCAAAGGTATATTGGCAAGCATGTTCGTCTGGTAAATTGACGCAACCTCCATGTGGCTGAAGGATAAGACGTGAGGTGATGTGATTTGGAGCAAGAGAGAAAAGTGCTTCCTACTAACTTTGTTAAACTAGATGTAGGCCTTCTGGCTTACAGGTTTTAAAGCAGCCTACATTTACCTTTGTGTTCATCATTTAGCCCAGTGTGAATGACTTCTCTAGTTAGTGATCTCATAATGTGCAAAAGAACTGGCTCCCTCTATTCTCAAATCATGGTGTTACAAGCAAACCAACAAATGAGGTTTTGCCACCCTTTTCCTGCTCCTAACAGTTTATTACATCATCGTACGTAAAATTATGTAAGCTTGGCAATTGTGGTCTTGGATCTTCAACTTTGAAAGCACTTCCTTTTTGATCACAGCTTTTATTTTCAAGAGTCTTAATCAATGAGAACATTAACCATTTTTTCAAGATAAAGCATCACTTTACACTGTCATCAAGGGTTATGCTATTTAATAACCAGTTATAATTAGGCAAGAGATTAATCAAGGTTCATTTTTGAGGCATTCTCAAAAGACACAGGGAGATTACTCTTTGTTATTATTTTACTGAAGTGTGTGCTATGTTACATTATTAATGAGAGCAAATATGGGCAGAGTGGTCTCCTGCTTCTCCAAATTTTGCATTGGAACATTGTACTAAGAACTGAATGAATGTCAAATATATCTAGGCCTGGAAAGACAGCAAAGCTCAAAATTCAGAACCAATCTTGGCTCCACTATATCCCTGCTAGGTATTACTGGGAAGTAGAAGGAACGATTGAATGAAAATCCTAGCAGATATCCTTAATGTTTCTGGACATCTTATCACATCTGGGCCAAAAGAAGATGCCTAACAAATAATAAGGCTACCAGTTATTATTTTTTTATTAAGAATCACTTATGCTAAACACATAACATTTTTAGTTTAGTTTTTTTTTCAGATTTGTATATTGTATTTAAGTTATGTGTCCTTAAATTTGGGGCCAGAAAGTTGGGTTTCTGTTCAATCAGTAAATGGTTGGTTAACAACATCATTATTCCTTGCCTACATTCTCCATCTCCTCCTGTCTTTCTTATCTCAGTAAATGGTACACTCATTTATAATGCAATCTCTCAAGCCAGATACTTGGTTTTCTCCTTTGGGTTTTCCCTCTGTCTTACTCACATGTGCAATGAATATCTAAGTCCTGTTATTTGGCCATCATCATCACTACTATCACTCACTCCTTGAGTCAGACCCACCAATAGAACAGACTCGTCTATTTCTTATCTATCTGCATCAACATGATGAACACTCCATTGGTCTTGAAGACTGTTTTGGTTAATTCTTCAAATGTGTCACTCCTTGCTTAATTCCTCTAAGATCAACTTAATTTTTCCCTCACTACCATCAGGAAAATTTCAAACTCCTCATAGTGTTATACCATTGTGTTCTTCCTGACCAGATCTCTGACCACTTCTCCAGATCATTACTAGACTGATATCTAGAAATTATCCTTGGGACTTCTATGTTTCAATCATCCTGAACTAGGCCCTTGTGTTGCTGTTTCGTCTACTCAGAATAGTATCTTTCTTCTTCCATTTCTGTGCTTGGCAAACTACTACTTGTCTGTTAGGTTGCAGCTTAGAGGCCACTTTATCTTCAGGGGCACCTTCTCTAACCCACCAAATAGACAATCCCCCTACATGCTCCACAGAACTTTATTCTCACCCCTATAATAGGTATTCCTAGTATTGCCTCTGTTACACAGTTGCTACTGTGTGGGCCCTGGGCCAGGGAATGACTAGTGACATGAGTAATTAGATAAAGGATATTTACCTAACCCAATGGGGATTAAATTTCCTTTCTTAGAAATCTGAACTAAGAGGCGAGAAGGCAAGTACCAGTTGGTTGTTGGTGCTCTGGAGGGGAGGAGTGGTGCACAATTCAGGCTGACAGTCACTTATAATGACAATGAGCAGAGAAAGCTGTTGGAAAGATTGAGAAAAACAGAAGAAAAACTGGTTTCACAGGAAAAAAAAATCCCTGGGTGTTATTTCCTGGTATCTAAGGTTTAGTACTCAAGGGTCCTTAGAATTCCATACTATGACACATTCTTAAAACACTATTCCTGCATTTAGTACTCCCCCTCAGACAGACAGACAGACAGACACACACACACACACACACACACACACACACAGAGGTTTATAGAAGCCTCCTCATCTATAAATATTAAAACCCAAGTAGGAAGGAAAAAGTTTTTTTGAAAAAAGATTATAGTAGAGTTTGATGTAATTCTCCAAATGGACTGATCAAATATATAACCCTCTTGTGGAAGCATTTGTGGCTCTTGCAAAAGATGAACTTTAAAATGAGCCCAGAGTAGAGTTTTTCAGATGTTTTGTCAGGACTGAAATGCTTTAGCTGTTTTCCTAGTGAAAAGTTGTACTGGTTTGGCACCACTGTCTGTGTGGTTTGTAGGAACATTATTTGTAGATCTTCTCAATGAACTTTTTTAATGCAGCTGCATGGAGATAAACAATAAACCAAGAAATATGCTGATTGAAAAAAACACATTAACATGCCTTTAGCTTCTAGGGAAAGCCTTGATATCTAGTCATTAACTGGGAAATCTGCCCTCAGACTTCCTTCTGCTTTAACATGCTAAAAAGAAACTTAGGAGAACTATTTTTAAAAATTCTTCATGCTTTGCTGTTTTACCAAGATGTCCTAATTTGTATGAATCCAAATACTCATTAACTCTCAAGTGCTATTAGCTATCAAGAGTCAAATGAATTCAAAGGGGGGAAAAAACAAAGCTTAATTTCAAGCCAATAAGGGCATTTTGTTATGTTGTTATGGCTGCTTTCATTGGATTCCTACTTGCCTGTTTGGCTATCTACAGAACGAACAGAGGTTAATATATTTTTAAGTAATATCAATTTTGTTTTTGAATCAAAGATTGCATTAATATCAGCCTTTATTCTTTTATTTATTTTTGAGCTTTATATTTTTAAAGTATCTTGTTTCTAGAACAGACTTGTTTTTGTTTTATGAAGGTGGAGGAGGGGAGGAAAGGTGAGAACTTGAATTCACTGACATTTTCTTGTTCAAATTCCTCCATGTCTTTTCAATTTAAAGAGCTCAAGATAATGTGATATCTCTTACTTCAATTTCATTTTTAATACCTGTCCAAGCATTCTAGCTGTATATACTGTCTTCCATATTAGGAAAGATTATGCCCCTATAATATTTACTTATTCTTCTTTATTCTTTCTACAGGGAATATTCTAAGATGACCTTTATTCTCTGTCTCCTTGATAAAATTACTTTCACACAAAAGCAACTTTCAAAAAGTATCATCTCATCATGACAGATTAACACAATTCTGTAAGCGCCTTTTAAATCACAAGACGTTTACCTCAGTCTCCATTAAAAATATCACATAAAATTGGCTTGTACTGTCGTTTTCATCTCTGTCCAAAACAGAATATAATACAGCTTTTCTATTTGTAAATTGATTTAAAAATGTGACTTAAAACCCGTCACTGCACTGTAACTTGCCACATACATGCCAAAAACTAAAATCTAGTGATATAGAAAAATCTTATTAAGCTATAAAAACTGGGGAATAAATTCAGTATAAAGTTCTTAGAAACAATGATTCTAATTGATATTCTGAATTTTTGTCAGAAGAGAGAGTTTCCAGCAGCTATGTGTTTGTGTTTACATTAGTTGCTGATTTAAATATTTATAGGATTCATATAAATTAAATATTATTTCTGTATTTCTTCTTAATTCTAGAAAGTCCGATGAATGTACAGGCATTGGAGTTAGTTAACTAATATTCATTATATATTATTGTTTTACAATATAAATCATAAGACAAAGTTATGATGAAATAATTGTGACTGCTGAAGCACATTCTGGGAATAATAAAAGCCCATCCAATTTAGAAAACTTCAAGTTTGAAAAGGTAATACAAATAAAACAGAAAGGGAAAAATAGGAAGTTCTTAAAGAATGTTTACTATCCATTGCCCTTGAATTTTGAGAACACACTGGAGTCCATTCTACAGGCTTCTATGGTATTGCATGGCCTCGCCCACCACTTTGCTGCCTGTCATCACCACTGCTGCTGCCAAACCACCACTACAAGGCAGAAAGGCCAATCTGAATGGAGAGATTGAACGATGTGACTTAGGAGACAGAGCTACGGTGAATGCAAAGTTACACATGCTCTTACTCTGCCTCGTGGCCACAGTAATTGAAGAATTACATTTAACTCTCACGGGTCTCTCAAATCTCAAATGGATTAATGATGCACCTCCCTTAGGTCCTGACTGAAACAAAGTATTCCAACTTATTTTACCAGAGAACTCTTCAACGGGGCTTAGAAGATAAACTCAGCTAATACTGTGATGTTTCATGTTCTTTTGCTAGTATTACTTAATATGTGTATCCCTCTCAAGAAATTCTTGGGTCAGAATAGTGACTGTGTTTTAGGAAAGATTTGATATTCATAGTTCCACTAGCCAAATGCTTCCCAGCTTATTTTCCACAAATAAAGTTACAAATATTATATTCCTTGGGGGAAATGACAGAAATAAGAGTACCCATATGAAGTTTTGTGAGAAAAATAAAAATTACATTGCCTAAATATTATGTAAATAAAAAATAAAATGTAAAGTGTTCGGGAAAAGAGTAAGTACTAAGTTTTGTGCAAATATGACCTAATGCTCCTCACTGGAGCTTTTGGGGCTGGATGCCACTTGCTATACTTTCCAGCTGCAGAGGCAATATTATAGGAAGAATGTTCCGCCATTTTCATAAGAAAATTAGGTTGTTTCAGTAACTATAACTTTTTTACCAAGTTTTACGCTTTAAATGACTAATGTGCAATTCCTAACCAAGACGTCTTAATCATAATCTTTTCAAAATCTTGATAGTTTCCATTGGTGAAAATTTTTTCAAACAAGCAGATGATCAGACATGTTAAAACTTATACAGCCTTTCAAATTTTACAAGAGTTGAAAGTGTCACTAAAAGTAATTTTAAATTTCCTGTGATAATGCAAAAATATTTCAAACCCAATCAAGTATTTTAAATAAAACATTTCAAAATAATGTTGAAGCTCTGATGTAGAACAGGCATGCATTGTATAAGCCTTAAAAAAAAAATGGCCAGGATATCACTAAGTGGTAATATCAGCCACAAAAGTGAATGCAGACAGTAAACTTACAAGAAGACACATTTCGGGCATTTCCTGGGGCTGAGCCTCTCAGGAGCCCCTGCCCAGCCACCCCCAGCCCTCTCTCCCCACCGCTGGCCGCACCTTGCGCTGCAATCTGTGCTCCTTGGGCACCTGGACCGCGAACTCCTCTGGTAGCTCCACGGGGCCCTTGTCCACGATGAGCAGCGGTGCGCTCTGCAGCTGGCTGCTGAAGCAGATGTCTGGGTGGAAGAGCGCCTCCTGGGCTGCGCTCAGCGTGTCGCAATGGAGCAGCAAGGGCAGGATGTCGTTCACTGTGCTTGCCACCTGCGGGGACCGCAGGGCGCACCATCAGACCCCTGCTCACCTCAGTCCCGCCTCAGGGGAGCCCTGGTAGAGGCTATTCCCAAGGCTGCTCTCTGCCGCCGGCTATAGGCCCAAGACTCCAGCCACCCCAGGCCCTACTCAGACAACCCTACAGCTGAGAGGATTACATCTCCTGGCCCCTAGTATAATGCTATCCTAGTTAAACACTATCTTAATTAAGCTAAAAAAAAAAAAAAAACTCATCCTAATCTCTAATAATGATTAGAAAATTAGACATAATTATTGAAAGCACAGTAAGCTACCTGAAAAAATATAAATATTATTTTTATTTTTATAGATTCACAGCACTCTAATGTAAATTAAGGGCACTAATACCTACATAAGTGTAAATAAGAATAATGGTTCCTAAACTCAATTTTTACACAAAATGTTTGATAAGGTAATGGGTAAAGAAAGTCCCAGAAAGGTGTCTTTTGTTTGTTTATTTGTTTTGTTTGATGTATGGTTACACTTATATGGATTGTTTTATACTTATTTGTATGTTTTCAGGTCATTTAACTACCATTTTTGGAGAGGTGCTGTTTTAAGATCTGTGCTGGACGTTAAGGTGAAAAGGATATACACACATTTTTACCATTTATATACACAGTGATTTTACTGACAAATGGTACATATTACATAAATGAGTAAATATGAAAGACCAAGACAATAATGAAAAAAAAGTATACATGATTTTTAAAAATAATTCAGAAAACACCCATGCATTTTATGCTTTGAAAAGAGATATTTAAATATAGGATTTTTTTTGATAAATTGATACATGAGATACACATTTCCCTACACTATTTGCAACTAGTTTAATAAATAGGAATGATAATGAAAATCTGTCTGTCAACAGAAAGGATAAATTTTACAAAGAAAAAGATTTTGCTTCACACAAGTATTTTTTAACAGGTTATAACATGCATGTATAAAAACACATTAATAATGTTATGTGGCTAACATTAAACAGGAGAGAAACTAAGAAAATCAATAATGCAAGAGAATTTTATGATCATCTTGCTAACACTAGAAATTTATACAGTGGTGCCATAATTTCTTGCTATATAAAATATCTGCAGATTAGAAGTGTAAAACATATCCCTCCCAAAACACATAAAATAATACAAGTTTTATGGAAAAAAATCATATTAAGAAATATGTTAAACAATATATCTATAATGGAAAACTTTAAAATATAAGTCTGAGACATTGCCCCGAAACATTTTTATTTGAATTTATTACAATGTATGATTACTAAAATATCTAGGCAAAGGTAATCTGAATGCCATTTTTATAGCCTGTGTAAATGAAAAAGGTGCCAAAGAAGAAAATAAGTTTCAAGACCAAAAAGCTGCGAAAATCAACATCTCTAAGTAATTGCCTTCTTTGATGTTTCACTCTAGTGGCATCATTTCTGAACTTTTGGCTCCTAAGATATCCCTCTCTTCATTACCTAAAATGACAATATGACTAATATAAAAATATTTTTACATGAATATATACAGGCATGTTTTCTCTAATATCTTTGTTACTACTCTATGGAAGAAAATTAGCCAAACCTTATCAAAATAGATTATCCTATAAGCCTCTGTTATGCAAAAATTGAAAGATTTTATCCTCAGCCAAGTTAAAATATAAGCACATTTAGAGTGGGGGAGAATGTGCTTATTTTTTCATTCATTCAACAAATATTTATTGAGTTCCCATTACATGTTGGGACCTCTTCTAGGTGCTGGAGAATTTGGTGAAGAAAACAGACCACAAAGCTACTTTAATGAATCACACATCTGGTAAGGGAAATTAGAAAATACACAAATAAATATTAGAGAAAAAATACCATATAAATATGAGTAATCTATGAAAAAATAAATAGAGTATTATGTAAAGGTTACTTCATTTGGGTTTTTGTGAAATATTTGGATATGGAGACAAAATATAAATTGGGATTTCAGTGAGATTTAAAGTCATTAATCATACAACATTCAGTTGTGTGACTGTAAGTTGCTAGTCAAAGAACTTCCAGGATACAGGAAAGGCCTCCAGGCTAAAATCCCTTGGTGTGTTTGAGAAATAGCACAACGGCTGGGTATAGGGGTCAAGGTGAAGAATAGTCTGGAAGGCAGAGAGGCAAGCAACATCCAGATCATGAGCTTTGTAAGCCAGGGTAAAGAGCTTAGTTTTAAGACAATCTGTTTAGGATAATTATTAAAACTCTTGGGAGGGAAGAGTAGCATAGGACAGGGACGTGGGAATAGGGATCTCTTCTTAACTAGAGATCAAATATTTCTAGAAAAGGTCAATTTCTAGAGTAGGCAAAGAATGACAATTGATTTAAAAATGAATAAACAATGGAATCAAGCATCAGCTAAACAGTATAATAGTGCCTGTATCTAAATGAAAAAAATCTGAAAAATAAACAAAACATAAAAACACACGTCAATAGAACTAGGAAGCAAACTCTTAGGGATCTAGAAAGAGTTGTTTGGCTTGAGGAGTAAAACGATTTCATGGAGTAAGACTAAAGAATACAAAATACCAGGAGCTTAAGTCGACTTTGACTGTAAATTGAAAAAAGTAGACTGATGTGTTCTATGAAACCAAAGTATCTTATGTGTCTGTAGTTCATACACTCATTTAAATTCACTGTATCTATAAAAGAAATCCAATGGGTGACAGAAAAACTAGAGAGGCTGTTACACTGCCCACATAGAGAAGGATTATTAGAACAGAGCCAAAATGTCAACTTTTGCTTTAAAAAATATGTGTGTACTATACTCAAGATATTGTATGACTTCTGTGGAAATATTTATTTGAATTATAAATATAAATCCAATTTGTCTTCCTGAAGCTATTATACAAATAAGTCTTCAAGATAAACAGCACACTTATAAATCTGGTGTCTGGTATTCCATTAGAAACACGAATCTTAAGTCTGCAAAGATTCCTTCAATTCACATGCTAGAAAGTTAGAATGTTCCTGCCATACAGATCTCCCAAGGTTCACGTCAAGAGGTTTTGCTCTGAAACTCACTCTCTCCTTGGGGCACAATAGCATCTGAAGCAGCTAGTTTCCTTAGGTCAAGGAAGGTGGTATCTATGCCCTGGCATTCTCCACTCACTTGTCTAAATTGAATACATGGGCTACAAAACCAACTCAAATTACTCCTCGAAGGTTCTTCTCAGATATTTGAAGATAGTTTTCACATTCTAAATGCCTCTTTTTTTATCCAGACCTTTAAGAGAAAGGATTCTTTCAAATTAGCTATTAAAAATACACCAGCATGTTGTGGCATTAACCATAAGTTGAAGGCAACCCTCCAAGTTTCCTTCCCAATACCATTAGAGGCCACAGTTTCAAACTCTGTTGCATGTAATTTTAAGATGTCGCAAAGTTAATTTTGGCTCTGAGGCAGGAAGCTATAATAAGGTCAATGCATCTTGTTCTTTCTATCCATCTTCAGAGAAACTTCATGCTTATCTTTTAAAAACTGCATATTTGATTAGGATTTTATTTGAATTGAGGGGGAGATTTTCTATTTTTATTTGTTTTTAAAGTTTTAACTTTTAAATCATACATAATATATAATACTCCTTGTAAGTAATATGAGTTATTGCCATATACAAATCATCCTTATATTTGATTCATATCCAGATATTTTTACAATGTAAGCACTTTCATTCTGCTTTCCTAGTGGGCAAGCGTGAAATATAAAATTAGTATTTCATAACCTACTATAATGATCAAAATATTTATCCCATGTTCATGTCTCTTAAATATCAAAAGCCATCAGAGCATCACTGTTCCAGAATGTTGGTTGTGGGCAGATAAGATGGCAAGAGATAAACAAAAGAAAAATAATGAGTTTTTAAAAGGTAAAGTATTTGTGATGATAATACCAGAGTTTTCATATTATCTGTGGAAGATATAATTGGTATAAATACCCATAAATATCAGAATTCAATGATAGATAACTTGCAGAGATCAATACTGATTTATAATTTTTTTAAAATTAAGTAAGTACTGTTTCTAACCAACTTCAGCTGTTTCTATTTTCTTGTTCTTCTTACATGAGCAGCTTTGTAATTCAGTCAATTATTCAGCTTATTCCCCCAAATAGCTATTAATCATAACAGTGAGCTGGGACTCTAAACAAAACAATGGCTAATTCTATAATGAGAGAAATGCTAAAAACAAAATACAACCTGGGCATATTTATCAGAGTTACCAGGGCTTTAATTTTCATAAACTAAAAATTTTTCTCACAAGTCATTTACTTTTGTGGTTTAGGGTTATATTTCACCATGTCTTTATTAGCAACCCAACCATGAGCCTTACAGAGTTTGAAATGTACACTAATATAGCTATGACTCTAACCTACATATTACACTCTGTCATTCACCATGGTAGTATCTCTTGGAAAGAGAATACTTACCCTCCTGAACATACCCGCCTAATCCTTTGTACAAAGTATCCTTCCTAGTAGGAAATCCTTTCCCCTACTGCTCAGGCTTTCCAAATCTCACCACTTTCTAATATCACTCTTTCCATAATTTTACCAAACAGTTCTCTATCTCTATATAAAATGATAATCACATTTCATAATATTTCCTTTCCATTCTCTACTAAAACATACTCAAAATCTTGTTCCTTTTTATTTCCAAGATTTAAACAAACACAGTATTGCTGTCTTCCCTAATTGAAGATTTTAAAAATTTACTTATTTTATTTTATTATATTCTAGCTCAATCTCAATATGCTACTTTGGTTTGTTTATTTATAATTTAAATCATAGATCTATAAAATAAGGCAAATGCTCAGTAGGTTATAAAAATGCCTATGGACGAAGCCTCCACAAGATGGCTAAGAAATTTTGGGTTGAGTTTCTCCTCAAAAGTCACTTAAAATATATTATTACATCATTACATTCACAGCTCTGAGTCTATTTTTTCATCTGAAAATTACCAGTCCTACTACCTATGACTCATTGGATTGTTATGAGTATTCACTGAGCTATTATGTACAAAACTCTTTAGCTAACAGGAAAGTATTGTGTAAATGCTGGAAATTATATTAAAAAGTTACAATAGCAAATGGCTGATTGCTACTGAAATGTCTATTCCAACTTCACTGCCAACATATATAATAAAAGGGAAAGAAAGAGAAGGGTTGGGGGGCAGAGAAGAGACCACTATTTTCATTTCCTTTTCTGTAAATAAAGGCACATTTTCAATCCTGCTTTCTTATGCATACCTGAAAGGCTCTCTCCCACAGCACCTTCATTTTAGCCATATAAAAGATTATATCTTTCTTGATTTCTCCCTAAGGTGTATATGATAGCTGCATAATTTCTTTATAGGCTGGGTAGTAATCTCTAACAATAGTCATAAAAGATCCAATTCAAGCACCTGAGTAAAGATGCCATCATGTAGAAATTGCAGCATGAAAGTCCTAACACAGAGGGGTAAATCTGTTTCAATTCTGGGTCTTATAAGAAAACAGCTAAGCTAAGTAGTAACAAATTGTCCTCCCGTGTATCATGAAGCCAATTTTATGGTATACCTAAATCTTATTTAACTCAACAGGTTCCTTCTCTAGACTACCTTGTTTCATAAAGTACTGGTATGCCTGATGTGGGCAAGAAATTACACTTCAGACTAGGTTCCTCATTAATTTTCTCCAAAACATAACTGTTACAATAAAATAAATAGTAAGATAAACTTTTGTAGTCATTCAAATAAGAAAAGAAGTAATCAAATAATCTCTCTTTGCTAACAACATGATTCTATATCTAGAAAACCCTAAAGGCAGGAGAAAGTTCCTAGACATGATAAACAACTTCAGTAAAGTTTCAGGGTATACAATCAGCATACAAAAATCAGTAGCATTTTTTGTTTGTTTTTTGACAAGAGTCTCACTCTGTCACCAGGCTGGAGAGTGCAGTGGCACGTGATCTCGGCTCACTGTAACCTCCGCTTCCTGGGTTCAAGTGATTCTCCTACTGCAACGTCCCGAGTAGTTGAGATAAGGTGATGAGGTGGCACCCGCCACCATGTCCGGCTAATTTTTTTGTATCTTTAGTAGAGAGAGGGTTTCACCAAGTTGGCAAGGGTGGTCTTGAACTCCCTACCTCAAGTGATCAGCCCACCTTGCCCTCCCACAGTGTTGGGATTACAGGCATGAGCTACCTATATATACCAATAACATTCAAGCTAAGAGCCAAGTCAAGAACATAATCACATTTACAATAGTCATCAAGAAAATAAAAAATCTAGGAATCCATCTAATCAGGGGGGTGAAAAGATCTCTACGAGGAGAACTACAAAACACTGCTCAAAGAAATCAGAGATGACACAAACAAATGGAAAAACATTCCATACACGTGGATAGAAGAATTAATATTGCTAGAATCGCCATACTGCCCACCCAAAGCACTCTACAAATTGAATGCTATTCCTACCAAACTATCAATGTCAGTTTTTACAAAATTAGAAAAAAACTATTGTAAAATTCCTGTGGAATCAAAAAAGAGCCCCAATAGCCAAAGCAATCCTCAGCAAAAAGAACAAAGCTGGAGGCATCACAATGCCAAATGTCAAACTATCTTATAAGGCTACAATGACCAAAACAGTGTGGTACTAATACAAAACAGACAAATAGAACAATAGAACAGAATAGAGAAGCCAGAAATAAAGCCACACACATACAACCATCTGATCTTCAACAAGGTCAACAAAAAATATGCAATGGGGAAATGACTCCCTATTTAATAAACGGTGTTAGGATAACTGGCTGGCCATGTATGCAAAATAATGAAACAAGGCCCTTACTTTTCAGCATATGCAAAAATTAAATCAAGAGGGATTAAAATTCTAAATGTGAGACCCTAAACTATAAAAATCCTACAAGCAAACCTATAAAGTACCATTCTCACATCAGCCTTAAGAAAGAATTTATGACTGTCCTCAAAAACAATTGCAACAAAACCAAAAATTGACAAGTGGGACCTAATAAAACTAAAGAACTTTCACACAGCAAAAGAAACTATCAACAGAGTAAACAGACAACCCACAGAATGAGAGAAAATATTTGCAAACTATGCATCTGACAAACATCTAATATTACAGAGAGCTTAAATGATTCAACAAGCAAAATACAAATAATCCCATTAAAAAGCAGGCGAAGGACATGAACAAACACTTCGCAAAAGAAGACATACAAGCGGCCAACAAACACAAAAAGGACACTCAATATCACTCATCATCAGAGAAATGCAAATCAAAACCTCAATGAGATACCATCTCACACCAGTCAGAATGGCTATTATTAAAAAGACAAAAAATAACAGGTGTTGGCAAGGCTATGGAGTAAAAGGGATGCTTACATACTGTTGGTGGAAATGCTAGTCAGTTCAGCTGCTGTGGAAAGCAGGTTGGAGATTTCTCAAAGAACTAAAACCAGAACTATTATTCTACCCAGTATTCCCATTATTGGGTATATACCCAAAGGAAAATAAATTATTCTACCAAAAAGACATATGCATTTGTATATACATTGCAGCACTATTTATAATTGCAAAGACATGGAATCAACCCAAGTGCTCATCAATGGTAGACTGGATAAATAAAATTATATATATATATATACACACGCACACACACACAGCATGGAAGAATACTATGCAGCCATAAAAAATAATGAAATCAGGTCCTTTCCAGCAACATGGATGCCAGTGGAGGCCATCATCCTAAGTGAATTAACACAGGAACAGAAAACCAAAGATTGCACACATAGACTTATAAGTGGAAGCTAAACATTGAAACTTATGGACATTAAGATGTGATATGTGCCAGGCGCAGTGGTTCACGCCTGTAATCCCAGCACTTTGGGAGGCTGAGGCGGGTGGATCACCCGAGGTCAGGAGTTCAAGACCAGCCTGGCCAACATGGCAAGACCCTGTCTCTACTAAAAATACAAAAATTAGATGGGAGTGGTGGCGGGTGCCTATAATCCCAACTACTTAGGAGGCTGAGGCAGGAGAATCACTTGAACCCGGGAGGCGGAGGTTGCAGTGAGCCGAGATCGTGCCATTGCACTCCAGCCTGGGCAACAAATGAGAAACTCTGTCTCAAAAAAAAAAAAAAAAAAAAGATGTGATATGGTTTGGCTCTGTGGCCTCACCCAAATCTCGTCTTGAATTGTACTCCCATAATTCCCACGGGTTGTGGGATGGAACCCGTGGGATCGTTTGAATCATGGGGGTGGTTTCCTCCACACTGTTCTTATAATAGTGAATAAGTTTCACAAGATCTGATGGTTTTATCAGGGGTTTCCACTTTTGCATCCTCTTCATTTTTCTCTTGCTGCTGCCATATAAGAAGTGCTCTTGCCTCCCGCCATGATTCTGAGGCCTCCTGAGCCATCTGAAACTGCAAGTCCAATTAAACCTCTCTTTCTTCCCAGTCTCAGGAATGTCTTTATCAGCAGCATGAAAACGGACTAATACAAGATGAGAACGATAAACACTGGGAACTAGGAGGGAGAGTGAGGCAAGGTCGGAAAACTACCTATTGGGTAGTATGCTCATTACCCTGGGTGACAGGATCATTTGCCTCAGAGTCATGCAATATACTCCTGTAACAAACCTGTACATTTACCCCCTGAATCTAATATAACTGTTGAAATTATAAAAATAAATAACTTAACAGATGACATGAGGAAAAAAGATCCAGATATGCTTAGATATGTAGGTTAAAAAAATTTTTAAAAACCTCTGTATTTATAAAAGAATAAATAGTCTGCTTTTACTCATTAGAGTCATTATCAGAACACTAAGCTACTATGTTACAAAAGCTTTATAAAATACGCTGAGAATAGTAAAAGAGTCAAACACATGGCTGTGAATAAAGCTAAAGGGAAACATTTCATTTTGTTAAAGAACAAAAGAACCAACTTTTTAAGATTGCTTTTTAATTGGCTTTCATAGCTGGCACTTTATATATTCTATCAATAAAGGGAAAAATAGTGACTTTCATTATAATCGTTGCCTAAATTGTAATACTGTGATGTAAATACCTTAAACACTTCTGAAAATGAGTAAGTAGAGATTTCTGTTAGTGATATAAATTTATTAGAGATTTGGCTCCTGACAAAAAGGATTTTTTTTATTCCAGTCAAATAAAATCCATATTATGTACCTTAAGAGGAGTGATAACTAATAGTAAGATTTTCCAAACACCAGCCTCCTTGTAAACATAATGCAAAAAAATTTAAGTTCATGGTAACAAAAAACCTTTAGAATATAAATTTTTTAATGGTATGGCAACTATACTTTCAGAATGTTGTAAATTATTCCTTTAAAAATCTTTACAACTATAGTAATGAGGCACTCTACCTTAATCATACTGCCAATTGTAACTAATGTGTGGGCAAAATGAGCAAAAATGATCCACATATTGACAGAGGTCTGTTTTGTTAGGGAGTTCTAGCTCCCTCTCCTAAGTAAATAATAACTGGCATTTCTGAAGACAGCTGAGAAGAATGAGAACTGTTTTGCTTTTTAATGGTAGTAAGATATTTTTGCCACCCATCCACCCTTCTCAACACATACACACAACAAACTCAATCTGTTTTAAAGTCCCCCCCCACAACCTGTGGGAATTATAGAAGTACAATTCAAGATGAGATTTGGGTGGGGCCACAGAGCCAAACCATATCACATCTTAATTTCCGTTAGTTTTTATGAATGCCTAAATTCTGTTTAACAAGACAGCAAATATGTTAACAGGCTCAAATGTCAAAATGATCGATTATGTTATGTTGGATGTGATTATTATTGGACACCTACTTTTAAAAATCGACATGGTGGTTTTTTATCTGTCTGCAGAGGGACAACATAAAGCCTGCCAACAGCCTGTAACCTCTAATACATCTGTGCTATCACAGCTATTCCAACAATCCAGCTTTTGTAACTAATCTAAAAGGCCTCCTTTTAAGCAATTGTGTAGTGTTCCCTGGAGGGAGAGCATCATACCAGCCTGTTGCTTTAAATTTTATGCATTATTTGTCTTCATTATTAAATAATGTGCCCTGAAGGTCTGCATGGTTTCACCAAGTTCCCTATCAAAAGGAGAAAAAAAAGAAGAAAAATGATCATTGCTAAATTGTCACCACCATTGTCAATTTGTATGGAGAGCTCTACTAAAGATTAGTTCTGATCTAATTCAGGTAATGTTTATGTTTACTACTCTTGTGATATCTCTAACAGCTTGGAGAGAATCAGTAATGAGTGAAAGTAGACTATTTGTTCTTTTATAAATACAGAGGGTTTTTTTTATTTTTACGTTTTTAACCTACATATCTAATCATTAGGTTTTTTCCTCACATCATCTGTTATTCTCCAACACAACAACAAAATCAATCTGTTTTAAAGTCATCTGAGTCCAAGAAAAAGAATGAAATGTTGTAAAATGCTATTTTATGTTTGCACGTTATTTTTATCTTTACATTTAGTCAAAACAATGATTTCTCTAATTTAGGTCACTGAATTTACCCTTTTTAACTTCACATAAAACTAATGATACCAAAGTGAGGGTGTATCTGTCACTCACTATTCAATTTTTTCAAACTTAGAAGAGTGATGACAGGTTATTTTATTGGGCTTAGAGTCTAATTAAAAGTGACAGAATTGCACTTTGAATAGCTTTTCAACACCCTTTAACATTTTTCTTTGAATGCTGATCTAAGCTTAAGATGTTCATTAGTAACTCATTAAAGACTTAGTTACAGTCCAGTGGGCGAGTCCTAAATATAATGATGGGATGTGTGTACAAACGTGTAGACTCATAATTAGAGAAACTGTCACACTGGGGATTAAGAATATACAATGCAGTCTTTGAAAAAGAACTGTGGAATGTAAGTGACCCCAAGATGGTGTTGTATTTTAAATTTTGCTTACTATTCAGAACATTTGTTTTTTTTGGTTCTAATTCCTAAAGGTATGTTTTAATGACCCCATTCTGCCAGGATTAAATGTGTAAGGCTTTGTATTAGGGCCTTTTTATACATTATTTTATTTAATCCTCATACTATAACAAAGTAGGCCTAATTACTCATTTAACAAATAAATAAACTGTGATTTAAACTCTTTAAGGCCATATATCTTGGAAGTAATAGAACTGGAGTTAAACTCTAAGGCTTAAGATCTTTCTACTCCATTTAATAGGACCATACAATATAGGATTCTAAAGCAGTTTAGATTAGATGATACTGTAAACTTCAGTTTCTGGGCTTCATGTAAGCAATGCTTCCTAAATATGGTGACATCATCTTCTATAGTTCCTGAAAACTACAGGAGCTATTCAGTATCAACATTTATTAACCATTAATTATCCTTGCCATATAAAACACCAGGTTCTCTGCTGATTTACATTTTTGTTTGTTTTTTTTTTATTAAAAGATGTGATGTGAGTCCAGAGGACACTAATATATAATATGTGGATTTGATAGAGAGATGCAAAGCTATAGGATTACTCTTGAGATGAACTACAAGAGGCATTCAGCAATTTGCAGAACATATTAGAGAAAAAACAATCTACAGAAGTAAAATGAAAGACTCAATATTTATAATTTGAACAAAGATATAAAAATATAAAAAAGAGGATTTCCAAAATCTCAAAAATATTCAGACTCGACCAAAAATAGAAATTTTTCTTGGCTACCAGAGTTTAATCATCTTCATCATTTTCTTAGGAAGAAATAATTGAAAACTAATAGAACTCAATGAATTGCCTTGCTGTTTTGTATACAATTCACCAGTATACAGGTCTCCTATAAAAATAAAGTTTCAATTATGGACAATTATTAATTTTTATAGTCATAATAACAATAAAAAAGTGAGGAGACAACCCACAAGAATGGGAGAAAATATTTGCAAACTATCATCTGACAAGGGTTAATAACTCAACAGGAAAAAAATCAATCTGATTTTAAAATGAGCAAAAGATGTGAATAGACATTTCTCAAAAGAAGATATGCAAATGATCAACGGGTAAATGAAAAATGCTCAACATCACTAATCATCAGAGAAGTGCAAATTATAACTACAATGAAATATCATCTCCCACAGTTAAAATGGCTGTTATCCAAAAACAGGCAATAACAAATGCTAGTGAGGATGTGGAGAAAGGGGAACCTTTGTCTGTCGGTGGGAATATAAATAGTGCAGCCACTGTGGAGAACAGCATGAAGGTCCCTCAAAAGACTAAAAGAACTACTGTATGATCCAGAAATCCCACTCCTGGGTATATGTGGAAAAGAAAGAAAATAAGTATTTTGAAGAGCTATGTGCACTCTCATATTTATTGCAACGCTATTCAGAATGGCCAAGATATGGAATCAACCTAAGTGTCCATCAATGAATGAATGGATAAAGAAAATGTGGTTACACATACACAATGAAATTTATCCAGCTATAAAAAAGCGATGAAATTCTTAAGCCAAACATAGAAAGACAAACATTGCATGTTATCAGTAATATATGAGAAATAAAAAAAATATTAAACTAATGGAGACAGAGAGTAGAATGATGGTTACCAGAGGATGGGAAGATTAGTGGAGAGGAGAAAGATGAAGAGAAGATGGTTAGTTGGTACAAAAATACTGTTAGGTAGAGGGAATAAGATCTAGTGTTCAGTAGCAAGATATGGTGACTATAACCAACAATAATTTATTGTATATTTCAAAATAACTAAAAGAGTAGAATTGTAATATTCCTAACACATATAAATAAAAATTTGAGATGACAGACACCCTAATTACCCTGGAGTAACTGATCCTTACAAATTGTATGCTTGTATCAAATATTATATGTACCCCATAAATGTGCACTATTAAATATCCATAATGATTAAAAATTATTTTTTTAAAAAAATTCTGAATGAATGAACTACTTTGAGGAATCAAATACATGAGTAAAAGGGGGCTGGGTACAGTGCTTCACACCCGTAATCCCAGTGCTCTGGGAGGTCAAGGCAGGAGGATTGCTGGAGGTCTAGAGTTTGAGACCAGCCTGGGCAACAGAGCAAGACTCCATCTTTATGAAAAAATTTTAAAAATTAGCCAGGTGTGGTGGCGCATGCCTGTGGTCCTAGCCACTTGGGAGGCTGAGGTGGGAGGACTGCTTGAGCCCAGGAGGTTGAGGTTACAGTGGGCTCTGATTATGCCACTGCACTACAGCCTGGGTGACAGAGTGAAACCCTGTCTTACAAAAAGGGGGTTGGAGAATTTGAAGTGATGAGGGTAGACAAATGGTGCATGATTCAACATAAAATAGATGAGAATTTAAGTGGGTAACTCCAGGCAAATAGCCTTCCAGAAAATCTGAAACATTCCCAAAACAAAAAAATGAAAAATGGTTGAAGTGACGAATATCCTAAGTACTCCAATTTGATCATTATAGACTGTATGCATGTATCAAAATGCTGTATAAGTACCCCCATAAACATGTACAAATATTATGTATTCATAAAAAATATTTTACTAATAACAATATTTGAAATTTTTACTTAAAATTGAAATTTTAAAAATAAAAAATTTAAAAGCTATTCTTAGAAAATATAGTCTAAAAATCTCTTAAAACTAAATGTCTTCTAATGATATCTTACCGTCTTTTCAAAAAATATATTTTTATGAAGAATGCTTATAATTTGACAATATAAAGAAAAATGACCCATTTATAAATAACCCAATTACACTGAGGATTAAAGTAAATAGTAATCCAAAGAATAAGAAAACAATGACTTTATATTGTATATTCAAATATTTTTAAATTTGTTCAACATTAAGTATAAAACAACAACCCTACAGAAGTCAGAGTCCACCACAGACAAAGAAATATAAAAAATAGGATAAATTACAAGCACCTCAAATAGTCACAATACACAAAATTTCAATATAGAAAAATGCTATTTTACTCCAAATATGTACACATCACTCATAGATTATTACTACAATTAAATTCATACGTAACACCTTTTGCAAGTACAAAAGCAAAAAAAAAAATTATTTTCCAATTGCCAACCTGCATACTGAGTATTTGGGGAAGTTTCTAAACAAATTCTTACACATAAAGTAAAGCTATCAGCCATGCATGTTTGTAGCTTACATTGTGGTATTAGCGACTGAGCAGTTAGCTTACAAAATACCTATTTTAAATCTCAGTACCCACTGGCTAATGTGGATGGCGTTGGATGTGTTAGCAGTAACCTCATATATCATTACCATGACACAGATTTTTCTGTATAATGTATTTGACTATAAACATAGTTATATTACTGCAGATATTACAAATTACCTAGGTTGGCAAGCGTTATAAACATTTCAAGGATGATTAATTTCTAAAAATAACCAAGTTAAGCAGAGCTTAGAAGTCAACCTGACTCTTTCACCACTAATAAAACACATCTTCATAGAAAGAATTATATGATAAAATGCCATGTAGTTAAGTGTAATTTTGTACTTTTTCAAGTTTCATATCTTTGAAGTTACAAAATATATGACTATTATCTTAAATCATTGACATTAGTATTTTAATTGTAAACAGAGATTAACAATAAAGTGAAAATTATATAAAAACAAATATGCATCTGATCATTCTTTTGTCCCTACTAAGAACTGTTTATTATAAGTAATTTGTTGCACATGATAAAATGCAGGCTAACCAGTAAAGTCCCTGAATATATAAATACAGATGCAACTTTAACAATAGAATTGCAGAAAAAAAAAAAAAAACATGTATAAGCTGGTTCTACAAGCATTTTTTTTACGTTGCAGTTTTCTTTTTCTGTGAAGACGCTATAAAACATACCGCTCGCCGTTATTCCTAGTTTAAGTGCCAGTGATCCTGCTTTGTACCTCTTCAACTATGATTCAGTTTTTACAAGTGAGGTTCAATTAAGCTGAGATGTAGTTGAAATATTTGAGCACCAGAATCACCTTCTGAACTCCCAATCATCTGGGGCTTAGGTGTAGTTACCTCCCAGGAACAGATCTCCCAGCCCAAGGTCCCACATTGGACCTTGATGTTTCTTTACTGCCTATCAAAATGAGCCCCAGGTACCTACGTTATTACTGGGTTTTGCTCTCCAATTTCCTTATTTTCCCTTGCTCCCAACCACATCAACAGAACAACAACAAAAAGAATCCTTTATCTTCATGCAACACTACAGTAGTACAGAGCAAAGAACTGGCCATCTGCTTCAGCTGCTCCTCTTTACTTCTGCCAGGTCTCATTGCATTATAGATAAGGATATTATGGCTCTACAGGAAGGGGACACAGTCATGGAAAACAGAAAAAGAGAAATACAGAAGTACACAGAGACACAGAATATGGACAGATAAACATAGAAGCAGGGACATTTCCTAATTTAAAAAATTGTACATATTTATGTGATATTGATGTACTTGTTTTGTTTTTCTATACAAAACATGGACCAGACTATTTAGAGCAAGTGGGGATTATTCAACTAACCTAAACATTATCAGAATTAATTCTTTAGCTTAGTCTCTGATTTTGTTCATGTAGAGATTATGCAAAAGTATAACACTAACAATTATATATAACCAATTAAAATAGTAGTTTAAACATTCCTACATAGTGAGAATAATTTTATTTAGATATTAGTAATATTGACAATAATTTTGTTTAGATGCTAGTATTTAGAAATGTTTGGCAAAACATAGATACTGAGGTTTGAGTAGAAAAAGATTTCTTTCCATTCTCAGGGTTAGAATAACAGTAATTACTTATTTTCCTTACCTAGTGCTCAGGGGTTTACCACTATTTCAAGGTAAGAAAGGAGCAGGGGAAAAAAATGAAAGGTTTATCAAATGCCAAAGCACCATGTTAGAAGTTATACATCCTTGCATTCATTTCTTAAAATAGCTCTGCAAGGAATAAATGTTCATTTTTACAGATAAAAATTATATTAAGCTACACATTTTTAGGTTACTGTAAGCTCAATGAGGGAAGAAATACAAGTCTGTTGTTCACTGTCCTGTCTTTAGTACATCTAGCAGTTTTCTGGCTTGTAGTGGGTAAATTAATGATATTTATTAACCAGTTGACAGATAAACAGGATTACAGAGCCAGTAGGTGGCAGAGCTGGAATTTCATCTCTGGTCTGTCAGGCTTCAGAACCACAGTCTGTCTGTCCCAAGAACATGGAAGAGGCAGATGGTCAATGTTTCTGCCTCACCTGCTCCCAAGTGACTAGGAGAGTTGAGATGAGATTCTATGTAAAGAGGAATGGCCTTGATAGGAATTGGATATCTACTGCCAGCAAGAGCAGAGCTCAAAAGCCAAGTCCTTGATTTTAAATTCCCTCTGTGTCCCTTAGTAGCTGTGTGATCTCAATTTACTTTACCACTGTGTACCTCAATGTCTTTACCTGTAAAGATAGTGATTATGATAATAACAAATAATGAAAAATAAACCCATGCAATTATAGTGAATATTAAGTGAACTAAAACATCTAAAGTTTATGGCTATAAAATCAGTAGTCATCATCATTATTTTCTCTGAGGAAAGGGATAGCAATTCAGATCATTACCCAGAAGAATTAATTCCCAATGGTCAAGAGGGCAAAAATTCTGGACATCTCAATAACAGTAGCAAGGAGACGTCAGCAGAGGACATGTTGGAACCAAAAGTACTTCTATAACTGTGACATACATTTTAACCCAGTCATCTAAGGTTTCAAGTTATGCAGTATTCTCTTAAGCCAGGATTGATAGGGACTCTAAAAATTCCTATCCTATTATATTTCAGCACTTGATCAAAGGTACATTTTTCTATTTATGAGCAAGTTAGGTTCCAAAAGGCTGCTTATAAAGCCCTTCATTCACAAGTCAGAAGTGGTATCACAAAGGCAAAAGAAAAAGCCTTCTTAAAGAAGGAAGACAAAACCAACTTGTATTTTCTCAGGTACAAAGTTTTAAAATAAAGGATAAAGTTTATAAGTAAAAAGCTTCTATATTGTTTTGTCCTCTATGGTTCAAAACTCAAGATAATATTGAATAGTCCACATAAAATGGAAATGATTATTTTATTTTTTTAACCCAGAGTATTTTACCTACCAGGTTAGTCTTTTATGTGTCCTATTATTATACTAGGGATTGATTTAATACTTCTAAGAATTACTTGGAGATATTCTCTCTCTCTCTCTCTCTCTCTCTCTCTCTCTCTGTTTCTGTGTGTGTATGTGTGTGTGTGTGTGTGTGTGTGTGTCTGTGTGTGTGTGATTTCAATGCAGACTATCAGTTCCCAAACCAAGACCCAAGACCCATGGCTCAGCCACATTTAGGGGTCCACTGAAATACATAGTATGTGTCAGTTTTAGGGACCAGGAATTTTAGTTCTGAAAAAGGAATCTTTCTTACAATGTCTGTTTCTGCTATTTTTAACCTAATTTTCTCTAACAAAGGTAATTTTAGATTGATCTTTTGAATACGAATTGTGTGTGTGTAAATATATATGTAGGTATTTTTCTTTTTTTCCTTAGTATCAACATTAAATATATCAGCTTTTATGGCTAGCTAATTCCTGGTTGTTATAATTTACTGGAACAAAAATTAACTAGAGGGATAGATTATATGATGAAGGAAATTCACATGTTCAAGCACTTAATATTTTCTATGCACTGTACTACATTATTTACATATGCTATTTATTTTATTCTCAAAATAACATTATAAGGGAGGAATTTTTATCACATAAAAAATCTAATTTAAGTCATCTTTACATATATGGATAATTAGAAAAGCATTGTCTCAAGTAACATAATTATTTTTATTTTCCCACATCACAAAATGTTATATGTGCCCATGCAGAGAATGTGAATGTATAAGTATATGAATTAAGAAAAGATTTTGAAATTTTAAACAAATTTGCTTAAAACAAGATGGTTGAGATTGTTGAATAAGTAGGATACTCCCCTTTTACAAACATCTCTACCTTATAATATAGTGAATTGTTAGAACTAAATATGTTGCATCCAGGGAACTTTAGAGGAAAACGTCAAAGGAAGTTATTTTACCCAGTATTTAGAATGACAGCAAAATGCAATGCATGTTAAAACTTAAGAACACAGGCCAGATTCAGAATTGCATCACTGACGAACTACAATGGGTTTCTGTAATCAATTAAAAACCAAAAGTGAGCTAAAGAGGCTAAAAATTCATTTCAGCTGCTTGCTACACTATAATATTCTGAGACCTAAGCAGTGGCAAATACAGCTGTGTCCTTTTTTCTTTGCTATAATTATCATCAACATATGAGAGAGTGACTATATTACAACATTTTCATCTTAGTGAAAAAAATCAATGATAATTAGCCAAAAACATTAAATTGTGTAAGAGGAACATACATATAGACTTTAATTTACCAGGTTTGAGAGAGATTCAGTGAATATTACTCTAAGTTGTACAGAATATAAATGTCTCGCTTATATATTAAATAATGTGATATATTTTATAAAATTTGCAAAGGTACATCCTTTCTAAACTATCATATTTCTGCTATAAATACAAAGATGTCTAAATGAACAACATTAAGTATACATGTCTATTAAGTATATTAGCATGTTTCCATAATCACACCTTTCTTTAAAAAGTGAAAACACACATTAATATTATTTTGTTATTGTGTATGTTTTCATTTTTTTTTTGAGACAGAGTCTCGTTCTGTCACCCAGGCTGGAATGCAGTGGCACGATCTTGGGTCACTGTAAGCTTTGCCTCCCGGGTTTACGCCATTCTCCTGCCTCAGCCTCCCGAGTAGCTGGGACTACAGGCATCCACCACCTGCCCAGCTAATTTCTTTGTATTTTTAGTAGAGACGGGGTTTCACGGTGTTAGCCAGGATGGTCTCGATCTCTTGACCTTGTGATCTGCCCAACTCGGCCTCCTAAAGTGCTGGGGTTACAGGTGTGAACCATGGTGCCCAGCCGTTCTTTTGATTTTTTATTTGTTTGTGTTTTTGCATTTCAAGGTATAGTACCAAAACAATTTCCCTTTATTGGGAGGTTATAGTTTGTGTTCTGTATATTAAAGATTGTGCAGAGTAGTAAATACTCAGAGAAAAAATAATTACTTGGTTTTGGAAAGCAGATACTTTTGAATAAGTGGGATTTTACTTTTGGAGTTTTCTTTCAAATGCCCAAATTTACTACATTAAAAATGTTTTTTTAAGTATGAAACTATGCAAGCCAAAAAATTCACAATAAATGAGATAATTAATATTTCAGCTGATTTTCCAAAAGTGTAGTAAAGACTAAAAATAAAATGCAAGAGCTCTTTTTAAAAAGCCTTTTGGTTTTAAATACATTTCAATAGGCACTTTAAGAAATGCAACTGGAAACTCATAACTATTTCAGCTTAAAATACACATTATGGGCTGGGCGCGGTGGCTCACGCCTGTAATCCCAGCACTTTGGGAGGCCAAGGAGGGCGGGTCACGAGGTCAGGAAATCGAGACCATCCTGGCTAACACTGTGAAACCCCGTCTCTACTAAAAATACAAAAAAAAAAAAAAATTAGCCAGGCGTGGTGGTGGGCGCCTGTAGTCCCAGCTACTCAGGAGGCTGAGGCAGGAGAATGGCGTGAACCCAGGAGACAGAGGTTGCAGTAAGCCGAGATCGTGCCACCGCACTCGAGCCTGGGTGACAGTGCGAGGCTCTGACTGAAAAAAAAAAAAAAAAAAGAAAAGAAAAGGAAATACACATTATGTTCTTTTATTTTAACTTACTCATACTAACATATGATAAGGAAAAACTACAAAGCAGTCTCAGAGAAAAGATCCCAAGGAAGTGTCCAGTATGAATAAGTGAGACAACATTAAGCATTACACAAAAATCTGAAAAATCTTACCATGAATTATTGGAGCTAAGAGCATCATGAAAATTAGTAGCTGCGATGGCCACATGGCTGTCTACTCAGGTATGGAGTATTCCTCAAGAATGACTGTTCAAATGTGAAACAAAATACGTATATTTCTAGTTTCTCTTCTGTATTCCAAGACTGATGATTTTTCTTCAAATTAAAAAGAAAAAGAATAATTTCTCCAAAACAGAAACACCAATATCCCAAATCTGAAACCTGCAAAAAAGAAAAAAAAAAGGGTTATTGTATAAAATAAGTAAGTAATCCAAAGACATTATTTATACAATACATATATTGCCATCATGTTAATATCCTGGCCTCAGATCTTAATGAAATAAACAATTCAGTCTCTACTGAGCAAATTAACTGAAATATACTGATTTTTTTTTTTTTTTTAAGATGGAGTCTCGCTCTGTCGCCCCGGCTGGAGTGCAGTGGCGCGATCTCGGCTCACTGCAAGCTCCGCCTCCCGGGTTCACGCCATTCTCCTTCCTCAGCCTCCTGAGTAGCTGGGACTACAAGCGCCCACCACCAGGCCAGGCTAAATTTTTGTATTTTTAGTAGAGATGGGGTTTCACCGTGTTAGCCAGGATGGTCTCGATCTCCTGACCTCGTGATCCGCCATCCTGGGCCTCCCAAAGTGCAGGGATTACAGGCGTGAGCCACCACGCCCGGCCTTTTCTTTCTTTTTTTTGAAATGGAATTTCGCTGTTTTTGCCCAGGCTGGAGTGCAATGGCACGATCTCGGCTCACTGCAACCTCTGCCTCCCGGGTTCACGCGATTCTCCTGCCTCAGCCTCCCGGGTAGCTTCACCCCAGCTAATTTTGTATTTTTAGCAGAGAGGGGGTTTCTCCATGTTGGTCAGGCTGGTCTTGAACTCCCGACCTCAGGTGATCCACCCGCCTCGGCCTCCCAAAGTGCTGGGATTACAGGCATGAGCCACTGCGCCTGGCTAAAAATACATATATATTATACCATGGTAAAGCTTACACAAAGTAAGCCCCATGGGGTTATACCACAGTATAATTATACCACAGTATAATTTCACTAACATTAGAATAGTAAAATATTTAATTCATCACTGTTACCATAAATAAGTTTAAAACAAAAGGTAAATATATGTCTTACTTTCATCTCAGGCTGCAATATTCATTCAGAAATTATTCTACATATTAACTACATTACTTTTCTAAACATCTCTGTAAATCTGTGAACATCATAGATTTATGTTTACAAAAGATGTTACTCTTTGTTTGAATGTCAAAAGCTTCATTCAGTACTGAAAATCAAGGCAAAGTATTATCTAAATAACAATGTACGATGATTAAAGACAGATTATTATGCCCGAAATTTCATTTTCATTTATGTTTCATTTATGTTATTCTAAATAGCTTGTTTTTAACAGTAAGCATATAGATACAAACTAAATTAAAATGCAGTTCGAACATCATTCATTCAACAGAGGTTAATTGAATGCTCACTAAAATACAAAGCAGTGGTCTAGAAACATGGAATAGAATATTGAAGAAAACATGCAACCTATTCTCCAGGATTGTACAATTCAAGATGAGGAATCTTGCCTAGAGGTGTCAAATATTAATAACTTTAAGCACTGAAAAAGTAACTTTATTGAACCAAACTAGTGTAGTTGCCTCCTCTTCAAGTCTTCCCAAGATTTATCTTAGGAAACCAAAATACTAAAGAAACATAATCCAAATCCTGAAGACACCATCTTTTACAATCAGCACCTTTCAAACTGATCAATCAAGCACAAATTGGGCCTTCCTTCCTTCCTTTCTTCCTTCCATTCTCTTCCCTTCCCCTTCCTTCCCTTCCCTTCCCCTTCCTTCCTTCCTTCCTTCCTCCTCCCTCCCTTCCTTCCTTTTTTCTTTCATTCTTTCTGTCTTTCTTTTCTTTTTTTTGTCTTGGAGATTGATACATATTTTCAATAATTTCAGAGTTTTAGAATTAAATTTTAAAATCTTCTCAAAAGGGATATTCAAAATTGTTTACTGATGAATGTATTAATACACTTCATTCTGTCAAAATAAAAACCAAAGTCTTTACTAAAAGGCAAAAATTACACAAATTTATCAGATGTTTTGATATTGTTATTTACGGCATGGTAGTTAAGAGCACGCATTCTGGAGCCAGACAACCTGATCTCAATTACTGTTCTACTACGTTGGGCAAGTCATTTAACTATATAGCATCTCAGTTCTCCTGTCGATGGTCATTTAACTATAGCATCTCCATTTTTTATCTGTGTAATGGGTAGGGTGATATTACTTAATTCATATGGTTCTATGAACATTAAATGAGTTAAAATTTGTAATTTTTAATTATATAAAATACGTAATAATAGCCAAGAACAGTGCTGGCATGTGGTAGGTGCTATAGCATTAGCAATTATTTTAACCTACTCATCCTTTCAATGTGAATCCATAAGAAGCAAGATCATTTGATAATTTAACTAAAAAATATTTATTGATTACTATTGTATACATAGGCTCCTACAGTACTAAATATGGACACAATATATATAAAGAGTTTTCTCTTTAATTTCATTGATATTATGGGAAACAAAGCTCATTCTAGATAATCTCATAATATTTTACCTTTACAAATAGAGAAAGCATTGACAAGAAACGAAATATTTGGTTGAGATAAAACAGAAACTAAGTGAAAAGGAATCATGGCAACATTTTCATTTTGTTTTCTCTTACCCAACTCTGACTCACAAGAAAACCTGAAAATCTATTCTCAATTGTCATAAGTGTATAACTCAGAAAAGAAATTTTGAAAGCAATTACTAATTTAAAATTACATTATTTAACATGCACAAAATAACTGACAGCTACTTGAAGAGGGATATTGAAGTGGACAGACAATTGTCAGATTCATGAACAAGATCACAATGCTCTATCCTAACAAACCTCAACATTCTTTTTCTGTGCCTTTTTTGCCTTCCTCTGTGACCATGGAGTATACGAGAGTCAAAAGTTGGTATCAGGAGATGTATGTATACACACACATACAGATACACATACACGTGCATACACAAAAATAGAAAGTAAATGTATATATAGCATTTCATTACTGGAAGAAATTATGAGCTGCCATCTAGATGAATTATTTATTCATTTTCTCAAACATGTATACTAAATTTCTACCACAGTAGATTTTATAGAAAATGCAAATTAGCAGAACAGTTTTTCTCACAACCCATACTGTAGTGAAAAAAAAAAAAAAACAGGACACAGTAAAGTAAATGAAGTCACAAGATAGAGAAGAATTAACCTTCCTTTAAGTACTTATCACATGCTACACATTGTGCTAGATATTACACAAATTTCCTAATGTAATTATCCATATAAATATATAAAGCAGATAACATTGTTCCATGTTTACTGAGAAGGAAAATCAGACATGTTATGTGTCTAGAATTTCAAGCCAAAATTACTTCAACATTAGTGCTCTTTCCTCTATGGCACAAATAAAGAAGAAAATGGATGAAAATAATTAGGAACGTTAATTGTGCAAAGGAAGGGTACAACACGGGATTTCCAAAGAAGACTTAGGCCTTGCTTAAATGAAACATTATTTGATTGTGAAGAGTGGAGAACCCGGAACAGCATGGATACATGAGGCAGGCAGGAAAGCACGCAGAGAAGAGAGGACAAAGAACACACAACGGGTGGTGCTTTTCAGGACACCACCCTAATTACAGTGGCGCATTTTTCAGAGGAGGAGAGAAAATTATTTCCATAGTGAAAGAGGAGTATTGCTATTGTTAACTCTGGCTTCAATTACAACTGGAATCATTTATTTCATATGATACATATTTTACAATGTTGAAACAATGGGTGAAAGTTATTTTATAGAAAGAATAAGGAAGTACATTTCTATTAGTTATTAACAATGATTTCTTCTAAGGTATTGCAGCAGGACATAGAGCCATCTCTACTCGGACATTTGACATTTGATTTAGGCATAGGGATTTGTTTCCATAATTATAATGTAAATAGAGGTGGGAAACGGAATTTATAAGAATAAAAGCTATTATTTGAAGAGGGTGACGTTCTCACATTCCAGCCTCACCGCCTGCCTCTCTCTTACTCACAACTCCAATACTGTGCTAATTAGAGGATATATATAATAAACTTGCAATAATTATACAATATGTTTTAATAGCTAATAGATTTCTCATAACCTACAGAAATATATATCACCACTCTGAATTATAACAGTTTTTTAAAAGAAAACATTTTATGATGATTTTTCCATTGAAGTGTTGTCATTAACTTCACCAAACAAATTTCTTTTCTTATAAAAATCTTAGTGGTTATCTGTCTTAAAACAAAACTAAGTTCACTATTCTTCACAATATCCAAAATTTAAAAGTAAAGTTGATTAAAATGACCTAATTTGCATCAATAATGTTTACATTTAGAATTTTAAAGTTGTGTTATTTGACATGAGTTCCACTAAAAGTTACAAAAGAATACAGTATGGAAAGAAATTCTACAAAAAGCTTAAATAACTAAAGTCTTCCCTCATCAACTACTTGGAAACTTCCTTACTTATTACCTATGCTAATTTTTATTCAAATCTAACACAATTATACTCTAAAAGAATTTCAAATTTTTTTGTTATTCCTTTCAACAAAAGTAAGTCTTCTAAATGGGAGACATTGATTTTATTTTCTGGAAACTTTCATCTTGAATTCTGGTGTCATAATTGTTTCCCCAGTTTTATTTTTTAATATTCTCTTCTTTTCAAATCATGCTAAAAATTTATATTTCTATCGTATATTAGCTTCCTTTCTATACACCAAACAGAGGTTAACATTAGAGTCTCAAAACTGCTTATCCTGGGAATGTGTTAGCTACTCTTAAATCACATTTCTGTAAGACAATTTACTCTCAAACATTCCCCAAAGTATACTGAATATGATTGTACCTTTTCCATCATAATATCATAGACAAGAAACTATATCTTGTTTATAAATGTTTAAATTTCCCCAACTCTTAACTTTTCACTTGTTATAAATTATAACTACAAATTCTACTTCAATATTGACTTTACAGATTTTTATCAATCCATAACTTATTTTGCATATTTACTCATATTTGTCATATACTTTTTGGAGGCCAATGTTTTCTGACATGTTTGGCACATACGAAATATAAAAAATGCCATTTGGCATTATTGTAATGGTGAATTGGTATATAGACCTATAGCCTAATTGCTAATTGTAATACAGGAGTTTCCCATTAAGCAATGTTTTTGTTTGTTTGTTTGTTTGTTTGTTTTTTTCATTGTTCCATAGAGGGAAATCATAGCTATGACCTTACAACTTACTTTAGGAGCATTCAGAATTATCACTTGGGTGTTATCTGTGTTCTTCCAGGGTTAGTATTTGGACTTTAAAATTTGAAAAATTTAAAACCATTTTGGTTTAAAAATCAAAACAAGCCTTCTCCATAAAGTACCTTTTTAATGATATAAAATTAATTTATAGTAACGTGGCATAAAATTGTATCAAGGTATAATTTGGCACCTTGATAAAATGGTAAAAATAATATAACACTGACGTATGGAGAAAAGAAATAAGGACAGGCATCGTGGCTCATGCCTGTAATCCCAACACTTTGGGATATCAAGCGGGGAATATTGCTTGAGGCCAGGAGTTCAAGACCAGCTTGGTCAACAAAGCAACACCCTGTGTCTACAAAAATAATGAAAAAGAAATGATATAAATTACAAAGAAGAATAACCAGTTGTTTTATTTAATCATTTGTCACTTCATTAACAAGTAAAGAAAATATCTGATATCAGAGCAACAAAGTAATCGTGATTTGTGTGCACATAGCTCTCTACCTTTGTAAATAATATCTGTCCATAGTAACCAAAGATAGCCAAGCATTTCTTAGAAATTTAACTTAGTAAAACTAGAAAATATATTTTAACTAGAGTAATTATGCATAAATGCTTAGGTGAGGGACTTAAATGCTTATTATTCAATTCAAGATTCCAGTATTTCCATTATTTTACAATATTGCAGAATCATAGGTACATTACAGCAATGCTTCATAATCCATGCCCTACGAAGTGACAGAGGACATCTCTCACAAAAAAATTATCGTTCCAAAAGTGGTTCTACATGGAAGACTCCTTCTGATGTGAATGAGAGCTCTATGATACAATTAACCCAGAGGAAAAGAGTAGGACAGCAAGAAGAAAAATTCCCTGAATATAACACAGGTTCTTTCCATCACCATCCTATCAAATGTTAATATATTTGGTATGATCATCATTGGGCAAAAGCAAAATGAGTTTTAAAGGAGTTTGAACTCAGTAAAATATATTATGTTTTGTAAATTTTAGCTATAATTTACAATGTCTGAAACCTACACATATGCTTCTCCTTTAAGGTTTTCTTGTTTTCTTGAAAAATTACATGTATTGTTTCTCAATTTACAGAGTGCATGTGAATACACTATGGAATTGTAAAGCATCATTAGTTTGGGTCCTCCCATTATTCATAGAGTTTCTCCTGAAACTCTTGGTTTCAGAGTTTCTGAAAACCAAGGCACTTACAGTAAGACTCAAGGATCTTTTCTTTTTTTTTTTTCAATATTGAGGGGGTCAAATAACCTTATATTAAATAAGTATGAAGAAAGCATTTAACCACTGAGTTTAGTCAGCAGCAACAATGAGTTAAATGTTCTAATCATGAATACTTTCTTAAATAGTGCTAACACCCTTTGGAAATTCATAGAGGACAAACTTTCAATCATCTTCTTTAATATTTTCAAGAAACATTTAATTCAACAAATTTACATGTGTGTTTCTTTGTTAATTTATTACAAGTATGCACTGTGTTTGGTCATGGGGTTATGGTAAGATATACAAGGCATAATTCCTGCATTAAAGAAGGAGGAGGAAGAACCAGTGAAAGAGGAGAAGGAAACAATGAGGAAGAGAAGGAAACAATGAGGAAGAGAATGAAGATGAGATAATGCAGTAAATACAAGTGGTAAAATATAAATCCAAATTTGATAAAGAAGAAGAGAGTTGAAAAAAACCGAGGAGATAACACAGCTTGAAAGATCTGGAAGATCTGTGAGAGTGGTAATTGTGCTATAATTTGAAGAATGGCTAAGATCTCACTCAACAGTAGGTGGAGGAAGAACGTTTTGGATTAAGAGTTGCTATGGTAAAGGTAAAGAGGTGGAAAAAGGCAGCGTGTTGCAGAACTGCAAGTCATCTGGTTTCTCAGGAAGAAGTGAGGAGCAGTAGACAGTAATAGGAAGAATCTATTAGGGTGGAATAGGAAATATTTTGAAGGCTATACCAAGGAATATAAATTCATTTTGATTGGTTGCAAATCATGAAATTTATAATAGTTAAAGGCACAAAATATATCAACACATATAAATTACTCCAAGTATTGTCTTTTAAGAGTGGGGGTAAATATTTACAGCAAATATATCCCCAAAACTGTTATAATCCTCTATATTGCTCCTAAATATTCAAACATTTTGTTGCAAATTCAATTTTTTAAATATCTTTGGTTTGATATGAGGAGCCTGAATCAATAGAGGTGTTAAATGAATCAGTATATTAATAAACTATTATTTAGATAGTGACATCACAGAAAAAAATGCAGCTTTTGCATTTTTTAGTATAATATTTTTGTCAGAGTTCCAGATTTGCATAACACAGCTTAGCAGTCATTATGCTATTTGAGATCAAATATTGATTCCAGATAATTACAGCACTTTTAGATAGAATGGTATTGTTCTGCATCTGGCAGTAATGACTTATCTGGATAGATGTATATTTTATAACACATTCAAGTCAAACACAACTTGGAAGAAATTTCGTCTATAATAAATATGTATTTACCTTGACCTAGAACTGAATGTAGCCATATTTTCCTAGTCCTTTATATCTGCATAGATTTTTTTTTTTAAACTAAGCTACTGTTTTCAAGTATAAAACATCAAAAAGTCTGGGTCATGAGAAGCAGCATGAATACAGGACATAATAGGAGCTTTAGAGTGTGAAAAGGACAGTTTTAAGTCCTTTCTCTTTGAGTTGTGAGCTGTATGACATAAGCAGATTACTTAAATTTTCTATACCCTAATGTTCACATCTGAATTTAATACTTATTTTACCAGGTGGTTTAAGGCTTAAATAAAGGTAATATATATAAGAAGCTATAAAGCTTCCTGGCAAGAGTAGGCATTCGATTAATGAGAAAAATTCTTGTTCTCATTTAGTGAAGGATTTATATTTAAAAGTGGGGTCATAAATGGTAAATGAGATTGCATTTAGTGGTAAGTGGGATAGAAGAACATTCGATAAAAGATTGTGAGTGGTCAACTAGAAAAGGGGATAGAATCAGAAGGTCCATTGTAAATACCATGCTTTTAGAAGATTAAATTGGTCATGGTACATAGGAGAAAATGGAGAGAAAAGAAAAATACCTTAAGCAATCTGTGTCAGTAACAATATTTGCCAGAGTTAGTATGGTGGGAGTTCACAATGACCTATAAGTCCAGCATGTGATTTAAATTAATAGATTATTTGAAGAACGTTAAGTCAACAATTTTTCAAGTTGTAGAAATATCACTGTAATGTCTTGTCAGTGTGGAAGTAAACAAAAGTCAGGAGGGAAAACGGAAAAAAACATAGGATGGGCACGGAAGATACAGTAAAAAGTTGAATCAAATTGGGAGTAGGGAGAGTAGTTCAGGTATAAAGTGACACTTGCACTAGAACTTTGAGTCATGCCTCCATTCTTCCCTCATTTCTTCCCTGCAATACCCTACATAAGTTTCAGAGAGATCAGAGCAAGGAAGACTTATTTATCTTCAGTGAATTTTATGGTTAACCTTAATTTTAAGGTTACCCAAAACATGTTTCAAGCAATGAAATGCTAAATCTCAACACATCATCTGAAACACTGGCAAATAATATTTATTTTTTTATCACTGAAGTAAAAAAGGCACTTCCCCTTATAATTATATTTTAAATACATAACTTGATGCTAAGTTAGAAGACAATCTCTCTAGGGTAATTTTAATAGGAAACTTTTCTAGCATAAAAGTTTCATTTAATTGTCTCTCAGGTAGTGTTGTGATCTAATAAATGTCTATTAATGTTTAGAAACAAATTTATATTTAATGAACATTGCTATTTTTTGGCTTTAGAGCAGCACATCTATTATCTATGAAATAGATTAATGTTCGACACAGGATCACTTTCTTGTGAAGTGCCCTTGAGTTAACATCTTTTCTGAGATCCCACAAAGCATTTGATTGGAGAACATTACCAATAGGCTTTGATAATATTTGTCTATATTGATACGTTCAACTGGAAATAAAATCAGTGAGTTTTAAACTAAAGGTGTAAATAAATAATTATGTTAAAATCAATTAATTTGGAAAACACTTGCTTGACTCCCCAATAATTAAAACTAAAAAATGAACCTCATGTTCTTTCTATATATACAATTGGTAAGATAGAACCTTTGCTCTTTAAAAATAAAATCACGCATAAAATCTCAAATATTCATGATAACTAGTTATGAAAAACAAGTCTAAATGAACATAGCTATACTTTTAAAATATATTTTAAAAATTAACAATTATTAACAATATGCCATTTAAGACAATAATCAAGGATTGATTTTTATGATTCCAAGTCTACTAGAAATCAGGAAAGGCAAGTAAGCTACACTTAAAACATTCAGAACATAATAGGTGTCTACTTCAAAGTAAATAAATTCAGTTCAAACAGGAATGTATGAATTTATTCCAAAATCTACAGAGAACCAAGAAAAATAATCATCTTCCTAATAATAACTACTAACATTTATTAAGCCCTTACTGTGCCAGACACTGTTCTGAAAGCCTCCCATGTATTAACTCATTTAATTGCTTCTAACTATAAACATTATTGTATATCCTATAAAAACTCCATAAGGAAGGGGCTATCTTATTCCTAATTGGCAAATGAGGAAATCGAGGGATGGAGAGTTAAAGAACTTGTTGAGGCCACATAGTTAAAAGTAATAAAGCCCAGATTTGCATCAAAGCAGTCTAGACCCAAGGTTTGTGTTTTCAGTCATTAGATTCTACTGCTTCTCGTCACCTATACTGACTACAGATTCTGTAGCATACCTTATGTAAAGGAGCTTATGTGAGGAGCTTTCAGCTAGGTGTGATTAGTCTTTAACTTGTAGGTTGAATGGAGTGAGGTGAAGACCTAGAGTATAGCTATACACTAAAATATTAAAACAAACTTTAGCCTGCAAGAATCATGCCGTAAACAGGCCTTCAATATCTTCACTCTGAATAATTTTTATCTGGCATTATATATGTCTTTGGCACATCTGAAGAGATAGCAATAACCCATTTTACTCATGCATGTATTGGGTAAATGAAGGGCAACATCACAGATTTCATTAGGAGAGTAACCAAGAACCATGATCTTCCAGGATCTCAGAAGGCAAGCATGTGCTTTTTAAGTTACAGCAAAAGTTTAAAACAATCAGAAAAAAAGAAAGGTTTTCCCAAATAAAAGTTTTTAAAAGATTTCAAAATATATCAGTATGATTTCAATCAGTAAGAGTATTTAATTCTGTTATTAATTTTCCTTAAAAGGGAACTGAGATTATTCTGAATATTACTGAGAATAACCAAATATATCTTCAAAGTTGAATTAGTTGTGACTTTCTCATACTAATTCTAACTCAAAGATGGAACTTGGTATATGATAGGTCAACGTATCCTCGAATGTTTCTAATATTTGCTGGATTTTTACTATCTTAGAGCCTTTATGATTAGGATAGACTAATAAGCCTTACACCTATGGCAACTGTATAAATAAAATCACCTGAGTAGTTCATGATTGATAATTGTGACAATATATCGCATCTAGTGACAATGTGTGTTATAAATGGAATTCCAGGATTTGATTTAAATATAAAATCAGTATCATCCTTATCCTGTGAAATTCTAAAATCATTATCAATGCAACTGGCATTATAGTCAAGTTTGGTTAAAAAAAATTCCATAGCCGGGTATGGTGGCTCACACCTGTAATCCCAGCACTTTGGGAGGCCGAGGTGGGCAGATCATGAGGTCAGGAGATCGAGACCATCCTGGCTAACACAGTGAAACTCCGTCTCTACTAAAAATTCAAAAAAATTAGCCAGGCATGGTGGCGGGTGCCTGTAGTCCCAGCTACTCGGGAGGCTGAGGCAGGAGAATGGCGTGAACCTGGGAGGCGGAGCTTGCAGTGAGCCAAGATTGTGCCACTGCACTCCAGCCGGGGCGACAGAGCGAGACTCCATCAAAGGAAACAAAAAACAAACAAACAAACAAACAAAACAAAAAAAAAAAAGCATTCCATAGCTGAGACTAATGAGCTTTAAATATCTTCTTAAATAATCCAAATCCTATTAAGCTACAGTATGCATTTCAGGGTCTAAACTAGGAAACATCTCACTTCTTAACACTGTTTCTCTGAAAACAATGACAGTTTCTAAGTAACTGACTTAAAAATAAAGCCTAGAATAGAGAAGTTGTAAGAATTGAGGTAGTAAAGTCAAATTCATCCTATTCCAACTCCTTCCAGTGGATAAGGAAAAAATACACATTTACTTACACTTTCTTTGAACACTTTCCAAGACAAAAAGGAATGCAGGGGAAGGTATATCTCATCATGAGCTAGGTTAACATAACATAGTTTCACTGAGGTTTGGTTATCATGAGGGTCAGTCACATATATCTCTTTCACATAGACAATTTGAGTTTAAAACGCTTGATATTCACATTTTTAAAAAATTTCAATATTTTTTCAAAAGGGGCTTAAACAGTAATGAGAAAAGATTACTGTAAAATAATGGAAATAAATACATCTATAGCAGAAAAATTAACAAATTTAAAAAATTCTTTACATAAAAAGGATATCTGTATAATAAGTCTTAAATTGTTCTTGAGATTATGAAAGAAATGTGGTCTCTTTTGCAATTCACAAAATATCGCAATATAATTTTCCCATATTTCATTCTCAGTAGTTAGTGTATCAGTAGCAACCGGGCAAGAGAGAAAATACACATGTTTTGAAATTATCTCATCTCAGTACGGTGCACCTAGGTGGGTCTCAAATTAAGCACCTTTCTTAATGGCCCATTATAGAATATCAGTGCCCAAAATACCCAAAGGGAGGCAGGGACAATTACTGCCAAGGGAGAGTTTCTAAAGTTGTGCTAGATGATGCAATATTTCTGCTGTAACTTTAGCCTGATTAAGAGCTTATTTAAATACATATTTATGGTTTTGAAATCAATAGCTAACATGGTAAGTTTACAAAGACACATTTTGAAAATATAAGTTCAACATAGTTTTTACAGTAATGGTTTGATAATTTGCATTTATACGTACCTACCAAATTATGTAATAGGTGGTTTTACAAAAGCTAACTTTTAAAATAGATGATTGAGCCACAAAGTATAATCTCCATGGGGAAGAATATAATACTGAAAGTAATTTTAATCTTTGAAGTTCTTCATAATTATACCTAATTATTGAATTATTCAATTATAAGAACACTTAAAATGCATATAACTTAGTAGAATAAAATAATAATAATAACAGCTTTTTTGAAGGGTTCTTAATAGGTGCTAATACGCTGATGACATTATTTCATTTCATTCTAACTATGATAATGTTTAATATTTGGCTCCAGCTGGAAATAAAGTAAGGGAACACAAGTTGACTGTGATGGAAAATCCATCAGAAACAACCAAGCTGGCAGATTATTAAAAATATGATATCTAATAGTCTTAAGCTAACATTTTATTTAAATCCTCGCAAAATTGACTTCACAGTGATGACCAATAAAGCAGTGATGACCTAACTAAGGAAAGTATTAGGTAGGGATATTGACATTCCAACTTCCAGGATAAGAAGACTGCTTTGCAGTCAAAAACATCTCCTCAGCTTTTAGGGTTTTAATTGGTAGTCAAAACGGAAAATTGGTAGGCAAAATGGCAATAGATCCAACAAGTGGAATGGATCCATTTGTTCCATTCATCTCACTTAGCCTTATCAGTGTAGAAATTGAACTGGAGCAGCATTAGGATAAACTATAAAGCAACGTATCATGTTCCAGGAGTCACTTAGCAAAAGGTTGTGAGAAAACAATAAGTAAAAAAAAAATCGGGGATGAGGGGAGAATTTCCAAGTGATAGGACCTAAGTAGAAAAGGAATCACTGGACTAATCTGGCTAATATCTTTAAATATATGAGCAGAATTTATTTAATATATTTAAATATATGAGCAGAATATATTATAAGTTAGGTCCTATTTATATGCCCATAATTAAAGAACTTTATAACAGAACACACTATACTTAGTTATTAACGTAATCTTATTAATTCATATATATTATATATTTTATATAAATGTACATATAACTACATATGATAGCATATAGTTTTTAATTATGACTTCATTCATGTATTTATAAACTAAATATTGGAGCTCAAAATTTTATAATTTATTTATTTATTTTTTTGACAGAATTTTGCTCTTGTTGCCCAGGCTGGAGTGCAGTGGCATGATCTCGGCTCATAGCAACCTCCCCTTCCCGAGTTCAAGCAATTATCCTGCCTCAGCCTCCCGAGTAGCTGGGATTACAGGCATGCGCCACCATGCCCAGCTAATTTTGTATTTTTAGTAGAGATGGGGTTTCTCCATGTTGGTCAGGGTGGTCTCGAACTCCCGACTTCAGGTGATCTGCCCACCTCAGCCTCCCAAAATGCTGGATTTACAGGCGTGAGCCACTGCGCCAGGCCTTTAATTTTCTTTAATAACACAGCACAAGAGAATGTCTATGAATGCATAATTGAGTGCTATCATTATTTAATTGCTATGTATATACATTTTGTATACTTTGGTATATTTTATAATGGTAAAATCAATGGCATCACAAATTAAATATGTCAAGCACTTATTTTTAAAATTACACTGAATGACTCCTAAAGATGTCTATACAAATAATACTATAAATTTTATGATGCAGAGAGATAATTAAATCAATCAAATACAGTATCTTTAATTAAGACAATAGGAAAACCCCAAAGAGGATTTGGTTACTGGAAAGAACAGCACTTGAAAAAGAACAGCCTCATTAAGAAATGTGAAAGTTATGAAGAGTTAAATACAAAAGTGGACAAACATATCTCACTTAGAATTCTTTACACTGCATACTCTGGGAGTCTATGCTATTCAAAGCACCTCAAATTTGGAAATTTCAATGAACTCATCCCAATTATTTGAGTCAGATAGTATTATACAAGGTAATTATTTTTATTTCCCATTAGGTTGCAAGATATATCATATAATTATCTCTAAGTTACATTTGAATTAATTTAGGCCAAGCAGCAACCCATTCTAGAGACCATGCACCTGAAATACAGAAAACTTGCAAAATAGCAGGATGAAAGTGGCTTTCCAAAACTATTTTGACAAAGACTACTTTTAAATATAAAAGCCTGTAGAAAACTTTTAATACAATTTTATTTTCTTAATAATTATAACATTTCCTAAAATGGTTTAATGGCTCCTATTTTTATTTAAAGATACCACCACTTTGATCCCTGCAAAAAGCCTTTTCTATCTTGGGTAAAACATCCTTGAGTTATGTAGCTTAAAAAATACATTGATGTTTCAGTAAATAAATCATTTCTTTGTTCAGTCTTTTCTCGGAAGAGTGGTGATTCACAAGGACAATTCAGGAGCACCTAGGTTCCACAGTAACCCAAACTGGCAAATTGTACAGAAAGATATATAGTGTCATTGTTTAATATTTGGCTCCGGCTAGAAATAAAGTAAGGGAACACAGATTGACTGTGATGGAAAATCCATCAGAAATAACCAAGCTGGCAGATTATTAAAAATACGGTATCTGAATACTTTAAAGCTAATATTTTACTTAAATCTTCTCAAAATTTCACAGTGATGACTGATAAAGCAGATGATTTTTTACAATGAAAAGTGTTGAAGCAACTTGAGATTAAAACATTGTTTAATTCAGTAAGTACACATGTGCCAATTTTTTGAGAGTTAAAAATTGTGTGAGTTAGAATAATTAGAAATGTTTCTTTTATCTGTTTTAGAATCAAAGGTTATCTCTGCTTTCTTGTTTTGGTTCTTCTAGCAAGTCTGTGATTGTTAAAACAAGACACAGTTTTGACCGATAACCTCCAAATTATTTTCTTCTTTCTTTTTGGACATTGATTTATATTTTAGTGATGTTTTAGATGTTTCCTGAAATATCTCAAGACAATAGCATTCAGGAAAAAAACGTATTTTTGCTTTTATGAAGATTTATCTTAGTAATTTTGTTAAAAATGCTATGTATGGAAATGACAGTCTAATCACAAAGTTTACACCTTTTATATTTTTTTCTAAAAATGTTAAAGAGAAGATAAATACTTTTTTCTGTGAAAGAGTAAGAATATTATTTAATCAACTAGATAAAATAGTGGCCTTGTGAAAACAGTTCCTTCTTTCTTTTTCCTCTATAGTATATCTTATTTTATCATTAAAATGTATATTCTAATATGTGATTTTAAGATAAAACATGGATATACTATCTTTCAAACTTCCATGTGGTCTCGACAAAAAAAAACAAACACTCATTAATATATAAAATCCCAATCCCTTCCTAACATTAAGGTTTCCATGGATTAATTTTATTTTATGAGCTTTGGAGCTCATAAAATTTCACCATTTGTCAAGAGTGCGTTTTTTTGTTTGTTTGTTTCTTTTAATCTCAACAAACTGCAGTGGTTTTGCCCACATGAAGGACATGTACATATATGGTGGCTCTTTTCGGCCTTTTAGAGTCGAATAATTTTGAGGTCCATCTTCCTATAAAGAGGCTGAGAAAGCCAAGCCCTAAATACTGGCATCCTCAGATATCACACACTATTTACAGAACACCATCCTGACTTTCTTTTCTCTTCTTTGCCTTTTACTTTTTATTCTGTTCTATATTCACTGCATGAATAAAACTTTGTCATCACTTGGTAATTTTAGCAAGAATGAAGAAATGCATGAAATCCTTTAATTTGATTAAATCCTATCATTGAGCTTAATTAGGTCATTGTATTAATTAGGTCATTGCAATTATATAATTTGAAACCCTGGCTGCCTGAAATAAATGAGTGTTCATGACCACGGCCAATATATTACTAGGGGTGTGTTAAGTACATTTTAATTTTTCTATATTGAAGATATCAATATTGATTATTGAAAACTGTTCAGCAAATATCAATGTCTTTTAGAGTGATTGGCTGTGATTGGAAAATAAGAATTCTGGATTTTATCTGCATTTCCCTGATGTTGAGCACCGTTTCATATACTTGTTGGCCATTTGTATGTCTTCTTTAGAAAAAATATCTACTTAGGTCCTTTGCTCATTTTATCTTTTATTTATTTTCATTTATTTATTTATTTATTTTGAGAAGGAGTCTCCCTCTGTCACCCAGGCTGGAGTGCAGTGGCATGATCTCGGCTCATGGCAACCTCTGCCTCCTGGGTTCAAGAGATTCTCCTGCCTCAGTCTCCCGAGTAGCTGGGCTTATAGGCACCCGAAACCCCGCCCAGCTAATTTTTTTATTTTTAGTAGAGACAGGGTTTCACATATTGTCCAGGCTGGTCGAACTCCTGACCTCAGGTGATCTGCCTGCCTCGGCCTCCCAAAGTGCCGGAATTATAGGCGTGAGCCACCATGCCACCTTTGCTCATTTTTAAACTGTTATTTAATTTTTTTTTGCTATGGAATTTTAAGAGTTCCTTACATATTTTGAATATTAACAAACTGATATAGAAAATGTGGTATATTTAGACAACAAAATATTATTCAGCCTTAAATTTGAAGGAACTATTGCTATTTGAAACAATATGAATGAACCTGGATGGCATTGTGCTAAGTAAAATAAGCCAGACACAGAACAACAAATATTGAATGACCTCACTTATATTTGGAATGTAAAATAGTCAAACTTATAGCAGTAGAAAGCAGAATGAGAGTTGACAGTGGCAGTGGAGAAGGAGGAGATGGAGAGAGGAGAGATGATGATCAAAGGGTATAAAGTTTCAGTTATGCAAGCTAAATGAGTTCTGGAGATCTAATGTACAGTATGGTAGTACTACCATTAATAACAGTACATGCTTGAAATTTGCTGAGAGACTAGATCTTAAGTGTTATCACAAATTTAAATCAAAAGAAAAGAAAATAGTAGCTGAGAGATGAACATGTTAACTAGCTTGATTGTGATAATAATTTCACAATGCATACATGCATCAAAAAAAAACTTGTGAACCTTAACTATATACAAATCCTAATTGTTAATTATAATTTAAAGAAGCTTAAAATTGTTTTAAAAATTAAATTGATAATTTTGTATTCTTACAGATAACAAGCATGCTAATAAAAAAAGAGAGAGAACCCATATCATTAGGAACATTGTTGATATGAATATCCAAATTTTAAACCATTATGCAAACACTATTATGGTCATTTCACCTCTAATATACATGTTTCAGTGAATTTACACCATTCTTTTACTCCTCAAATTTATTTAATAACTTTAATCAAGGCTTATGCACCATGGTGTTTTCTTCAGCGCTGGGCTCTGCAAATAGTTTCTGGTAATTTAATCTTCCCCAATTTCCTATAGTTTTTATTCTACTTATAATAAAACAATTTAAAGGCTTTCATACAATAGATCCCCTTTAAGAATCATTCCTATCAGTGGGCAGAGACCCTATATTGGGTACTTTTATAGATCTAAGGAAGGCTTTACATCCCAACTCTATTTTTCACCAAGGTACTCTATAGGAAGGTAGGTAGGTAATATAAGCAATACATTTTTTTGAGAATGGCCCTTGCATGGGGGGCGGTGTGTGTATTTATATGTTTAAACATTACATACATCTAAACATCTCTTTATAAGCTCCTTTTTAAATTATGTAAATTTTCTAGCATAAGTAGTTTATTTATACTCAGGGATTATATAAGGAAAACTTAGATTCTGGTTGGAAGCTTGGTGTCAAAAAAAGAAAAAAATGTTGAAGAGTCAAGATGTCAAGAGGCATCTCCCTGATACTTTTGTCTAGAGTTGATCTGCTAATAGCTCACATCTAATAATTTTTAAAAGAAGGGGAAAAAAAGGAAAAGAAAGAGAAAAATTTTGACAGTTCACCTGTCAGTTCAGCTGAAGTATAGCTTTAATGCCTATCAATTGGACAAAGATCTGTGAAGTATTTTCTATATGACCCACATTACAGAAAGAAACTCTTAAGAGTTTTTTAGGGTATATCTCTATAGGTTTTTTCTTTACCATGGAAACATAACATTAACTGAAATAAAATTTGTGTTTTTCTTTTGAGTTCACATTAATATAGATAAAACTCACACATGTGCACACAGACATGTACCTAAAAATTTTTTTGATAGGAAAGCATGCATTATTATAAATCAATACTTAAGGGCAAATTTGCTGAATACTGCCAGTAAACATCAGATGGCAAAACATCATTATCCAGATCCAAGAAAGACATATAACAATGATCCCCTTTATTTCATACAGAAAGAGTCAAAGAGTTCTATATTGGATTGCCCAGATTTTGTAGAGATTCAGATATGAAAATACATAGCAGAAGCCAAAAACAAATGTGATTGGCCATCTGGAGAATATCAGTGTTCCCAGTGATTAAAACAGTTAATCTAATGGAGAAGTTTCTTTGAATTCTAAGGAGCATTAAAAAATACATTTTAGAGATCATTAAACCAAAAGCATCCATTAGCTACTCTCAGACATGACCTCTGTCTGTTTCTTTTTTTTTCCCCTTTCTCTTTTGCTTTGTTGATTCACAGTGGTCCAGCCAAAAAAGCAAAAGTTCACTAACACTATTACCATAATCACTTTGACATCACTAGAGATGCTTTTAAACAAACACATACCTCAATGTGAGCTTGTATATCTTAACATTAAGCAGAAGATCTAAAATTATTAGAAAACAAGTGTGGCATTAATCCTTTTAGCATATAGTTCATCCTAAATGCCCATAAGTACTCTGACATATATAAACTTTTTATTGGCTATGGAAGATTCTGTCCCAAATGAAAGTCATTATTATTTTATGTTTTATTCTCCAAGCAAATTCATAAGAAAAAATGAAACGTGACTTTTAAGACATTTTTATGGAGAAGTTAATTAAAATATTTTAATATATGTAAAAAGTATGAAGTCCATATTTGGATAATCACAATGTTTCAGAACTAATGAAAACTCTTAAACTATTTCAAGCCTTTTTTTGAAGATGAGAAATGTAATACTTTAAACATTAAAAATTGACAAGTTTTTTCCACAAATTCTGTAGTAAAAAAGATACATATTTCAACACTATATATATACTTATATATACAGTGTCAAAATAGCTACAGCTTTTAAAAATAATAGAGATAAAGACATATCATCACATTATGGCAGGATGTACTGACTCCAATCCACAAATCCACAGTAAGATAAATTTTCAATTATGGACAGCCTCTTAAATCCCTGAAGACAAGTGAAGAGGAGATAATATTAGCTTTCTATGTCCTCTTACACACACTTGTATTGTTGGGCCACATTAGCCAAATGTCTCAGAGAAACTGAAGAAAATATACAATGAAATTGGGAAGCAACTTCTGCTTATAATGAGCTAAAGCATATACAGTTAAAATCCTTGATTCCATAACATTTTTGTATCAAGCACTTTGGTGCAGATAATTTATTCATGGTATGTTAATGTCTTTACCGATCAAATAGTCAGCTTTCTTTTGCATAAAATTGTGTGTGCACATGTGTGTGTGTGTGTGTGTGTGTAACATCACTATTCTATATACAATAACTATCTTTAAAAACTAAATGCTACCATAGCTTAATAATAATAAAATAGGAAGGACCACCTCACCAAAACTTGACCATGTTGTCAGATTAAAATCGGGCTATGAATTTTCTGACTTAATAATGGAAAATTCATTCGATTTTTCTGGTGCATTTGACTGTTTTGATTTTACGTAATTTGAATAGAGGCTCAAACTATGGCTGAAATTAAGTTTAGATGTATTGAACTGAAAAATTACCAAAAAGCTATGAATCTTTTTTTAAATTACGTATCAGATATATTTCTGAATGGTGCTTTTTTCAAGGTTTAGTAAAATATTTTTTCATTTATTTCTGTATATTTATTCAGTGTTTTCACATGAACTGAACAAAATAACTAACTACATAAATAAATAATTTTATTAATAAATAAGTAAAGAAATAAAATAGGGAGGAGGGGATAGCATAGAAAAGTCCTAACAAGAGTCATTGCCGGCCAGGCTCCATGGCTCATGTTTGTAGTCCCAGCATTTGGGAGGCTGAGGCAGGTGGACTGCTTGAGGTCAGCGGTTCCAGACCAGTCTGGCTAACATGGCAAAACCCTGTCTATTCTTCTTCTATGTTTTTTTGTTTTTTTTTTTTTTTTTTTTTTTTTTTTTTAGACAGAGTCTTGCTCTTGTTGCCCAGGCTGAAGTGCAGTGGCATGATCTTGGCTCACCACAACCTCCACCTCCCAGGTTCAAGCGATTCTCTTGTCTCATCCTCCCAAGTAGCTGGGATCACCAAGTAGCATGTGCCACCATACCGGCTAATTTTTGTATTTTTAGTAGAGCCAGGGTTTCTCCATGTTGGTCAGGCTGGTCTCGAACTCCCAACTTCAGGTGATCCACCCACCTTGGCCTCCCAAAGTGCTGGGATTACAGGTATGAGCCACAGCGCCTGGCCAAAACCCTGTCTTTTCTAAAACTACAAAAATTAGCCAGGCATGGCGGTGTGTGCCTGTAATCCCAGCTACCTGGGGGCTGAGGCATGAGAATTGCTTGAACCCGGGAGGTAGAGGTTGCAGTGAGCCGAGATCGTCCACCCGCTGCACTCCAGCCTGGGCGACAAAGTGACTCTCTCTCAAAAAAATAAAAAAAATAAAAGAAGAGTTATTGCCCTTATAAACTATTAATACACAAGAATATTTGTTAAGTAATTAATTATGGTAAGAAACAGTAGAAAGAATAATTAATTGAGAAAGGCATCCGCCAGAAGACAGAGTACTATGGCTGTTGTGCAACAGAATATCTGACTCCTAAATACAATGATGAATATGAGGAGTCATATGATCAAACTCAGCAAAGCCCAAAGAAATGCCCATGAGCCAAGATAGACTGTAGTGCTGCTAATCTACCTACATTTTTTGAGTTGATTTATCTTTTTAAATCTAAATTCTTAACTAAAATGCTTGCATAAGATTGTAGATGTTTGAAACTAAAGGCTATCTTTATTTGTTCATCAGTACATGATCTACACATACGCTTAACAGTGAATAAGAGAACGTCTACAGGTTTCAGCACTAAATGCATAGAGCCTATAAATCTATGAAGTAATATAATTTAGAAGCTTCCTTTATCACTGATTTAATATTTTTGAATTGAAATTTAAATCCTTGAAACATTATCAAAGCTACTAAGGAATCTGTATAGTCACAGCAGTTAGCACAAGATCTTGGCAAGTAGTTTGATAAAACAAAGAAAATGTAAGATATATTTTATGAATATTAATCAAGATCTACACTGGGTAGTCATACCTCATCATTACATCAAAAAATCAGAGTGGCTTTGCTAACATTTCCTAAATCCACCTTTAATATGCACCTTCATAGAAGATATCTTGCCATTAGCACTAACTGTTTCTTATGTACTTCAAGAAAGATATAGGACCACGGGGACTAAGTGGGAATGACAGGAAAAAAACCCCATAAATCTTTGTCAGACTTTCAGAAATGAGCTCTGAATTCAACCAAAATGAACTATTTTCCTTGGCTGAGCTAACATAGTGGTTTTGTTAATTGTATCCCAGCTAATACTATCCCCTTCCAGTTCCAACAAAATATGCTTAAAATGTCATGATTTAAACAAATACTTTTATTTTTTACAAATAAGTAAGACATCTTACGGCATGTGATATGCAATAAAGGCTACTACAGAGCAAGTCAATGATAAGCAAGGAAGCATTAGAAAATTTCCTAGCTTGGGATAACTCCGTTCAGAATGTTGAATTAGAGTACGGAAAACATATATTTCACATTTTTCCTCCCCGTTCTAAAATAGTTGTTAGATTAGCTTAAAATGGTTTAATTGATTGTTATGAGATGCACACATTCTTTGGTGAGAGATTAATCATTTTAAATTAAAAATGTAACTGTGCAATTGGGCAGTAGTAATTTAATAAGCCTGGGACAGTAATTTATATTAATTTAACCGGCAACTTCAAAATCTTGTGGGGGAAATGATTTATCTTTGGAAGAGATATACTACATTTGGATAGATAGGTAAAATATAATAGTGCTCAAATGAACTATATTTATGCTTTTAGATAACAGAGAACTGGTAATCCCTCAGTGCTAAAGCTTTGAGATATATGTGCCTTTTCTTCTTGTAAAGAATGCTGATGAAGTTAACATATTTCTTTCTGTTTAAGGGGAAAAAGAAATTATAAAAGCAACACAATGAAGACATTTCTCATATTTGTCTTTCTTGTTATTTAAAATGTTCTCACTCTTCCTTATTGTTAGATAAATTTTCTTTTTCTTTTTCTTAAAAAACCCTTTAGGGCAAGAATGACATTATTTCAGTTTTATAAATTTAGCAACTAATAATATTCTATAAAACACTGCCCTAAACAAATGCTGTGAATAAATAAATTACCTCAGTGTCCTACAAGCAGTATTTATCACAACAGTGAGACTTTTTTGTTGCTTGTCCTTAACTTTTAGGTCCTCACAAGGTAGGGAGGCAAAACAAACCCTCCGGCAGAAAACAGTCAAATTGATTTTTTCACTGTCATTCACAGAAGTTCCTAGGATTTTCACATTCTGTTATTTTCCCTATTTAGAAGTTATTCGCATAAAAGGACACTTGCATGTAAATGCCAAGACTGCATTCTGAATATTTCAGAGGAATTTTGCTCAAGTTGTCTTACATTCTCAGTGCACACCAAAACATAACCTTCTAAAATGTTCTGTCTGCTGGCTGTATTGCAAAAGTAGAAGCTCAAGCATGAACTGCCTAATCATCTTTATTTCTGGAACAAAATAATCCCTACTTCTGTAATATTCACAGATTTTTTTTTTCCTCTGCAAAGATTTTCCTGACGATCCCTCAAAATGCCTATTGACAATTCCATTTCAGGGTCCAGAATACTTTATTATTCTCATTTGTCCACAGGTGTATATCCACTCCTAGACAATAATGCCCAATATACAAGTTCATGTTTTATTCATCTTCTTGTCTCCATCAACTAGCACAAGACTTGGCATCTAACAGACAGTCAATAAATGTCTGCTTATCTAAATTGTGCTAAAACAAACCAATGATTAAGATTCCACAATGATTCCAGGCCCCACAGATAGAAGTAAGCTTTTCTATTTTTTTTTAAAAGGCTGAAAATATTTTTTTCTAGATAAAACAGATAATAGGAGTAAATACTTATTAAGCTCTTAGTGTGTCTCACTTCCTATTATAAACTCTATACATGTTTTGGTTTTTTTCCTCCTCATTTATTTCTTGTACAGACTGAAATTATATCACTTTTACATATGGAAAAGCTGAGCCACAATAACTTTTAGAAACTTGTCCAAACACATGTCATTAAACAAGTAAGTGCTGGATCCATGTTCTATTCAGGGAGTCTCATCCTAGAGACTTCTCTTAACTATATATTCACTGCCTAAAATAACTGAAGGAAAAACTGCTTTCCTTTCACATACACACCCTCGCCGTGTGTTTGGTTTGTTCTAGGCACTGTGTACAGTACCCAGGGTACAAAAGTGAATAACACGAGGGCTTTTTTTAAAAACCTCTAATCTCTATCTTTCTTGGAAATATTTTAAAAGTTTCCCCTACTTAAAAAAAAGACCACACACACACACACACACACACACACACACACAAACACATACAAATAGGTGTTTTTTTCCTTTCACTGCCGAAATTCTCACCTTATCAACCAATGACTGTTGGCTGTATTAAGTCAAACACACTTCAATCTCTCATTTATTCCAGGTTGCCCTGCTCAGTCACTGAAAATTCTCTGAAAAAATTCCCCAGTGGACTTATTGTCAAATCCAATGTCCTCTTCACAGTTTTCAATTTACTTAATTTATTTGTAGCACTGACAAGCCCTACATTCAATCAGATTCCTTGGCTCCTAAAATTCAATCAGATACAAGGGACAAAAGAAAATGTACCAAATAATAACAAAACTTTAGGTATAATTGAGCTCAGTACTTCACTTTACATATGAGAAAGCTACAACCCCCAAAAAAATAAATCAGTTCTCTCAGGGTCACATCTTGAGTTAATCATGGAGTTATGATTAAAAGTCAGGGCCATCTCTCCAAAGTTTATCAAGACTTTCTTTGAAATAGATCTTTCTATTACTTCTGCCAAATCTGTATCTCAGGCCTTAACTTCGTAGTAGGCAGCTTTATAATGGACCCATTGGTTCATGATTGCATTCTATTCCTCTTCAGACTGAGCAGAACTTACTAATTTCTAACAAGTAGAATATGGCAGATGTGATGGGATTTCACCTCCAAGATTAGATAACAAAAATACTAAGGCTTCCATCTTAGACATCTTCTTTTTTGTATGGTTTACTCTGGGAGAGGCCAGCTGCCATGTCATGATGTATCCCTATAAAGAGGCCTGCATGAATAAGCTTGGAAGTGGATTCTCCACAAATTGTGCCTTCAGATGAGACTGCCGCCCTGGCCAACAGTTTTACTGCAACCTCATAAGAAACACTGAGTCAGAGGCACTAGTTAAGTAACATCCAGATTTGTGACCCATAGAAAATATAAGATCATATTTAAAGTTCTAGTCTTTGAACTTTTCAAGCAGTAATAGATAACATCAAAAATAACATCTCGTCCCAGGAATACTGTAATTGTTTAAACACTTATCAACTCCAAAGTAATTTGTATTGTTCTATCACTTCATTCTTCCCACAGCATCATATGAACCATGTTTTCCTATTAATCAGTGTTCAATAAGCAATGCCTTTAAACACAATAGCAGAGAAAGGATATGTTGAAAGTACTGAATCTAGTACTCAAAGCTAACTAAAATATTCCACTTTGTGTTAATTGGCTTACTGTTTCTTAAATACATTTATTGTATTTAATGTATTGTGTTGTGCATAATACAATAATTGTATTGTAATAAATAATCGTATTATATTATACTGTATTTCTTAAATACATTTCCTTCTACTTCTGTAATCATGACATTTGGAGATTTTAGAAGAGGTATCCAAATCTTACAAAAAAAATGTTTACAATTAAGAAAAACTCTGTTCAATAATACCTTAATCGACCATTTCTGTGATTACAAGAAATCCCTGTAACCTAAATGCTTTTTTGTCAGTTAAATACTGCACTGTTGTCAGAAACTGAGAAAATAGAAATGGTCTCTAAAGGGTATGGCACTCCAGATCATTTTAAGATAATCAACTTTCAGATCTTAAAATTCAATGTAGTCCCTTTTTTAAAATGAATTTGCCTCAGAAGACACTTAAAAGATCAAGAATCACTTCTGTAGCCTTTTTCAAAATCACAGCTTTTTCCATTTTATAATAGAAATTCCTCTCAGCTATCTAGAATGTCACTATGATATACTGCCTACAAGAATGAAAAAACAAACAAATTGGTATTTAAACTATTTATTTATCTGTATACTATTAACATCACTTCCATCTATGTAACTGAAAATTTTATTACCAATATTTTCTATTTTATAATAATACTTATCAAAAAATAAATGCATTTTATGTAATTTTGATCAATTGGATACTACTATTACATGTAAAGATAAGTCAATATAGAGGAGGCTTTTAAAAAAACACTTAAAGCTTTATAGTTCCATGGAAAATATAGACTGTTGAATATTCACATGCTAAAAAGAAGCTTGAGAGAGTAAACAAGTAAATACTTGCAAGCACAGAAGCATATTACTATAAGATACAATTTTGTGAAATAATTCCAAAGGAATAATGAATTCAAGCAGTAAAAAGGACAAAGTAAAATATCAGCCTGTTAAAAAGACATTGTTCAGGGATGTTTTTAGTTGAATAATGGTAAATATCTAATATATACTGTATTTAAGTCCTACTGAATCAATTTAAAAAAGTGACTGTCAATGTTTCCAGTGTTCTAAAATATATTCTTTGCAACTTTAAAAATTTGTAATGAAAATGTTTTCAATGTTAATCTAAAACATTAAAGAGGTACATCATGAATTTAAAAATTCCTTCGGGTGGTAAATGAAAAAAATCTTTCAAAACCACTGTTTTATTATTTTTTTAAATCTTTGTAGGAATTATCATCCTCCCTTATCAACTTCATTTTAAATGTCATTAAAATGAACCATATTACATGAATGTCTTCTTAATTGTACCATAGCACAGAACCTTGCTCATAGTTGCTAAACCAGCATTTCTTTAATTTGGTAAATTCCCCAAAGAGGAATACTACCTTTTAATATAGAAAGTTAAATTATTTCCTGCAGCATATATTTATATTCGAAGTCATAATTCAAAATTTTAAAACAAGGAGTACTTATCTATAAAGAAGCAAATAAATATGCAGTCATTATAGGAACTCAGATTTCAGGAAAGCACATGGATTATTTTCATTGATTTAAGAATTTAATCATGTTACTCAGTATTACTAACAACAAAAAAGGCAGTGTCTATCTGTTACTGGTAGGAAAACCAATGCTGAGAGAAATAGTTGACCCTCCTGCAGACAATTAGGCTACTACTAGATCCTGTAGCAGCTAAATACAAAATATTACCTGGAATGAGTCAAGGCATTTAAAAGAATGAATGCCCTTCCCTAGATGCTAGTATTCTGACTGATTTCTGGAATGCTCAGCATGGACTTGAGAAACATGTAAAGGTTTTGGAATTTTATCCATTGTATTATGACTTAAAAAAATTATTTATGTAGTAATGCAAATTATGTTAATGTTTACTCTTTCATACTCCCATTAGGAGTATGATTTATAATACGTGGATAATTTTAAAAAGTTACAAGGGATATGCTGAATTTAAATTAGCCCACCTTATTCAGTGTGTAAAATCTATAATGATAAATAAAGCATCCGGCTGATAGAAAGCATAAGTAATAATACTTCAGAGTGCTGGGGGTTTGTTTTTTTTTGTTTTGTTTTTAAAACAAACTAAATATAATAAAATTAATTATTATTGTCATGACATAAACATATTGTCTTCTTTGACTTCATATGCGTATAGAGTTTCAGACCTTGGAATTATCTTTGACTTCTCAAGTAAATCATCCTATGCCCTAAATGAATTTCTATACTACTTGTTCCCTTGGCACTTGTATTTTGTGCAACATTCTTACGCTGTAAACTATAAATGACCTTGAAAATAGGGAACATTTAGACCTTAAAAGATTCATATGGCCAAATTTATTTATTCTCTTTATCTATCCTAATATTTTACAACAAAGAATAAAATGCTGTTAGGATAGTGTAAAAGCAAATTTTAATGTAAAACAAGACTTGAAATGCCTAAGAGAGCACAGGCCCCTACTGGAAACACAGACTTGAATCATACACACAAAAACACACCTACCCACACACAAACTAAAACTGACCAATGCTTCTAAGGAGAACTACATGGGTCATGAGAGCTTATTAACAAAAGTCTTTACTTAGTCAGAAATGGCTTCCCGGTACTGAATACTTACTATGTGCTTGTCCTTGCTCAAAACACTTGGCAAAGGTTAATTCATTTAATACTCATAATAATTCTTTAGGGAACACACTGTTATTATCAGTTGACTTTACAGGTGAGGAAACTGGGCACAAAACAATTAATTTCCTAACAATACATCACTGTCATAAAATCACCTAAAGGCAAAAGAGCAATCCACACCAGGCAGGCTGGCTCCAGAGCCCTTACCTTAAACTAGAAGGTAATACTGCCCTTCTAAGATCTGAGGACTGAGTAGGAGTCAATTAAGTATATGGGTAGTGGGCTTCCCAATAGGAACATAGAAAATTCTAATATTCTAATGGTTCCTGGAGCTGGGAAAGAGTCATATGACTAAACCCAGACAAGTAGAGCGTACAGTCTAGAGCTCTGAGTCCGGCTCAAGGTACACACACAAAATAAGAAGAGTTTCATTATAACTTTGTATATATACTTTATTAACCTATTTTAATTTTATCTTTCATTTTCCCTGTTACTTGAGAAATGGGGAGATCTGTCAATAGAAGGGAGTGGTTATATCGATAAAACTAAAGCAGACAAACTAGACGTCTCTTTTTCCCTTGGTTGAGTCTGTGGTGTAGACTCTGATAAACAACATTCACTCTCTTTATGCCAGCCACTGGAACAGAGCCTTTTTTATTAAGTCCATTAAACAAGAAACCATGGTGTCTCACAATTGTTAATAATTATCTTAGTCCTATTTTCCAGCCTCTATGGCAAGACTCTCAGTTCTGTCTCTCCACTATTTGTAACATACACATTCATAAGATGCTATTATTTTGGACAAAGGGAAAGAATTTTTAACTCGTTTGAGGTTAAGGCTTTGATAAAGTGAAATCTTATCTAAACTCTAATCATCCTGTATATTACACACTATTTAGGACACTCAGAAAAAGACTTTTAGAGAAAAATGGTTCCTTTCAGGCTGATATGACAAAAGCAGATCTGTTGGAAAAAAGAGATCCTTCTCTAGCCATCAAGTACCGGATTTCCAGCTGCACCTCACACTGAGTCACCAAACCCACAAAGTCAGGAAAAAAGCTGAAGCTGAGCTACCTGGTATTTATAAGCCTAGTAGTAAAGCATAGTCATGGTTTTACAAAAAGTTGCCGCATTATTGCTTAAGAGACTGTGGCAGCTATACGGGTAGAAGCTGAGGAAATCAGATGGAAGAAATTATGCCAGTGGCAACCGTATTCCAACAATGGGGTTTTTACATTGCTTTTATTTCCTTTTATGTTTAATTCCTTTGCAGCCACCTGTTGCAATACAGACTGCAATGATTTAAAGAGCTGTGGGCCTAAAGCGATTTTTACAACAATGAAGTCTACAGGGGAAAGCCTGTTAGAGAATGGTTATTTATTGCTACCCTAGCACACAAATAAAAGAAAGCAACATGTGTATAAATTTGTCAGAACATCAGTTTATATAGGTTAAATTACTTAATGCCAAATTATTGTATGTTATACATACATAGGACCATTAAGATGTGAATTCTTAAAAAGCAATATTTTATAAGGATAGTAACAGATGTTTGAAGAAAAGAACAAGTAATATGATGTAGTTAGGCATTTTGCATCAATATTTAATTTCTTAAATTAAGGATAATTATTTCATCTGTACTACTGAAAATTAATCAAACTTTACAAACAGGATAATAAGGTATCATATAATTATGAGGTGATTTACCTATATTCACACAAACTTTGATAAGAAAACCAGAGATCATATCCACTTCAGAGTGTTTCTACTTTAAATGAGAATGCTTTTCATGGACACAGTTTTTAAAGTTATTATTTTTCATCTATATCTGTCTCAGTCTTCACTTATTTCTCTCCCTCCCTCCCTTCATCTCTCTCTCTCTCTCTCACACACACACACACCCACATCTGAAATGCAATCAGACTTCTCATTAACTTGTTCTTTTATTCAACATTCAACATATATTTCTAGAGTATCAGACCCTATATTAAGCATTGAAACTTTAAATTTATGATTTATAGTACCATAAAATTAATTCCAAGAATAGAACGTGAATGTCAAGTGGAACGGTAATATTATCACGTGCTTTAAGGAAGCTCAACAAGCTTTGACATTGATGTTCAAAAGAGATTGAAACAAAACATATCTAAAATAAAATGCATGCCTTAACATTTTAATGTTTACACTTCTCTTATGAACATTAAAAACATTGGTATTATAATTAGTTGTTTACATAATTGTTCTTTCTGCTTGATTCTGAACTCCTTCAGCTTGCGTCCTATTATTTTCAGCCTCCACAAGACCTAAGTCAGAGCTTGGTGTCACAAGTACTTATCACATATTGATGAATAAATCAATTCATACATAGTTACTTTTAATAGCTACTTTAAAAATGTGTAGTTTCCATGTTTTGTGCATTTGGCTAAATACTTGTAGCATATTTTTTTCATTAAATCTTAACAATAGTTTTATAATTTAGGTATCAGCATCCACATTTCATTAATGTGGCCACTCAAGATAAAAAAAAAATTCTAGGAGCTTGTCTAAAATAACCAAAGCTGACCTTCAAGCTGCAGTTTGTTTGATTTTTAATCCCATTTTATTAATTGATATACAATAGAATTTTCCAAAGTATTATTGGTTTAATCAGCACAGAAAGATGGTGTTCATTCATTCAACAAATATTTATTGAGTGCCTACTTTGCACCATACATGGTACGTCTTAAAACAGAGCAGGAACAAAACAGGAAAAATCTCTGACCTCATACAACTTACAATCTCCTGACGATATTTAATTTTCCAAATAGTACCAGGTCCACTCTTTGGCAATATAATGGCGTGAATAAGGAAATGTAAAATACATTCATGCATAATCTGATTTATGCATCCTCCTGCTCTAGCAAACCAGACAAAGTATAATTTCTACAATGGAATTATAGAATGAACATTTTATTCTTGGTACCTATATTAAATACTAATAATACAAAATGTTTAGGGCTTTTGAAAAGCTATCTTTTCATATAGCAAAAGCGTATGCTGAGTTAATATACATTTTGCAGTCATTTTAGAGACGACAATTTTTCTAAAATTTGTATTCTGATATTATTGGGGATAATCTAGAAATTAGATTGAAAGGAAACAGGTAGTGGAAATTATTTTAAATGTTACTATCAACTTTAAAATACTCTCAAGTTTTCACATTAAAAGTGAGTTGGATTGTTTGTTTATTTATTTATTTTATTTATTTATTATTTTTGAGATGGAGTCTTGCTCTGTCGCCCAGAGCTGGAGTGCAATGGCACTCTGGGCTCACTGCAACATCCGCCTCCCGAGTTCAAGTGATTCTCCTGTCTCAGCCTCCTGAGTAGCTGGGATTACAAGTACATGCTGCCACGTCTAGCTAATGTTTTGTATTCGAGTACAGAGGGTGTTTCACGGAGTTGTCCAAGCTGGTCTCGAACACCTGAGTTCAGGCAATCCACCCGCATAGGCCTCCCCAAGTCCTCGGGTTACAGGCGTGAGACACTGCGCCCAGCCATGAGTTGGATTATTTTTATTTTGTTATGATTATATAACGAAAATATATATTCCATATAAGATATATATATATATATATATTTATATATAATTTTAAAATCCAGAGTCAGTCCAAGTATCCAAGATAAACTATGTTGGTTTGTCCATGTTGGACAAACTTATCAACAGAAAAATTAATTTTAGACAAAATTCTTATCATTTAGCAGTCAGAAATATACACATTCTAGTAATTATTGCATATTTTCTTTTAACATTTAATTTAAAAAATAGAAGACATAGGTAGAAAGTATATTTTTTTCTTTTGGTAAAATACAATATAAATTCATTTTGATTATTAATAGAATGAGGACCAATATGGCTTTGCAATTGTATCTCAATTATATTTAGACATAATTCTGTGTATTGTGTTGGAGTTGAGTAACTCAGAGCTGAGTAACTAGAATGAAGCAATTTCTAAGAACTATACGAACTATTTTTAAAACTTCTCACAAATATTTCATGAAAGCCTACCCATCTTCTTTTGGACATGCTATACTAACTTTAATATGGCAAAATATTTAATAATAAATGAAATGGTATTTAAAGTTTGGGCATATTCTTGTATTTGTATACTTTCTTACGTCTATGCTTATAAACTAAATGTACCTAAAGATATTTTAATTGATATACAAAATACTTTAAACTGCTGCATTAACTAGGCTTTTTCATCAACTATGTGGGTCTTCTGAAATAGTCACAATATTTTAAATTCACTTAAATTTATTTTCCCAATATACTCTGACATCAGGATCCCGTGGTTGAGCATCGGGACCCCATTCCTGAGCAAAACAATTTATCATGGACATTTCTGAAGGAGACCCCAGAGTTTTTTGGTTCAGTTTGAGATTCAGAAGGTAGGGATGTAAGAGAAACGGTTATAATGTTCTGCTGACTAATGTGCCTGTTGAATTGCCAGAAGCATTCAGGCAATATGCCCTAAATACAACCCATTGACTGAGAAGAGGCAGTAAAGTGAAAATGAATTTATGTGCTTCATCCTTAACTAATTTTCTGGGGAACAGATAATTAACAAATACTTTGCATAAAATATGAAGCAATTTCAAATCAAATGGTCAAAACTGAAGAATATCTTCCATATCAGTTATATGCAATTCATGTTCCTGATCCTAACGTTAAAATGGGTATTATGTCATATAGACTATGTAGAAATTGCCATATTAGTTATGTATTATTTTTTAATAATAGAAACATACTTTAAAGACTCTGATTTTCAAACTTTAATTAAAAAATTTTCTAAAAGTCTGAATTAAATGCAAGAGATTTCTGGAGTAAATTAATATTTCAAAATATCATATAAAGAAACAATACAGATCAAAAGTTAAATTTTAGAAATGAAAAAATCCTGGTCAATTGAGGGAGCCTGATTTAGCATGTCCCAGCTAACAACTCTGCACATTTACATTCTTAAGACAGACATTAATGACTCTTGAGTTTCACCCTTTTGCCATATGCCTATATACCCCTTTATTCTAACATGCCAAACTTTTAAAAACTATAGTCAGTTCTGCTACAACACTTGTTTTGAAAATGTAAATTTGTTCCAAAGCAACTGATGTGTTAGGGAATTATATGAGGATAACGCTACTTTTCCATTTGCTATGTGAGCTTTTATAGGCAAGAAGCACTAAGTCATGGATCTACAAACTATGCAAACCTGGTAGGTGGCCTGTTTTTGTAAATAAAGTTTTATTGGAAGACAACCAAACCATTTTTTATTAATTGCCTTTGGCTGCTTTCATGTGTTAAGTAGATGTGCGTAGTTGTAATAGAGATATTCTCTGGCCCTTTGGGGAATGTCTGTTGAGCCCTGCAGTAAGTGTTCAAAGAAATCTGAACCCTACTGAACCAAGTTGCAGAAAAATACACAAAATGCACAAACACACCTTCAAGTATGTACCAGCTACTTCCATTCACTGTGTATGTTGTGATCCATGACCATCCACATCTGGTGTTACAACTTTTGTTTAATTTCAGATAACCCTCATACCCACCCCGTCCTCATAATAACTCACAAGCTGACACCCACTTCCACAGCAAACTTCAGGTATTTTTCAAGGTAAAGTACCATATTTATTATCTTCCTGTATTTTTTCTTTTCAATGTATCACTGATAAAATTTTAGAGTGTTGTGCCCTTAAAGTAGGATTGCCACATTTAGCATGTAAAAAAGAAAAAACTAAGGTGATATGGTTTGGCTCTATGTCCCCACCCAAATCTCATGTCCAGTTGTAATTCTCAGTGTTGGGGGAGGGACTGATGGTAGGTGACTGGATCATGGGGCAGATTTCCCCCTTGCTCTTCTCATGATAGTGAGTGAGTTTTCAAGAGATCTGGTTGTTAAAAGTCTGCAGCACTTCTCCCTTCACTTTGTCTCTGCTGCTTTGCCATGTGAAGATGTGCTTGCTTCCCCTTCGCCTTCTGCCATGATTGTTAAGTTTCCTGAGACCTGCTAGCCATGCTTCCTGTACAGCCTGTGGAACTGTGAGTCAACTAAACTCCTTTTCTCCCTAAATTACCCAGTCTCAGGTAGTTTTTTATACCTATGTGAGAACAGACGAATATAGAAGGCTATTCCGTGAAATTTGAACTTCAGATGAACAACAAATGCATTTTAGTATAACTATGTCTGACTATTGCAGGTCATTACACACACCCCTTGCTCCTCCCCTTTAACCATATCTAGAAACTAGGAAAATTAAGAGGAGCCACATCTGATCCTTTTGTTATTTTCTATATTCACTTTACTTTTAACCTATTTCACCTTTAGAAGACTGTTAGATCTGTAACTGGTCTTTTATTTTTCTAGCAGAGACCTTGGAGGTGGAAAAAAGCAAACATCTGAGCACTGGGCTGTTGAAACAGTTCTGACTAGGCCCAAACATGACTAATCCTTAATCTCTTTGATGCAGGGATTGGGCTATTTAGCTTTGGTTCTCTTCCTTTTGCCAAGAATCAGGTACTGTATATCCATTACACACATGGAACAATAGCTGCTTATCCTGAGTAACACCGTAATGCCTGGCTAGGCTGATTGCCCAATATACTTGGCCAAGTTTAAAGTAAAACTATCAATATAACTTTTCATAAGTCTTCTCTTTCTGTAGTTTTTTTATTTGCCTAAAATACTCAGCTCTATTACGACCTCTGTTAACTGACACTTAGATAATTTATTAAGGGAAAGTAGCACGATCAAGTCATCATATCTTTAGTTTATTATGTTTTAGTACATATTTTTCTGCTGACTCATGTGAACAAGATGAAACCAAGCCCAACATATCCAGAAGATCACCACCCAGTCTCTCCTATTCTGGAGCTATTGTCTCCAATCTAATATTTTCCTTCTCCTTTACAAGCCCCTTTTCCTCAAACTCTGACTTCTTACCTGCCAGAATAAGAAAGTAATGAGAAAAGCCCCCTCACCTAAAGTTCTGCTGTGACTCGAGTTGTTATCTTTCCCAAGAGCATATGTATTTTAATAAAAGACAAGATTTGATCTTAATGTAGATTTCATGCAAGAGCAAAGTAAGAGATTAGTGGATCCAGAAGCTTTCTGGCTCCCCTGAAATCTCAATACATAGGCTGTAACTTACTCTAATTCTAAATTCAGCCCAAATAGGAAACACTGGGGTTATTGTTTCTTCTTGTCTCCATTTATGCATTCAGTGGAGATTACCAGGTTTGCAAAAGGGCTATTAAAATGAAAGGTCAGGTTTAAATTTTATAACAAGATGCTATTTAATTACATGTATAAATATTACATTTTTATTTTACCTCTTGTACAGTTAATAAAAAGTGCTTAAGATGTTTCAGTGCTTTTGTTTGAATTTTGTAATTAACTATTTTAAGTAATTAGGAAAAGGCAGTCTTTCTGGGTAGATTAATTAAAAAAAATAAGAATGCATTTCTGAGCTGACACATTCCAGCTAAGAGGCATGGGACTGAAACTGGCTGTAATCTTGGAGTAAGTCATTGATCCAGCCTGGGTCTTATTTGTTACACAACAGTGTTTCTATAGATCCTTTCAATATGGTGGCTAATGAGGTTGCTTTTGTGTCCCTAATATTTCATGTGATGAGTTTATAAATATAATTCATACACAATAGAACATGAGCTGATAAACTAAAATTCACTTTTTTCTGTGACATAAAATTTATACATTTTGTTAGTAAATACACATTGTTTTTGAGAAATAACCATTTTTCTTTAAGATATATTTTTGGCGTATAAGAATATTTGTTTATATGAATATTTCTATATTTATTTATTGATACAAAATAATTGTACATATTTAGAGAGTATATATGTTATTTTGCTATATGCATACAATGTGTAATAATCAAATCAGAGTATTTAGGACATCCATCACCTCAAACACTTATTATTTCTTTGTATTGAGAACATTTCAAATCTTGTCTTTTAGCTATATTGATATATACAATATACTATAAAGCTGATTAAAGTCACCTCACTGTGTTGTCAAACACTAGAATTTATTACTTCTATCTAACTGTTTGTTGGTACTAACTGGTATGGTTTGCTGTGTCCCCACCGAAATCTCATATTGAATTGTAGCTCCCATAATTCCCACGTATTGTGGGAGGGACCCAGTGGGAGATAATTCAATCATGTAGGCAGTTTCCAATACTGTTCTCGTGGTAATGAATAAGTCTCACGAGATGTGATGGCTTTGTTTTGTTTTGTTTTGTTTTTTTGATGTAGTCTCACTCTGTCACCCAGGCTGGAGTGCACTGGTGCAATCTCCACTCACTGAAACCTCTGCCTCCCAGGCTCAAGCAATTCTCCTGCCTCAGCCTCCCGAGTAGCTGGGATTACAGGTGCCTGCCACCGCGCCTGGCTAATTTTTGTATTTTTAGTAGAGACAGGGTTTCACCATTGTTGGCCAGGCTGGTCTTGAACTTCTGATCTCAGGTGATCTGCCCACCTCGGCCTCCCAAAGTGCTGGGATTACAGGCATGAGCCACTGCGCCTGGCCGATCTGATGGTTTTATAAAGGGTTTCCCCTTTTGCTTGGCTTCTCTCTTGCCTGCTGCCATGAAAGATATGCCTTTCTCCTCCTTTGCCTTCCACCATGATTGTGAGGCCTCCCCAGCCATGTGGAACTGTGAGTATACTAAACCCCTTTTTCTTTATATATTACCCAGTCTCGGGTATGTCTTTATTAGCAGCATGGGAACTGACTAATACACTCATTAATCAACCTCTCTTCATCCCCCTCCCACCCTTCCCTGTCTCTGTTAATTATCATTCTACTCTCTACCTCCATGAAATCAACCTTTCCACATGTCAGTGAAAATGTGATATTTGTCTTGGTGTGCTTGGCTTATTTCACTTAATATAATAAACTCCAGTTCCATCTATGTTGCTGCAAATGACAGAATTTCATTCCCTTTTATGGCTGAATAGTATTCCACTGTATATACGTTGGGGAAAGGACACCCTCTTCAATAAGTGGTTCTGGGAAAACTGGATATCCTTATGCAGAATAATGAAATGAGACTCCTATCTCTCACCATATACAAAAATCAACTCTAAAGACTTAAATGTAAGATCCAAAACTATAAAATTACTAGATGAAAACATAGGGGAAATGCTTCAGGACATTGGTCTAGGCAAAGATTTTATGGCTAAGACTTCAAAAATACAGGCAACAAAAACAAAAACAGACAAAAGAGATCGCATTAAACTAAAAAGCTTCTGTACAGCAAAGGAAGCAATCAACAAAATGAAGAGATAACCTGCAGAATGGGAGAAAATATTTGCAAATTACTCATCCAACAAGGAACTAATATCCAAATATACAAGGAACTTGACAGCAAAAAACCCAAATAATCCATTTAAAACATGGGCAACAGATCTGAATAGGCAAAGACAGCATACAAATGACCAACAGATACATTACAAAAATGATCCAGAAGTTTTGCACAGTTGCACTACAAGAAGAAAAAAATGCTCAATATCACTAATATTTAGAGAAATGCAAAACAAAACCACAGTGAGATAGCATCTCATTCCAATTACCATGACTTTATCAAAAAGACAAAAAAAATTCTGGCAAGGAAGTGGAGGAAAGGAAACTCATACACTGTTAGTGGAAATGTAAATTATTACAGTCATTATAGAAAACAGTATGGAGGTTTCTCAAAATACTAAAAATAGAATCACCATATGATCTAGCAATCCAACTGCTGAGGATTTATTCACAGGAAAGGAAATTAATAATATATCGAAGATACCTCTTTACCAATGTTTACTGCAGCACTATTAATACTCAAGATATGAAATCAACCTTAGAGTCCATTACTGGATGAATGACTAAAGAAAATGTGGTAGATATAGTAAATGCACATTTATTAATATCTTACATAGAAGATTCTGTATCTTATTTTCCTCCATAGCATTTTTCATTAAATGTCCTATTATTTTATTTCTAATCTATTTGTTTATTGTTTGTCCCTATAGCCAGAATATACACATTCCAGGAGGACAAAGACTTTATTTGTTTTTTACTAATATTTATAAACCAAACACCAAAAATGAATCGAATATCATGAAATATTTGTCAATTAAATAGCAAATGAATGGAATACAAGAATAGTTTACAACACAACTTCTGTACAATTTTTTTGACCATATATTTTGAAAACTTAAGTACACATTTAAAAAAATTCTCTCTATATTATTTAATAGAATGTGAAGAAAATAATCTTTTCCTTAAATGTTGGGGTTCTGTTTAATATTCAACATAACTCTTCAGAAAATAATTACTCTCCATTTGTCACAAAACATTAACATATTTTTGAATAAGCATTCATTGATTATATTTTAAATGTGTTAAATGCTTTATAGAAAAATGTGGTAAATAGTTAGAAAAATATATGGAACTGAAAATTTGAGATCCTAGTATCATGCAGACTACATCAAAATTTTAATATTTTAAAATAAATTATCTAGAGAACATCTAGAAAAACAGGGTTCCAAAAATAAATAAATATCTAATAACCTAAAATGTATTTCCTATATAATTTTAAATTAATTTTATTCACAAATATTAGCTACCTAAACAATTTGTGTTGATTAATTTGATAAGGTAAATTTAGTTTCTTGGCAAGAAAGCATTATATTTTTGTTATTTAAGAGTTACAATAAGTTGATATCTGGGAGTCAAATTTCAGAAATTTGCCTATTTCTGTTGCTATTATTTTCTGAAATTGTTGCTTCTATGACAAATCATGGGAACCAAGAATATTATTGACCTATCTAACAGTAAATTTCTAAACCATATATATAATTAGTATATTTTTAGTACAACACTAGAGATGTTACTTCTGGTCCTAAAATTAATAATATATTAATCCTTCTCATCAAATAATTATTAATAAAAATTATTGTTTTTTATAAATCTCTCTAAAAAACAAGCATCAAAGTAATAACCCATTTAGCTGACATTTAAAAATATTAAAAACATAAATTATAGGTGAAATAAATAAGTTTTTCATTTTTCATATTATAACAAAGTTAAATAATAATATTTATATTTATGGACATATAAAATGATTTATTCCTACTTCCTAAGAAATAAGTACAAATTAAATAACAGTGGAATAAAATCATAAGGCAAAATACCTTACATATTAAAACAAGGAAAGAACACTTTTATATACAATCTATTTTTAGGTAGTTGCTATCTGCAAACATACTAACTCCAAAAAGTGTCCTGGTATCTTTGAAGCAAAAAGGCATTTCACAATATCTAAATATCTCCAATAAGACTGAATTATAGATTTCGAAGAAACTTTAAAAATCAATGGTTGTTTCTTCACTTTTCAAGATTAGGAACACCAGGCCAAACGGCTGCATCTATCTATCTATCTATCTATCTATCTATCTATCTATCTATCTATCTATCTGTCATCTGTGATTTTATACAAAAACACAAGGCCTTCGGGAATAACTGATCAAAAAAATTCAATTGTACCCAATCCAATCATTTTACATGTCAGTAAAATAAGAGTTGTTAAATAATTTTCCTAAAGCTCAAGCACATAGTAGCAAACTTTAAGACAGAAGGCATGAATCCTAACTGCTGGTTCAGGTCTCATTGTAGAATAATATACTGAATTTGATCAGACAGAAAGAACAAGAAACAAGTCAGGAGGGATTAAAAATGTAAATTAAAGGCCAATTAATTTGATTAAATTTTCATTATTTAACAATATGTAATTTGCATTTTAACAGAGGATTTCAAACCAAGCTGCTGCAGAACATAACTGTTACATGATTTAAGCTGAGAGTTCTGGTAATAAAATTGCATTCACAGGAAAGAATAAGCTAATAATATCTTAATTTTAAATTTCTCTCCATTTTTTCTTAATGTATGAAAAGGTAAGTGATTTAATTAAAATAACATTGCATTAACTTTTGTTTAATAATCAATTATTTATAATCTTGTAAGTTAAGCATTATGACTACCAGATGCCAGCCCCTAAATATTTGAGAATGACTACAATACGACTATGTGAAATAAGTTTTTAAACTACTAAATAACTCTATTTTACATGTTAAAAAAGTATTAAATTGGGGCATTATAAATTTTCAAATCATGTTTTAATAAACGGAGATTGATTTTTTAAAAAACATAATGGAAATAGTCACTGAATCCCATTTTGAAAAAAATTTAAAGGCAAGAATAGTACTTCATGATAAATTAATTTAGAAAGAACACACAAACTGAACATGTATTATTGTCCATACCTTAGAAAAACTATCATAAGTATACATTTTTTAAAAGACTAAAAAGAATTACATGAAAACATGTATAAAAAGATATTTATTGGTAGAAAAACAGCCTACTCCTACAAAAGTGAGGCAGTACCAGTATCAAACCTCAAAAAGAAATTTAGAATAAAAATTGATGTATACAATTCTCTAATTTTCACCATATCATAATACATTTATGACTGAATTTTAACTGACAAATGAAGTGTTTTCCATTTTCTCATTATGACTTCTTACGCATATTTCAAGACCCACCTCAAAACACAGCATTTAAAAACTCTCAGTTTCCTGTTCTAGAATAAAAAATGGTCGCCCATGGTTTTATCCGAGCCACATATCATTTTGTACTTACTTCTTCTCCAAACTTTTTATCTGCCTCTGCTACACAGGAAAAACAGACAATAAGTATGGGATAAAGCCTGGTTAAATAAGTAAGTCACTGAGCACCTTTAGTGTGACGTATATATAGTTATATATATATAGATATAGATATATCTATATATATAGATATAGATATATCTATATATATAGATATAGATATATCTATATATATAGATATAGATATATCTATATATATATAGATATAGATATATCTATATATATATATAGATATATCTATATCTCTATATATATCTCCTTCAAATATCTGGTTTATTATTAAATATATGTGAAACTAGTGGACAATTTGGGAGAGGTCAAGAGAATGAAACAGATATGTTCACTATTACTTATGAAAATTATTTTATGAATAGCCAAGCATATATATCCTCTTTTTTATTGATCAAAGATGCTTTACATCTCATTTTAAAGTAATAGGCTTCATAATTTCACACAGCTCAATAGTGTAAAAAGAATGTATTTCTTAAAATAATGTAGGGTCGGCCGGGCATATTGGCTCATGCCACTTTGGGAGATCAAGGCGGGTGGATAACCTGATGCTAGGAGTTCGAGACCAGCCTGGCCAACGTGGAGAAACCCCCTTTCAACTAAAAATACAAAAATTAGCCGGGCATAGTGGCAGGTGCCTGTAATCCCAGCTACTTGGGAGGCTGAGGTGGGAGAATCACTTGAACCCAGGAGGTGGAGGCTGTAGCGAGCCGAGATCAAACTACTACATGCCAACCTGGGAGATAGAGTGAGACTCTGTTTCCAAATAAATAAATAAATAAAATAATGTAGGATTATTCTCTGAGAACATTTATTCTTACTTTAGAATCAGGTAAGGAATAGAATACAATAGCTGAGAAGTTGCAGATTATTAATATAATAATACTATTTATTACATCTATAAATATTTATTTAATTATCTACTTCCCACTATCAGAATATACAATGAAATAGAATAGCAGAGTTCAGTAGTTGCAGACTATAAATATAATAATACTACATATTATACTCATGAATATTTAATTGCCTACTTCTTCCCAGCAGAATACAAATTCCACAAGTCAGTGCTGTCTGTTTTGTTCTCCCCTACAATCTCAGGGCCTAGATGGCTAATTCTGAGGAAACTTCTTGAATAAATGAATTATTTAAAAACTTGTGGTCTCAGCATCCAGTCTCAGACATGGCTAAGTGCTCATCATATATTTACTTTTTCTTGTTGCAAGTGTCCTCAACTATAACCTTTGTCACAGAAAAAACACTTTCAACTTTGAAAATATTCCAAAGTTATCATTAATTCTCCTTGTTCATTTTTAGTCATACTGCTTCGATGCTATTCCCACTGATTTGTCCACTCCCTCAACCTTCATATGATCTTCTCTCAGCTTCAAGAGTCATGCTCAGTTGAGAAATAACTAAACTCTTTGAAGTGTTCCAAATCCAGAAAATATCTTTTCCTACTCCAACCCACCATTACTATTTTTGACTGATTAGATTTAGGTCCAAAAAAGGGAAAGCCAACTAAGAACTTAGTTCGAGTATAAAATCATTTGGGTTGTTTTTTTGTTTTTTTGCTTTGCTCTAACTTACAAGAAAAATGTACTACTGGCCACATAATGAAATTTCTCATCTTTAATCTGTTAACACCATTGTCACTGAGGAAGAATTTCCAATATGAAAGTTGGATTTAGCATTCATGCCTTCCCAGTAAAGCGGGCTCTGAACAAAGTCAATTCCAAAGACATACACTACTCTCATTTGTAAATTAAGGAAAAAAAATCTATCTTCCATTCTATTCAACCACATATTTGTATGAGTGTCTACTTTTTGTGATAAAACAGTATTCTTATATGAGTCTTGCATAGACAAAAGTTAATATATAAAACACTATGTATGTATGCTTATATATATATATCATGTAATATTTATGTACATATCCACATAGAAACAACAAGCTTACCACTTGTTTAGCCAAATTCATACAGACTATATGCAAAATAAGGTATTCTAAAACTCAGAAGAAGCTCAATAATTTATGATTTATTCATGTTAACTATCCAAGGTTATAAATCAAGCTCTTCACACTTCAGTACACTGTAATAATACATCATACTTCTCACCAAAAAAGTCTTATTTGCATACATTCACATTGTTTTGTTTTAAAAATAAATCTTTACTTTGAAGTAAATTTAAAATGCAAAACAGTTGTGTTATAAGATATCTGAATATTATTCTAAATGAAAGGTAGGAATAAAAAACAAGCCAAACAAAAAAGTCAATAATCAAAATGCACCTATATTTCTTAATCTTTTTTTTTCAGGTAGCACAGATTGTTTTTAACCTCTTCTCCAAGACCACAAAATTTAGCTAAACCCTAGTCACAGGAGTTGTTTAATTAAAACCTTATGTTAGTGTTGCAGGAAAACTACTTCCTGGGTAGGCAACCATGAGAGCTGAAGTTCTCCTTTGTGCCACGCACTGTGCTGAGCCCTTTATATGGAATCTAAAACAACAGAAATATGAATGCAGATACTAATCAAATCGATTTTGAAATACTGGCTAAATGGATTACCCAAACTAATTCAATTACAATGAACAACTGAACAATGACAGCAATTTGAAAGTAATTTAAGGTAAGAGTATATATCAATTTATATATATAATATTAAAATTTGTGTTGTGGACAGGTACTTAGGCAACTCTCAGATAATATTGTTCCTAGTGCCACTACTTATTATAATGTTTCTAAAATTAATTAAAGAAGCTAGAAGAAACTAGCAAGTCTCTCAGTCACAGTAGAGGTTAAACTTTGTCTTTTATGTAAGAAATGGACAATTATAATTACAGATTGATGGATAGTTGTGAATTCAAATCAATTTTCAGTTATCTGCACAAGCTTGAGGTACTAGGTAGGAACGAACATGGATTTATAAAGTATAAATACTTCCAAACCAATTTAATTTGCTCCTGTGATAAACTTAGAGGCAATGTAGATAAGGGGAAAGCAATATATTTAATCTGTGGACTACAGTGATTGTTTTGATTTTAACCCATACAGCGCCTATTAAAAAAATAAATAAATAAAAATTTTGAGACTAAACAAGCCAATTCCCAGCTATCTACAGGAGGTGTGCCCGGAACACAATGCTCTGAGATAATGCATGTCAATCGTTACCCCTAGGAATCAATCCAAAAGATGATAAATATAAACATATTTGTGAACATTTTGAAAAGAATTGAGAATGTAATTATCAAGGCTCTTTGCAACATTATTAAGATTGCTTCTTAATGGAGTCTTTCCACCACTGTCTTCCTCTCCCAGATCACTTACACATTACTGTTATATCTGTTATATATTTCTCACATGTTACCAATTCTTAAATCCTTTAAAACTACATAATGCCTAAAAAATAAAGTTCAGTGTCCTTCAGACATTCAAAATGTTTCACAATCAACCTTCAGGAATCAAAATGTTTCACATTCAACCTTCAGGAAAGAGCTAGTCCCTGCTCTTTCACTGAATCCTTTACAATTACTCTATTATACTTCTGAACTACTGGGCCACCTATGGTTTTATCACTTAATTATAACTTAGTATATGATTTCTAATAATATTATCTATGCATGGATCTCTGTGCCACTGGAAAATTAACATGAAACCTAATATGAGTATTTCCTAACTAGTCTATACAATATTTTTTTTAAAACTCAGAAAAGTAATAATAAATCATTCATGAATTACCAAGCCATTTTACATGTTGACATTTTTGTTTCAGGCATTCTGTAAATTAAGGCTCATCTCACTTGGCTATTCTGTTATCTAAAGAAAGTAAATCATGAGAATTTATATATCACAAATGCTCCAAATTTCATACCAGATTGCAGACATATTATATTCACTATAGCCATGCCAACAATGTTAGTGAAAATGAGAAAAATAGAGGATTCGACTTATATATTTTATGCCTCAAAACTCTATTAATGCTTGACAAGAGCTGAGAATGATTTCAAACACTAAGCAAGGAATCTCTAAAAGTTTCTCACACATTACCACCAAAATTTCAACAAAGAACAACAGTTTGCCTTCCTGTTTCAGAAATCAACAGAAACTGAGACAATATCTGCAAGATTTGGAATGTCATCATGAATGTGGCTACCATTGTAGGTCAGATTCCCTGATTCTGAGTTGGAGATGTTTTTTGCAGCCAGGTTACTGCAGGAGGGTTACACCCAAGAAGAAAGGGAAGCAGAACTGGGCAGAAGGGAAGCAGAACTGGGCAGAAGGCAAGGATGAACTGTTACGAGTATAACAGAGGCCTCAGCCTGTTCCCCCAGGAGGCTGCAAGATGACCTTCCAGAGCAGTCCCGGAATGAGGTAATGGAGAGTGTCTTGGGACCCTATTATCGACTACTCATTGGAGGAAGGCCTCCAGGGCAGAAGCATAACCTGGAGCATATCACATCCTTGATTGAGGGACATTCATGCAGAGTTATTCAGCTGTGAGCCCAAGCAGCCACACTCCATGCAACTGGGGAATTACTCTGAAAAAGGGTAATCTGAACAATGAATACAACATCTATCACAACCAGTTATTTGATTTATGTAGGTAGATGGCAATGGCTTTGAAAATAAAGTGATGCAAAATCAAAGTTCAATACATAACAAATGTAGTCAATTGTAGCAAAAGCCCTTTATCTGGTCTCTCTGTTATCATATCTTCCTATTACTTCTGGGAAACTGACCTCTATTCTTATTCCACTAAAATAAAAAATGATTAAGGAGGACTGCCATACCGCTGAAGCAGTAACCAGAATATATCAAAACTAGGTTATGAAATGAAGTACCCCAGTTGTATAAACATATGTATGCATACACAGAGGCAGGTCTGGAGGATTACAGTTGGGCTTCTAGAATGAATAATGTAATCATCACTTAGTCAGGTGTCATTTTCTGCAGCTCTGTATCTTTTGGTGAGGAACTTTAACTCAAAGAATAAACCTCCATTTATACTAGAAAATACTGCTCATCTCTTTGCCTTGTATGTTGACTGCTCCGAAGTTTTGTGTAATGTATTAATAAGTAAACTATTTATCTTGGTGATATCTGAGGTAGCATACTTATCAATCTGAACATTGTTCAATCTATTAGCATTCAACACAGTGGTTGGTTGTACAGCCTTGGTGAGTTTTTTATTACCCATAAGCTTATAAATCCTTCCTCATTCAGAGCTAACTCATATTTTGCCCTTTTTTCATTAAAATGTTATATATGTTACACTTAGGTCTCTAAACCATCTGCAATTTATCAGTTATGTGGTATAAATGAGGGTTAATGGATTTTTATAGGAATGTCTGACAAATTATCACAGTAACAATTCTTACATAGTCCAAACTCTTGTCTGTATATTTGAGTCATCTATTTTATCATATAATCAGGGATTAAAAAAATAGGGTCAATTTCTTTGTTATCTATTTATTTTAATGCTCTAACTATTCTTGTACCAAGCTTTCTATTTTAAAAATACAATTAGATAACGAACGCAATGATCAGCAAACAGTAAGTGCTCACAAAATGGTTACTAACTTTTTTTCATCTGGTTACACTTTCAGATTAAATTTAGAATAATCTAATACTATTGTAATTGTGTAACTCATAAGAATTTATATATTAGTTAATAATCAAAATCTTTTTTATATTCACTCTTCTCTGGGAAGCAGTTATGACTCTTCATTTGATAAAGCCTCGTCTTCAATATTTTTTCAAATTTTTAGAATATTTTTCACGTGGTTCTCAAATATATCTTATTATGGCTGTTCATAGATGTTCGAAATGTTTAAGGCTATTGTACATGGAAATTCTAACAACAAAATTTCAAGCTGCTTTTGCCGGTATACAAGAAAGCTATGATTTTTGGGATCTGTGTTTTTCATTAATCCATGTTATTACACATATATTTCAATAATAAGCAACTGCATTTAAAATAATCTAAGAGAAACAAAAGCAGACAGAACAAATAAAAATGAATTACTAACCTGATAGTCTTAAAGCAAACTATATCAATATTTATATTAAGTGTAAAAGAACTCAATATGCCACTTAACAGGCAAAGATTGCAGGCCTGGAAAAAATGTAAGACTAAACTATACAGTACTTATAATTGTGCTGTAAGATTTTGATTTTAAATCACAAATGGGTAAATGTATGACAAGTGACCCAAGAATTCAACATTTAAAAGAAAATCATTGCATTATTAGGACCTTCACCATAATCAATTAGCAATTTATAATAGTACATATTCTACTAGGTATTTTGGTCTTATAATTTCAGGGATTTTTAAAACTATAGTGAAATTAACAGTTTTCTTTAATGTAGAGGTTGATTAAACAATTAAAGGAAGTTAAAAAATAATTTTCTAAAATTACTTTATAGCCTATTAAAATCATAAATGTAGTCTCTTCAGAGCCACCTTTGGTTGAGTGACTGTATACCACACCGTCCCTGAGCAAGCCTGCAGACAAATCCATTTGGGTTTTCAGCCCTTACTATTCTAACGTGGCTTCAATAAATTGGTTACTGATCAACTGTAAAACAAAACTCAAAATAAGTCAATCATTATTATTTCAAATTAGTAGAATATCACATTATAGTTTCCAATAGACATCATGCCTAGAAAAACACCATTATATCATTTTCTTTGTAAGGCTCTTTGCATTTTCTAATATGCTTGTTAAAGGTGGTGGAGAAACTCAGGTTGCCATTGACTAATATTAAGTGTGTCCAGTGAAGGTGGTGAATATGAACACGTTACCTGTCATTTCTAGAGTCCTTGGTTAACTAAAAAACAGGGAACCAAAACAACTTTACCTAAAGAATGAGATGTTCCTATTATCTAAATAATAGCTTCCTGTGTGGAAATACTTTAAGTAACTAAAGTCAAGTTAGAGAATATTATATATGAAACAGTGCTTTGTTAATAGTCCAGACTGGGTATCTAGGAAGTTGTGTGATTTAGGACAAGTCATATTACTTGACTGTGTCTAATTATTCTTTGAATAAATAGGTAGACACAATTAGTACTTTTAAACTGTACCTGCCTAGGTACAGTCTTGCATTTATCTTTTTTATCCAAATAGTATTTCACTTAAAAAAAAAATGGAAAAAATAGGCCGGGCGTGGTGGCTCATGCCTGTAATCCCAGCACTTTGGGAGGCCGAGGCAGGCAGATTACGAGGTCAGGAAATCGAGACCATCCTGGACAACATGGTGAAACCCCGTCTCTCCTAAAAATACAAAAATTAGCTGGGCGTGGTGGCGCATTTCTCTAATCCCAGCTACTAAGGGAGGCTGAGGCAGAAGAATTGCTTGAACCAGGGAGTCAGAGGTTGCAGTGAGCCAGGATCACCCCATTCCACTCCAGCCTGGCGACAGAGTGAGACTCCGTCTCAAAAAATAAATTAATTAATTAAATTAAATAAAAAATAAAAGGAAAAAATAAAAGGACAGTCCTTGAATTAGAAGATCTCTAAAGGTCCCCCAATGTCTTCAAATTATAAGTGCTCTAAATAAAATATATCATTCTTAACAATTTCTTCAGTGTATTTAAAAGGGAGGAAACATATATCTCCACATAAACATGGTTTTCTCAAAAAAATCTCCTAATTAATAACTGTATTTGCTTTTGCTGTTAGTTCCCCTCCCTCCCTCCCTTCTTCCTTCCTTCCTTTCCTTCCTTCCTTCCCTCCCTTCCTTCCCTTCCTTCCCTCCCTCCCTTCTTCCTTCCTTCCTTCCCTCCCTTCCTCCCTCCTACCCTCCCTCCTTCCCTCCTTCCCTCTCTTCCTTCCTTCCCTCTCTCCCCCTTCCTTCCTTCCCTCTCTCCTTCCTTCCTTCTTTCTTTCCTTCGTTCCTATCCTTCTACTGCCATTTTTGCCCCTTAAACTTCTAATGATATATATTTGAATCAAATTTCCATTTAAATAGTTGAAGCCGACAGAATGTAAGGAGTAATGATCAAATGAGGAATATGCTGTAGTGTTCCAAGCACTTTACATACATGTTGCCATTTAAACATCACAATAACTTTATAAAGTATTTTTATTATTCTTATTCCATAAATAAAGACAAAAACTAGGGCACAGATAGGTAAAGTAACTAACCCAAAGGTCATCCAGACTCTAAGTAATGCAGTAGGATTCAAGCCAAAACACACTCATTCTTAACCACTGGGCTTAGAATTATTTCCCGCAGTATTTTATCTCTCATTATTGTTCCTATCTCCACTCCTCCTTCCTGGTTATTTTTAAGCTTTGTAACAGCAAATTTTTTTTAGCAAGTGTATTTTGTTATACCCTAAGCCTAAAAGAAGTTAAATAAATACACACCTGACTGTGTATGACTTGAAAGGGGAGCAGGGGAAGATTTTATCAGCATGCTATTAGTGATCTCAACCAATATGTATTACTACTCTGTGCACACCACTGAGCTAAATTCTGGTGATTTAACAAAGACAAGATTGTTCTTGCCTTTGTATAAATCTCCTCTGACTTTCACTATACTCATCTATATGTTCTCAACTGCTCTAGGCAGGACATGTAGAATACATCTCTTTCTATAGGCAGCACTGCCAGTATTAACCTAGGTTCAGGCCCAGGTCCGTATTTTGTTGTTGTTTTTGTTGTTGTTTGGAAATCAAGTTTTGTTTTTATATGAACAGAAGTAGACCATCTAGAAATATTTCAGTTTACCTAAATTGTTAAGTAGAATATGAAACCGAATTTGTAGCTAGTACCAGAGAATGGACTTAAACTGTTTGGTGTTCAATGAGAACAGCTTCTACACAGGATCCCAAAAGACTTACAGAAAAGGGGCAAAGCTGTAATATTAAGCAAATAAAACTCATGTTTCAAACAGATTATACAAAAATTGATTTATACTCCATTTCCCTTTTTTGACATTTAGAAAGTGTGGATTTAACAAAAAGCAGCTGTATCCTTTCTATGTACAATGCTGATTATAATTATGCAAATAAAACTGTCAGTCTGTTATCCAAAAATCTGAATATACCAAACCTGAATCACTAAAGAAAATCCCACCCATAAGTATCATGTTTTCATAATTCGTCAACTCTCGATCATATCAATCACAAACTCAAGAAATCCAATCCAAAATGTTTGTTTTAAGAATCCAGAGATTACTGAGGGACAGAAAGTATCATAAAACCTGGCTGATGATTATCTTATAACCATGATTTGACCAGTGGCAATACAGGCCACACTGAATCCATTGAAAATCAATACTGGATTATAAAATACAAAGTGCAGGGTGAGAAAATAGAGAAACAGTAACACAAAGGGATGTCTATATTAAAAGATCAAACTACAAACAAAAATGATGTAAAAAATGCAAGAGTCACTAAAATGAAAGATCCAGTGCCAAGAAACCAAGACCCCTGGTGTTTATGAGAAGATTAGAAAACAGGCAGTTACCATGGGGCCAGGCAGGTGGCTGGCATCCAGCATCCAGTCATCCATAAACTGGGGTGAGAAAACTGGGAAAGTAATTCAGTTAGGATCCAAATTAACTGAGCAAATTATAGCTGATTCCTAATAATAGAGCTTATTGGTACTTGGAGCAGGGGTATGCATACAAGTAGGGGGTTAGACAGCTACTCAGGGATCCTGAGGAAGCTGCCCAAGCAGAGAACTACATGAAATTTGGCACCTACCTTTTATTGTAATGCAATTATTACTCTTCTATAGCAAGTAGGGAAAACAAATGGGTACAGGTTCAAAAACAAGCATTTTTTAAACACCTACTAGGAATGATGCTGATTTCTGTATATTCATTAATACCTAGCACACCTGCTTCTCCTTTTTCACATTTTATGTCCTCATACTACTGAATTGGACTCAGAGCTCCACATTTACAAACTGCTAAGGTCAAATGTGGATATGATCAACCAACATATTATCTTTATTTATTCAATTGCACCTGGACAATCAAGGCAACATGGCGCCAGACAGACCATTAACTAGTATCGTTGGTATTTCATCCTCTATGTAGATGTAGTAGAAGGTATGATGTGAAGAATTTGGAGGGTTTCCCCCATCTCTTACAAATGTATCTCCCTCAAGAGCTTGGAACCATACATTCTTAAAACATATGACATTGCTCAAATAAGACATCAATTCATTAATACCATCACATAAGAATAAATTAGTTCATCAGATTAACTTGCCTGAAATCATGAATAAATATATTTGCTAGAAGAATAGAAAAGGCTAGAAGTGGATTAGACAAGTCTGAAGTGGAAATGAAGGGGAGAATACATTATTGCTCCTAACTATACACTTTAGAATTACACACATTTAGTTGCTTTTCCACTTACAAAAGAAAGTGAAAGAGGGAGAAGGAGAGCAAGTGAGAGATATATACACACATATGTCCAGGGCAGAGCTCATATTTACAGTCATGCTTAATGATGAAGATACACTCTCAGAAATAATGTCATTATATGATTTTGTCATTGTGCCGACACCACATACCTGGTATGGCCTACTAAACATCTAGGCTGTATGCTATATACAGCCTATTGCTCCCAGGCTATAAACCTGTACAGCATGTTACTGTGCTGAATACTGTGGGCAACTATGGCACACTGCTAAGTATTTGTGTATCTAAACATGTAAACATAGAGAAGTTAATGGTTGTGCTAGGGTATCACAATGGCTATGACATCACGATGTCACTAGGCAATAGTATTTTTTCAGCTCCATTATAATCTTATGGGATCATAATTTTATATGAGGGCTTTCATTGACTGAAATGTCAATATATGGTGCATGACTGTAGTTTAAAAGCATTTAAGGCTAAGAAATGTGACTCAACTGAGAGCTCAATGAAAGTCTCTCTGAGAAAGTAATGCTGAAATTAAGATCTAAAGGATCTACAATGAAGGAGAGACGATGATTTATGTACAAATACAGCAACCACACTTTGGTATTACTATAATAGCAACTGCCTCTTTAACTAACCTGCTCCATTACCTCATTGCCATTACCCACTTATCTCTAAGTCAACACTATCTCTCTCAAGGCCTATGACACTCCTATTACATCTTTTTCTTTGCACTTTAGAACCCAAGTTAAACAGTGAACACACCTTCCTGTGACTTCCTTTTGTTAAAAATTATGTATTTTGTCTAATTCCATGAAATAATCTGAGTTCTAACATCATAAATGGAATGTTCAGTTGACTTTTATTTTAGCTAGCCCTCAGGTTGATATAGCAGAGTGTGGGTTTCTTTTATATTAGGCAAGCTTGAGATCAAGTCCTGGCTCTGTTGCTAACTTCACAATTCTTTGCGGATCTATCATCCTCCTCCTAGTACCAGTGCCATCATTCGTAAATGAAGATAAGAAAACCAATCTCATATGATTTCTCTTAGATTACATAAGATAATGTATAGAGAGTATCTGAAATAATGGAGAGATTCAATAAACAGTGAAATTATCCTCCACATTTGAAGTATAAGCATTTTTTTTTCTTTTTTAGACAGGGTCTCACTCTTTCACCCAGCCTGGAGTGCAGTGACATGATCATTGTTCACTGCATCCTTGACCTCCTGGGCTCAAGCGATCCTTCCACCCCAGTCTCCGAGTAGCTGGGACTACAGGCGTACACCACTACACCTAGGTAATTTTTGTATTTTTTATAGGGACAAGGTTTCGCCATGTTGCCCAGGCTGGTCTGGAACCCTTGAGCTCAAGTGACCCACCCACCTCTGCCTCCCAAAGTGCTGGGATTACAGGCATGAGCCACTGTGCCCAGCCAGTATAAGCATTCTTAATGTGTGAAATTGATTGCAGAGATTCTTGTATTTAACCTGAAAGAGTTTTTTAATGACAAAATACCTCATAACAATAAGTAATTCCACCAACATTTCAGCCTAATAAAAAAAAATCCTGGAGTCAGGGAACATATGCATGGGAGAGGGTGAAAGTATAACAGAGCATGGGAGAAGAGGGGGAATTTTTTTTTAAGTGGATGATAAAGGATATAACTTGACCACAAAGTGGTTTTGGTGCATCAAAAGTTGTCAGCTTTGAGAAGGTTCTAAGGAAGGTAGGCCAAGGTCTAGTTCTGAAAGATGTTCAAGAACAAAAAAACATGGTGAGCTCCAGTCAGGGGCTGGCTGGGGATATCAAGACAAAAGTCACTCATGGAATCTGGTGGAGGCAGAAAGCAGGTAGGTGTGTCTACAGGCAAGTCCAAAAGTTTGGCAAGAAGACAAGGCTTGGGATTCAAGAATTGCCAGGCTGGGAAAGCTGCACCAAAAGCCTATGAACACAGGCAAAGCTCCAATCTTTCTAAAAACTGCTTATCAGAAGGAATTAATCATATTAACAAATACATCAAGTGAAGAAAAACACAAACATGCCTTCATAAATGGAATGGCATTATATCTCTAAATGTTAAGATATTTAATGCATAGAATGGATTTGCATATTGGGAACAAGAAGTGCTTTTTTATCTCCAGCAAAGACAGTCCCTTTGTCTGTATTACAAAATATAAATACATTCCTGTCATTGTTTCTCAATGACACTCACGCTGATTCAGGCACACACTGATACTACACACTGATTCAGGCATCAAAATCAAATATATTTGCAATGTATTTAAAATCACACCGACTGAAAATGAAACCACCTAAATCCAGTGTTACTGAATTAGTAAATTTTTGATATAAATTTCACATAATTTGTATTGGAATTTGTCTATTACCCACCATTGCTCTCATCTAACAATGAAACGATTTTGATATTTGAGATTAGTTATGGCTTATCTCCATCCTGCTTTTTTTCCTTGAACAATTGATGAGTGATTTTTCAGTGAGGAATAAAATGAGTATAGAGAGCCAAAATGTTATAGATTGTATACTGCTCCCACACCAGCCTCAGAAGGAAATAAAAAAAACATAAACACATGAAGTATACATAACACAAAATTAGTAACATCATTATCAATTTTAAAGAAATGTAGAAAAAATAGAATTAAATATTAGCTGTTTATGTGCTAACTTCATTTGAATATTTTTATGGGTTCTTTTTAGATAAGATAAAAACCATAAATAACTTAGCACACAATGATATTACTCATTATTTACTTTTTAACTTTTAAAGTCAATTAGTAATAATAAATATCATTGTTAATGATAAAAGAACATGCCTCTAATTGACTTTAAAAGATAAAAATTACTTAAATTTTAAGATTAAATAAACAGCACTGAAATATTCTTCAGAGCATGAGTTCCTTTAAGTTTCATTTAACTTTTTAAAATAGAGTATTTATTTGCAAAGAACATAGCTATGTATGTCTAATAGGATTTCGAAAATTACTTCAGTTGCTGGTAAACAGACTATGTTGCATAAAACAAGGACTAAATGGCCGTTAGTTGAGAAAGCTACATGACTCTATTGATATAAAACTCACTGAATTTGGCAAGAAAGGGTCAGAAACAGTGCACTGGATTTAGAACAAAATGGCTTTGTATCTAAGTCTTATAACTTCTGTTTACTATACAGTCTGTTTTATGTTTCCAAGATACATTATATTAAACATAACTTAGAACAAAAATTAATTCAAATTGAAAAATTCCCCACAGCAGTCAGTGGCTTGAACCAGAATGTTTTACATTCACTCTCTCTTTCTGGCCATCAAAAGCCTTCCATGCTTGGAAAGGAAAAACTATAATAAAAAATATATGGTTATACTGGGGTTTTTAAAGTATAAATTATTAAGGTGCATAATCATATCTTAACTTTGAATAACCCAGATATTACCCTAAGTATTTATCAGGCATTAAGACCAACTCATTATACTTGCTCTCTCTCCCAAATCCTCCTGCTTTCTATTCTGAATTGGTAGCACTATCACCCAACCCAGATGTTCAAGGAAAACATCTAAGTCATCTTTAAATTTTGCTTAACAGTACTATTTTCTTCTACTCCTCATAACTGCCTTCTTCCTCTTATTACCTCTCCCAGTCCAAGCATGACCTTCTCTTCTAGATGATCAGAAATAGTTCCTAAATGATCTCCCTGATCAGCTTTTCACCCTCCCCAATCTAACAATTACAGTGTGTCACAATATGATTGTCACCTCTTTACTTGCAATAATCGAATGGCTCCCTTTTACATATTCCAGCCTATTTTCAAACTAACGTCTAGTCATTTTCTCCTACGTATCTGATTCTCTAGCCACATTGGCTGCACTCACCTTCCTCCAGCAAACCATAGTCATTCCTCCAAAAGTTAACATTATCTCCTTTACTTGTCACAGATTTCTCATATTCCGATTTATGCCTCAGGGTTCAACTTAGATATAACTCTTCCATACAAAATAACCAACTCTACTATCTATTTCCAAAATATTTTACTTGAACTAACATTACAGTTATCATCAAAATGATTTTTTTATGAATAGCTTGCATTCTAAGCACTGGGTGGGGGTCTTACTCACTTCCAGTTACTCAGTACATTGTACATCCTAGGTGCATTAAACATTTTCTTGAAATCAAAATAATTAAATTTACATGTTATACTGAGATGAGTACTACTTTGTAAGGAATAAAATAAACATTGAGTAGTCTTTATGAAGGAAACCATTCAAATTATTCCTTTATTTGAAACTACTATTCATAATTTTCACTGGGTAGCATAAAATATTAATTCTTTGAAAAGAATATTATGAACATCATCTCGAACCATATTATCTAGTCAAAAGTGGTGATACTAGAAAGAAAGCATATTCAATCAAATCAGAATCAATCTGATTCCAGCAAAGACAGTACTTCATGTGAAGTCAGAACTTTAAAATTATCTACATATTTTAATAGGCAAGTTTAGAAAAAAAATTAGCCAGGCGTAGCGGCATGCACCTGTAGTCCCAGCTACTCGGGAGGCTAAGGCAGGAGAATTGCTTGAACCCAGGAGGCAGAGGTTGCAGTGAGCTGAGATCGCACCACTGCACTCCAACCTGGGCAGCAGAGCAAGACTCCGTCTGGAGGAAAAAAAAAAAAAAGAGTGAGAGGGGGAGGTTACAAAGAAAAAAGAGAGCTACAACAAGGAAAGGACATTAATGAGAAATGGACAGGTGTCTAGCTTGACTGAAGTTGTGAGAACAATTTCTGGATATATCCACTATCTGTTGGCATGCCATTATGAAAGATAGTGAATACCAAATGGAAATGGTGGCCTCTATAATTATTTTTATGAAATGAGGAGGTGGTGGTGACAAAGAGTATGTTGTAAGTTTGAATAATTAAGGGGAAAATGATATCATTAACCAAGAATAATATGAAGTACATATTAGTAGAAAGAAATATTCCCAGAGTGTTTTCAGGCAGAGGAACTGGTCAGGCTTTTGGAGATACAGATCAGAGATCAGAAGAAAGAAAAAGATAATAAATACCAATAATTTAGGAATTATCTAAGAGGAGATTAAAATTGATGCCATGAGAATGGGTCAGTTTGACAAGAGTAAGAAAGGATAAATAGGAATAACAGGAAAAAAGGAATTTTGGAGAGTAAGTCTATAATCTCTCAGAGACCTGTATTCAGCTATTGGTTCTGCCACTTCATAGTTACAAAATGTTGGGCAAATAATTTAACCTCTAAGTCCTAGAAATCAAATGGCATATTTAAACCAAAGGGTACATGACTTCATATATATTCCAATATCAAACAGTTAATTGTAATTCTGTTATTATTGTTGGTGTCATGGTCGTTATCATCATTACCACCATTACTACTAGGAAAAATGAAAAGGAAGAGAACTAGAAGAATTGGGATAAGATAGTACAATACAATTCATGACAGGATAAATGAATAGAACATCATGGACCAACAACACTGTGATGTATCATGTGCATTCTGATCTTACATTTTTCAGACAGCAACTCAGCTCCTACCATCTGTAGATTCTAGCCTCTTATAAAAATCACACTCAATCATGTTCTTAAGAAAAGCCACTCATAAACTATAAGGAATCAATTAACATGGCTGAGAAGTCTGAGAAGTCTCTTGAGACAACAGATGGTACTTTATAAATAGGCTCTGAATCACCTGTTACATGATTTGAGCTGCCCAATTACTAAGTCCTTCTTCCAAACTTTGTTGTAGTTTCCAAAACGAATTATGGAGCAAAAATAGTCAAAACGCAAGAACCACAAATTGTATATTAAAAGCAATATAGGCCGGGTGCAGTGGCTCACGCCTGTAATCCCAGCACTTTGGGAGGCCAAGGCAGGCGGATCATGAGGTCAGGAGTTTGAGACTAGCCTGACCAACATTGGCGAAACCCTGGCTCTACTAAAAATACAAAAATTAGCCAGGTGTGGTGGCGCATGCCTGTGATCCCAGCTACTCAGGGGGCTGAGATGGGAGAATCGCTTGAACCTGGGAGGTGGAGGTTGCAGCGAGCCAAGATTGCACTACTGTACTTCAGCCTGAGTGACAGAGTAAGACTCTGTCTCAAAAAATAAAATAAAATGAAATAAAATAAAAATAAAAATAATACATAGCACAGATACGTATAGCACAGATGCATCATTGATGGGGATAGCAGAAATTGCAACAATTTCATTGCATATGACTTATGTATAAAAATTAAATGTATATGTTATGTATGTGTATCCATGTGTACATGTATAAAAGAGAGGATGGAATGGAAAAAGAGAAGGATTGAGTTACAGGGCAAGTGTAGGAGAAGACAGAAAATAATGCTTTCTAAAATCTATACTTCCAAGGTCATCTTATTAAAATAAACAGGAAAGGGACATGGCTGAAGCTGGAAACCACCATTCTCAGCAAACTATCACAAGAACAGAAAGCCAAATACTGCATATTCTCACTCATAAGTGGGAGTTGAACAATGAGAACACATGGATATAGGGAGGGGAACATTACATACCGGGGCGTGTCGGGGGTTGGAGGGCTAGGGGAGGGATAACATTAGGAGAAATACCTAATATAGGTGACGGGTTGATGGGTGCAGAAACCACCATGGCAAGTGTACACCTATGTAACAAAACTGCACGTTCTGCACATGCACCCATTATTATATTTCGTATAATAATAAAAACATCAGACAATACAACATTTACATCTGTTTTCTTAGCAAGAGAAGTGTCACTTCTGATTTATAAAAGGGTCACTCACTTTCAAACATTACTTGAAACCATATCTTGATGGAAGAATAAGCTGAGAATGAGTTGCTCTTCTCAAATATTGTCTTTCAAGCCCCCATTTTACTCTTATAAAAATTTCTAAGTACAGTGGCCTCACAATTAATAAATCTCAGATAGATTCACAGAGAACAGTACAACAGATGGTACTTTATAAGTACAGAGAAGCCTCTTTTATGAGATGCAACCCATATCAGAAATTTTTAATTTAACACAATACTATAACATGATGATGTTTTCATGAGTGCCTTGGTTTTGCTCTATAATATTATATACTTAGCTCAGTATCTTTTTTTTCTGGGTTTCTGTTTCCTTCAACTTACCACCCAGTGAGTACAAGTAACATATTATCGTTAGGTCCCATCTTAAGATCGTAACAACCGCACTTTGGGAGGCAGAGGTGGGCGGATCATGAGGTCAGGCGATCGAGACCATCCTGGCTAAAATGGTGAAACCCCGTCTCTACTAAAAATACAAAAAATTAGCCGGGCGTGGTGGCGGGCGCCTGTAGTCTCAGCTACTCGGGAAGCTGAGGCAGGAGAATGGTGTGAACCCGGGAGGCGGAGCTTGCAGTGAGCCGAGATCGCACCACTGCACTCCAGCCTGGGCGACAGAGCGAGACTCCGTCTAAAAAAAAAAAAAAAAGAAAGAAAGATCGTAGCATAGTATGACTCTGCTAAACGTATTTAATTCATCCATTCATTCAACTAATATTTAACACTTATCAACTTCCAGGCACTATACGAATGCCAGGACCTAGCAGTGAAGACAGGAACATCTTCTATGGGGCCTCTTCTATGGGAGTTAAATATATAGCAGATTGTTTTTAAAAAAGCAAGAAATAAAAAATAAAATAAGTTCATTTCTGATAGTACTTAGTGTACTATCACTAAGTACTTCCTTCATCACAGCCTGGCACATGTATACATATGTAACTAACCTGCACATTGTGCACATGTACCCTAAAATTTAAAGTATAATAATATTAAATAAAAAATAAATAAATAAAAATAAAAATAAAAAAAGGAAGGAGATACAACAGGTTAATGTGAAAGTGATAGAGTGATTCAAGTACATACAGTTTTATATTTTCATATGCATTTTAGCATGCAATTTTCCAAAAGAGGTACTAAAATATTCTTACCTCCTTTCACCCATGTCATATTCATATTTGTCCCCTTATTAAAGACACATTTGTTCTGTCATGTCATCAAAAACTGCTTACAGAAATGAGTAATACAATGATGAGTATCAGAAATTCCAAGAAGAACAAAATAAGTTGCCAGCCCCTGAGGAGTTTTCCAGGAAGCCAGGAAAAACAAGGTACACAAACCTGAGGAAATCAATAATAAAATTCTGTTAAGTATGCTGACAATTATCTTTGGATCAAGTTCCAAATGTGAATGTGTGTCATAAGAATTTGGAGAAAAGTGTCATTAATGTCCAGTGGAAGAGAGTGGGACTTCACCTGGACACTGAAGTGTGGGTAAGTGTTGCAAGGGGAGGGAGGGAGGAGGACGAGCAGAATTCCAAGGCAGGGAAAACAACATGAGTTAAGTATGGAGCAAGCTTGTCTGAGGTGGAGCTGATAGAGAAGGAGAAGCTTGTATGGGGAGTTTGTTTGAGGACAATCTTGCCCATGGATTTTGATCTGTATACATCAAGTAGATAGAATTAATTCAATATTTCTAAGGAGAATTATAGGATGAAAATGATATTTTATAAAGAAGACTCTGAGATCAGTACGCAGCTTGAAAGTGGCAGATGAGAGAAAATTTAAATCAGTTAGAAGGTTAAACCTTTCATGTAAACTCAAATAGCAGTGGCAGCAAGAAATCACACATATAAAACTGTTAAAGATCAAATAGACAAGACACTGTGAATGATGAGATGAGTGGGGTAAGAGAAACGAAAATGGGAGGGGCCCAATTTATCCTGGCCAAGGAAATAATGCAAAGTGTCTCCTTCACTGTCAGTAATATGTTATACTGAATAAACTTTGCAATGACAAAAATGCAAAGAATATTTTTAGAATGTTTTCAAATTTCCAACAGGTAGCCTAAATTTTTTTTAACAGCATTTATTATCTTGCATATGTTTTATATAGGAGTTTAATCAACTTTCCAAAGCGTTGAATAAAATTTAATCTGAACATTCTGTATTTTTAGTTTTGGATCAATGGCGTACTGGTCACTACTATTTTACCTTAAACATAATTTTTCTAAATTTAAATGTAACAATATTTTGACAAATTCTTCTTCCGTTTTCCTACTTTTAGGTTCCTATCAATACTATATAACTCAGTATTATTTATGAACTTTAGATATCTATGCATTATAAAAATAAAGTTGGTAAGGGCTATTATGTTCATAGTTCCTGAAATTTTCAGGCAATTTGCTTCTCTCTATTACCTATGGGCTGATCAATCCCAAATGTTTATCTCCAGCTTAGACTCCCTTTTTTTTGATATCAAGTACCACACATTTAAAAGCATTATTCTAATGCTCTCTGTATATGAACAGTAACTGTGGATCCCACCCTGTATTTCACATGAGGTGTTAATGTTCCCCTCTATAAACCTTACCACTATGATTTTCAGGAAATTGGCCTCAACATTTACAAGGAGACTGCTCTACCTTTGTATTTTCAAGTTAGGGACCACCATGATGTTTCACACCACTATGCCTTTGAACATGTTCTCACTGCCTAAAATGAGCAACCTCCAGTGCTAGGTCTCCTGGTATTTACTTCTTTCCTCTATGAACTTTGGCAGATTTCATTGCTCACGTATATGTCAGCAATGCTCCTTGTTCACATATCTCTTAAGGAACTATCACATTTCTGTAACAATTTATTTACAAGTCAGTCTTCGCAAAACAACTATGACCTTTCCCTACTAGACTATGAGCTCCTTGAGAATAGAATAATAATTACCAGCTGGTATAAATCCATATGCATGTTTTCAGCTGACATAAATGTATATTTTTCATATGCAAATGTGAATGTCCAAAATGTAAGTTAAGAAGCTTGTGAAATAAATCTTCAGTTTTTTCCTAATATTTGCCTAACACTGATTTTTTTGGATCTAGTTGAGATACTTCCTGTATTCTATATGAACAATGTTTTATAACCTCTTTAGAAATAACTTGCCCAACAAGAGACTCTTAATGTTTTACAATAAATGTAATGCTAACAAACATCTGCAAGACTATAGTTTATTCACAAAAATAGCCTGCAAAAGGAACTCTGTATTACATAGGCAAACACTGTTTTTAAATGGTTTTGTAAACATGGATAGGGATATTAAATCTGCATTCAAAAGGTTTTTAATTTGAATTCCCATTATACTTGGAAATATTTGACATAATCTACTATTTAAAATTATTATCTAATTTTTTTTAATTTTAAAATGTGACTACTACAAAAATGATCACCAATAAATGTTCAGTAGAAATACTAACTAAAAATGAAACTGAGACAATGCAGATTAACTTCCCATTGATAACTTTACTACGGACTTCCCCAAATAACCAAATAATGGTGTCTAATTGGAAAGTTTTAAGCAGAGAAGTAATGAGATTAGATTAGCCCTTTGAGATGGTTTCACTGACTGTTTTATGGAGAATGGAAGGTGAAGGACAAGAGAGAAAGCAAAAGACCGGAGAGGAGGAGAATGCAATTGTCCCCGTGAAAGGTAACATATTGGACAATACACTTAGGAATTTGTGAAAAATAATAAGATTTAAGACACATTTTAGACTTCAACAAAAATATATAAAATACAATGCAGACAAATTGACCTGCTGAGTCTATATACAGAAACCTGAACCAACCTTTCCATTTTCACACCGGTAATGGGCCCACATGCATTCATCAAGAAATGTACTGATGTGGAAAACTTAACATATTTATGATGAATCCATACGCTTCTGGTGGAAGTTCAAATTTAAGCAGAGGATTAGGAAGAGACCTTTACTTTTACTATCTACATTTGCTGTTTTGTTATTTTATCATTTATTTATAGTAATGATCATGAACTCCTTTGGAAAAATTACATACTTCTATTACAAAAAATTTTTATGAATGGCAATGTCAATTATTCACTTTTAATTTCAGGGACCATATCTTGCATAAAATAAAATAGCTCTATATCAAATTTAAATTGTCACATCACATAAAAATTTACCAAAATATCATAATTATATATGACAATATGTGTTACTGACAAAATATTTTCAAAACACACAGCATACCAAAATTGTTCTGGCATTTAAAAATGTAGATTACTTTGCTTTTACTTCAATATCATCTACCATAAATGGAATTATGAATTCTATGTTCTGCAGTTTAATGTCTGAAAACTTCTCATAGAACTTGAGTGATATTTTTAAATCTCAGTGGCCATCCTGCCATACAAATCAGTTTTGTTTTATAAAATGTAAATTAAAACATTTGCAAAGCCATTTTGTTTCAAAATGAGAGAGATGAGATGTACATCTTTAATTTTACAAATCTTAATTTTTACAAATTATATCAGTTAAAACAAGCTGTGAGTATGTTTTAAAATCAGCTCTAATCAAAACCTCAAAAGTAGCATATTTGAAGAAACTTGGTTAATTTTGAAATTATTCAATGAATCAAAAGCTAAAATTTCACAAAATACAGTAGTACAAAGAACTGTGCTTGATTCAAAATTACTGCAAATGAAATTTGAGAACATTTTAAAAATAGTCAGCAGGATTCGGAGTAATCATTAAGCAAGCATTGATAAAGGAGAAAGAAACCATTCTGTGTGTGTCCATTATCTATTCTGACTACAGAAAGAAAAGGTCAAAATCAAAATATCATTTCATTTTTAGCACTACATGAATGCACTGAATTTCATAGTCAAATACCATATGTTTTAAGTTAAAGATATATGTATACATAACATATGTATACATGCATATCCATAGTGTGAGTCACCCTGTCAATATGTATCATAGCGTCAAAATTCCAGAAAGCGTTCATCAAAAGGGTCATTTAAACTTACCTCAATAATATCTGTGTCAATTAATACAGAATTTGCCAGCATTTTTCCCACCATGACCATTGCAGACCTCATTATCATAGTATCATTTATCAATGATTACAGAAGAGACTCTTTAAGGAAGCCCCCATCAATCCATCACTCCACAAATAATTGTCAATATCTAATGTGAGCCAGACATTGATCTAAGCACTTGAAAAATAACCAGATCCGAAACAGAACTAATTGCTACCCTTAACAATTTTACATTCCAGTGAAGGAGACTGAATCAGAAAATCAGGTGGCTTGGATTAATTGGATGGCAGAGATATAATCAAAACTGAATCCATTTAAGACATATTTTGGAAGGGTTCGATTAATAGGACCTAAGGATGGATTTGCTCTGGAGCAAGTAATATAGAGGCATCAAAAATAATTCTAAAGTCTTTGACATGAAGGGAATATTATTTATTGAGATAAGGAAGACTGGTGGATAGAAGAGTCTGGAAAGGCAGAAAAAGATTTTAAAAAAATATTTGTGAAATGTTAAGTTTAAGAAGTCTATGAGATATCCAACTGATATGTCAATTAGGCAGCTGATTATATGAGTCTGGAGCTCAGAAGGAAACTCAACACACGTATAAATTTGGGAGTCAGTGACACAGATTCAGTACTTATAGAGAAATGTTAAGAGTCAACTAGAATAGAAATCCAAAGGGCGAACAGCCAAGCTATGAAGAACTTTAGCATTTAGTGAACAGGGAAAGGAATAAATGCAAATATATTCCCTAAAACTGAAAAGGAAGAGCAAGAAATATGATTTGTTTCACCACATTAAAAAAAGTTTTCAGAAAAAAGTAAGTCCTTAAATGCTTAAAATACTATTGATATTTAAGTAAGGTGAGACTGTAAAGTGTCTATCAGATTTAGCAACATAGACATTATAGCTTTAGTAGGGAGAGAGGTGGCCTGATTTTTTTTTAAAAAAAAAGCTATTCACAGTCCTGAAACTACAAATTATCTAAGATCAAAAGCTATTCCTTGGTAAACATTTAATCATCTGAGACAATATTAAAACATCTTACATACTACATACATATTGGCAAATTAAATTTAACAAACTATTACTAAATTCATTCTAAGTGACAAGCAATCTATTATGGTCTGACAATTCAAACGAAAATAAGAAAATAGACATAGTCTTTATATATAATGAGCCCATAACATTATAGCACAAATATACATATAAAATACTGAAAATACCATATATAAGCCATGCATAGTGATGCCCAGGGGCCACTGGAATGCAGAAAAATAATAATTTTATTTCTCTGTTCTATGCATCTTTGATCTAGAATTGCCAGTTTTAATGTTAAAATAGAAATCTATAAAAGTGGCCTGGCGCAGTGGCTCACACCTGTAATCCCAGCACTTTGGGAGGTTGAGGCAGGCGGATCAACTGAGGTCAGGAGTTCAAGACCAGCCTGACCAACATGGAGAAACCCCATCTGTACTAAAAATACAAAATTAGCCAGGCGTGGTGGCTCATGCCTATAACCCCAGCTACTCAGGAGGCTGAGGCAGGGGAATCACTTGAACCCAAGAGGCAGAGGTTGCGGTGCGCCGAGATCGCTCTATTACAGTCCAGCCTGGGCAACAAGAGTGAAATTCTGTCTCAAAAAAAAAAAAAAAAGAAAGAAAGAAAGAAAGAAAGAAAGAAAGAAAGAAAGAAAGAAAGAAAGAAAGAAAGAAAGAAAGAAAGAAAGAAAGAAAGGAAGAGAAAGAAAAGAAATCTATAAAGGCTATTGGTTTTGTAGCTTATACTAAACCTGAGCTTTAAGAAATTAGCAACTTCATACCTATGCCAAGAATAAGTAAGAAAAATAGTATGGTTAATAAAGTACTTGCAATACTGATTTAGGATTAGGAGAGAATACAATGTAATTTTTACTTATCAGGCTTCTCTTGTCTTTCAAAAGCAAAAGCCTGCTTTATATGTAATCTAACTGCATGGCAGAAGTATGTAGATGTGGAATGGACTAAAAATTGATGAGTATGAAAGAAACGTGGCAAAGGAGAATAGTCATAACCAGGCTAATATGACATAATAACTAACTTGATTTTAAAGAATCAAGCTTTTTGTCTTTATAATTACTACCAACAAAAATTTATGACATTCACAGAATCATAAAACTGGCAGCGTAATTTCAATTATATCTTGAAATGAGTCAGTATCAAGAAACTGGTCTTACACTAATTCAGGAGAAAAGATCAATTGGATTACATATACCAAGCAAGGCAACTGATTCTGCAAAAGCTCTGTAGGTCCATTTTGTTAATATAAATACTACAAATGGTAGCAACTTACTCTTTGCTGAACACAATATATATTGACTCAATCACCAACACAAAACTATGAAAGCAGCTAGCATTGTCCCCATTTTACTTATGAAGAAAGAAAAGCAGAGATAAATTCATTAACTTATCTAAGGTTACTTAGAGAGGAAGTATTATGACTATTATTACATGTTATTTAAGAGTTTAATCTTTGAAGTGTTACATGATTTTAGCAGACAAGAACTTTATAAACTATTATTGACATCCATATTATGACTTAAAATACATTCCTTTCTGAGGTAGATTTAATACTAGTCCGCCTCTTAAAATGTTCTTGCTTTCCTTCTATCCCAATAATTTCTTATATGGTGTCATCACAACCAGAAATTTGTTACATTCCAGTCATTTTGTTGATACTTAGTTTGTTCTCTGCCCAACACTTTTATATGAAATTGTCTAAATTCTATCAACAAAAATATTTAGAACAGTTTAATCTCAAGGGAACTTGTTGGAGGTGGTAATAAACAGGTCTAGTCACCTGGAACTGATCACTCTTTAAAAGAAGAGTTGTCCTCTATCTTAGTGGCTCATCGACTATTGAGCGTTCAGCCTCTGAAAGACAACCATTTCCCCTGACAAAGGCTTGAAGAAGCACCTGCTATCCAAGGAGGACAGCCATGGGGAGGACAGCTGCTGCTGCCAGATGGCCCTGACACCTCTTGGTTGGTCCTATTTTATAGAAGGATTGTTTAAGCACCTTAAAGATCCTATTTCGTGGTCAGTGAAATTTATTTCCGATTCCTCACAAGGATAGATTGTTTCCATTAAAAAGACGGAGTCTATAAAGAGATTACATCCCCAAGCTACCTTTTTTCTTTGGTTAGAAGTGATGATGATCATGGTTATAATAAGAAATTTAAAATTAAAGGAAGCAACTATCTATCTTACTCTAGCTCTGGCTCATACTTTAGGGAAAGGTCAAGACCTATGGAAGGAAAAGAGATATTAGTAACAATCAATGACTATTTGTACATCAAAGACATTGATTATGAAACTATCATTTAAGACTCATTACTCTTTTAACAACCACCTTGAAGCTTTCCTGAACTTGAGGTTATAATGTTATCACTAAACCTCTACTATCCTTAATACCAAAATATGCAGGAGAATATATTCTGATATCAGCATATCAGATATGTGTTGCACTCACAAAAAATTTAATTCTACATAGTCATTTAGTGGTGAATTTAATTTCTCAACCCCATATTATATAAGGGGCAATGAGAAACACCATTCCCTGAATAAGGGATGAACAAGGAAAGAAATTAGGTATATTTTGTCAAGTTTTATTTATGTATATTTGTTTCTCAGTTTTATTGATTGTGGGTTTTAAGTACAACCGATGTTAAAATGTACATTTCAGTAGGAATAAAATATATTGGCTAAAAGAAGAATGAAAAATAGAAATAAATTTTCATTTGAATTCAATATTGTTAATGCAAGTTGCATGTACAGTGTCTTACTCTCTGTACAGTGGTGGTACTTTAAATTGAAATGTCATTGATATACTTTTATAAATCAGAAGTGCTAGTTCATGTATATTTTATTCTCTATACCAATCCTTTTAGGACATAATTAAATGCAAACAAACAGAAAAGAACTAACTTGAATCAATGTGTCCTTCTGAATGACATATCCTTCATACCTGCAAAGCCATCTCATCAGCTAGACTATTGCACTCATGCTCATAAATTTGACAAGGTTGGTTGATTCTCTTCCAATCCCATTTACATTTAGAAATATGTAGCCATATAGGATATTTTTCTATTAATTTATAAAGTGCTTCAGTTATGATGAAAGGCAACATTACCTGTTTGTTTCCAAAGCACAGGTTAATATTTTGATTATCTTTGTATCTCATTGTCGATGTAGAGTTTGAAATGCAGTACAGATTTTGCTATGTTTTAGAAGATAAAGCATTCAGTTAGGATAGTCCAAAACTGTTGATGGGATCATCTTTCATTAGGGCCACTTAAGCCAATATATGGATAAAATGATTCATCACTTTAACTCTAGAAGCCATTATTTCTAATTAAAAACTACCCCATAAATACCTATTTTATTATGACATCTGTGTGGTAAATAAATTCAAGCTATCAGTAAAGCACTCACCAAGGAAATTACCTTAAAAAATTACTTCATTTCCAAGTGTATCTTCCTAATTAACATGACTATTTCCCATCCATATTTCTAAACTGCAATTTATAATAACTTTAGAGTCTCTGAATATCTAATACTTAGGGAAGTTATTATCTGGATTTCTTAAATCACAATGCCTACAAAAAATGTAATCATTTATTGACCTTTTACAATTATGTACATGAAAATTTATAGAGCTTGCTGATATTCAAAGAGAAAAGGAATAAACTGATAAAACTCTATAATCATTTTCCTCCAAGTCTAAGCTACAGAAGTGGGGGGTTAATTCCAATTCAATTACATCAACTGTACAATTATCATTGTAGTTCTTTGGGATATAAAAAGATACATAATACATGAATTCACATACTGATGAAGACAATCATCCAAAGCATCTTGTCTCTCCAATATTTACTTAAGGTATGACTGATTCTTTCACCTTTAACTTTTAAGTTTGCTTTCTACCCACCTTTCTTTTCTAGGTAGGCAACATGGTGCAATGAAAACAACTCAAGGGTTGTGTTCTTTTAGATTCAGATATGAATATTTACTTTGTCATTTACTAGCAATACTTTTTTGACAATTGTCAAGCTTCAATATCCTATCACTGTCTCTAATTTCTCAATCTGAGCTGGTTTATGTTCTCAAACAATACTGTGATTGTTGGCTGTGCTAACAAAACTGTAAGCAAACATTGGACAGTGTTTTCCTGGAGAACAGAATACAAGCTTTGGAGTAAAATTATACCTGGGTTTGTAACCACATCTTCCTACCAATATCTATATTTATAATAGATTATTTCAATGAAAAATGCTTTTTTTCATTAAGCCATAATTATATAAGATACACATATATTTATCTGGAATGACAGATAGATAGATAGATAGATAGATAGATAGATAGATAGATAGATAGATGATATAGATAGATAGATGATATAGATAGATAGATAGATAGATAGATAGATAGATAGATAGATAAATGATAGCTAGATATCCAGAACATGTGAGATATATGATAGTTACAGAGATACAGTTAGATAGGTCTATGTTACAGATACCGGCTAAGCATTTCACAAATATTAATTCATTTAATACTCATGATGTATTCATGAAGTGGCCACTATTATCACTCCAATTTTACAGATGAGAAAACTGAGGCTAGGCATGACATAACTACCAAATCACATAGCCGGTAAGTGGCAGAAACAGACAACACACTCCTGAATCTACTCTTACCTAGTAAGTTATATACACTGTCTCTCAATATTTGAATATAAACTAATTTTCTGGCACTAGAATTTTTTCAGATCTAATTTTGGTAGCCTTTGAAACTATTGATGGTCTTTCCTTAACATTCCCTTTAATGTTATCTTCTGTCGCTGTAAGGAAAATGGCTGTGCAGCAGTCAAGAGTAGGCCAAGGTAAACATCTGGCATAGCATGACACAGCAGGGTTGGAGCACAGGTGCACAATCCCTTGCATTATATAACCACAGTTATGTAACCATGTTATGAGTGGGCTCACCACCTGGCTCTGAGCCACTATTGTCTATGAAGTGCATAAATGTATCACTGACACTGTGAGGGGTGGTGCATAATAAAGCCATGTCCCACCTGCCTACGGCCCCCCGAGTGTTGTTTCAACTACCTGCCATCCATTCACCCACTCCCCTTGGACCCCAGCTCAGGTTGGAACCTGATAATTGGCGTAGTCAACAGGATTCCGAGGTGAGTGAGTCCTCAGCCCCTGATGGTCCTGGGTCAGCTATGTGGTCTCAGCATGGGTTGTGTTACCTTGTGGCAGCCTTCCTGCTCAGATGGGCCCCGGTGAAAACACGGGTGATGGTGGACGGGTCTCCCATGACCATGGAGAAGGCGCTGAAGCACTTTGAAGCACAGAGCACTGAAAAGGAGCGAGCCTTTGCCGGCAGAGTTGGATGGGCGTTTTTGACTGTGCTACAGGAAGTGCACACTCAGTCCCTGAGGGATACAGCTCAGGTAAGGGACCTCCAGGGTCAAGCAGAGCGCCTGGAGATCCGGACATACAGCTTGAAACGAGAATTAGGGCCTGCCACTAGTGTGGGCCTGGGCCAGCCATCCCAGTCAGAGACCCCCGCCAGGTCTGATACCAAGGAGGAAGAACCTCCACTGCAGGCTCACCCAGTGGTCCGTCAGAAAATAGAGCAGGAACAGCCACTGGGGCCCCAGGGCGTGGGGGTTCAGGGACCTCCTACTGTGGTGGAGCACATGTCATACAGTGCCTATACCCCAACTGACTTGCATAAATTAGGTAAACAGTGTCAGCAGTGCATGGGGGAACCCCTATCTACCTGGATGCTTTGCCTTTTGGATGAGGGAGCTGATGGTATTGTCTGCTCTGCCTCTGAAATGGAAAAGTTGGCCTCCATTATGACCCATCCCTCCAACAGCGATTGCAGGTGAGCAGGCGGTTAACACAGGGGCGAGGCGACCACACCCTGACTGAATGGCTGATGGCTGTCATAGAATGGTATGGAACAATGCCAGAGAAATACCAAAAACTGTGAGTAAATGGCATTCATATGCAGAGCTGGTGCAGGTAATTCAGGAAATGGGTATGTGGCAAGTTTTGTTTGATTTAAATACCTGAGGGCCATATGTTGAATGCTTTCCCTCCCACATGAGGGAACTTGTGTTGAGCTCTGCACCCCTGAGTGCTTTCGGCTCTCTGGCCACTGTCCTTACTCTGTACATGGGGCACTGCATACATGAGATGACTACTGCCATGGTGGCCCTCAGAGAAGCAGAGGGCCATTGGCAGGACCAGGGACTTTGTGCCATAAAAAAGGGGAAGGTACCCCTTCCACAGGGGCCACCTCGTGGGACAAAAAACCGCCCCAGTGGGTGACCTGCACACAGATGGGAATTGACTTGATTTGGGCTGGGGTTGACCGAGATAAAACTGATAGGCAACCCAGTGAAGTGCTGTTAACTTTGTGGAGGCAATTGTCCCCAGAGCAGCAATTCCAGAAAATGCCCAAGACGGGGCAGGATGATGTTGCTCGACCCAGTTCCACCAGGATGCTCCAGCTCAAAGACTACTTGAAGGTGGGTGGAGGTAAAGAGCCTTTTGTGTTTGATTAGGGAACTGGCCAAGGTGCCTGGCTTGGGGGGAAACCAGATGACCAGAGGCCATATGTGGAACTGGCAATCCACTCTCCCCAGTGTTGGCATTGGTAAATGCTGGTGCAGAGTGTAGCCTCGTCTATGGGAACCTAGATAAGTTTCCAGGCAAGGCTGCATACATAGACGGCTATGGAGGCCAGTCAGTGAAAGTGAAAAACATAACTGTACTGCTGACTCTGTAGGAGAGGGGCACCCCCCCATTCCCGATGGGGCATGGCATATGGATGGGTCCAGCCAGGGTGCGACTGCTTCCTGGACTGCTGTTGCGGTCCAGCCTAGTACTGACACCATATGATTTGTTATCAGGTGTGGACAAAGTAGTCAGTGGGCTGAACTCAGAGCAGTGTGGATGGTGATCACCAAGAAGGAGACACCTATGGCAATCTGCACCAATAGATGGGCAGTTTACCAGGGCCCAATCTTGTGGTTAACTACCTGGAAATTACCGAATTGGCTAGTTGGTCACCAACTCATTTGGAGCCACGCCATGTGGCAAGACTTATGGAAAATGAATTACATTTGCATGTTATTCTCCTGCCTTTGTGGGGCTGTAGTTCAAGGTTGGACCTGATGCTCCAAACCTTGAATGAACAGCCACAGAAAGGTGGCCCAGCCCCAGTGGGGCACTTCTACACTGGGCCACTGCCTCCATTCAGTTACAGATACAGACACCAAGGATGACCTCCTCTCACTAGATATGGGGACGAATGGTAATCTGCTGTTGCCTGCCTCAATGCACCTAAAGGCAGGATAACAAAAAACCTGGCTTTGGCCATGGACTCTCGAAGGCCCATTGCAGATGGTTGGCTACCATAGCCCCAGGGGGGAGGGCCTACTGTGTGATTTACATGTCACTCCTTGGGTATTTAATATATGGCCTCCGTGAATGACTGTTCATAGGGGAATGGCCAGGGAAGGAACCCTCCTCTGTGGGACATCTGTACCATCTGTGTGGCCTAATATGAGCTCCCCAGTAACTTTAGCACAGATAGAGGACCCAAAGGAACCATGGGGAGCACCACCCTGGGCAGAAGCCACTGGCAGCTACCAGAAATGAATGGTTAGCCTGTATTTTGCCTGAAGGGCATGATTCATCCTTGTTAGTACCTGTGCCTGCTTTGTCGTTTCGACCATAGATTGACATGCTGCAAAAGCATTGTGAAATGGGCCCACACCTATGCTGAGGTGACTAATCTTTCCAACTGTAGGATCTGCACCACCCTTCCAGCAGCAGCTATGGACGGCTTGCCCTGCCACATACACTTAGCTTCTATGGAGAACTGGACATGGCTAGAGACTTGGGGTCCCATGGGCGATGCCTGGAATGTGAAATGGTAAACTTTGGATAGGGGGCATGGCAAAACCTATGACATGCTCAACCCCTGGCTGACCTGTAATGTCTATGATGAATGGGGCTGGTTAGCAGGGGAACACATAGTGCCCCCACCCCACAGGTACCACGATGTATACAGCAACAATGGGATGGTGTCAACATGGGGTATTTGCCCACCATAGCCTGCACAAATATAACATATATCACCACACCAAGGGTGTAGTGGAATAGGTGGCCTCATCAACGTCAAGCTCCAATGGACTTTGTGCCCCCTGGGAGTTTATGGGTCTGTGGAGACATGGAATGGCCATATGCACCAGTGAACTGGACTGGCCCTTGTACCTGGGGATGGCCTTTGTGCCTGCCACTGTGCTTCCCACATTGCCTAGATGCCCACACAACTGGGAGGTGCTACGTTCCCACTTTTTGCAAGTGCTGCAAGCCCCTTGGTGGCTCTACCCCTTAGCTTTGACCATCCCTGGAGCAGGTGTCATTACTGTAGAAACACAGGTTACAGCCCTTGCAGAGCACACAGCTTGGCCCCTGAATTACACCCAAGTCACCCTCCTCCTGTTAACCAATGAGGTTGATCAAACCAGAAAGATGAAAGATGGTGCTGCAAAACTGGATGGCCTTAGATATAGTAAGCTGCCCAAGGTGGCATCTGTGCCCTTATAGGGACACAATGTTGTACATTTATTCCAGAAAATCAACAAAACATAATAGCAGCCTTGCAAGAGATGGCACAGGAGGTTGAAGCAGTTGAGAGCCTTACTAATGACCCCCCACAGAGATGGTGGGCATCCCTGAGCTCTGGCCTACGTTGGGCCCTGATAATCATGGGGAGCGTAACAGGGATATTAGTAGTAGGTTGTTGCTTCTTGTATTACTGCTGTGGCCTATGGGTCCAGGGTGCCACCGTGTGGGCAAGTTTCCCCACTAAGAGGACCCCCTCAGCCTAGGGGGTGGAGTGTAAGGAAAATGGCTGTGCGGCAGTCAAGAGTAGGCCAAGGTAAACATCTGTTACAGCATGATGCAGCAGGATTAGAGCGCAGGTGCACAATCCCATGCATTATATAATCACAGTTATGCTACCATGTTATGAGTCGGCTCATCACCTGACTCTGAGCCACTGTTGTCTGTGAAGTGCATAAATGTATCACTGACACTGTGAGGGACAGCGTATAATAAAGCCATGTCCCACCTGCCTATGCCCCTTCACCCCCTGAGTGTTCTTTCAATTACCCACCACCTGTCCATCAACTCCCTTTGGACCCCAGCTCAGGTTAAAACCTGACAGTCACATTGTCCTATTTTTGTAGGTTTCCTTCTAAATTTCTCATTAACATTCACCCTTATTGGCCTCCTTCACTCACTCTTCATTTTCTACTTCTTTAAGTGGAGGTGTTCATCAAAAACTCACCTTTAAATGTTTTTACTCTGTGCTCCTTCCATGGCTTATGGCTACCATATACACACATTAAACCCATTTCTTCTTATCTCAGGTTAACCATGGCCCTGGTTCTAAATTCCAAAACAATGCATTTCCAACTAAATAAAGAACAACACAACCAGGACTTTCAGCAGGCTTTAAAAGTCTGAAACCTCTCACAATCATGACCCTCTCCTACTAATCCCAGCTCTTACACTCCCTGTGATTTCAGTCTATTAAAATGGCATTACTGGCCCTAATCCGTTGGCCTCCACCTAGTCCCTTTCCACTACTTATCTTCCATACTGCTCTCTGCCAGATCAAACTATGTTCATGGATTCTCCCTATACCTTCATCAAGGCTCAGATGACATCATGTTGATGTAGCATAAAGTCCAGATTATCTAACACAATGTTCAATAGCTCTGAAGTTAAACTCCTATACACTTTCCCATCTTGTCTTCTATTAATCCTATCCACACTGGATTCAATGTTTCCTGAAATATGGAAGTGCATGGCCTCTGGGTTTGCCCATGCTGTTCCAAGGGCTGCTTCTATTTGTTCCTTCTCTATGTATCCAAATCTTAATCATCCTGTTTGTCTACTGAAATGGTCAACGTTTTCTGGTTGTTTCATTTGGGTAGTCGACTCTCAACTTCAACATCCCTTTCTTTGGAATCTTCTCATCTTGCTGTACAAAAATACTACATAAACCAGATATGTAAAACTGCAAAATTTGGAGAGAAACTAACTCAGATAAGCTATATAATTTTACCTCAAAATTTTACCTAGTTCTTAATGTCTTAGCCATGTGCCCCCAAATTGATATCAGAACTCTCATACTACAGGCTCACTTAGGTCTCTCAGCTCCACCTCTTTATAATTCTAAGGCTAAGAATTAATCATGAGGAATTTTCACCTTTCTTTGGATTTACCAAAATTGTTACTTTTTCAGTCATCTATATAACATTCTTATTTTTTGCCAAACCAAGATAGCAACCCACCATTTATATGTACACATACATATTCTTAATCATACATATTTCTAAGAATATATATTATTTATATTTTTTATCTATTTATATATATTCTTGAAGCTTCACACAAAAATCAAATCACATAATTAATTATTTTATGTAAGTGAAAACTATGTGGGCAGATTACTATTCATTCATAGAACAGATATTCCCCCAAGCAGGGTGTTACTAACTTTTATAATATCAATGAATTAGGTACACTGAAACATCTACATTAGTCTCAAATGCTTATTTGTCTATTCTACTTAGGAAGATATGTTGGACCAATTTTGGTTTTATCACGTTTACAGAAAAAATCTTAGAAACATTAGTAAATAATATAACCAAGTATAAAATAAGGTACTCCATAACTCTTCTACTTTTCCATATCTGTGTGTATGCATAAACATGGCATGTTTGTGAATATGTTAGTATACATTCACAAGCATGCTAGTGGCATATGTTTGCCACAATCTTGGCTGAAAATACATGATGAGAAATGAAAGAAACTACTGTTTACTTCTTAGAAAAAAACAAATATTTAAGAATGTTTTAAGGAAGATATTGTAGTTGGTTAACTTTCTAGGGACATTGAAGTTGATACATTGAAAATGTTATACACCCATTTTAACTCTGAGGCTTTAAACTTTACTTTTAATGAAAAATTCTCAAGACTCCCCAGTCAGAACACATAAACACTGAAATCTGTAGATCACTCAGACGTAGAAAGACACGAAAATGCAAAGCAGTCTCTCACTTTGTTGGGGCACATCTTTGATTGGACAATTTTTTAAGTATATCCTTTATATAAGTTATAAATATTATATAAGTTAAAAATCAAGTTACAAAACGGTTCACACAACTTGTGGTATTGAATTGGGTCCTTAGCAAGGATGAATAGATGAATAGATGAATGATGAAGGATAAATAGATGTTTTTAGACCAAAAAGCGGTGCAGGAATAAATTAATAATGAATGAAGAAAAGTCATATTTATTTACAAATGTTGTGGATAGTTTTCCTGAAAATAAATACTAAAATCTTCATGATCAAGGTGTTTTGACTCATGGGCATCAATTGTATCCATAGAACTATCTGTCATTACAATACTTTACTAAAGTCCCTAATATACCTTTACTTAATGGTACCGATCACAATATTTATAGAAATTAAGTGATTTTAATTATAAAGTTAGAAATAATTAAATAATTTTAATCATAAAATTAAATCATGTTGAAATCATGAGGAAGTTCTTCCTACTTGTAAGTGGCATCAAAGCATTTAGAAATATTTTTCCTGATTTCTCTGTATAAAATGTAAGAAAAATAAGCAGGCCAAATAAATAAGGCACTGGAATAACAATAAATAGTACTTTTTAAAGTGCCAAAGAGATAGAAATTATTCTTGTTGTTGACACTTTATTAGATTTCTAGTGCTTTTCACATGCATCTCATTTGATCCTCACAGCAACTGTGTTAATTGGTT